>NC_000011.10:95938964-96566178 GCF_000001405.40 Homo sapiens | reverse complement strand
TTATTATATAATATATGTTATATTTATAATATATATTATATTACATTTATAATGTATAATATGTTATATTATATTTATAATATATATCATATTATATTTATAATATATATTATATTTATAATATATATCATATATTTATAATATATGTTATATTTATAATATATATTATATTATGTTTATAATATATACTATATTATCATATATATTATATTATATTGTACTATAATATATTTATTAAGTAATATATATTAAATTATATTTGTAACATAACATATAATATTATATTTATAACTATATAATATATTTATAAAAATATATAATATTATATTTATAACAATATATAATATTATGTTTATACATTAATATATAATATTATATTTATAACAATATATCATATCATATTTATAACAATATATAATATTGTTTATACATTAATATATAATATTATATTTATATTATAATATATAATATTATATTTATAATATACTATATTATCTTATATTTCTAATATAATATATTATATTATATTTATGCTATAATATACATTATAATATATCATATTATAATATATATTATAATATAATATATATAATATAATAATATATAATATAATATATATAATATAATTAATATTATAATATAATATATATTATAATATAATATATATTATAATATATGTTATAATATAATATATATTGTATTATAATATTAATTATATTATAATATAATATATCTATAATAATATAATGTAATACATATTATAATATATATATTATAATATGATGTAATATATATTATAATCTAATATAATATATATTATATTTATAATGTAATATATACTATATTTATAACGTAATATATATTATATTTATAATATAGTATATATTATATTATATATAACATATATTATATTTTGTATATTATATAATATTATATTTAATAAAATATATTATATTATATATTATATGTAATATATTATATATAATATATAATTATATATTATATATAATATATTATATATAATATAATAATATATATAATATGATATATAATATATATCATATTATATAATATATAATATATATTATATTATAGAATATATTATGTATTATATATATTATATGTTATATAATATTATATATGAATTATAAAATATATATTATTATAAAATATATAATATATAATAAATTATATAGTATATATACTATATATTATATGTAATATATTATAAATTACATATAATATCTATTGCATATAATTTAATATTATATATAACATATATTACATATAATATAATATTAAATGTAAAATATATTACCAATTATATATTATATTTAACATAATATGTATTCAATATAATGTATTAAAATTAATATAATATATATTTAATATGATATATTATGATTATTATAATATCTGTTCAATATAATATATAATGTAATATATATTGAACATAATATATACTTAATATATTATATTGAACATAATATATACTTAATATATTATACTGAACATAATATATATTTAATATATTATACTGAATATAATATATATTTAATATATTATACTGAATATAATATATATTTAATATATTATATTTCATATAATATATACTTAATATATTATATTTCATATAATATATACTTAATATATTATATTTCATATAATATATACTTAATATATTATATTTCATATAATATATATTCAATATATTATATTTAATATATTATATTGAATATATATATTTATTATATGTAATATTATATATATTTAATATATTATATGTAATATTATATATATTTAATATATTATATGTAATATATATTTAATATATTATATGTAATATATATTTAATATATTATATTTAATATATATTTAATATATTATATTTAATATATATTTAATATATTATATTTAATATATATTTAATATATTATATTTAATATTATATATTTAATATATATTATATTTAATAAAATAGATATTTAATATAATATATATTTAATGTATTGTCTTTAATATATTATAAATTTAATATCATATATATTTAATATATTATATATTTAATATATTATATTTAACATATATTTAATATAAAGTATTTAATATATTATATATTTAATATAATGTATATTTAATATATTATATATTTAATATAATATATATTTAATATATTATATTTAATATATTATGTATTTAATATTATATATATTTAATATATATTATGTTTAATATCCTATATATATTTAATATATATATTTAATATCTTATATATATTTAATATATATCATATTTAATATCTTATATATATTTAATATATATCGTATTTAATATCTTAGATATATTTAATATATTATATATATTTAATATATATTATATTTAATTATATATAATATAATATAATTTGATATAATACATAATATATAATATAATATCTTATTTATATATTAATATAATATGATAATATATGTTATATATTATATAATAAAACATTATTCATATATTTATATATGAATATATTATTTATATTGTATTATGAATAATATAGTATAATAATAACATATATCATATAATACATCATATAATATATTATTTATATTATATGATATATAATATAATATAACAATAATGTATATTGTTATTATATTTATATATTATATTTATATATTGTATATTATATTGCATATATTTATATATAGTATGTTATATATATTATTTATATAAATTGTATATTATATATATATTATTTATATATTGTATATTATATTGTATATATTGTGTATATTGTAATATATTGTATTATATGTATATCTATTTATATATTGTATTATATTATATTTATGTATTGTATATTATATTTAATATGATATATCATATTTTATTTAATATAACCTATCATATATATAATATGATATATTATATTATATTAAATTTAATATATCATATATATTAATTAAATATAACATATTAGAGTAAATATATATTAATTGAATATAATATAGTATATTAAATGTAATATATTGTATTAAATATATATTAATGATAATATATTGCACTAAATATATATTAATGAAATAAAGTATATTACATTAAATATACATTAAATAAATATAATATATTATATCAAATATATATTACATATAATATAATATATTATATTAAATATATATTATATAAAATATAATATATAGTAAATATACATAATACTAAATGTATATTTAATATATATTATATTATATATTTAATAGAAAATTATATTAAATAACATATATTTAATATAAAATTATATTATATAGCATATATTTAATATAAAATTATATTAAATAACATATATTTAATATAAAATTATATTAAATAGCATATATTTAATATAAAATTATACTAAATAGCATATATTTAATATAAAATTATATTAAATATAATATATTATATTTTTATTATATATTTATATTGTATAAAGATAATATATATAACATATATATTATATATTATATATTATATTATTATATATTAATATTTTATATAATGAATTAATATATTAGTATATATTAATATATTATATATTATATTGTTATATATAATATATATTATATATTAAATATAAAAATAATATATCTTATAATATTACATATTATATATTATATGTAATATTATTGTATATGATATATTATATATAATATTATTGTATATGATATATAATATATCATATATCATATATTATATCATATAATATATCATATATCATATATTATATCATATAATATATCATATATCATATATTATATCATATAATATATCATATATTATATCATATATTATATAATATATCATATGTTATATCATATATTATATAATATATCATATGTTATATCATATATTATATAATATATCATATATTACATTGTTATATAACGTATCATATATTACATTGTTATATAACGTATCATATATTACATTGTTATATGACGTATCATATATTACATTGTTATATGACGTATCATATATTACATTGTTATATGACGTATCATATATTATATTGTTATATATTATATTATATATAATATATGTTATATATAATATATATATTATATGTTATATATAATATATATATTATATGTTATATATAATATATATATTATATGTTATATATTATATGTATTATTATTATATATTTAATGAAATATATATAATATATATTATATTAAATATAGTATATTACATTTAATATACTATATGTAATATATATAATATTTTATATCTATAATTAATATACAGTTATATATACAATATTATATATGTGATATAATATGTATTATATATAATACATATACAATATATTATATTATATATTATATAATATATATTAATTGTATGTATATTATATATAATATAATATATAATTTATGTGTTATATTATATATTAGATATATTTTTTTAATTTTTATTTTTATTATTATACTTAAAGTTTTAGGGTACATGTGCTCAATGAGCATGTTAGTTACATATGTATACATTTGACATGCTGGAGCGCTGCACCAACTAACTTGTCATCTAGCATTAGGTATGTCTCCCAATGCTATCCCTCCCCCTCCCCCCACCCCACAACAGTCCCCAGAATGTCATGTTCCCCTTCCTGTGTCCATGTGTTCTCATTGTTCAGTTCCCACCTATGAGTGAGAATCTGTGGTGTTTGGTTTTTTGTTCTTGCGATAGTTTACTGAGAATGATGATTTCCAATTTCACCCATGTCCCTACAAAGGACATGAACTCATCATTTTATGGCTGCATAGTATTCCATGGTGTATATGTGCCACATTTTCTTAATCCAGTCTATCATTGTTGGACATTTCGGTTGGTTCCAAGTCTTTGCTATTGTGAATAGTGCCACAATAAGCATACGTGTGCATGTGTCTTTATAGCAGCATGATTTATAGTCTTTTGGGTATATACCCAGTAATGGGATGTCTGGGTCAAATGGTATTTCTTGTTCTAGATCCCTGAGGAGTCTCCACACTGACTTCCACAATGGTTGAACTAGTTTACAGTCCCACCAACTGTGTAAAAGTGTTCCTGTTTCTCCACATCCTCTCCAGCACCTGTTGTTGCCTGACTTTTTAATGATCACCATTCTAACTGGTGTGAGATGATATCTAATTGCGGTTTTGATTTGCATTTCTCTGATGGCCAGTGATGGTGAGGATTTTCTCATGTGTTTTTTGGCTGCATAAGTGTCTTTTTTTGAGAAGTGTCTGTTCATGTCCTTCGCCCACTCTTTGATGGGGTTGTTTGTTTTTTTCTTGTAAATTTGTTTGAGTTCATTGTAGATTCTGGATATTAGCCCTTTATCAGATGCGTAGGTTGTAAAAATTTTCTCCTGTTTTGTGGGTTGCCTGTTTACTCTAATGGTAGTTTCCTTTGCTGTTCAGAAGCTCTTTAGTTTAATTAGATCCCATTTGTCAATTTTGGCTTTTGTTGCCATTGCTTTTGGTGTTTTAGACATGAAATCCTTGCCCATGCCTATGTCCTGAATGGTAATGCCTAGGTTTTCTTCTAGGGTTTTTATGGTTTTAGGTCTAACGTTTAAGTCTTTAATCCATTTTGAATTGATTTTTGTATAAGGTGTAAGGAAGGGATCCAGTTTCAGCTTTCTACATATGGCTAGCCAGTTTTCCCAGCACCATTTATTAAATAGGGACTCCTTTCCCCATTGCTTGGTTTTCTCAGGTTTGTCAAAGATCAGATAGTTGTAGATATGCCGAGTTATTTCTGAGGGCTCTGTTCTGTTCCATTGATCTATATCTCTGTTTTGGTACCAGTACCATGCTGTTTTGGTTACTGTAGCCTTGTAGTATAGTTTGAAGTCAGGTAATGGGATGCCTCCAGCTTTGTTCTTTTGGCTTAGGATTGACTTGGCGATGCGGGCTCTTTTTTGGTTCCACATGAACTTTAAAGTAGTTTTTTCCAATCCTGTGAAGAAAGTCATTGGTAGCTTGATGGGGATGGCATTGAATCTATAAATTACCTTGGGCAGTATGGCCATTTTCATGATATTGATTCTTCCTACCCATGAGCATGGAATGTTCTTCCATTTGTTTGTACCCTCTTTTATTTCATTGAGCAGTGGTTTGTAGTTCTCCTTGAAGAGGTCCTTCGCGTCCCTTGTAAGTTGGATTCCTAGGTATTTTATTCTCTTTGAAGCAACTGTGAATGGGAGTTTACTCATGATTTGGCTCTCTGTTTGTCTGTTATTAGTGTATAAGAATGCTTGTGATTTTTGTACATTGATTTTGTATCCTGAGACTTTGCTGAAGTTGCTTATCAGCCTAAGGAGATTTTGGGCTGAGACAATGGGGTTTTCTAGATATACAATCATGTCGTCTGCAAACAGGGACAATTTGACTTCCTCTTTTCCTAATTGAATACCCTTTATTTCCTTCTCCTGCCTAATTGCCCTGGCCAGAACTTCCAACACTATGTTGAATAGGAGTGGTGAGAGAGGGCATCCCTGTCTCACGCCAGTTTTCCAAAGGAATGCTTCCAGTTTTTGCCCATTCGGTATGATATTGGCTGTAGGTTTGTCATAGATAGCTCTTATTATTTTGAGAAATGTCCCATCAATAACTAATTTATTGAGAGTTTTTATCATGAAGGGTTGTTGAATTTTGTCAAAGGCCTTTTCTGCATCTATTGAGATAATCATGTGGTTTTTGTCTTTGGTTCTGTTTATATGCTGGATTACATTTATTGATTTGCATATATGGAACCAGCCTTGCATCCCAGGGATGAAGCCCACTTGATCATGGTGGATAAGCTTTTTGATTTGCTGCTGGATTTGGTTTGCCAGTATTTTATTGAGGATTTTTGCATCAATGTTCGTCAAGGATATTGGTCTAAAATTCTCTTTTTTGGTTGTGTCTCTGCCCGGCTTTGGTATCAGGATGATGCTGGCCTCATAAAATGAGTTAGGCAGGATTCCCTCTTTTTCTATTGATTGGAATAGTTTCAGAAGGAATGGTATCAGTTCCTTCTTGTACCTCTGGTAGAATTCAGCTGTGAATCCATCTGGTCCTGGAGTCTTTTTTGTTGGTAAGCTATTGATTATTGCCACAATTTCAGCTCCTGTTATTGGTCTATTCAGGGATTCAACTTCTTCCTGGTTTAGTCTTGGGAGAGTGTATGTGTCAAGGAATTTATCCATTTCTTCTAGAATTTCTAGTTTATTTGTGTAGAGGTGTTTGTAGTATTCTCTGATGGTAGTTTGTATTTCTGTGGGTTCGGTGGTGATATCCCCTTTATCATTTTTTATTGCATCTATTTGATTCTTCTCTCTTTTTTCTTTATTAGTCTTGCTAGCGGTCTATCAATGTTGTTGATCCTTTCAAAAAACCAGCTCCTGGATTCATTAATTTTTTGAAGGGCTTTTTCTGTCTCTATTTCCTTCAGTTCTGCTCTGATTTTAGTTATTTCTTGCCTTCTGCTAGCTTTTGAATGTGTTTGCTCTTGCTTTTCTAGTTCTTTTAATTGTGATGTTAGGGTGTCAATTTTGGATCTTTCCTGCTTTCTCTTGTGGGCATTTAGTGCTATAAATTTCCCTCTACACACTGCTTTGAATGTGTCCCAGAGATTCTGGTATGTTGTGTCTTTGTTCTCATTGGTTTCAAAGAACATCTTTATTTCTGCCTTCATTTCGTTATGTACCCAATAGTCATTCAGGAGCAGATTGTTCAGTTTCCATGTAGTTGAGGTTTTGAGTGAGTTTCTTCATCCAGAGTTCTAGTTTGATTGCACTGTGGTCTGAGAGATAGTTATAATTTCTCTTCTTTTACATTTGCTGAGGAGAGCTTTACTTCCAACTATGTGGTCAATTTTGGAATAAGTGTGGTGTGGTGCTGAAAAAAAATGTATATTCTGTTGATTTGGGGTGGAGAGTTCTGTAGATGTCTATTAGGTGTGCTTGGTGCAGAGCTGAGTTCAATTCCTGGGTATCCTTGTTGACTTTCTGTCTCGTTGATCTGTCTAATGTTGACAATGGGGTGTTAAAGTCTCCCATTATTAATGTGTGGGAGTCTAAGTCTCTTTGTAGGTCACTCAGGACTTGCTTTATGAATCTGGGTGCTCCTGTATTAGGTGCATATATATTTAGGATAGTTAGCCCTTCTTGTTGAATTGATCCCTTTACCATTATGTAATGGCCTTCTTTGTCTCTTTTGATCTTTGTTGGTTTAAAGTCTGTTTTATCAGAGACTAGGATGGCAACCCCTGCCTTTTCTTGTTTTCCATTTGCTTGGTAGATCTTCCTCCATCCTTTTATTTTGAGCCTATGTGTGTCTCTGCATGTGAGATGGGTTTCCTGAATACAACACACTGATGGGTCTTGACTCTTTATCCAATTTGCCAGTCTGTGTCTTTTAATTGGAGCATTTAGTCCATTTACATTTAAAGTTAATATTGTTATGTGTGAATTTGAACCTGTCATTATGATGTTAGCTGGTTATTTTGCTCGTTAGTTGATGCAGTTTCTTCCCTAGTCTTGATGGTCTTTACATTTTAGCATGATTTTGCAGCGGCTGGTACCGGTTGTTCCTTTCCATGTTTAGTGCTTCCTTCAAGAGCTCTTTTAGGGCAGGCCTGGTGGTGACAAAATCTCTCAGCATTTGCTTGTCTGTAAAGTATTTTATTTCTCCTTTACTTATGAAGCTTAGTTTGGCTGGATATGAAATTCTGGGTTGAAAATTCTTTCTTTAAGAATGTTGAATATTGGCCACCACTCTCTTCTGGCTTGTAGGGTTTCTGCCAAGAGATCCGCTGTTAGTCTGATGGGCTTCCCTTTGTGGGTAACCCGACCTTTCTCTCTGGCTGCCCTTAACATTTTTTCCTTCATTTCAACTTTGGTGAATCTGACAATTATGTGTCTTGGAGTTGCTCTTCTAGAGGAGTATCTTTGTGGTGTTCTCTGTATTTCCTGAATCTGAATGTTGGCCTGCCTTGCTAGATTGGGGAAGTTCTCCTGGATAATATCCTGCAGAGTGTTTTCCAACTTGGTTCCATTCTCCCCGTCCCTTTCAGGTACACCAATCAGACGTAGATTTGGTCTTTTCACATAGTCCCATATTTCTTGGAGGCTTTGTTCGTTTCTTTTTATTCTTTTTTTTCTAAACTTCCCTTCTCACTTCATTTCATTCATTTCATCTTCCATCGCTGATACCCTTTCTTCCAGTTGATTGCATCGGCTCCTGAGGCTTCTGCATTCTTCACGTAGTTCTCGAGCCTTGGCTTTCAGCTCCATCAGCTCCTTTAAGCACTTCTCTGTATTGATTATTCTAGTTATACATTCATCTAAATTTTTTTCAAAGTTTTTAACTTCTTTGCCTTTGGTTTGAATTTCCTCCTGTAGCTCGTAGTTTGATCGTCTGAAGGCTTCTTCTCTCAACTTGTCAAAGTCGTTCTCCATCCAGCTTTCTTCCATTGCTGGTGAGGAACTGCGATCCTTTGGAGAAGGAGAGGTGCTCTGCTTTTTAGAGTTTCCAGTTTTTCTGCTCTGTTTTTTCCCCATCTTTGTGGTTTTATCTACTTTTGTTTTTTGATGATGGTTATGTACAGATGGGTTTTCGGTGTGGATGTCCTTTCTGTTTGTTAGTTTTCCTTCTAACAGACAGGACCCTCAGCTGCAGGTCTGTTGGAGTTTGCTAGAGATCCACTCCAGACTCTGTTTGCCTGGGTATCAGCAGTGGTGTCTGCAGAACAGTGGTTTTTCGTGAACCACGAATGTTGCTGTCTGATCGTTCCTCTGGAAGTTTTGTCTCAGAGGAGTAACCGGCCATGTGATGTTTCAGTCTGCCCCTACTGGGGGGTGCCTCCCAGTTAGGCTGCTCAGGGTTCAGGGGTCAGGGACCCACTTGAGGAGGCAGTCTGCCCATTCTCAGATCTCCAGCTGCGTGCTGGGAGGAACACTGGTCTCTTCAAAGCTGTCAGACAGGGACATTTAAGTCCACAGAGGTTACTGCTGTCTTTTTGTTTGTCTGTGCCCTGCCCCCAGAGGTGGAGCCTACAAAGGCAGGCAGGCCTCCTTGAGCTGTGGTGGGCTCCACCCAGTTCGAGCTTCCTGGCTGCTTTGTTTACCTAAGCAAGCCTGGGCAATGGCGGACGCCCCTCCCCCAGCCTCACTGCTGCCTTGCAGTTTGATCTCACACTGCTGTGCTAGCAATCAGTGAGACTCCGTGGGCGTAGGACCCTCCGAGCCAGGTGCAGGATATAATCTCCTGGTGCGCAGTTTCTTACGCCCTTTGGAAAAGGGCAGTATTCGGGTGGGAGTGACCCGATTTTCCAGGTGCCATCTGTCACCCCTTTCTTTGACTAGGAAAGGGAACTCCCTGACCCCTTGTGCTTCCAAGTGAGGCAATGCCTCGCCCTGCTTCAGCTCACGCACGGTGCACTGCACCCACTGACCTGCGCCCACTGTTTAGCACTCCCTAGTGAGATGAACCCGGTACCTCAGATGGAAATGCAGAAATCACCCGTCTTCTGCGTCGCTCACGCTGGGAGCTGTAGACCGGAGCTGTTCCTATTTGGCCATCTTGGCTTCTATCCCTATTATATATATATTATTTATAACATAATATATCTTCAATATATATTATTTATAACATAATATATCTTCAATATATATTATTTATAACATAATGTATCTTCAATATATATTATTTATAACATAATGTATCTTCAATATATATTATTTATAACATAATATATCTTCAATATATATTATTTATAACATAATATATCTTCAATATATATTATTTATAACAATATATCTTCAATATATATTATTTATAACATAATATATCTTCAATATATATTATTTATAACATAATATATCTTCAATATATATTATTTATAACATAATATATCTTCAATATATATTATTTATAACATAATATATCTTCAATATATATTATTTATAACATAATATATCTTCAATATATATTATTTATAACATAATATATCTTCAATATATATTATTTATAACATAATATATCTTCAATATATATTATTTATAACATAATATATCTTCAATATATATTATTTATAATATAATATATCTTCAATATATATTATTTATAATATAATATATCTTCAATATATATTATTTATAATATAATATATCTTCAATATATAATTTATAATATAATATATCTTCAATATATATTATTTATAATATATCTTCAATATATATTATTTGTAATATATATTCAATATAGATTATATATAATATATATTTTGGAGGCAGAGCTTAAAACAGTTGTTCTGTGCTACCCAGTGAAATAATATTATATATAATATAATATATCCTGAATTATTTGCTTTTTTTCCATCTCCAATAATCTCATGCTAGTACAAATCACCACTCAGCTCACCTGAACAACCACAGGGCAATTGGTCTTCCTGTCTTCACTCTTGCTCTCTTATAGTAAATTTTCCCACTACCAAGATAAATCTGACCATACCACCACAAACTTAAAACTTCGACTTTTCCCCATTGCACTGAAAGTAAAATTTCCACTTCTTACCATGAGCTATAAAATTCTATATAATATTACCACTGTCCAATTCTGTAGCTTTATTTTTTACCTCTCTCTTCCATGCTCACTATTCTTCAGCCACACCAATCTTCTTTCAGCTCCTGAAGCACACGAAGTTATTTCTCACCTTTGAATATTTACACTTGCTTCTCCCTCTCTCTGGAACTCTGTCTCTGAATGGTGACCCCTTTAGTCATGTCAGATCTCAGTTAACATAGCACCTTCGCAAGGACACTTTCCAAGGCCCCTTTATCAAATATTGCCACTTCCTGGCTCACTCTATCACATTACCCCGTATTATCTTCACAGCACTGGAATTATTTTAGGGAATTTCGGTTTTTTGCTTTCCTGATCACTATTGGATTTCTCCAGAATAACATTATATCCATGACAACAGGAATCTTGCCTATCTAAACCATATCTTTATCTTAAGTGCCTAAAACATTCTGGAAGATACTAGTTGTGCAATAAATATTTGGTGATGAATTAACTTCAAGCTTACTAGCATTTCATCACATCTATAAAAGAGAATACTAGAAACAATCCAGTCTAAAGCACATGTGCAGCCATTTCCAATCTTCCTTTAAAATTTTCGCTTTTGGGTACAAATATTTAAGAAACAGAGAGCTGATTTATCTTACCCTACTAGAACCTTAGCCTGAGCTTCTATTGCATGATTTCTAGATACACCAAAACCTCGTGTTCTTCCTACTTCCACACTATATTGTATCTTCTACACCTTCAATGTATCTTCTACATATAAAATAAGGTCCAATTTCATCATAATCTGCTTCCCAAGCTTCCAAAATCACACCTCACTATGCTCATATCTTGTTGGTTTCCAAAATTTACATTTTGCTTATACTGTTCATTTGTTCATGACCTGCTCTTACCCAAACCTTAGTAACTTTTAAAGGCTAAGTTATTTCACAAACTCATAAGACTTTCAACCTGTTCCAGCCTCCACTGATCTCCTATTGCTTTGAACAACACTTGCAGTGGTGATGAAGAATAATATCCGTATCATTCCTTTGATACTAACTTATTTACTGCTGTGTTTTATGACTCAACTGTTTTATGCAACATTTTCTCATTCACTCATTCATTCGTTCATTTGTCATAAACTAGTGCTAGTCTTATGCTGGATGCTAGAGATATATAAATATCAATACTCTTAAAGAAGTCATTAATAACCCACTGGAAGTGAATAATGCATTGTGCTATGTTCATTTAATCTTCACAAAGACTCTGGGAGGTAGTTTGTTGCTATTTCCATTTTACAAATGAGAGCATGTGTTAAACAAAACTTGCCTAATGTCACTCAACTAATAAAAGATTCAAATATAAGGAGCAGGTTCTGAGTGACCACAAAGTCCATTTTTCACGCTGCCACTCAGCAAATGTTTTTCAAATATTAACATAACTTTTACATTATCTTAAAGAGATATATTAAAATGTTTTATATGTCAGTACAACAATACTGCAGAAGCAGACTCTCTTGCTGTAGAATAAAGTAAAATAATGACAACAATAAGAGCCATGCATTCCAATTAAAAATCAGAAAAGATATGCTAGTGTTCACTGGCAAGTGTTCACTAGCACTCTGAAGGAATTTGTTATTTTACATCTATTGACCGACCTGGTGTTCCACAAGACATAAGCCCTCCCTGGAATCTCCCTCCAGTCTGACTAAACAGCACTAGAGTTTAGGTTTCTAGAATACTAGCAGCTTGAATTGGAAACAGTCTCTCTGAATCTTCAAACTCTCCTGAATCAAAGAGTTTCCAGGGCCAGTAGATGGGTTAAGCAGAGAAAATGTCATGAGGCTAAAGGCTTTCTAAGTGTTCCTGCAGAAAGGCTTGGTATGAAATTTTCTCTTCCCTTGGCTGAAAGAGAGCCTGGGAACCAATATTTAGAGTAAGGATATTGAAACAGTGAATGTGTCCTTGATGGAATGAAGAAGAAGCTCAATAGACAGACGAATGGAGTGCTCTGAATCCTGAATGCCAGGAAAGTTTAATGAAACTGGATTGCAAAAAATGTTGCTCTTAGTGTCTTTTAGCAACCAATACACTTGCTGCTATCCCACAGCCCAAGTGAAGAGAGACCACTGCATTGTAACATCCACAGCAGCACCTCTACTTAAGATAGTCTGACGTTTTAACATCAGCAATGAAAGTTGGTAGTTACAGGAAAAAAATTTATTCAATGAACTAAGAGAAAATAACTCTCCATCTAGAATTCTATGATAAAGCAAAACTATTTTTCAAGAATGAAGAAAAATAAAAATATTTTCATATAAACAAAAACTGAATAAATTTATCAAAAGACCCTCACTAAAAGTATTCTCTAGGATGTTATTCAGGCAGAAAAAAAATAATTCTACATATGAAACCTGGAATACAACAAGAAATGAAGTGTAAAGAATTGATAAATATATGCGTAAATACAAACTGACATGATCATACAAAAAGAGCAACAATGTTTAATTCGTAAGGAGAAGAGGGAAAACAGAATGAACCTAAAGGATTTGACATACATATTGGACTAATTATGGCATATATATTGGGAGGGTAGTAATCTGAGTTAGTGTTCTAAATGTACTCAAGCTATGCTTGGGAAGGCGTGAAAGGTACTGGTTTAATTTCACAATTTGCTAACAGGCTAATAAATAAATATAGAAATAATAACTTCTTAACAGGCAGAGCAGAGAGTTGTAATGAGGAAAAAGACAGAAAAATAATTGGCTATCCAAAATAACAAAGGAAAAATAAAACAAAAAGAAAAAAATATTGAAGAGACGAGAGAGAAATAGCACAAAACAAGATTTTAGAAAAAATTCTAAATGCATCAGCAATATCAATACTTTTAACTCACTTCAATTAAAAGACAAAGATTACTTCATTTAAATAAACTTTAGCTATATATATATATTTTTTCTATTTAAGTGTCTTCTTTATTATAGCCTTAATAACAATCATGTTACCATATTCCGTTGAACATTGATTTTAAGGCAAAAGACCCAGAGGAGGTAGCTGCTTCTGCCTGCTTCCTACACCATCCCGCCCCTACCCCAGTGGTGTGCTGGTAAACATTTAACAACCAGATCTGGACGAAAAGAACAGGGGCCCTGATCTGCAGCATTAACCAATTCGCGTGGCATAAACACTCCGACCAACCAGATGTCTCTGAAGGCAGAGCTGAAAAGGGATGCACACAACCAGTTGTCGGAGACATACAGCCAGCTCTGGCATAGCACAGCTGCAACTCATGAAATGTCTAGAATAGTTCAAGTTGCATAACAGAAGATTTTTGTCTCTGCCTGTCTTCCCACTTCTACTCCCACATCCAGGTGCCAACTCTCTCCATTTATCTCAAAAGCAAATGCTCCAAAGGGGAGAATCTGATTCTATCACCATTCTTTTTTTATTTTTTAAATTATGCTATAAGTTCTAGGGTACATGTGCACAACATGCAGGTTTCTTACACAGGTATACATGTGCCATGTTGGTTTGCTGCACCCATCAACTCGTCATTTACATTAGGTATTTCTCCTAATGCTATCCCTCCCCCAGCCCCCTACCCCCCAACAGGCCCCAGTATGTGTTGTTCCCTGCCCTGTGTATACATGTTCTCATCGTTCAGTTCCCACCTGTGAATGAGAACATGTGCTGTTTGGTTTTCTGTCCTTGTGATAGTTTGCCGAGAATGATGGTTTCCAGCTTCATCCATGTCCCTACAAAGGACATGAACTCATCCTTTTTTATGACTGCACAGTATTCCATCGTGTATATGTTCCACATTTTCTTAATCCAGTCTATCATTGATGGACTTTTGGGTTGGTTCCAAGTCTTTGCTATTATGAATAGTGCTGCAATAAACATACATGTGCATGTGTCTTTAAAGTAGCATGGTTTATAATCCTTTGGGTATACACCCAGTCATGGGATGGCTGGGTCAAATGGTGTTTCTAGTTCTAGATCCTTGAGGAATTGCTACACTGTCTTCCAAAATGATTGAACTAATTTACACTCCCACCACCAGTGTAAAAGTGTTCCTATTTCTCCACATCCTCTCCAGCACCTGTTGTTTCCTGACTTTTTAATGATTGCCATTCTAACTAGCATGAGATGGTATCTTATTGTGGTTTTAATTTGCATTCCTCTGATGACCAGTGATGATGAGCATTTTTTCATGTGTCTGTTGGCTACATAAAAGTCTTCTTTTGAGAAGTGTCTGTTCATATCCTTTGCCCAATTTTTGATGGGGTTGCTTGATTTTTTTCTTGTAACTTTGTTTAAGTTCTTTGTAGATTCTGGATATTAGCCCTTTGTCAGATGGGTAGATTGCAAAAATTTTCTCCCATTCTGTAGGTTGCCTGTTCACTCTGATGGTAGTTACTTTTGCCATGCAGAAGCTCTTTAGTTTAATTAGATCCCATTTGTCAATTTTCACTTCTGTTGCCATTGCTTTTGATGTTTTAGTCATGAAGTCTTTGCCCATGCCTATGTCCTGAAAGGTACTCTCTCTGTTTTCTTCTAGGGTTTTTATGGTATTAGGTCTAACATTTAAGTCTTTAATCCATCTTGAATTAATTTTTGCATAAGGTGTAAGGAAGGGATCCAGATTCAGCTTTCTACATATGGCTAGCCAGTTTTCCCAGCACCATTTATTAAATAGGGAATCCTTTCCCCATTTCTTGTTTTTGTCAGGTTTGTCAAAGATCACATGGCTGTAGATGTGTGATGTTATTTCTGAGTCCTCTGTTCTGTTCCACTGGTCTATATATCTGTTTTGGTACCAGTACCATACGTTTTGGTTATCGTAGCCTTATAGTATAGTTTGAAGTCAGATAGCGTGATGCCTCCAGCTTTGTTCTTTTTGCTTAGGATTATCTTGGCAATGCTGGCTCTTTTTTGATTCCATATGAACGTTAAAGTAGTTTTTTCCAATTCTGTGAAGAAAGTCATTGGTAGCTTGATGGGGATGGCATTGAATCTATAAATTACCTTGGGCAGTATGGCCATTTTCACAATTTTGATTATTCCTATCCATGAGCATGGAATATTCTTCCATTTGTTTGTGTCCTCTTTTATTTCATTGAGCTGTGTTTGTAGTTCTCCTTGAAGAGGTCCTTCACATCCCTTGTAACGTGGATTCCTAGGAATTTTATTCTCTTTGTAGCAATTGTGAATGGGAGTTCACCCATGATTTGGCTCTCTGTTTGTCTGTTATTGGTGTACAGGAATGCTGTGATTTTTGCACACTGATTTTGTATCTGAGACTTTGCTGAAGTTGCTTATCAGCTTAAGGAGATATGGGGCTGACATGATGGGGTTTTCTAAATATACAATCATGTCATCTGCAAACAGGGACAATTTGACTTCTTCTTTCCCTAATTGAACATCCTTTATTTCTTTCTGTTGCCTGATTGCCCTGGCCAGAACGTCCAACACTATGTTGAATAGGGGTGGTCAGAGCGGGCATCCTTGTATTGTGCTGGTTTTCAAAGGGAATGCTTCCAGTTTTTGCTCATTCAGTATGATATTGGCTGTGGGTTTGTCATAAATAGCTCTTATAATGTTGAGATACGTTCCATCAATACCTAGTTTATTGAGAGTTTTTAGCATGAAGGGCTGCTGAATTTTGTCAAAGGCCTTTTCTGCATCTATTGAGATAATCATGTGGTTTTGGTCATTGGTCCTGTTTATGTGATAGATTATGTTTATTGATTTGTGTATGTTGAACCCACCTTGCATCCCAAGGATGAAGCCAACTTGATCATGGTGGATAAGCTTTTTGATGTGCTGCTGGATTCAGTTTGCCAGTATTTTATTGAGGATTTTTGCATCAATATTCATCAGGGATATTGGCCTAAAATTCTCTTTTTTTGTTGTATCTCTGCCAGGCTTTGGTATCAGGATAATGTTGGCCTCATAAAATGAGTTAGAGAGGATTTTTTTCTATTGATTAGAATAGTTTCAGAAGGAATGGTACCAGCTCCTCTTTGTACCTCTGGTAGAATTTGGCTGTGAATCCATCTGGTCCTGGACTTTTTTTGGTTGTTAGGCTATTAATTATTGCCTCAATTTCAGAGACTGTTATTGGTCTATTGAGAGATTCAATTTCTTCCTGGTTTAGTCTTTGGAGGGTGAATGTGTCCAGGAATTTATCCATTTCTTCTAGATTTTGTAGTTTATTTGCATAGAGGTGTTTCTAGTATTCTCTGATGGTAGTTTGTATTTCTGTAGGATTGGTGGTGATATCCCTTTTATCAGTTTTTATTGCATCTCTTTGATTATTCTCTCTTTTTTCTTTATCAGTTTTGCTAGCAGTCTATCAATTGTGTTGATCTTTTCAAAAAACCAGCTCCTGGGTTCATTGATTTTTTTGAAGAGTTTTTCATGTCTCTGCCTCCTTCAGTTCTGCTCTGAGCTTAGTTTTTTCTTGCTTTCTGCTAGCTTTTGAAATTGTTTGCTCTCGCTTCTCTAGTTCTTTTAATTGTGATGTTAGGGTATCAATTTTAGATCCTTCCTGCTTTGTCTTGTGGGCGTTTAGTGCTATAAATTTCCCTCTACACACTGCTTTAAATGTGTCCCAGAGATTCTGGTACCTTGTGTCTTTGTTCTCATTGGTTTCAAAGAACATCTGTACTTCTGCCTTCACTTTCTTATTTAACCAGTAGTCATTCAGAAGCAGGTTGCTCAGTTTCCATGTAGTTGTGCGGTTTTCAGTGAGTTTCTTAATCCTGAGTTCTAATTTGATTGCACTGTGGCCTGAGAGACAGTTTCTTGTGATTTGTGTTCTTTTACATTTGCTGAGGAGTGCTTTACTTCCAATTATGTGGTCTATTTTAGAATAAGTTCAATGTGATGCTGAGAAGAATGTATATTCTGTTGATTTAGGGTGGAGAGTTCTGTAGATGTCTATTAGGTCTGCTTGGTGCAGAGCTGAGTTCAAGTCCTGGATATCCTTGTTAACCTTCTGCCTCGTTGATCTGTCTAGTATTGAAAGTGGGGTGTTATAGTCTCCCATTATTATTGTGTGGTAGTCTAAGTCTCTTTGTAGCTCTCTAAGGACTTACTTTATGAATCTGGGTGCTCTTTTATTGGGTGCATATATATTTAGGATAGTTAGCTCTTCTTGTTGAATTGATCCCTTTACCATTATGTAATGGCCTTCTTTGTCTCTTTTGATCTTTGTTGGTTTAAAGTCTGTTTTGTCAGAGACTAGGATTGCAGCCCCTGCTTTTTTTTGCTTTCCATTTGCTTGGTAGATCTTTCTCCATCCCTTTATTTTGAGCCTATGTGTGTCTCTTCACATGACATGGGTCTCCTGAATACAGCACACTGATGAGTCTCAACTCTTTATCCAATTTGCTAGCCTGTGTCTTTTAGTTGAGGCAATCAGCCCATTTACATTCAAGGTTAATACTATTATGTGTGAATTTGATCCTGTCATTGTGATGTTAGCTGGTTATTTTGCCCACTAATTGATGCAGTTTCTTCATAGCATCGATGATCTTTACAATTTGGCATGTTTTTGGAGTGGCTGGTACTGGTTTTTCCTTTCCATATTTAGTGCTTCCTTCAGGAGCTCTTGTAAGGCAGGCCTGGTGGTGACAAAATCTCTCAGCATTTGCTTGTCTGTAAAGGATTTTATTTCTTCTTCATGTATAAAGCTTAGTTTGGCTGGATATGAAATTCTGTGTTGAAAAATCTTTTCTTTAAGAATGTTGAACATATTGGCCCCCACTCTCTTCTAGTTTATAGGATTTCTGCAGAGAGATCCACTGTTAGTGTGATGGGTTTCCCTTTATGGGTAACCTGACCTTTCTCTCTGGCTGCCCTTAACATTTTTTCCTTCATTTCAACCTTGATGAGTCTGACAATTGTGTGTCTTGGTGTTGCTCTTCTCAAGGAGTATCTTTGTGTTGTTCTCTGTATTTCCTGAATTTGATTACTGGCCTGCATTGCCCCTTTGGGGAAGTTCTCCTCAATAACACCCTGAAGAGTGTTTTCCAACTTGGTTCCATTCTCCCCATCACTTTCAGGTACACCAACCAAACGTAGATTTGGTCTTTACACATAGTCCCATATTTCTTGGAGGCTTTGTTCATTTATTTTTACTCTTTTTTCTTTAAACTTGTCTTCTCACTTTATTTCATTCATTTGATCTTCAATCACTGATACCCTTTCTTCCAGTTGTTCGAATTGGCTATTGAAGCTTGTGCATGCATCATGAAGTTCTTGTGCCATGGTTTTAAGCACTATCAGGTCATTTAAGGTGTTCTCTACACTGTTTATTCTAGCCATTCATCTAACCTTTTTTCAAGGTTTTTAGCTTCCTTGCCATGAGTTAGAACATGCTCCTTTAGCTTGGAGAAGTTTGTTATTACCGACCTTCTGAACCCTACTTTTGTCAACTCATCAAAGTCATTCTCCGTCCATCTTTGTTCCGTTGCTGGCAAGGAGCTGCAATCCTTTGGAGGAGGAGAGGCACTATGGTTTTTAGAATTTTCAGCTTGTCTGCTCTGGTTGCTCCCCATCTTTGCAGTTTTAATCTACCTTTGGTCTTTGATGTTGGTGACCTGCAGATGGGGTTTTGGTGTAGATGTGTGTAGATGTCCTTTTGGTGATGTTGATGCTATTCCTTTCTGTTTGTTAGTTTTCCTTCTAACAGTCAGGTCCCTCAGCTGCAGGTCTGTTGGAGTTTGCTGAAGGTCCACTTCAGACACTGTTTGCATGGTTATCACCAGCAGAGGCTGTAGAACAGCAACTATTGCAAAATAGGAAATATTGCTGCTTGATCATTCCTCTGGAAGCTTCATCCCAGAGGGGCACCTACCTGTATGAGGTGTCTGTCGGCTCCTACTGGGAGGTGTCTCCCAGTTAGGCTACAGGGGGTCAAGGACCCACTTGAGGAGGCAGTCTGTCCATTCTCAGAGCTCAAATGCTGTGCTCGAGAACCACTGCTCTCTTCAGAGCTGTCAGACAGGGATGTTTAAGTCTGCAAAAGTTTCTGCTGTCTTTGGTTCAGGTATGCCCTGCTCACAGAGGTGGAGTCTATAAAGGCAGTAGGTCTTGCTGAGCTGTGGTGGGCTCTGCCCAGTTCGAGCTTCCCAGCTGCTTTGTTTACCTACTCAAGCCTCAGCAATGGCAGACGCCCCTCCCCCAGCCAGGCTGCAGCCTCGCAGGTCGATCTCAGACTGCTGCACTAGCAGTAAGCAAGGCTCCGTGGGCGTGGGACCCTCTGAGCCAGGCATGGGAGGGAATATCCTGGTCTGCTGGTTGCTAAGACCATGGGAAAAGCACAGTATTTGGGCAGGAGTGTACAGTCAAGCCAAAGTACAGTCTGTCACGGCTTCCCTTGGCTAGGAAAGGGAAATCCCTGGATCCATTGCGCTTCTCGGGTGAGGCGATATCCCACCCTGCTTCAGCTCACCCTCCGTGGGCTGCACCCACTGTCCAACCAGTCCCAGTGAGATGAACCAGGTAGCTCAGCTGGAAATGCAGAAATCGCCTATATTCTGTGTCTGGTGTGTAGCTGGGAGCTACAGACCAGAGATTTTCCTATTCGGCCATCTTGGAATGGAAAATGCTATATTTTATTTCAAGAGACACTGAAAACTTAAGAAACAAGAAAATGTTAAAGTGAAAGGATGGAAAATATATACGAGTTAAATTTTAACCAAAACAAAATTTGTATTATTTTGTATTATCTAATATAATAGGTAAAATTTGTATTACCTCATTATTAGATTTTTAAACAAAAACATTTCTAAAAATAAAAAGTTTCATATCTTATGAAAGGGTTTGATTCACAAAGAAAATATGGCAATTTTGAACTTACACAGTTATAACTCAGCTTCAAAATATATGAAGAAAAAAACTAATAGAAATACAATAAGACAACTGAGAACTTTTCAGTAAGTGATAGACTAGGCAGACAAAAATCAGTTAAGCTATAGAAAGTTTAAAATAACACAAGAAGTTTGATTTAATGGACATGCATAGAATATTGCATACAACAGTAGGGGATATGTTTGGAAAGTATATCTTTTATCAAGCACATCTGAAACAATTGTATCAGAAATTACAAGTGCTAGCCCATAAATCTGGTAACAACATTTTTCAAAGACTATCATATGAAAATGAGTTATTATTCATGAATTTATTATCATATAAATGATAATTTTAAAAATCAGTAATCAAATTATGATAAGATAACCGAACACTTTTGAGAACTGTAAATATAATTCTGAACAACTCATGGTCAAAGAAGCAAAAATAGAGATTAAAAATATTTATAACCTAAAAATAATGAAAATATTATGCATCATTATTAAATAATCAGGTAACATTGGCTTGAACACCTGTAAAAATAGCTTATTATAATCATTCTGGTAATTTTATTTTGTTTTAAATGACAAAACAATATTGAAAGAAAAGTCTTTTAATTTGTTTTATTTAACATGTCTAGCCACTTGTGACAAAATTACCAAAAAGTCTTTATGTGAAAACATACGAGCTAGGGGGAATAGAAAAGATGTATGCAAGAAAAGGTTATCAAGCATCACATATTCATAACAAGAGAATAGTCAATACTATAGCATAGATGTATGCTACCCAGCTGCAGACACTCAACTGTGCTACAATGATGTTCCTTCAATTTACTGTTCCAACGCTCCTGTCCAAAGCAGTCAATTGTAACAGCAAGCACACAGTGCAGAACTCAAGAGTAAATGGGCAAGAATATGGCATAAAACTCACATTATGATGCAATATGAATAAAATTTAGATTACTAGAAAATCCTATGTGTATGTGCACAAAAATTCCTAATATTTTCTTAGAAAATTTACACACTTAACTATCAATTCCAAAGCATCTACCCTACAACCCTAAGTACCACCCTAATACTGTTTCCCTAAGATCCTTTGGGTGTTCTCTCTTCTAGGTTATGGTATACTTGCCTTGAAGCATGTATGTGTATATGTTTTCCTTGCATTATACAATGAGTTTTTTGCTGGCAAACATCACCTCTGAATTCAGCACAATGCCTAGCACATGGTTAGTACTTGAAAACTTTTGTTTTCAATTTTGTTTTAGAACTTCAATAATCGGACTTCTGGTTTTAAAATAGCCGTGTAGAAACAGAATGGTTTCAACCCCTGCACTCCCCAGAAACAAAAACAAATATACAGTGCAGATATTTGCACCAGCAACAACTGAGAACTCAAATATGAGGATGAGACAGATACCAAGGCCACAGTGAAGCGAAAAAACTGAGCAAACTGTAGAATAATTGAACTTCCACATCTATGACACTCCTCCTCCCTTTCTGCCTGGCAACAAGCAAGCAGAAAAATCTCCCAACTTACAGTTTCCATACTGCAAAAAGTGAGATGAAGGTGGTCAAGCAGCTTTCCCCACATCTTGGGTTCCCTGTTAGAAAGACCTGTCCTTATCCTAACCAGTGGAAAGTATCCTGACTTCCTGAAGAGAGAAATACCCGTGAGGGCAGGCAGAAACAAAGACTATAGGTGGGACTACCTCCCTACATCCCCAGCCCTGGATACTGTTCTGTAACTTGGCCAAAAGAGATAGCAAATTTTTGACAGAGTGAGACCCTCTCTCAAAAAAAAAGCAAAGAAGCATATGATTATTTCAATAGATGCCAAAAAAAGCACTTAATAAAATTCAACTTTCCTTTATGATAACAACGCTCATCAAACTGCATATGGAAGTAACATATCTCAAAATAATAAAGGCCGTATATGACAACCTCACACTGTGAGGTTACGCTCCACAGGGAAAAGTTGACAGCCTTTCTTTTAAGATCTGGAACAATATCAGGATGCCGAGTTTCACTACTTTTATACAACGTAATACTAGAAGTTCTGGACAGAGCAATTAAGCAAGAAAAAGAGAAAAAGGGCATCCAAATTTGACACAAGTAAGTCAAATTGGCCTTCTTTGCCGACAACATGATCTTAACCTAGATAAACTTAGACACTGACATAAAAAAAAAAACTGTTAGAACTGATAAATGAATTCAGTAAAGTTCCAGGATGCAAAGTCAACATACAAAAATCAGTGATATTTATATATGCCAACAGCAAACAATCTGAAAAAGAAATCAAGAAATCCAATACTATTTACAATAACGACAAAGAATGCAAAATACCTAGGACTCAACCTAACCAAAGATATGAATGATCTATACAAAAAAAAACTCTAATGAAAAATTGAAGAGGAAACAAAAAAAATGGAAAATACCCCATGTTCATGAATTGGGAGGATTAATATTTTTAAAATGACAATACAAATTCAATGCAATCCTTATCAAAATGTTTCTATTCTTCATGCATATAAAAAATCCTAAAATTTATATAGAACCATAAAAATCCTGAATAGCCAAAGCAATGCTGAGTAAAAATAACAGAGATGGAGGCATGACATTATATGACCTTAAAATGTACTACAAAGCTATAGTAACCAAAACAGCATGATGATGGCATAAAAACAGACACATGGACCAGTGGAACAGATTACAGAACACAGATATAAATCCATGCATTCATAATCAACTCATCTTCAACAAAGGTGATAAGAACACACAATGAGGAAAGGACACTCATCTCAATAAATGATGCTGGAAAAATGGATAACTATATACAGAAGAATGAAACTTGACCCCTAGCGCACACCATACAAAGAAATCAAATCTAAATGAACCAAAGATTTAAATCTAATACCTGAAACTATGAAATTACAGAAGAAAACATTGGGGAAATGCTCCGGAACGTTGGCCTGGGCAAGATTTTTAACATAAAGCCTCAAAAACACAGGCAACCAAAAAAAAAAATAGGCAAATGGGATTACATCAAGCTAGAAACCTTCTGCAAGGCAAATGAAGCCAACAAAGTGAAAAGACAACCTACAGGATGGGAGAAAATATTTGCAAACTATACATTTGACAAGGGACTAATAACAAAAATATATAAGGAGCTCACACAACTGAATAGCAAAAAAAATCCAATTTAAAATGGGCAAAAAATTTAAAAAGACTTTTCTCAAAAGAAGACATACAAATGGCCAACTGGAATATGAAAAACATGTTGAACCTCACTAATCATCAGAGAAGTGCAAGTCAAAACCACAATGAGATGTCATCTTACCCCAGTTAAAATGGCTTGTATCAAAAAGACAATAACACATGTTGGCATGAACATAGAGAAATGGGAACCCTCATACACTGTTAGGGAGAATGTAAAGTAGTATGGCCACCATGGAGAATAGTATAAAGTTTCCTCAAAAATCCTAGAAATAGAACTACCACATTCTCCAGCAACTCCTCTACTGGGTATATATTCAAAAGAAAGGAAATCAATATATCAAAAAGATATCTCCAATCCCATATTTACTGCAGCACTATTCACAATAGCCAAGATATGGAATCAACCTAAGTGTCCACCAATGAATGAGTAAATAAAATGTAGTTTATTACACAATAGTATACTATTTGTCCATAAGAAAGAATGAAATTGTTTCATTTGCTGCAACATAGATGAAACTGGAGGCCATTATGTTAAGTGAAATAAGCCAGACACAGAACGACAAATATTGCATGCTCTCATTCATATGTGGGAGCTACAAAAGTGGATCTCATGAAGATAGAGAGTAGAATGTTGGTTACTAGAGGCCAAGAAGGTATAGGGGAGGGGGTAATGAAGGAAGAAAAAGAATATAAATGTATTTCTTACCACTGAACTGTACACTTTAAAATGGCAAAGATGGTAAACTATATATGTGATATAATTGATTAAAATAATTAATTTTAAAAATAAAATTCAATAATGAATTAATGTTAAAATTATATAGGATCTCATTCAAGGCAGGAAACACCTTTTTCAGTCTATACAACTGAGTTAATACTGACACAGTGTATAAAAATGTGCTTAGCAATATATTAGGCCTTCAGTAAGCACTCAATAAATGCTAACTGTTGGAACTTTTGATGTTGCTGACAATCAGTGACAAAACAAGGAAGAAATTTTTTAAGCAGGTCTATCAACTACATATCACAGAACAAGGAACTTACATACAATACTCAAAATTCAGATAAATGTGAAGCTGATATTGAAAAAAGACACACTATGAATTCTATATTACTCCATAGCTAGAAGGCAGGAGGCATTATCTAGTTAAATTACAGTTTGCCCAAATCCAGAAATGAGAAGCTCTTCATGTCAGGCTATCTGTGTTGGAGATACTACGAGTAAATTTAATTATACCTGAGGAAAAATTTGGGATAAAATATATGTAAATGTTTTGTTGACCATAAAATAAAATTTATCAACTTGCTTTTGCAAATTTAGAATATTTCTGTCCTATTTTCTTATCTTCCTATTCTTATGTATAGAAATTTCTCAAGTCCTTCTCATTAAAAAATATACATCTCTCTTTCTCTATAAAGAGATATGTTTAATGACATACAATCAACAGATCAAGGAATAATTTTTGAAGAATTTTTTTAGTTATGAAGCATCCTGTATCACAAATTTACAAGCAGATTGTCTAAAATTTTCACCTACAAAACTAACAAATATACTCCATATATTAAAATGTAGGGCTTTCTTGGCACATTAATTTTTTTACTAGAAAATTATTTATAGCATAATGTAGTGGGAAAAATAGTCTTTGGATCAGGCCAACTTGGATTCAAATCTAAGTTAATGTCTTAATCATTAAAAAGGCCAACTGGAATATTCTACCTCTCATGATTGATTTTGAAGATGGAATAAAGTATTAATACGTAAGGCAATTAGGACATTGGTTGCCATCTAAAACACTTTGAAACTTGTTAGCTTTCCTTCTTTCAATAGACAGTAACATTAACTTTTCCAAGGTAGGATCTTCTAAATTTTTTCTTCTAATATAATGAAATATCTGGGCTCCTTTGAGATTTGTGTCCACTTTAGCATCTCAACTTCCTGAACAAATGAGTTAGATCCCCATCTTAAGACAGAATTTTTAGTAACTAGTACAAGGAAAAGTTCTCTAGCCTTAGTTTTATTTTTGGCTCTTTGCAACCACTTTCTCTTAACAAAGCATTTCTTTCTCAGGTCCTGATATGCTTGACATTCATTCAAGGTTTTATGCTCTGACCTGATGTAATTTAATTTACTACAATTCTACTATCAGCGTTATTAGACAGGAACATTTCATTTTCTAACATCTATGTAGCCATTTTTAAACATTTAAATGCTTTAACAATTTTTATTTAAATAATGATTTCCCAGAATAGCTCTTTGTAATAGTTAAGCTTTATTTAAAAGAATGTGGAGAACCTGGAAATAGTCCAAAGAAGAATAGGCAAAATGATTAAAGGGACAGGAAATAAATTATCTCAGAAAAAGCTGGAGTGAGTTAAAAGGAGAAAGCAATGGTATTATATAACCGGTCTGATTCACCAAACCTTCTTACAAATAAAAGTTGGTGGCCTTCGGAAGTTATACTGGAAAAGCCGGCACACACACTTGTGAACCACAAAGGATGAAGGAAGTCTTCCAGGTCTACTTCCAACTCCTGATTGCTCTAGTTTTTTTCTGATTTCTCATAAAACTTAAAGTATAAATAAGAAATGAGAAATAGGTTGCATTATATGACCTAACTCTGATTAAACTGGTGGAAGTTGTTTTGAGAATTATGAATTTTCATTTCTACAATGATTAGGATCTCCTTTTAAAAAAAAATTGGTAGGAGATTAACATCACATTCAGCTATGACTCATCAAGAGGCTAGAATCTATGAGAATTCTGTGGCAGTTAGTTCCTGAGTCTTCCAAGGAAAAGCTTGGAAGACTATCTCTCAAACACACATCTTTATTTTGGGAACAAGGGAAGCTATATATTAATAACTGAGAGAACTCTCTTAGATCTTGTCCCCAGAATCAGTGTCTATACTAGCTATCTCATACTTGCCCTCTGCCTTTTGTCACCTGGGAAGCTATATCAAACAGTTTTCATGCTTTCTGGCTTTCAGATGGGTATATCCAATGGGAGATACTGGCATATCAGAGAGCAGGAGGAGAATGAAATTAGGATATTTTCCCCCTTGACTCCCTTCTGCCACATAGCCGTGGATTGCCTGAGGCTGCATTTAAGCCCGCAGTTCTTCTTAAGTGATGCTTTCCATGTAGGTCTCTCTCCAAATTCTGGTAACTGTTCTATCTCCTTAGTAACCACTCCCCACAGTTACTAGGCCTAGGGCACTGTACTCTCCCTTGGTGTTTTTTTGGTTTTGGTTTTGGTTTTTTAACCCTGGTCACAACTTTGAAAGTAGTTGCTTTCTTAAACTCTGCTCAAATTAACCTAGTTTGAAAGTGCAACCTGTTTTCGTCCCAGGATCCCAACTGATTGAGTACCTCCTAAGTATAAACCTCTACATATACATAGTCAACGAATTTGGATGCTTATTTAAGCTTTTCTTTAAGTTCAATAATGGAGAATTATGTATACTTGTCTATATGCTGCTGAAATGGTCAATAACCTAAAAATAAACTTCAAAGTGTTGTCTGGTTTTAGATTAATACACATATCAGCCCTCATTTTATTTTGCATATCTCCAGATTATTCTGTGTATAAAGTTTAAATAATCATTAGTTGGTACAGTTCTGTGTCTTTCTGAAGCATCTACTCAAAAATAGTTTTGGTTTCCAGGGGTTGAACAGTGTACTGGATGATTTCTTAAATCTTCCTACCAGGTTTGGAAGGAAGATCTCAAATGTGTCCAAATTCAACCAAAGTTCACTGTACTCCTAATATTACCAGGTAATAAATTGGAAACAGGGCATAGCGACAAGGCAAAGATCCAAAACAGAAAAAAATTGTCATTTTTTCTGGCTCCCCTTCTACTTCATTTCCTGGAAAGAGCTCACAATCTAGGAAATGAGGTAGAAGAATAAATAATCAAATATAAGTAAATTATCAGAAACAGAATGCTTCAATATTCATTCATTGAACATTCACCATATGGCAGGCAAAATACTAGGTATAAAAGTGGAAAAGATGAAAAAAGTGGCTCCTACTCTCAAAATAATCAAGATCTGGCAGGAAATCAGACACACAAATCATTGCAATTCAGTATGATAAGTACTTACAGAGGTATAAACAAAAAAAGCAATTACTTTTCATCAGGGACCATTTGAGAAGATGTTATGAAGAAGATGGCACTTAATGAAGATGAGGAACTTGCTTAGGAGAAATCAAAGAAAAAATAATAAAGTTGTTTCTAGAATAAGAAGAGAACTGGTATGAGTGGAACATGAGATGGGGTGAGAGAGATGAAAGTATATGTAGGTATTTGGGGTCTAAAATCTGGAGGAATAGATGGAATATATAAAATCATCACCAAAATCACCACCAAAGGCAAATTATTCATTGGGCTACTGTTACAGTTATAAGAAAAGTAACAATGATGTGTATTCGAATAAAATCAAAATAAAGCAACCAGCAAATGAATTCAGTTTTTCCTTCCTTGTTAGACAATTTATCTGTACTCCTACTTAACTTCTTCCCTCCTATATGGTGAAGAAACAAACAGGTAGGGGAAAGCAAGTAAAAGACCAGCACATATCCAGATGAATGATTTGACTTTCATTTCACAAAAATACTGAGACCCTACTATTTCTGAAACACTATGATAGACACTGAGGGAAGTACAAAGACACAAGATATCCTTTTTGCACCCTCATTTTATAAAAGAAAAAAGAAGAACGCTGTGAAATAACTTGTTCAAACTCATTCAGGTATGTGAAAGCATCCTTAGTAATATTCCACCTACTAGGATGCTGCAAATAACATTGCAAACATTTATCACCTTGCTTCCTTAATTGCTTTGAAAGTATCTACATTTTATAAACAATACGTATCAAGAAATGATATAATTCCATCACTAACTAATACCTATGATAGTAATAAGTGAAGACTCCCAAAATCTTTCCAAGTTGAGGAATATTCTCAGTAATTTTTAAAATTAGCATACTATGTTGACTTTTTTCTTGCAGATATTCTGATCACAGAAACTCTCAGCCAAGAACCAGCAAGAACAATAAAATATTCTCCATTTGCTTTCTGTATTGGTCAGTGCCCAGCCAAGAAAACAAAATTACTACACAAGGTAATTCAATAGAAAGAATTTAATATGAGAAATTAATCATAAAATGTCTGGACTACTGAGAGAACAGCTAGAAGGTGAGGCAACTCTGAGATCAGTGACTGCAGGAACTATAGGAAGGCACTAACAACCCTAACATCCACTAGGGCCAGAGGGCCTAGGAAGGCAGAGGAGTTGCTGAAACTCCAAAGCTTGGCCATTGGTGAAAGCTAGATTCAGGAGCTGAGAATTGAGAGGAAACGGCTGACTACAGGGAGCTAGAACCACTTAACCGTTGCAGTCACTGCCAACGGTGCCTAAGGCAAAGAAAGGGAGAAAAATACCCTACCGGCCTTTAGCACGAACTAATCCCTAGAATGGTCAGCATCATTCTCTACTATAATTCCCTGTATATTTCTCCATCTATGTCAGTGCTTCCCAATGGAAAGCCTAACTGGAAGGCAGCACAAAGAAGCCTGAGAAATGCAGTTTGCAGTGGGCAGTTCAAAGCAGGGAAATGGCAGAGAATGGATCTAAGATCAAACAAGCAAACGACTTGCAGTCTAAAATTTCACGCTTGCTGTTAGTAAGATGTTTTACTCTTCTTGCCCCTCTTTCTCCTTATTTGGATGCCTTTTTCGAAGGAAAGTCAAAGGTTGTGTTCCTTGCTACTCATTTGTGAGGAACCACTGAATACCTGGTCAGTGCCAGGTATATCTAGCAATTATACCTAGTAAGAGACTTTTTTGGAAACTTCTTGCTGGTACACCTAGCAAGGGGTTTATGGTGAAATCACATTTCAAAAGGTCAGAGATTGTTTAGTTGACAATTTTGTATCGTCAAAAAGAGTGCTTAATAGCTTCATCAAGCTGTTTCATGAATATTTGGTCCAAAGAGCATGGCAGTCACTAATAGATTTGGGACATTAAAAAAATCTCCACCATTTTTTTGTCAACTATTTCTTAAAGCAATCTTTCAGACCCAGTTGACCACTCACTCCTGTGAAAGTTAACTGTGCACTCTGATATTATCATAATCCCTAGCATTCCGTGAGCACTTTGGGGTGCCACATATTTAACTGAGCACTTTTTGTCAATCATTTAATAATCACGACCACCCCCATGAAGTAGGTAATGGTAAAACACACAGTCTATAGATTTAAAAAAAAGTAAAAGAGAATAAATGATCAGTCAGGGTTACATGGTTTGGTAAAAAATTACTCTAACCTGGGATTTAAAGACATTAGAACCTTCCTTTTAACCATTACACCTGCTAGTAAAATGCCATACAACATCTATTTGTTTGCATACCTCTCTTTTCCAACAGAATACATGCCATGTAAGGGGAGGATCCTGCCTTTTTGATATTCATATTTCCCTCATTCACCAATGCAGTAGCTCTCCATTAGTGTGGGTTGAATGAATAAAAATTCAATATGCTTTAATCTTTACACAAAAGTGAACAAAGTGAAAGACCAACACAAAAAGTACGTGCTCATCAAAGGTACTAACCCAAAATATTACAATTGCCCGCTTAACCTCACAACAGATTTATTCTAAAACTTAATTTTCTCTTTAGTAACTCTCAAACTATCTAATTTTGAAACATTTATTACCAAAATGCATTTAAGTGCCTATTTGTGCATTCTAAACCCAAGCTCTGCAGATCAATAAAACTCAAATTGCTTTTTAAAAAGAGATTCTAAAACATTTTTAAATACTTCAAAAGCAAGGGTAAGATTACAAATTGAGTTCAAACACAGAAATACTCTGAGAAATATCAAAGAGCTTTCCCCAAACAAGCTAACTTGTGCTTGGCAATTAGGAATTTAGGAATAAAGAACACTGTTAACTAAGTAAAACAACAAGCACAAAAAAATATATACATCTAAACTGGCATTGTCTTTTTAAATCATCCTTTGAAGAATGTACACTTAATTCAGTCATGCTGAAACAGTTGAAATTATTTTTTGAGCTTCATTACCTTCAGAATCCCACCAAAAAAGTTTTGCTCATTAATATACACCTCGCTATTCATTTTCACTATTAGTCCATCAGAATCAGTGGCTACATCTGGTTCAATATTGTATTCCCAGCAACCAGCAGAACAACTGTGAGTCACAGGCAGTGTGTGCGGAATAAAAAATTAAAGAATAAATGCATTCGCACCTGAAAAATACTGAGATATTCTTCCTTCTGAGTTAAAAAAGGGTGTAACTTGATGGAAAAACTTTTCGGCCATCCATTAGCTCTCATCTTCACTTTCATGTCAACCATCCCCTGAGGTAAGCACTATTTTTTTTTCTTTTTTTGTTTACATTTATTTGTTTTAGGAGCCCACTCTCTCACCCTGGCTGGAGTGCAGTGATGCAATCATAGCTTACTGCACTCTCAGTCTCCTGGGATCAAGCTTCCTGCCTCAACCTCCTGAATAGCTGGTATTACAAGTGTGCGCCACCACACCCAGCTAATTTTTTTTTCTTTTTTCTTTTCTTTTCTTTTCTTTTTTTTTTTTTTTTTTTTTTTGTAGAGACAGACTCTTGCTATGTTGCCCAGGCTGGTCTCAAATTCTGTGCCTCAAGTGATCCTCCCTCCTTATCCTCCCAAGGTGCTGGGATTACAAGAGTGAACCACTGCAACCAGCACTGGTGTTATTTTCTTTCTTTTTTTTTTAAGTGTTATTTTAATCTCAGAGGTACATGTGCAGGTTTGTTACTTCAGTACATTTATGTTCATGGGGGTTTGTTGTACAGATTACTTTGTCATCCAGGTGTTAAGCCTAATTCCCATTAGTTATTTTTCCTGATCCTGTCCTTCCTCCCACCCTCCACCCTCCAATAGGCCTCCTTGTCTGTTGTTCCCATCTATGTGTCCATGTGTTCTTATCATGTAGCTCCCACTTGTAAGTGAGAACACGTAGTATTTGGTTTTCTGTTTCTCCATTAGTGTGCTAAGGATAATGGCCTCCAGCTCCATCCATGTTCCTGCAAAGGACATAATCTCATTTGTTTTTCATGGCTGCATAGTATTCCACGGTGTATATGTATGACATTTTCTTTATCCAGTCTACTGTTAATGGGCATTTAGGGTGATTCCATGTCTTTGTAATTGTGAACAGTGTTGCACTAAATATACACATGCATTAGTCTTTATAGTGGAAGGATTTATATTCCACTGGATATATACCCATTAATGGGATTACTGGGTTGAATGGTAGTTCTGTTATTTGATCATTGAGGAATCACCACACTGTCTTCTACAATGGTTGAACTAATTCACAATTCACATTCCCACCAACAGTTAATATGTGTTCCTTTTTCTCCGCAACCTTGCCAGCACCTGTTATTTTTTGACCTTTTAGTAATAGCCATTCTGACTAGTGTGAGATGGTGTCTCACTGCAGTTTTGATTTGTATTTCTCTAATGATCAGTTATGTTGAGCTTTTTTTCATATGCTTGTTGGCCACATGTATGTCTTCTTTTGAAAAATGTTTACTCATGTTCTTTGCCCACTTTTTAGTAGGGTTGTTTGGTTTTTTCTTATACATTTGTTTAAGTTCCTTATAGATGCTAGATATTATACCTTTGAAAGATGCATAGTTTGCAAAAAAATGTTTCCCATTCTGTAGGTTGTCTGTTTATTCTATTGATAGTTTATTTTGATGTGGAGAAGCTACTTAGTTTAATTAGATTCCATTTGTCCATTTTTACTTTTGATACAATTGCTTTTAGCATCTTTGTCATGAAATTGTTGCCCTTTCCTGTGTCCAGAATGCTATTGCCTAGGTTGTTGGGGTTTTTTTAAAAAATATGTTTGGGTTCTACTTTTAAGTCTTTACTCCATCTTGAGTTGACTTTTGTATATGGGGTAAGAAAGGGGTTCAGATTCAGTATTCTGCATGTGGCTAGCCAGTTATCCCAGCACCATTTATTGAATACATAGCCCTGTCCTCATTGTTTGTTTTTGTCAGGTTTGTCAAAGATCAGATAGTTATAGGTGTATGACCTTATTTCTGGGCTCTTTGTTCTGTTCCATTGGTCTATCTGTCTGTTTTTATACAAGTACTAAGCTGTTTTGATTATTGTAGCCCTGTAGTATAGTTTGAAGCCAGGTAGCATGATGCCTCCAGCTTTGTTCTTTTTGCTTGGGATTGCTTTGGCTATTTGGCGCCATTTTTGGTTCCATGTGAATTTTAAAATACTTTTTTCTAGTTCTGTGAAGAATGCCATGGTAGTCTGATAGAAATAGCATTGAAGCTATAAATTGCTTTGGGCGATATGGCCATTTTAACAATATTGACTTTTTCTACCCATGAGCATGGAATGTCTTTCCATTTGTTTGTATCATCTCTGATTTCTTTCATCAGTGTTTTATAGTTCTCCTTGTGGAGCTCTTTCACCTCCCTGGTTAGCTGTATTCCTAGATATTTTATTCTTTTAGTGGCAATTATGAATGGCACTGCATTCCTAATTTGGCTCTCAGCTTGACTGCTGTTGGTGAATAGGAATGCCAGTTATTTTCTACATTGATTTTGTATCCTGAGATGTTGCTGAAGTTGTTTATCAGCTGTAGAAGGCTTTAGGCCAAAACTATGGGGTTTTCTAGATATAAGAATATGTTGTCTGCAAACAGAGATAGTTTGACTTCCTCTCTTCCTATTTGAATGCTCTTTCTCTTGCCCGATTGCTCTGGAAAGGACTTCCAATGCTATGTTGAATACAACTGGTGAGAGAGGGCATCCTTTTCTTGAGGCAGCTTTCAAGGAGAATGCTTCTAGCTTTTGCCCATTCGATATGATGCTGGCTGTGGGTTTGACATAGATGGCTCTTATTATTTTGAGGTATGTTCCTTCAATCCCTCGTTTATTGAGAGTTTTTAACATGAAGGGATGTTGAATTTTATCAAAAACATTTCTGCATCTATTGAACTAATCATGTGGCTTTTGTCTTCAGCTCTGTTACATAATGAATCACATTTATTGATTTGAATATGTTGAACCAACCTTGCATCCCAAGAATGTATCCTACTTGATCATGGTGGATAAGCTTTTTGGTGTGCTTCTGGATTCAGTTTGCCAGTATTTTGTTGAGAAATCTTTGCTTTGATCCTCATCAAGGATATTGGCCTGAAGTTTTATTTTTTTGTTGTGTCCCTGCCAGGTTTTGGTATCAGGATGATGCTGGTCTCATAGCATGAGTTAAGGAGGAGTCCCTCCTCCTCAATTTTTTGGAACAGTTTCAAGAGAAATGGTACCAATCCTTCTTTGTACATCCAGTAGAATTCAGCTGTGAATTCATCTGATCCTGGGCTTTTTTTGGTTGGTAGGCTATTTATTACTGCCTCAGTGTCAAAGCTCATTATTGGTCTGTTCAGGGATTCAATTTCTTTCTGGTTCAATTTTGCAAGGGTGTATGTCTCCAGGAATTGATCTATTTCTTCTAGATTGTCTAATTTATGTGCATAGAGATGTTCATATTATCTGATAGTTATTTCTATTCTTGCTGTGTCAGTAGTAATATCCCCCTTGTTGTTTCTGATTGTGTTTTTCTTAATATTCTCTCTTTTCTTCTTTATTAGCCTAGATAGTGTTCTATCTATTTTTATTAGTTTTTTCAAAAAACCACCTTCTGTATTTATTGATCTTTTGAATTGAAGTTCATGTCTCAATCTGTTTCAGTTTAGTTCTGATTTGGTTATTTCTTGTCTTCTGCTATTAATACCTTTGTGGTTGGTTTGGTCTTGGTTCTCTACTTCTTTTAGTCGTGATGTTAGGTTGTTAACTTGAGGTCTTTCTATCTTTTTGATGTGGGCACTAAATTTCCCTCTTAACACTGCCTTAGTTGTTTCCCAGAGACTCTAGTATGTTGTATCTTTGTTCTGATTAACTTCTTGATTTCTGCCCTAACTTTATTATTTACCCAGAAGTCTCTCAAGAGCAGGTTATTCAATTTCCATGTACTTTATTGGTTTTGAGTGATTTTCTTAGTCTTGATATCTAATTTTATTGCCATGTGGTCTGAAAGAGTGGTGGTTATGATTTCAGTTCCTTTGCATTAGCTGAGGAGAATTTTCCTTCCGATTATGTGACCAATTTTAGAGTATGTGCCATGTGGCGATGAGAAGAATGTATATTCTGCTGTTTCTGAGTAGAGTCTATCAGGACCATTTAATCCAGTACTGAGTTTGGGTCCTGAATATCATTAATTTGCTGCCTTGATCATCTGTCTAATACTGTTAGTGTGGTATTGAAGTCTCCTACTATACTTGTGTGGGAGTCTAGGTCTCTTTGAAGGTCTCTAAGAACTTTTGCTATATGAATCTAGGTGCTCCTGTGTTGGGTGGTTTTTTGAGACAGAGTCTTACTCTGTCACTCAGGCTGGAGTGCAGTGGCACTATCTCAGCTCACTGCAACCTCCATCTCCCAGGTTCAAGCAATTCTCATGCCTCAGCCTCCCAAGTAGTTGGTATTACAGGTGTGAGCCACTATGCCCAGCTAATTTTTGTATTTTGAGTAGAGACGGGGTCTCATCATGTTGGCCAGGTTGGTCTCAAACTCCTGACCTCTGGTGATCTGCCTGCCTTGGCCTCCCAAAGTGCTGGGATTACAGGTGTGAGGCCACCATGTCCGGCCAGGGTGCATATATATTTAACATAATCAGATCTTCTTGTTTAGTTGAACCCTTTACCATTATGTAATGCCCTTGTCTTTTCTGATTTTTGTTGGTTTAAAGTCTGTTTTGTATGAATTTAGGATTGCAACTTTTGCTTTTTTTGGTTTTCCATTTGCTTGGTAGATTTTTCTCCATGCCTTTATTTTGAGCCTATGGGTGTCATTGTATGTGAGATGGGTCTCTTGAAGGCAGCTTACCCATAGGTCTTGGTTCTTTATCCAGTGTGTCACTCTAGGCCTTTTAACTGGGGGTAGTTAGCCCATTTACATTCAAAGTTAGTATTGATATGTGTGGATTAGATCTTCTCATCATGATATTAGCTGGTTATTTTGAAGACTTGTTTATATGGTTGCTTTATGGTGTCACTGGTCTGTGCACTTCCGTGTGTTTTTGTAGTGGCTGGTAATGGTCTTTCTTTTCCATATTTATTGCTTCCTTCAGGAGCTCTTGTAAGGCAGGTCTGGTGGTAACAAATTCCCCCAGCATTTCCTTGTCTGAAAAGGATCTTATTTCTCTTTGGCTTATGAAGATGAGTTTGACCAGATATGTAAATGTGGGTTGAAATTTCTTTACTTTAAGAGTATTGAATATTGGTCCCCAATGTCTTCTGCCTTGTAGAGTTTCTGCTAAGAGGTCTGCTGTTCGTCTGATGAGTTTCCCTTTATAGGCTACCTGACCTTTCTCTCTAGCTGCCTTTAACATTTTTTCTTTAATTTTGACCTTGGAGAATTTGATGATTATGTGTCTTGGGGATGATCTTCTTGTGAATCATATTACTGGGGTTCTCTGCATTTCCTAAATTTGAATGTTGGCCTCTCTCACTAGCTTGGGGAAGTTCCCTTGCATGATATCCTGAAATATATTTTCCAAGTTGCTTACACTCTCCCCAACAGTTTCCAGGACACAAACAAGTCATAGATTTGGTCCCTTTTCATAATTCTATATTTCTTGGAGGTTTTGTTCATTCCTTTTTATTCTTTTTTCTCTATTCTTGTCTGACTGTCTTATTTCAGAAAGCTGGTCTTCAAGCTCTGGGATTCTATTCTCAGTTTGGTATATTCTGCTATTAATACTTGTGATTGCATTATAATATTCTTATATTGTGTTTTTCAGCACTATCAGGCAGTTACGTTCTTTTTCGTATTGGCTATTTTGCCAGTCAGCTCTTGTATTGTTGTGTTGTGATTCTTAGCTTCCTTGGATTGGGTTTCAATGTACTCCTGCATCTCAATGATCTTTGTTCCTATCCGTATTCTGAATTCTATTTCTGTCATTTTAGCCATCTCAGCCTAGTTCAGCATCCTTGCTGGAGGGGTTACACAGTCATTTGAAAGAAAGAAGGCACGCTGGGATTTTGAGTTGTCAGAGTTCTTGAATTGGTTTTTCCACATCTTTGTGGGCTGTTGTTTCTTCTACAATCTTTGAAGTTGCTGACCATTGGGTGGATTTTTTTTTCTTTTATCCTATTTGATGACCTTGAGGGTTTGATGGTGGTATAAGGTGGGTCCAGTTGACTGGAAGATTTTAATGGGCCATGGCTCAGCTCCCAGTTGCTGGAGTGCATGCTGTAACTCTGGGGGACTTGTATCAGGCCTGACTTTGTTCTATGGCTCTTTTAAGTTAGGAATCCATTGCAATGGCAGCACCAAGGTGTTCCCTGACTGCTGGTCACTACACTCTGATGAGTGGTGCCAGCCAAAGCATTTTGTAGTGTGGAGGTAGTGGGATCGTTCCTTGTTCATATGTGCCAGCAGTGATAGTGCAGTGGTGTGCATGCTCATTGGCTATGGCAGGGTGCTAGTGGGTGCCGTTACCTGCCTCCATGTGGGCGTTCACAACAGTGATAGAGGCATCATGGCTCAGTGGGGAGGAGGATCCTGCTGGCGACTGTGCATGCAGTTGTGCTGGTGGTGGTGCCAGCACAAGGACTAGGTCTGGCAGATGCTGGTCTCTTTTTCTTCCATTATTTTTATTTTGTATTGTATGTATTTAAGGTATACAACATGATGTTCTGATATACTTATCTTTATATACATTTACATAAAGAAGTCATTACTACAATCAAGCAAATTAATATAACTATCATCTCATATAGCCCATATTTTCATAGCAATTTGAAAAATAATTTCTCCCTTGTTGGACTACAATAGTCAGTCCACTAAGTCCACTAAGAAAGGTGTCTGCAGGGAGCTTTAAAAAATCAAAGAGCTATAGATATTCCTAGACCTACTAATTAGCACTTTAGATTATAGTGATAAGAAGTGGTAATAATCTGAAACAAAGGGATTTGAAAAGAGTACTTTAATTAGGGGGATCATCCATCTCTACCTGACTGGCACAGTTCACATATCACCTGTGATCCAGACAGAATTATTTGCCATGCCCCTTTCAGTCTCCAAAGTACCTTGTTTTAGGAGGCTAATGATATGTTCACTTCAATTTTAATTCATTAATAATTCAAAACATCTCAAGTTTTCTTCTGAATTGGTTCTGTTCTCTATTTTTCTAAGCAGTTGTTCTTATTTCCCTGACTTCCTTCCTCTTCCATTGCATGTTTATGTTACTGCTATTAAAGTGAACAAGCAATGAAATAAATACTGTTTATTATTACAACAAATTGCCAAAACATATGCTTTTCATAAATAAAGGTGGGATATTGGACTATTTAAACCTCTGTAAATGATCATGAAGGTAATAGGATTTAATGAGCTCTGGCACAAATGAAAATACTCATTAGAAAATACAGCATCAATTTATGGCCAAAAGTGGATAGCTCACAAAACTATAAAGATTTCTAGCTTTGCTTAAACAAAGGATTTTTTTTCAGCACTACAATTTTAAGGCCAATTTTGCCACAAAATTAAGAAGGCTGCAGCACAGTTGATTCATTCATTTCAACTATCTCAGCCATCCATGCAGATTACTCCAGGGATAATGAGACCATGAAATCAGTATTGATCATAAAGACAATTGAAATTAATAAGTCAAGCTCATAAGAAGATTATACACATGACATTGCTTCAGTAGAGAGATAAATATGTATTTCTAATGTGGCTTTATAAGGATGTCTCATAGGTCTTTGATAAAGAATGTTTTCTGAACCCGTTCAGTGGCAGAGTATGTAGGTTATTTCTTTCATTCTCATTTGTTCATTCATTCTTGCACAAACTCTAATTTTCTAATGCCCTAATAAGTGCCAAGCATGGTGAGCACAGATGATAGCAGAGCTATCCTCTAGGAACTCATAGTAAAGTAGAGGAGACAGATCCATGAATATCACATATGTTAAAGAGAAATATGCTCCAAGTGTTTCGCAAGTACAGGAAGAAGTGACTGGCTGCACCAGGGGCGAGATAATGTCTCACCAAAAAATAAACAAACAAAAACACACACACATTTGTCTATCTTTGAGGATCCTCCTTCATCTGCTCAGCTTTCTGCTCTGTCTTCACCTATTCTTACCTTCCCTTCAATTCCTAACCTTTGCAATTTTCCAAATCTACCATGCTTTTTATACCTTCATACCTTTGCACATGAAAATTCCACTGACTGCTGTGTCCTTACCCAATACCTGCCTACTGACATATTTCTTTTAAGATACAACTTAAGCCTTTTCTGACCACAAATCCTGAGAGATTTCACCTTTGAAATTTTTGCCTTATTTTTTCAGTGTGCTTTAGGTTATGGCTTGTATTATATTCACCTACGATTCCTGAGTATCTTGCACAGCACATTGCATAACTATTCATTGAATGAATAAATGAAAATTCGAGCTATATCCTAAAGGGTGCCAAAAAATAATTAAAAGATAAAATGTCATAAGTATTTACTATTCATAAGACCCAGAAATTCCACTTCTAGCTATTTGGCCAGGAGAAATAAAAACATATGTCCACATAAAGACATGTGCGTGAATAGTATCTTATTCAAAATAGGCAAAATTGAGCATATCCCAAATGTCCATCAAGAAATACTATTCAGCAATAAGAAGAGATTAACTATTGACTCTTCTAAAATCATTGATGTATCTCAAAAACATTAAACTGAGAAAAAGAAGCCAGAAACAAAAAATTACATAAGTATGATTTAATTTATATGAAACCCTAGAAAAGACAAGCCTAATTTATAGTGATAGAAAGCAGATCAGTAGTTGCCTAGACCTGGGGATGAGGAATAGGTATTGACTGAGAAAGGCCGCAAGAGAACCTTTGGAAGTAATTAAAATATTTCATTATCGTGACTCTGGTGGTGGCTACATGAATATGTACATTTGTCAAACATTATCAAATTCTACAAATAAAAAGTATGCATTCTATTATATATAAGTTATACCTTCATAAAGTTCATTTGTAAAAATTTTGTGGTAATTTGCATCTAAGGCATGTCAGGTTTTTGGGAGTCTAAAACTTACAGAATTTGGGTAACCTCCTTAACAAAAAATATAAAATTAAGTTAAAGACATTTATTTGGAATATGAACTAAAACCACCAAAAATTATAGATATTAAAAATTTGACAAATACTACAAACATTACAAAATACAGAAAAACAAAATATTGTTTTTATTGATTAATTGCACTGTGCACCTCTAGAGTACCTTTTTCCCTATATTTTTTGGCTACATACTCTTTGATTAACTCTTCATAGAATAATGATTTTCTGTAGAAAGAAAGAAAAGATAATTCTGTCTTTAGCCCAGAAGATTAAAATTTGGTTTTATTATTCAGAGTTTATAAGAGTTTTGTTTAGAATCATGATTCATCATTGAAAATGTCATATGACCTTTTTTGAAGTTGTCAAATTTGGAGAATATGTCTGTCACACTATTTTCATATATGTGCTATTTCATACATATATGCTATTTCATATATGAGCTATAGATACACTCACTGTTTATAGTCATGCTAAATGTTTGTGCTTCTATGAATTCTGATAAATCTTATTTTATGAAATTATCATTTAAAAATCAAAATGTATGGTATATCTATAGTTACATATTTCATTACCAAGTATATTACTGAAAAAAGAGAGTCATTTTTAATAGGATCAATGAGAATCAAATCCTCTACATAAAATTTTGCACCACCTAGTGTTTGAAAAATTCTCCCTAAGTTAGCTTCTAGCTTTCACTTTTAAAATATTGTGTTTTCTCTGCTACCCACACATTCCTTGTACCAAGTACTACAGGGAGCCTTCATAACACCATGAGATCTCTGACATTGCACTCTCCTGACATAAAACAGAGTGAGTTGGCACAGGGGCCAGTAGTAGACTGGAAGCCATTCCCGCACTGACAACTAGCAATAATGTATCTATACTCAGAAGTGACTAAAAGCTACATAAATATCTCACCAAACCCAAAATAAATGTGTCTGCAACTCCATTTGTTCTTAGATTTCAAAAATGCTCATAAGGATTCCAGTGCCAATGACAAAAGGGTGACAAAGGGAAAATTAATTAAAGAAGAAAGAGGTGTTAATTAGGTTCTACCCCATCGCTCTTAGAAGGTACAATTTTGTTTTCAAATTGTTTATAAACATACAACCATATAATTACATTGCTAAGGCTCATTCATTAGCTGCACAGTAAATCCACTAGCATGCATCTAGTAAAATTTCTTATTCATTCATTCAACAAATATTTGTTTTATGGAAAGTCCTAACCAACAAAAGTTTTTCCTCTAATTCTGATAGTTTTGAGAAACAGATCTTGAAAAAAATATGTGTAAACTTTATTTCTAGCAAAGAAAACTTGCAAAGAATTCTTTCTGGACCTACTCATGAACTTAGAACCCTTAGTGAAATTTGGCATGAAGCTGTATAATTCTAAATTGATGATGTAGGTCAAAATGTTTCATATAGAGGACTGAAGAGGCCTGAAAAATGAGTTTCTTGGCCGGCTTCAATCATGATAGTTACATTATATCTGCCAAACATCTGAACATTTCACATGCATCTTATGTCAGGCTCATAACAGCTTCACAGCAACATTGAAAAACAAAATACTTACTGTGTAGCAAGGGAAATATATTTTGTGAGATTTAAAGTCTAGGGACAATGTTCTCCAAACAACTTAAAGAAGGAAATGACCCGTTTTCTGAAAAGATTTTTCCAGCAAGCACTTTTCAAGAGGTTAGACAGCAATCTATATATATACTATATTGATATATAACATATACACATAATCTTTTTTCATTGTTTCTGGGGAAATTATCTTTCTCTCAGATTGTAAAGTGGGTGATAGAAAGTGGATAAGCTGATTGATCAATCTGAGGAGACTAGAATGTGTGAATTGGAGCAATATTTGCAATAAGTCATGTGTTTTTTTGCAATGCCTTGGGAGAGAGCCACACTCTGCTTACTACAGTTTGGTAGCTTCAGCAGGTATTTCACTTCCTTGAAGCTATAGATTTGTTTGAATTAAATTTTTTGTCTTCTTAAAAATTTAGTTAGCAAATTTTATTAAATATTCTATCTCAAAAATGTAGGTTAGCCTTTAAAACCACAAAGTGTTCACATCAAGTAATATCACAAAACGTAGATGCTTCATATCTCACTAATTTTAAAGATTAGAAAAATATAAAGCAAGAAAAATAGCAAGTATTTTCTCCTCTAAAAGAAATATCTTCTTTGGTGTTTCTCTGTTTCCTTCCCAATCCACCCAAATAATGAACTAGGGCCCCTAATTGTGGAATTTGTCTGCACCAGCACCATTTAGTTGCTGCATCTGAAATATATATGTATATACATATACATATATATATATATATATATATATATATATATATATATATAGAGAGAGAGAGAGAGAGAGAGAGAGAGAGAGAGAGAGAGAGAGAGTGTCTGTGTGTGTGTGTGTGTGCACTTAAGCCTGCCCAGGCCCTGCCCAAGCTCAATCCTACCCAAGGAGTGGAGAGGGGCAAGTTATGTCTCTTATTAGAAACTCACAAACCACAAGTAAAGGGAGGTAGACAATAAGTTGCAGCCCTCTTCAGTTCCTGTTTTTAGAAAACCCCACCACTCTTACACATTGTGTCTGGACACACCTGAATCCTGAAGGGAACATAGCTGAGCTTTAAGGGAGGAACCACGCTACATTAAAATTGAAAAGTTGAAATAGCAAAAAGCTTCCAAGCAAATAATTTTTATAAACAAGATTAATGAAAAAGAGGTTGTGATTTTGTATTTTAAATTAATGGAGTTTATGTGTAAATCACTTAAAAGCCTTGCCCTTTAAACACTGGAAGAAATAAAACATTTAATTTAGTAAAGTACCTATTAATATAATGTATACTTGTTCTCTTAAAGCCCCATTTGTCTAGTATCTCTTCTAGAAAACTGATTGGTACTCCAGAGCCCACAAAGAAATCACAGTTCCTTCCAGTGAGTGGTTAACTCATCTTAGCTCAATGCTGAATCTGATGCTTTACAAAATAAAAATAGTAATATCCACAAAAGCTACTACTCCTTCTATGTATGTTACAAAACAATATTGTTGGATGATAGCCCTACTACTACTAATAAAATAATTCAAAAATCAGTTGTAGAGAAGGTAAAATGGCCAACTACATGCAGCCAGGTGGAACAGCTCCCACCAAGGGACTGAGATAACTGGTGTGCTTTTAACAGATCTTCACAGGGAAGATGCCAAGTGGACAGAGGGAAGACACAGAAGCTGGGCTGAAGGGGAAGAAATCTGGGAACTCTGCATGGCTACAGCACACTGGGACTCACTTTTGAACCACAAGAGCTCCAGGGGAATGGGTGAATTAAACTGGCAAGGAACAACCCATTCTTGCCATGAGCCTCTGGAACTCCAGCAGGAGGAACCCCTTGACTACCACAGACACTCAAGTTGTCAGGGAGATCTGCTGAGAGAAGTGGTAGGGGCAGAACACCAGCTGATGAGTAGCTCAGAGGCTTAGTGCAGGAGCATCTGTAGCAGAGCACAGCCAGGGACAGCCGTCCCCCTAGGCTTGACTTGCTCCTATTGGAGACTACAGCCCTAGAAGAAGTCTGACCTGATCTCTGCAGGGCAGTCTTACACATTAGGTGGGGCTGGTCCAACCTGAGCACCCCTTGGTCTGCTGGCCTCTATGGGCAACCCATTCTGGCCATGCCTGTTTACAGGGCAGTCTGGGGTGCCTTGGGGTCTCACACCATAGCTTCTGTGCTAGCGGACCATGCATGACCAGTGGAGAGCTCCAGTGAGGTGGCTCCTATAGCCACAGAGCAGCCTACATGCTTCTTTCCCATGCTGCAGGTTACCCCAGCCCCACAGCATCTCTCCACATCACTTTGCTGGTACATTCTGCAAGGGCAGGTTTTGCTTTACTTGCCTGGCCAGCACATGGGAATGCAGTCCACCCCCAACCCTACCTGCTAACCACCATTGCAGACAAAGCTTTGGCAGGCACAGAGATAGCAACCCCACCCCCATCAGTACCTTACCCTTCCACTAACACTGCATGGAAGACAGCAGATATTCCCACAAACTGAGCAATTATTCCTGCTTGTGGGGCACAGAGAAGGCACCCAGACATGAACAGACCAGCACCCCACCCACAAGCCAGCACCACCTCCAGTGCAACCACCCACACATCTCCAGCAGGCACCCCCTGCCCCCCATCTGTATTGGTCTACCACTGTGGTGAACACCTGCAGAGAGGCAGGCACCTCTGCATGTGTTAGCACTCTGCTGCAGAACAAAACCTCTGAGAAATGTGGGATTATGTAAATAAATCAATCTATGACTCATTGGGGTTCCTAAAAGAGATAAGGAGAATGAAAGCAACTTGGAAAACATATTTCAGGATATCAACCATGAAAAATTCCCCAACCTAGCTAGAGAGGCCAACATTCAAATGCAAGAAATGCAGAGAACCCCAGTAAGACACTCCTCAAGATCCTCCCCAAGACACATAATCATCAGATGTCTCCAAGTTCAAAATGAAAGAAAAAATGTTAAAGGCAGCAAGAGACAAAGGTCAGGTAACCTATAAAGGGAAGCCTATCAGACTAGAAGAAGCTCTATCAAGCTGAAACTCTACAAGCCAGAAGATACTGGGGACCAATATTCAATATTCTTGAAGTCAAGAAATTTCAACCCACAATTTCATATCTGGCGAAACTAAGCTTCATAAGCAAAGCAGAAATAAGATTCTTCTCAGACAAGCAAATGCTGGGGGAATTTGTTACTACCCGACCTGACTTACAAGAGCTCCTGAAGGAAGCAATAAATATCGAAAAGACCATTACCAGCCGCTCCATAAACACAATAAAGTACACAGACCAGTGACACTATAAAGCAACCACATAAACAAGGCTTCAAGATAACCAACTAATATCATGATGAGAAGATCAAATCCACATATATCAGTACTAATCTTGAATGTAAATTGGCTAAATGCCCCAGTTAAAAGGCCCAGAGTTACACACTGGATAAAGAACCAAGACCCATGGGTAAGCAGCCTTTGAGAGACCCATCTCACATACAATTACACCCATAGGCTCAAATTAAGGCATGGAGAAAATCTACCAAGCAAATGGAAAACCAAAAATGCAAAGGCTGCAATCCTAACTTCATACAAAACAGATTTAAACCAACAAAGATAAGACAAGGGCATTACATAGTGGTAAAGGGTTCAATTAAACAAGAAGATCTAATTATGTTAAATATATATGCACCCAACACAGGAGCGCCTAGATTCATATAGAAAGTTCTTAGAGACTTTCAAGGAGACCTAGACTCCCACACAAGAATAGTAGGAAACTCCACTACCCCACTGACAGTATCAGACAGATCACTGAGGCAGAATATTAACAAAGATATTCAGGAGCTGAACTCAGTACTGGATCAAATGGACCTGATAGACTCCACCCAGAAAAAAACAGAATATACATCCTACTCATTGCCACATGGCACACACTCTAAAATTGATCATATAATCAGAAGGAAAATTCTCTTCAGCAAATACAAAAGAACTGAAATCATAACCACCACTCTCTCACACCACACAGCGATAAAATTAGATACCAAGATTAAGAAAATCACTCAAAACAATAAAATTACATGGAAATTGTTATAACCTGCTTCTGAAGGACTTCTGAGTAAATAATAAAATTAAGGCAGAAATCAAGAAGTTCCTTGAAGCTAATGAGAACAAAGATACAACATATCAGAATCTCTGGGACACAGCTAAAGCAGTGTTAAGAGGGAAATTTAAAGCCCTAAACGCCTGCATCAGAAAAGAATTAATCCCAGCACTTTGGGAGGCCAAGGCAGGCGGATCACAAGGTCAAGAGATTGAGACCATCCTGGCCAACGTAGTGAAACCCCGTCTCTACTAACAATACACAAATTAGCTGGGCATGGTGGTGAACGCCTGTAGTCCCAGCTACTCGGGAGGCTGAAGCAGGAGAATCACTTGATTCTGCTGTAAGCCGAGACTGTGCCACTGCACTCCAGCCTGACAACAGAGCAAGACTCCATCAAAAAAAGAAAAAAAAAATAGAAAGATCTCAAGTTAACAACCTAAGATCATAACTAAAAGAACTAGAGAAGCAAGAGCAAACTAACCCCAAAGCTATTAATAGGAGAAGACAAGAAATAACCAAAATCAGAGCTGAACTGAAACAGACTGAGACATGAAAATCAATTTAAGTGATCAATGAATACAAAAGGTAGTTTTTTGAAAAAATTAATAAAATAGAATGCTATCTAGGCTAATAAAGAAGAAAAGAGAGAAGATTCAAGTAAACACAATCAGAAATGACAAGGGGGATATTACAACTGACCTCACAGAAATACAAATAACCATCAGATAATATTATAAACACCTCTATGTACATAAACTAGAAATCTAAAAGAAATGAATAAATTCCTGGATACATACATCCTCCCAAAACTGAACTAGGAAAAAATTAAATCCCTGAACAGACCAATAATGAGCTTTGACATTGAGGCAGTAATAAATAGCCTACCAACCAAAAAACAAAGCCCAGCTCCAGATGGATTCACAGCTGAATTCTACCAAATGTACAAAGAGCTTATACCATTCCTACTGAAACTACTCCAAAAAAATTGAGGAGGGGCTCCTCCTTAACTCATTCTATGAGGCCAGCATCATCCTGATACCAAAACCTGGCAGAAATACCACAAAAAAATAAAACTTCAGGCCAATATCCTTGATGAACATCCATGCAAAAATCCATAACAAAATACTGGCCAACTAAATCCAGCCACACCTCAAAAAGTTTATCCAACACAATCAAGTAGGCTTCATCTACTGTATGCAAGTTCAATACACACAAATCAATAAATATGATTTATCACATAAACAAAACTAAAGACACAAAAAACACCACCACATAATTATCTCAATAGAAGCTGAAAATGCTTTTGATAAAATTCAACATCTCTTCATGTTAAAACCTCTCAATAAACTAAGTATTGAAGGAACATATCTCAAAATAATATGAGCCATCTGTGTCAAATCCACAGCCAACATTATACTGAATGGGCAAAAGCTGGAAGCATTCTGCTTGAAAGCTTTCACAAGAAAAGGATACCCTCTCTCACCACTCCTATGCAACATAGTATTAGAAGTCCTGACAAGAGCAATCAGGCAAGAGAAAGAAATAAAGACATCCAAATAGGAAGAAAGACAGTCAAACTATTTCTGTTTCTGTTTGCAGACAACATGATTCTATATATAGAAAACCCCATAGTTTCAGCCCAAAACCTTCTAAAGCTGATAAACAACTTTAGCAAAGTCTCAGGATACAAAATTAATGTGCGAAAATTACTAGCATTCCTATACACCAACAAGAGTCAAGCCAAAAGCCAAATCAGGAAGTCAATCTCATTCACAATTGCTACCAAAAAATACCTAGGCATACAGGTAACTAGGGAGGTGAAAGATCTCTATAAGGAGAATTACAAAACACTGCTCAAAGAAATAAGAGATGACACAAACAAATGGAGAAACATTCCATGTTCATGGATAGGAAGAATCAATATGGTAAAATGACCATATTGCCCAAAGCAATTTATACATTCAATGCTGTTCTTATGAGCCCAGATAGCCAAGGCAATCCTATGCAAAAAGAACAAAGCTGGATGCATCACACTACCTGACTTCAAACTATATGACAGGGCTACAGTAACAAAAACAGCATGGTACTGGCATAAAACCAGACACACAGAAGAATGGAACAGAATAGAGAACCCCAGAAATGAGGCCACACAGCTACAACTATCTGATCTTTGACAAATCTGACAAAAACAAGCAATGGAGAAAGGACTCCCTATTCAATAAATGGTATGGGGATAACTGGCTAGCCATATGCAGAAGACTGAAACTGGACCCCTTCCTTTCACCACATAGAAAAGTTAACTCAAGATGAATTAAAGACTTAAATGTAAAACCCAAAACTATATAAAGCCTGGAAGACAACCTAGGCAGTACCATTCGGGACATAGGCACAACCAAAGATTTCATGATGAAGATACCAAAAACAATTGCAACAAAAGCAAAAATTGACAAGTGGGATCTAATTAAACTAAAGAGTTTCTGCATAGCAAAAGAAACTATCAACAGAGACAACATACAACCCACAGAATGGGAGACAATTTTTGCAAACTATGCAGCTGACAAAGGTCTAATATCCGGAATCTATAAGGAACTTAAACAACTTTATAAGAAAAAAAAGACCATTAAAAAGTGGGCAAAGGATATGAACAGACATTTTTCAAAAGAAGACATGCATGTGGCCAACAAGCATATATAAAAAAAGCTCAACATCACTGATTATTAGATAAATGCAAATTAAAATCACAATGAGATACCAGCTTATACCAGCCAGAATGGTTATTATTAAAAAGCCAAAAAGTAACAGATGCTGGTGAGGTTGTGGAGAAAAAGAAACACTCATACACTGTTGGTGGGAGTGTAAATTAGTTCAACCATTGTGGAAGACAGTGGAGTAATTCCTCAAAGACCTAAAGACAGAAATACCGTTTGACCCAGCAATCCCAAGACTGGGTATATACTCAAAGAAATATAAATCATTCTATTATAAAGACACATGTGTGAGTATGTTTACTGCAGCACTATTCACAATAGCAAAGACATGGAATCAACCTAAATGCCCATCAACAATAGAATGGATAAAGAAAATGCACATATACACCATTGACTACTATGCAGCCATAAATAGAATGAGATCACATCCTTTTCAGAAACACAGACAGAGCTGGAGGTCATTATCCTTAGCAAACTAATGCAGGAACAGAAAACCAAATACCGCATGTTCTCACTTGTAAGTGGGAACTAAATGGTGGGAACACATGGACACATAAAAAGGAACAACACAGACTGGGGCCTATCAGAGGGTGGAAGTTTGGAGAAGTGAGAGGATCATGAAAAATAACTAATGGGTACTAGGCTTAATACCTGGGAGATGTAATAATCTGTACAACAAACCCCCATGACACAACTTTACCTATGTAACAAACCTGGATGTGTACCCCTGAACTTAAAATAAAAATTCAAAAAAAAAACTTAAAGGGGCACAAGGAGATGGAACACAACTCTCCACTCACTGAGTAAGTGGTAAGTGACTTTCAAAGAAACTTTACACTGGAGAAACAACACACACTACCTTGGCCAGGTGATAAAAGTTAACATCATCAGTGGTAAGTCATGTTGAAATACGTACCCTTGCTAGCATGCTGAGAAGGGCACTTCACCTCTGAAGTCATTCTCTCAAAACCCTTGTCTAACCATGAGAAAAACATCAGTCAAACTCCAACTGAGGAACCTTTTACGAAATACTTGACCAGCCCTCCTCAAAAATGTCAAGGTCATAAAAAAAAAAAACAAGGAAAGTCTGAGAAATTGTCATGGATCAGAAGAGGCTAAGGAGGCATGATAACTACATTTAAGATGGTATCCTGGATGGGATCCTAGAACCAAGAAGGAACACTCGGTTAAAAATAGCAAAACCTGATAAACTGTGAAATTTAACTAATTATAATATACCAATGTTGATTCCCTAGCTGTGACAAATGTATCCCGAAATGTGAGATGTTAACAAAAGAGAAAACTGGTTGATGCAGTATATAGGGGCTCTGTAATATCTTTACAACTTTTCCTAAAATTTAAATCTAGTCTAAAATATAGCATCTGTTAAAAATTTAAAAGTGGTAGAGCTTATATAATTGCCCACATGTGCACAAAATATCTGTGGAAGGATAGGCAATAAACTAGTTATTTCAGTTGCCTACCAAAAAATCAGTCGTATTTCCCCTTCCAGCAGGAAAAATAAAATATAACAACATGGAAATATTTAAACTTTCCATAAGAGAAATCTAAGACTTTTGCTCAATAGTGCCATTTACACACAGGAATGGAAGATTTTTGTGAACTCTGATAATTTATCTTTATTTCTACTTTTAAATTGGGTTTTGTGACTATTGCTATCTCATGATGAAGTAAATGACAAGGTGGGGTATAGTTAAGTAAAACCATGTAGTTTTTCCTCTGCCTTCTTTGATATAGCTCATTGAAATTGATTCTAAGTTCATTAACTACATAATAACATCAAGAATTTCCAAAAGTTTACAAAAATGAAGAGAAATAAAAGCTAATATAAAATTAATATTATAGTAATTTATATTAATTTTCTATTTTAATTTATATCGATGTATTAATTTATCTTTCCCCAAGGAAAACAAGGAACTAACATGTATAAAGCAGATATCATGTGCAAAACATTTGCAATACATTTTCTCAATTCTTGGCACAATACAGGTGAGATTATTCTGGTTTAACAAATGAAAAAGTGAGATTTTAAAAACTTTTTCAAGTAATCTTTCTATGTTATATAGATAATGAATAGCAGAGCCAGAATTTGACAGAATTTTGCTTAATTCAAGATACAGACTTTCCCATCACACTATACTACCTTCAAGAATATTAACCCTGGGAGGTAGTCAAAAGGTTTTCAAGGTTAACTGTTGTTATGTTTTGATTTATTTTGATTTATTTTATAGGTTACAAAGCACAATAGTGGGTAAAAGCTTTTTTTAGACCCCAAAATGCCAAGGTTAGATAGCTTCTTCTCTATTGGTTTCAGTTGCATTAATGTGTTGACTTCAGCAGGTTCACTAAATATCCTCAAGTTCCCATGTTAGCATTTGCTAAGTAATGTGTTCAACTCAAAAGTCCCAATGTGGGTCCTCTGGTGCAATTTTCTCATTGATCATTTTTTCTAAAAATAAAATAATGAGATATCATGGCATTGATATGCATTACTAAGGCAAAGAAAATGTAATTTGCTTTAGGATTTTTTTGTTGTTGTTGTTAAATTATACTTTAAGTTTTAGGGTACATGTGCACATTGTGCAGGTTAGTTACATATGTATACATGTACCATGGTGGTGCGCTGCACCGACTAACTCGTCATCTAGCATTAGGTATATCTCCCAATGCTATCCCTTCCCCCTCCCCCCACCCCACCACAGTCCCCAGAGTGTGATATTCCCCTTCCTGTGTCCATGTGATCTCATTGTTCAATTCCCACCTATGAGTGAGAATATGCGGTGTTTGGTTTTTTGTTCTTGCGATAGTTTACTGAGAATGATGATTTCCAATTTCATCCATGTCCCTACAAAGGACATGAACTCATCATTTTTTATGGCTGCATAGTATTCCATGGTGTATATGTGCCACATTTTCTTAATCCAGTCTATCATTGTTGGACATTTGGGTTGGTTCCAAGTCTTTGCTATTGTGAATAATGCCGCAATAAACATACATGTGCATGTGTCTTTATAGCAGCATGATTTATAGTCCTTTGGGTATATACCCAGTAATGGGATAGTAATGGGATTTTCAAAAGACCAACTGAGAAACTCAAAATGACTCCTCTGAGTCTCTCACACATCCATTCTCTCTTCCATTCATTTGTTTACATACTAAACAAAACTTATTGAGCACATCCTACATACCTGGTACTATTTCTTCTAGACATACAAATAAATGAGACAAATAAAATTTCTATACCTATAGAACTTATATTTTAGGAGATCAGAAGGTGGGGAAGACTGAAGGTGGGGTATTTACTCACCAGCTTCCTCCCCACAGGGATTGTGTGTTGGCTATGTCCCTCCAAGTCGATTGCTCCTTCAGGTGGCCCTCTCTACATAACTACTCTCTCGATGCTAGAGCTTACAGCTATTAACTTGTTACATAGCTGAGGGTACTGCAATACCCTTTATGAGTTATTTTAATTTTGCCCATACCTTTATTAAACTCACCTTATGACCCTGTTGGAGTGTACCGTGTATTTCCCACCCAAGCCTTGATACACACAGCCTAATACCCTGTCTATGGCTATCTTAGAGCTTGTGATTCCTGTATTTTTCCAAACTCTGCCTTCTCTGCTGTCTGCCAACACTTCCAAAAATTTACATGCGGAAGATAGAGGTATGCTAATTATAAGTGTTACATCTTCAGAAAAAGAGATAAAGAACTTGAAAGTGAGGACAAAAGGAGAGCAGTTAACCAAATGATATAATAAAAAGGAGTCAAAGAAACAAGGGAGTTATGGCACTGATATGAAACAGGCTCTCCTGGTTTACTGGTCCCTTCCCAGGGGCCTTTCCCAGGGGATAGTCATATTATAAACCTGTATCTCTCTCTTTATCTCTCTCCCTCCCTCTGTGTGTGTGTGTGTCCCTCCTCTTATGTTTGGCCCTGTCTTCTCTGAAAAGCTCTGGCATTTTCTTTTACAACTGTCATAAAGCTGCCTAAATCTGTCAAGCATGTGTCTGCTCTTCCATGCCGTTCCATCACTTCGTTTTAGGTCACATGCCACTCAAAACAGTGATAATACCTTAACAGAAGAATGCTTGCTAGTAAATGTACACAGAATAACAAAATCAGAAAAATCACCATTTTCTAATCCCAATGTACTATTTGACTTAAACAAGGGCAGTCAATGGATACAAAAAGCATTGGTAAAATGTTGTTAAGGAAAAAGAGATTCACAAATTTCAAAGCATTACACAATGGATTATTTAAAATTTATAAAGGAAAAGATATACTTTTACAATTGGGACTTCTGAGAGTCACCACCTTAAATGAGTGATCAAAATTATCATTACTAATAAAGGAACAATCTGATATATGTCTCAAATGTGACGTGCTTTGAAATACAGATAATCACCTACCAAGCACTCTTGTCAAATTGTTTAACTTGTATCTTACCAAACTCTAGACCTATCTTCCCATTTCCAAGAAAGATAAAGGATAGAAAACAATTTAGTCAACGTAGAAGACAATCAGACGAAAGGACATTTTACAAGACAGCTGATCAAAGCTCTTTAAATAATTAGTGAGAAAAATAATATGAGAGGATTATTCTATATTAAAAGAAAGTTACATATATATAACAAAATCAAATGTGTGCACCTCAATTGAGTCCTATATTTTTAAAAAAGTATCTATAAAAGACATCTGGTAATATCTGGATAAATTTTAAATATTGGCTGGATGATATTATATAATCATTTTTATTTTCTTAAGTGTTATAATAATATGGTTCTATAACAGGTTGTCATTATTCCTAGGAAATACATGGTAAAGTACTTTAATTTGAAAAATCCCAAAGTCTGGAACTTACCTCAAATGGTTCTGGCGTATACATCCAGAAGGGCAGAGGGGGAAGCATGCATAAAAGTAAAAATATATATATTTTAAAATCTGTATGAATGGCATATGGATATCTAATGTTCATGATACAAATGTGTTAAGTATCAGTAATCATAGGACACTGTCTAAAGATATTTCTTTGAGTGTATTTTCTGGAACACCAGTTATGTGATATGTCAGGAAAAAAAAATAATTCCATGGTCAGATATGTTTATGGAAACTGCACAGTAAATTGCTCTTGCAGAAATTCACAATTGTACATTAATGATAATAGTGCATGCATTAATTTCTAAATGCTTCATAAAACTGTGTGAGGTAACCCAGATTACAGTCCTAGAAATTAAAGCACATAAAGGTTAAGCCATGTATCCAAGGTTCAAGATCACACAGCTCATAATGGAGTTAAGATGGGAACCGAGGCAGTCTGGTTCAGGAGCCACAGCTACATGCTACAACAGACGTTCAGAGAAGCTCTGCACTAAAGAAGCTTGCTTAACTCATAAAATACCCAGTACTTCTCATCCTTAATATTTCTATACTTTTTCTGTGTAATACTCTTCAGCTTCCTTTAATATCTGAGAAACTGGTTTATGTCCTGCTTTCAAGGATCATACAGTTGGGCTTGGAGGTAAGACTTAATATACATGTAGCAGCAAACAATAAAACAACACCAACTTAATTGATTAATTGTATAGAACAATCCACAGAGGGTTAGTTATTTAAAGAAAGATCAATCTCCACCTCTTAAACTAGAAAGCTATCTTAGACAGTCTTAATAGCCAAGGAAAAAGAAGACATAATTCAAGAATCATGATTTAAAAACTGACTTTTGAATTACGGTATAAAAAAAGATGGGTTTTACTCTGCAAACTTTTCCTCAGAATTTAAGGCTCTACTTATTATTGGTTTCAGCTTGATTTTTAGCAATTTGAATAACTAACCAAGTACAGTTTTTTTTTTTAGAGAGGTAAATACAAATATATCAAGATGATAAAGAAGACCATTAGATACCCTTCATTAACCAAGAAGAAAGTTTCTTACCTCATCAGCAGCCTTACCATCTACTTTACAGGTATGCTTGCCAAGATTGAAGACCAAATATTCTTTTCAGGCTTAAAATTGCACTGCAAAGAAATGATGAAGAACACTCTTTTCATATATATAAATGTACACTAAAACAAAAATGAGAAAAATGCCATATCTAGAATTTATGTAGAACTATTTGCCTGTTCAAAATACTCACATGTGTATTAGATCATTATGCTAAAACTGGCAGATCAAAGGAAACCATGAGCAGCAACATTAGAAATATATCCTCAGCTGCAGAGAACCGTGTGTTAGTAGGAACACTCACATCACCAATGCATTTTTAAAGCATTATGTTCCAGAAACCTCATAGGAAGAAGCCTATAATAATTTAAAACCGTAAGTCTCTAACAAAGATTTCTTTCCACATCATGAAGCATTCCAAAATTGCTTACCTACTTTTTGATTGGCCCTGAAGTGGGGTTGTGAGCTGTGATATTAAGTTTTCCATTAAATATTGTTCTCAGAAATTAGTTCTAAATTATATATTGAGTCTCTCTCCTTATTTTGATGCCATTCTGCTTCCAGGCCATAATGTAAGCCTCTTTCTTTATATAATGCTTTCTATTTTCCCTACAGATAAGTTTCTGCTACCAGGGATACCTAGGCAAGATTAATATGACTTTCCTACTTAATATAAATCTTTTGATTTGCTGCTGAATGGACTATTCTTCAGGATTGCTATCTAACTTCAAGAAATAATGCTGTTTATCATCTGGTCCTGAAAGCAGCCGACCACATCTGGATATTTTTGCAGTTTGAATTCAGAAACCATGAAATATAAATGTGCTACTATCAGCAGTGAGCAGAAATCAAATGAATAATGTTGGTTAGACAACCGAAGTGGTTTACATTTCCTTTACATTCCTGATATTTTAGTTAAATAGAAAAGACTATTAATGTTACAAGCAGGGATATTTTTGGCAATCAGACTTCAAGCCGAATAAACTCAGGAAACATAATTAAGGATTTCTAATATTTCATGTTTTTTCTTTTCCCCGCAGGGTTTTTGGACCAGAATGGCAGCTACTCTGTGTGACACTGCAGCAAAACGTAAGGCAGTTGTCAAATGTTCATCACCCACATATATCCCTGGATATTAAATTGAAGTCAAATTTTATGAGACTGTCACCTGACAGGATTTAGGCATTTTTGTTTACTTTTCCCATCTTGTATTGTCTATAATAGGATATATGGAAGACTGTCTATAAGCAAATTTATGATGGAGGCATTATTTTGCTCCACTAACAACTCATTAAACTTAGCAATTTTTGGCAAAAAGCAACATGTGGATAAGAAGTAATTAGACCATTTTGCTTATTCAGGCCGTAGACTGTTTCTGAATGCAGTTCTGAGAAAGGATGTTAAAAGTGATTTCATATATTCATTCTTTCTTTCATTTATTTCAAGAAGTGCCTACCCCTGATATAGGTTCTAAAACTTTTCAATCTAAGTGCTTGCCATCATGAGCTACATTATGAATCATAAGGAAGGAAGGCAATCACTAGTACACAAATTTGCAATAACAGCAGCTTCATTGTAACAAGCTTTATAATCTAATGAGAGTGCTTTCGAGGACTGTGCCAATTCAATGTATAATTTAGTCACTCAAAAATACTAAATGAGTATCTTCCATGTGCCAAATACTGTTCTAGACTCCAGGGAATAGAAATGTCTATGACACAGACATGAATATCTAATCCACCCTTATAGAACTTACACTCTGGAGCAGAAACCAACAATAAGGTTTTTTTGTTTTGTTTTTAGATAATAGTAAGTGCAAAAGAGAAAAATGAGCAAGGGAATGAGATATAGTGTCAGTAGGGAGCAATTTTAGTTAGAGTGGCCAGGAAAGCCTCATTGCAAACATGACATGGGAGTAAAGACCAATCACATCAGTGTTGATCTTCATAAGTTATGGCCCTGGAACATGAGAGACAGAAAGGCAGAGATAAGCAAAGTAACTTTCGAAAGGTTCCTAACAAAATGTCACCTTACCCCTGGAAAGAGACCTGTAATGCTGTTTGCATTTTAGCCTTTTAATGTAAGGTTTTATAGTGCAGACACGTAAATATATTCTAATGTAAGCAGTGTTAGTTTCCCCTTCTCTCTCTGTAAAGAATGGTTTTCTCTCAGGGAACCATAGGTGATTTGGACCAGGAGCACCAGAAGCAAACCTGGGCTGCTTCCCAGCTCAGTAGAAACAGACCTACAGGAGACCATCTCCAAATAGTCACAGTGATATGAAAAATCTGGACCTTATCAAATAGATTTTTTACCCGAAGCTAAAAAATTCTAAAACCTCACTAACTGGAACTTTTAGAACACTTCTAGGATTATGCTGTTCAAACTAATCCTGAAGTCAGGTTCAGTACACCACCTTTGTCCTAATAATTCTTTCTATAATTGACATATGGTTCCTGTTCTCTTTTAAGCCACCTTTCCATTGCCCTCAAGTTGCTTTTCTTAAAGAAGTAAACTCACTCATCATCCAGGATGCTGTCCATTGTTTACCTAGGCCCTTGGGCTTTTCTCTTGCAGAGGCAGAGGAGTGAGTGTTGTCTTCAACTGACATCATAATTGCTTAAACAGAGGAGTGGAACCTTCTAAAGTCTTCAAATCCCACCCCCACCCCCAAACACACACATATACTCCTTGTGATACTATAGGATAGCATAAAATAGAAATTAGAAAATCTACTTAATATCTAACGATGCAACCTAATTGTAGAGACACAGCAGCAGAGCCAGTGGAGACAGTGGGATTGTTTGTCCTGACTAGCCAGTGAACTCCAGCCTGACCAAATGACCTTCTAAACTTAATAAGAGTACATACCACTCTCTCACTGCTCAATTTTATAAATCATTTCCTGAATTACTCTTGCATTTGGGAAACTCCTGAAATCTTGCTTTATCTTCCCTTTTCAACCCTGTAATTGTGTTTTACATCTGATATGGCTTCTCTGACCCATAATTCTTAGAAAGGATCAGCACTTGCCTACAGATGCAATTGCTCTTTCTGCTCCTTTGAATTTCCATTTTTATTTTTTTTCTTTCTTTTTTTTTTTTTTTGAGATGGAGTCTCGCTCTGTCGCCCAGGCTGGAGTGCAGTGGTGCGATCTCGGCTCACTGCACGCTCCCCCTCCCGGGTTCACGCCATTCTCCTGCCTCAGCCTCCCGAGAAGCTGGGACTATAGGCGCCCACCACCACGCCTGGCTAATTTTTTTTGTATTTTTAGCAGAGACGGGGTTTCACTGTGTTAGCCAGGATGGTCTCGATTTGCTGACCTCGTGATCCTCCTGCCTCGGCCTCCCAAAGTGCTGGAATTACAGGCGTGAGCCACTGCACCCAGCCGAATTTCCATTTTTCTTAACAAAAATTAACCATCGTCCATTGTCTATCATTCATTTATTCAACAAGTAAGAATTGAGTGCTTACTGTTAGGTTTTGAAGGGAGACGAGGGTTAAAAAAAGACACAGAGAGGGGGCAGCTCAAACAGCAACACAGGTATATTGCAGACACCTGCGGAAGTTGAGGGCCAACTAACTTAGGGCCAGACAGAGCTCACCGCCGCTTACAGGCTGGGGTACTTAATGGGTCTGAGCGGCAGAGATCTGGGCCATATAGCTGGCTGCCCGGCAGGATATTCATAAGATGTTCCCATGATGAGGCAGTTCTGGCTCTTATTCCTCCAGAACGTGGTGTTTCTTTGCACTTTCTCCCAACAGAATATGATAGAGATGTTTCTTTAGTTGAGCCTTTGCCGAGTAGGGTATGATAAGAATGTTTCTTCCGTTGGGCCTTTGCCGAGTAGGGTATGATAAGAATGTTTCTTCCGTTGGGCCTTTGTCTGCCTTGTGGTCAGGTGGGTAGGCAAGATGTTTCTCACAGCCTGAATCTTGGTGAAATGTTTCACTTTGGCCAAGGTCTGCAAAACAGCGGGGGGGGGGGGGGGGGGGGGGGGGCGCTTACAAAATGTTACAGTTTGGAGTAACATTCTTGCCTCCTACTTTACTATAAAAGAAAGATGAGAGTTGTTCATTATGTGGCTGCTTCCTGCTGAATAGGGGCACTGTAGTCAGGGTTTGGGTTTTGAAGTACTGCGTGTCGTCTTCAGAGTTGTTTTCCTGGAGGCGCTGATACCGGACTTGGTGGAGAAGGATGGTATGAATGTGTTTCTAGGTGGCTGCCTGGACAAGGGAGTTCAGCCTTTGGGAGATAAAGCAGAATATAAAGGTGAGTACACAGGAGTAGTTTTTAGTATTATGAGGGAAGAAAACTAAGGGCTCTAAGAAGGGGTTACCAAGGCATCCACTTTAGAAACAATGACCCCTGCCACCAAGAGTTAGTAACTTGATGGATTTCTGCAGCCCTGTCATGGAGCCTTAGGGCCGCGTCATGAATAATGCTGGATTCATTAACATAAAAACAGCATTGGTTTTGGAAGTATACACATATGTCCCCCTTCTCAGCGATTAACAGGTCTAGAGCCCTTTGGTTTTGAAGGACGACTCCCACAAAGGCGTCTATCTGCCTTTGGAGGCTTGTCATGGAAGTGTGCATGTCCTCTAGGGTATCATAGAAAACTGCAGAGATTTTGTTATATAGGGCAGTTGAGGGTGATATCCCTGCTATTCCAGTGCCAAGTGCAGCAGAGATGCTTAATCCTGTTACCAGAGGAATGAGATGTAGAGCCCGCTTAGTGCATGTAGAGGAAGATGAGACAGAAGCTGCTAAAGGAACCTGGATGCTCTGGTTGTTTGGTAGGATGTTAATGTTTGGGGACTGAAATACTAGGGTGCCTGTTCCTGACCAATTGGCCAGTAGGCAGAGATAAGAGTTTGTTTCACACAGAAGAGACTTGGGGTGGACAGGGAAAAGTTGTAAGTGAAGGTAGTGAGCCATGAGAAGGAGGGGTTGAATCCTGAATAAACATTTTGTCCCAACTTTCTGTTTTTCCAAGTTGAATAGTTGGTAGCAAGGGTTGTCCCTGTGAGGGCCTGATAGGGAATATTGATGGGGAAGGAGGTGAAGGCTTTTTGGTTTTGGAGAGAGAGAAAGAGATGGGTTTTGGTAACTAATAGCCATTGTGGTTCTGACAGGGCAGAAGGATAAAGGTTGCAGTTGAGGGAATCATGTGCATTTTTTTTTTCCAGGAAGCACACTTGAGTTTGATACATGGAGAGCTGCACCAGCAGAGAGGGGCAGGGTTGGTAAGGAGGTGTTTTATGAAATCCAGCTTGAAACATGTTTCGTTTAGAGGCCATGAAGTAAAGGAGGGCGACATCCCAGTGTGTGACAGTGTGGGTTTATTTGATGGATTGGGGGAAAGGTGTTTAGCTGAGCAAGATTATAAACAGGTTTTGGGAATGGATTGGCTGAGTAGGTGAGATGCAGGTTTATTTTGGACCAGGTTTATGTGGTTAGGTTAACAGGAAGGGCTGTGATTTGCTGGATTTATGTGGACAAATAAATTTAACAGTTGGAAGAAAGAGGGAAGTGTAACTGATTAAAAGGTAATGTGTGAGGTTGACAAAGGGGCCCCAACTGCCAAAGGTTGGGGGTGGGGACTTAGAGTATCCAACAGACAAAGAAGACAAAAAGAAAAAATAAAAACAAAAACGGAGATTTGAGTAGGAGTGATATCCTGGAAGGTGTCCTGCAGCCATAGCTCCTGGATTAATGTGAGGAACTGGAGTGGTCTATCCAGGGACACGGGAGGGAATACTGGGAAAGATTTGAAACAAAGTATGAGATAAAAGATTTGAAATTGGAGGCAGAGAATGTCATGGACCAGGGCCTTCTGGATCGGCAACTTCTGGAATTTTTGTAAGCGCAGCAAGTCAGTCCTGTGAGGGAGGAAGAATAATTTGGGGATGAGGAAATTTCTGGAAGTGGAATTGGTGGTCTTTTTAGTTTGGAATGGTGTATCCAATATGGATAGGATGTTAGCTTTGCTGCCATGAGAGTAGTTAGGATTACCTGGTGAGGACCCATCCACTTTGGTTGGAGAGAGGAGGAGGAGGAGTCTGTGATTCAGACCCAGTCCCCTGGTTGTAGGGACAGGGAGGAGTGTCTGGAGGATGGGCTTTCAGGCTGGGGCAAGTAAGCATTTGCACACTGTCTTGTTAGATGTTGAGTGAGGTGTAATGCCAGCCAAGTATCCCATATAGAAGGGGGAGGAGATGAAGGAAGATCCTGGAGGATAAAGGGGCATCTGTACATGAGTTCAAATGGGCTTAGGCTGAGGGGCTTGTGGGGAATGGCTCACAAATGCATGAGGGCCAATGGGAGAAGTGAAGTCCAGGTCGTCTTAACCTCAAGGGAGAGTTTGGTTAGTTGTTGTTTCAGAAGGGCATTGGCCTGTTCAATCTTACTGGAAGATTGGGGGTTACAGGGAATATGGAAAGCCCATTTAATGTTTAGAGCCTTTGCTTGCTGTTGGTTAACCTGTGAAATAAATGTTGGCCCATTGTCTGACTGGATGGTAGAGGGGAGTTCAAACTGGGGGATAGTATGAGTGAGGAGAATAGAAGTGACAGTGTGTGCCCTTTTGGTGGTGGTAGGAAAAGCTTTTATCCAGAGAATATATTTACTGCTGTCACAAGGTATTGGACTCTTTTTATGGGGGGGCATGTGGGTGAAGTCGATTTGCCAGTCCTGCCCTGACAGGTGTCCTCAGGCCTGGTGTGCAGGAAAGGAGGTGATTTGATAGCTTCCTGAGGGGAAGTTTGAGTGCAAAGGGAACATGCCTTAGAAATATTTTTGAGATTAGCAGCCATGGTGGGAGAATGTATATAACCTTTTAAGAGATGGAGTAGTGGGCAGTAACCAGCATAAAAATTGTTGTGCACTTATAAAAGTACAGAAGTTTTTTGTGACTTGAGTAAGACAATTTTATTATTGAGGTAGAACCATTTTAATTCCTGAATGGTGCCAGCCTAGGTGACTGAGATTTGTTCCTCTTGGGTATATATAGGGTGTATGTTGGGAAAAATGGGCAATAATGATTTTTTAAGGGCTGTCTGCTGGGCCGCCGAACTTGCTAAAAACTTTCCCTTGTTTATGGCATTTGTAGCCTTTTAGTGTCCTTTACAATGGATGATGGCAGCCTGTGATGGTAGTTTAGCTGCCTCCAGCAGCTTGTATATGAGTTTGCCATTTCCTATGGGGGTTCTTTTTGTAGCTAGAAAAACCCTTTCCGGCTAGCTTAAGGCGTGAGAGTGTAGGATGTGGTATGTGTATTTGGAATTCATGTAAATATTAATTCTCTTTCCCTTTGCTAGGGTGAGGGCCGTGGTTAGAAAAACTAGCTTCACCTGTTGAGGGGTAGTATGAGGCGGGAGAGCATTGGATTTTAGGAGTTTGTTTTTGGCAATGATGAGTTTGTTTTTGGCAGCTGCTGGACATGGCTCCCTAAAAGAGCTTCTGTTAATGAACCATGTAGGGGTTCCCTGCAAAGGGGCTTCCAAAATGTGTTGGAAGTGGGAAGAGAGGGAGTCTAAGAGGTCCAGGCAGGAGTGAGAGAGAGCTCAGAGTTGGAGGTGTTTACAGGGAGAAGGGTGGCCAGGTTGAGAGCTTTACATTTCTGGAAAGTGATTTAGAGAGTTTCCTATGAATAAGGCATGTACCTGCTGTAAGCAGGATGGTGAGAGGGATAGAAGAGAATGATGGCTTATGAGGTTCTATAGGTTATGGGAAGATGCATTACACATAGTAATGTGTTGTTAGAAAGTGAGTTTCTGTGCCTCTGAGGCCAGCAATGTGGCCACACCTAAGATTTTTAGGCACAGTGGCCAGCCTTGAATGAGAGTCCGGTTGTTTTGAGAGGTATGTAACGGCTTGTGGGGCATTGCTGTATGTTTGGTAGTCCATAAGCAAGGCCTTGGTCAGAATGTACATACAGAGTAAAGGGGTTGGTGGGGTTGGGCAGTCCCAGTGCTGGGGCCATTAAAAAGGCATTTTTTTAGTTTTTTAAAGTGGGAGTTGATGGGGCAAGCTGGGTTCAGGGATTTTAGGATGGGCCCATGTGAGGCCGTGTAGAACAGCTTGGACAGCAAGCCAAACTTGGGAATCTACAGCTGGAAGTATCCCACAAGACCCAAGAAGGAGAGGAGGTCCTCCTTTGTGTGGGAAAGAGGAATATCCCAATTTAGCTCATTTCACTGAGTTGAGAAGGCCTGAGAATTAGGCGGTAGAGTAAGCCCAAGGTAAGTGACCTGGGTTTGGGCTACCTGAGCCTTTGTGGGTGAGACCCGATATCCTTGACTATGGAGGAAATTTAAAAGCTGAGTGGTGTGTTCAAAGGACAGGTTAAGGGAGGGGCTACAGAGAAGGAGGTTATTGACGTATTAGAGGAGGGTGCTAGGAATAAGGGGAAGTTCAGCTAGATTCTTGGTGAGGGCCTGTCTGAATAGGTGGGGACTATCCTGGAACCCCTGTGGGAGTATGATCCATGTTAGTTGGGAGGATGTGTATTAGGATTTGACCAAGTGAAAGCAAAAAGACTTTGGGAAGCAAAATTTAAGGGAATAGTGAAAAAGGTGTCCTTTAGATCCAATACAGAGAAGTGTGTGGTAGATGAGGGAATATGGGAGAGTAGAGTATATGATTGGGACCACCAGATAGATAGGCCTAGTTAACAACTCAGAGATCCTGGACCAAGAGGTAAGACCTGTCTGTCTTATTGACCACTAGGATAGGGGTGTTGTGGGGAGAGGTGACAGGCTTGAGAATTCGAGCTTATAAAAGTTTACAGATAATAGGTTTGAGGTCCCTAAGACCAGCTGGGTTAAGGGGATTTTGAGACTGACGAAGGAAAATGGAGGGGTTTTGGAGGGTTATTGTGACTGGGATGTGATGTGTGGCTATTGTGGGTTTAGAAACGTTTCGAACTTCAGGATTAACAAAAGGTAACAGGGTGGATAATGAGGATGAGGGGAAGGAGAGGGAAGCATCTGGGCGGCAGAGTAAAATAAAAGGGATGGAATTGTAGGAGGCAAATTGTATGGAGACCTGGGATTTACTTTGTATGTCCTGCCCCAAGATAGGGTAGGACACTGAGGGATAATCAGGAATGGGTGGGTGAAGGGGGTGTTGAATAGGTTGCATAATAGAGAACCAGTCTGTTTGTGCCTAGAGGGGATTCCATTGACTCCCACAAATAGAGATAGAAGAACTGAGGAGGGGTCCAGAATATCCTGGTAAAACTGAGTAACTAGTCACATATTTAACAGGAAAAGCATAAGCTTACCAGATACTGACAGTGTTACCCTGGGTTCCAAGGCGGTGATGGCAGTGGGGGGAGTGGATTCCAGGCCCCATCAGTCTTCAGTTAGAGGTGGTGAAACGGGATGAAGAGTTTCGCTGAGCACAGTCCAATGACCAGTGTTCCTTGATACCACAGATGGGGCAAGGTTTTGAGGGTGTCCTGGGATTAGGGCAGGCTTTTGCCTAGTGACCCTGTTGGCCACACTTCAAACAGGCTTCCGGTGGTTTGTTGCGAGGTTGAGGATTTTTGTATGCATTGGGAACCCTGTTGAACGGCAGCTGCCAGCATCTGGTGTTTAGCTTGGTCCCTTTTTGGCTTTTGGGTTTTCAGTTTTTCCTCTGTATTGTTAAAGACCTTAAAGGCCACTTTGATTAAGTCTCTTTGGGAGATTTGAGGGTCATCCTCCAGTTTTTAAAGTTTTATTTATTTATTTATTTCTGGGGCTGACTGGGAAATTAAGTGTAAATGAAGGTAGATTCTGCCCTTACTGGTATTAGGGCTTAAGGTGGTATATTTAGTCATGGCCTCTGAAAGGCAGGAGAGGAAAAGAGCAGGGGCAGCTTTGTTCATGCCAGCTAGGAGGCATGATATTATATGGCCCTGTTTCTGTCTGTCTGCAGAAGTTGCCTGATAATCCCAGTTGGAATTAGTTCTGGGGACAGCTAGGGTCCCTACTGGGTTATGGGCAGCATCTTGTTGGTGGAGGGTGTTTGCATGGGCCTGGGCAGCTGTCGAGATGCATTCCCTGTGCTCCGGGGTGACGGTGGAGGACAGCATGACATATGTCATGACAAGTAAGGTCATAAGATTGAGTGATATTTAGAAATTCCTTGCAGGAGGTGGAATTTGTGGGAAAAAAGCCGAGCTTCTTTTCAAGCTGGGAGAGGCTGGCTAGGGAGAAGGAAACATGAACTCAGATTGTGCCTTAGGCCCCCACAACCTCCCACAACGGGAGTACTTTGGAGGACCTTTGGGCATGTGCCTGGTTTTTGGCAAAAGGGGGTTGAGTGTGAGACCTGGTATGCAGTGGAGAAGGAGGGGGCGAAGGGCAACAATAAGGGAGTAGAGGAGCCACAGCTGAATGAGAAGGAGGAGGGGTGGGATGGATACAGAGGGAGGGGGTTTGTTAGCCAGGTTGAAATTAGAGAAGGAAGCCTTGTCTGGAGGAGGAGGTGCTTTTGCAAGATATTTGTTGAGGAGGAGGATTTGAAAAGGTGAACAGGGTTGGCAGAGAGACAACCACAAACAGAGATAAGCAAAGCACCTCAGATCATTTACCATTGCACAGGAGGAAGTTTTTTACATTATGTTGAATTTGGAAATTGAATATTTTGTTGTTTGGCCATTGACTATTATTGTCCAGTTTACATTGAAGCTAGGCCACATTACAGAGGAAGGTACAGAGGCAAGTAAGGTGCTGAGTTTTTTTTTTTTTTTTTTTTTTGAGACGGAGTCTCGCTCTGTCGCCCAGGCTGGAGTGCAGTGGCGCCATCTCGGCTCACTGCAAGCTCCGCCTCCCGGGTTCACGCCATTCTCCTGCCTCAGCCTCCCGAGTAGCTGGGACTACAGGCGCCCGCTACCACGCCCGGCTAATTTTTTGTATTTTTAGTAGAGACGGGGTTTCACCGTGTTAGCCAGGATGGTCTCGATCTCCTGACCTCGTGATCCGCCCGCCTCGGCCTCCCAAAGTGCTGGGATTACAGGCGTGAGCCACCGCGCCCGGCCGGTGCTGAGTTTTAATAGAGTCCACCAAGCCCTGGGCTCATAGGTCCTGCAGGAGACATACGAGAGGAGTGAATACGGCATTCGGTTTTAATGGAGTTCGCCAAGCCCTGGGTTTGGAGGTTCCAGACGAGACATCCAGAGTGGTGTCTCGAGGAGGTTTTGAAGAGCCTTGCCCCATACTGGTGGCCAGAAGGGTGAGAAACTTAGAGGAGGGGAGCGAGTACCCCAATTCCTCCTGTTAGAAGGGAAACGGGAGAGCCAGAGCATCCCTGCAGCTCTTTGCGTTTCCCTGGAGACTGGAGTGGCCGGAGCGGCGAACATCGTGAGGGCGTCCCCTGAGAAGGCAGGCCACGGTCACCTGATGACCAGAGAGACCTCTCACCCAGCGCTGGGATTTTCTGTCAACAGGCAGGAATATGTGAGTAATCAGGACAGGAGGAGAAGGAAGACTTGCCCACTAATTGGAGACCAGTTTGGGTTGTGATGTCCAGCAATGGGGGTGATCCTTGTTGGAGCTGCCCAGAAAGGGGAAGGAAGGAAAAAGAAGATGGAGAGTTTGATCAGGATCTGGAGGTTAGCCCAGGGCTGGAGAAGAAGAGAGAACAAGGGAATGGGGCTGGGAACAGGGAGTTCCCTCAGGACCTGGAGGCGGGCCCGGGGCCAGCTTTTGCCGCTTGCTGCTTTCCAGGTAGCAAGAGAAGACTTACGCGTTAGAACCCAATCCCCATCCCTGGCTTTGGCACCAAAATGTTAGGTTTTAAAGGGAAGGCGAGGGTTAAAGAAAGACACACACAGGGCGGCTCAAACAGCAATACAAGTATATTGCAGACACCTATGGAAGTGGGAGACCAGCTTAATGCCAGAGCCCACCTCCACTTACAGGCTGGGGTACTTAAAGGTTTGAGCGGGAGGGGTCTGGGCCATATGGCTTGCTGCTCAGCAGGATATTGATAAGATGTTCCCATGATGAGGCAGTTCTGGCCCTTTTTCTGGTGGAACATGGTGTTTCTTTGCACTTTCTCCCAACAGAATATGATAGGGATATTTCTTTAGTTGGGCCTTTGTCTGACTTGTAGGCAGGTGTTAGGCAGGATGTTTCTCACAGCCAGAACCCCCATGAATGTTTCACTTTGACCAAGGTCTGCAAAATAGTGGGTGGTTTACAAAATGGTGCAGTTCGGACTAACACTTATTATGTGCCAGGCACTGATCTAAGTGTTAAGAATACAGTGGAGAACAAGACAGAGAGGGAGCCTGCTCTCATGAAACTGACATTCTAAGAGGGAGATAAATTCAAATCAAGTAAACATAAGCAGATAAGATGATTTTAAAGAGTGGTAAGCTTTATAAATCAAAGCAAACATGAAAGGAAATGCCTGACAAGTATTTTTCTAGATTAATTGGGTAGTCGAGGAAATCCTCTGAATAGAGGACATTTGACCTGAGTCTTGATGTTCAGTGGCCAGCCCATCCTGCTGGCTTGGGATAGGCTTCTCAAAAGAAACCCACCCAAATCTCACATAGAAATGTCATCTCCAGTGCTGGAGGTGGGCCTGGTGGGAGGTCATTGGATCATGGGAACGGTTTCTTGCGGTTTAGCACTATCCTCTCTTGGTGCTATCATCACGATAGTGAGTTCTTTTGATATCTGGTTGTTTTAAAGTGTGTGGCACCTTCCCTGTCTCTGCCTTCTTCCTGCTCCAGCCATGTGAATTGCCAGCTCCCCCTTCACCTTCTGCCATGATTGTAAGTTTCCTAAGGCCTCCCCAGAAGCTGAGCAGGTGCCAGCATCATGCTTCCTGCACAGCCTGCAGAACCATGAGCCAATTAAACATCTTTTCTTTATAAATTACCCAGTCTCAGGTATTTCTTTATAGGAATGTGAGAATGGACTAATGCAGAGGGATATATGTGTATATATATATACATATATGTATGTATATATATATCTTCATTGAAAATGAAAATGACAATAGACATAATACGTATAAACATAATAGCAGAAGCATTGGTGAAAAAGACAATTTTTCATAAAAATGAAATTACAATTAATTATTATGAAAAGAAGAAATAAAAAGGTGCCTCATTTGTCATTTTTAAATTATTATAACAATATAAACAATATCTCATCATTGTAGCAAATCTGAAAAAGGAAAAGACAAATATATTTTTTGAATCACACCTAATCCCACCACTCAGGAACAACCACTGAGAATATTTTGATATCCTTCCATCTAAATTTTTCAATTCTGATTATATTTTTACATAGCTGAATTAATATATATCATTTAAAAATTATATAAATTTTTAATATCTGATTTTTTCTCATTATAAAGGAAATTATGTTTGTTGCTGCAAAATTCTAAGCTTACATAAAATTGGATAAAAGGTAAAATAAAAGAAACTCAGGAACGCATCACTCAGAGATTTCTATGACAGCAATTTTCTTATTTTCTTATGATATTTCATGAATGTGCATGTGTGTGTATGTGGATGTTTGTGTTTGTGTTTAATCTACTAGCTATTATATAATATATCCTAATTTTAGTCAGTTACAGTAGGAATATTCAAAAACCTTTATTGGATCATGATATAAAGAAGAGCTTAGTAAAAAAAAATAATTGCTTGGCAGGGAGCAGTGACTCACGCCTGTAATCCCAGCACTTTGGGAGGCCAAGGCAGGTGGATCACTTGAGGTCAGGAGTTCGAGACCAGCCTGGCCAACATGGTGAAAACCATTTCTACTAAAAATACAAAAAATTAGCTGGGCGTGGTGGTGGGTGCCTGTAATCCTAGCTATTTGGGAGGCTGAGGCAGGAGAATCGCTTGAACCTGGGAGAAGGAGGCTTCAGTAAACTGAGATCAAGCCACTGAACTCCAGCCTGGTTGACAGACCGAGACTCCATCTCAAAAAAAATTTAAAAATTAAAATAATTGCTGTTATTGTGTATTTTCTTAGTCTTTACTGATTAAAATCTTCTATATAAGATACAAAAAAATAAACAAGAAAAACACTACTCTAGTTGCTTGGCAAGTTGCACAAATTGTGTGGCTGTAGACACCTCTACTGTTACAGAGTTGTGATAGCCATTAGTGCCAACTGCCAAATATTTTCTGTTCTTTGCCTTTCAGGTACATGGTAGGTTCACACTTTCTTTCCTCTTTTCTTTTCTTTTTGTGGTCTTGCCACTAATTCTGGCCAATGAATTGTGGAGAGAAGTGGTACACATCATTTCTGAGAACAATTCATTTAGTTGCCAGTACCAAACCCTCCAGGGTTCTCTTTCCCTCTCCATGAGGCTGGAACATCTGCTATGTTCCAGGTGATGGCTGCTCTAACTGCCTGGGTCCTGCAGTATGGACGTGTGAAGCATAGGCCCTAGACATCCTGTGATGGGCATGGCAGTATGTGTGAGAAATAAACCTTTCTTGTTTTAAGGCACTGAGATTTTGGCTTTGTTTGCTACTGTGGCATAACATAGTCTATACTAACTAATACCTAAATTGGTACTGAGAAGTGGGGAGTTGCCATTAAAAAAATCCAAAATATGTGGCTTTGGCTTTGGGCTAGACAGCCTGTTGTGAGAAACATGGAAGGATGATGCTCCATATTAAGCAATGGCAATGCTTTTGATAAAATAATCACCTGTATTCAGTGGTGTGCTAGAGCTGGTTTATGCCCAAGACAGCTAATTGTGAGTATCTCTTCCCAACTCCAAGTTTTATGATGTGATGTTGTTAACTTGGATCCATCATAATAGAAGAATTTATACCACTGAAATTGGGAGCACCATAAATCATGGAGTTTTTGCTTTTGTTTTCCTGGAGAGCTGGCTATTAAACATTTACCACCACACATTGACTGCAATAATTTATAAAGCAGATCCTGCACCTGATGAACTTGTATTTCTGAGGGACAAATTGGAGCATTAGCAATGTGTCCCAGCTGCTGTTTGTTGCACTTTGCAAAGTATTAAAAGGAAAAGATGGGCTCAGAATAGAACTGGTTCAGCTGTGAGCAGGAATAACAGAGAATAGAGAGAAACCACAAATTTAGGGACCCATAGAGTTGGAAGAGGCAAGTGTTTCTCAGTCCTGAAGAGGAAAAAATAAAATGGAGACACACTCTGAGAAACAATGCTTAGATAAAACTCAGTCTAAAAGTACAAAAACAAGGAAGTGCCCTTACACTTATTGTTAAAAGTCTTTAGATAGATTAAGATGAAACCCAATAAATCCCTTCAATTGTTCAAAATTGCTCAAGAAAAAAAAAGAAAAAAGCCTGAAGTCTGTCACTCCCTCCAAGTCAAAAATATATATGTACATATGCACATACTCACATACTGTGAGTATTTCTATGGACAAATAGACTAGAAGCAAATAAGTAAGAAGCCTGCTAAGTTTTTCAAACATTTATAATCCCAAATAAATTAGAGGTATGTGGAGAAGGAGGCAAAGAAGGAAAAGGAGGAGGAGGAGAAGGAGGGGGAGGAGAAAATATTGAAACTTCAAGACTTAAAATGACTTTTGGATTTCTAACTTCCTATGCAAAAGAAAACAACCGATAAGCAGCTTAAACAAAGGGAAAGCATATTCTCTAATCCCCATTCTAGACACAGTCAAAGAGAATAATTGGAAAGGAAGAACCTCAAAGAGAATAGAACTAAGAGCTACAAAGAACAATGGACTGGGGAGCTTCTCTCCTAGCAGAATCAGAACTGAGAAAAAGAATATTTGTTATCCTCAGAATAGCAGGCCCTTGAAAATTATCCCTAGTAGAATTTACAAATTGCTATGAATCAGTAACTACTGTGAATCTTCCTTACTTTCCACTTCCAAACAAGAATGTTTACTTTATTTATCCTGCTCAATCATTGTATATTAGGTTGGGAGAAACAGACTAATTATTCTTTTTAGTTCACAGATCTATGGATAGCAGGAGCCACATCTGGACCTGTGGCTCTGCTCTCATCTCTGCAATTTAGAAACCACCATGAATTATCAAAAATCCTAGACTCTGATTTGATGTTATGAATGGATAAAACTTTTCTATTTTCTCCAATGGGAAGACAGAGAATATATGTTGCTTGCAAGAAAGAATAAAGCAAATATTTGGAACCAAATAGGTAGATTGTGATTGTCTTGAGTGAATTCACTGTAGATTTCTAATTTCCCACTGTCCAGTCACAAGTAGAATTATATGCCTGGCTTTCATCTGGTTGGATTAGGCTATAAAACTCGATCTGGCAAATAAGTTGTAAATAAAAGTAACACGAATCACTTCTGTGTCAGAACACTTAAGTGCCTAGACATGACCATCCAAAGGTAATTTTTCCCTCTTCCAGGATGGCTGGCAATGTCCCAGTAGTGACTGTTTTACCAGCCTAGATCCTGAAATAGGATCTTTTCTTGCAAAGTCCCCCTTGCCCACCCAAGATGGACATGTGGTATGAGTGAGAAATCAAACTCTGTAATTTTAACCTACTGAAAATTAGGGATTATTTTTTACTGTAACATAAATTAACATGTCCTTACTGATATATTTTGAATTAAATTCTCCTCCCATAGTATCCTAAATTTGTAAAACCTCTGGCTATTTTAACAAATGTTTTATTAGCTTTTCATCCAAAAAGTGAAGAGATTTCACCTAAATTGTGTTACAACAGATATAGCTAAAAAAAAAAAAATACATTTCCTAGCGTTATAAAACATGAGGATGTAGAAGAGGATCAGTTAAGCGAAACACAGGAGCATCAAGCTTTGCCCAAGAAGATGATATTAAAATGTGTCCTTGCAATCCTTCCTCAGATCAACCATCTCAACTGTTCTCTTCTTATGACTACTCCTATGTCAAGAACTATAATATTAAGAACAAGAATTTTTAAGTTATTCTTTTGTTACCTATAGTAGATCATTTTCAAAACTATGTTCTTTCTAAATTTTCTTTCCTTTTCCTTGCTTTGTATTATCTACATATAAATGATACGGATTATTTCTTGTCTTGAGTAAGAAGAAAGAACCGATAATAGAAAAAGTGTATAGATGTCACTGGATTAGTTCACTGTTAATTTTTGTGTTCTTTGGGCAAACTGTCTTCTTAAATATTAATACTGAACATAATATATTCCTAAATATATTCAATTCCCAGGATGTAGCATGCTTTCATCCATACTGCCACTGGTTTTAATGAACAGAAGATGGAAATTCAGATTATGACACAGTATGATGTTCTAATTATGAAGTTCATGAAAAAAACTGTAATCTTCAGAAGGCACTGTTTTCAATCAATTCCTATCCTAAATGCAATCTATTATTTGTGAAAACTATACTTCCCAGAATATAAGAGATCATTGTTAGTTTCTTCCACATTCTGCCCTGTTATCTTCTCAAAGTTGCAGTCTTTTTTAAAAATATAGTAAAATGGTGCATGGGAATACAGAATTATGGGTGAATCAGATAAATGACAGTCTCAAACAGAATATCTTTATAATGGAGGAGCCAGTGCTCAGTTTTCTGGTAGTCACTGGTCCAGATTCTCTCTCCAGGGGCACATTTCAGAGTGGAAAACAAGTAGCTTCTAACATTCTTCAGATAGAAGGGGCTGCTCTGTTTCATGAAGCAAAGCATGTGGCAGACAAAATTATTTTCTTAATCTAGTTTTATGACAGATACTGTTGTTTGTTGACATAGTAGCCATATTCGCATTCTTCATTTCCAAAGGAACCATGACTGTGTGTGTGTGTGTGCGTGTGTGTGTGTGTGTGTGTTTGTGTACACATATGTGATAATGTGCCTATCCCTAGACTAATTATTGGTCACAAAAAAATCTATTTATCTTTGAAAGTGATGGACCCACTTCTTTTTTTTAATACCTTAAGTTCTGGGGTACATGTGCAGAATGTGTAGTTTTTTTACATAGGTATACATGTACCATGATGGTTTGCTGCACGCATCAACCCGTCACCTACATTAGGTATTTCTCCTAATGCTATCCTTCCCCTAGCCACCCACCTCCCTACACGCCCCAGTATGTGATGTTTCCCTCCCTGTGTCCATGTGTTCTCATTGTTCACCTCCCACCTATGAGTGGGAACATGCGGTGTTTGGTTTTCTGTCCTTGTGACAGTTTGCTGAGAATGATGGTTTCCAGCGTCATCCATGTCCCTACAAAAGACATGAACTCATCATTTTTATGGCTGCATAGTATTCCATGGTGTATATGTTCCACATTTCCTTAATCCAGTCTATCATTGATGGACATTTGGGTTGGTTCCAAGTCTTTGCTATTGTGAATAGTGCCTCAATAAACATACATGTGCAAGTGTCTTTATAGTACCATGGTTTATAATCCTTTGGGTATATACCCAGTAATGGGATGGCTGCGTCAAATGGTATTTCTAGTTCTAGATCCTTGAGGAATCGCCACACTGTCTTCCACAATGGTTGAACTAGTTTACAGTCCCACCAACAGTGTAAAAGCGTTCCTATTTCTCCACATCCTGTCCAGCAACTGTAGTTTCCTGACTTTTTAATGATAGCCATTCTAACTGGCATGAGATGTTATCTCATTGTGATTTTGATTTGCATTTCTCTGATGACCAGTGATGATGAGCATTTTTTCATGTGTCTGTTGGCTGCATAAACGTCTTCTTTTGAGAAGTGTCTGTTCATATCCTTTGCCCAATTTTTGATGGGGTTGTTTGATTTTTTTCTTGTAAATTTGTTTAAGTTCTTTGTAGATTCTGGATATTAGCCCTTTGTCAGATGGGTAGATTGCAAAAATTTTCTCCCATTCTGTAGGTTGCCTGTTCACTCTGATGATAGTTGCTTTTGCTATGCAGAGGCTCTTTAGTTTAATTAGATCCCATTTGTCAATTTTGTCTTTTGTTGCCATTGCTGTTGGTGTTTAAGACATGAAGTCTTTGCCCATTCCTATGTCCTGAATGGTATTGTCCGGGTTTTCTTCTAGGATTTTATGGTTTTAGGTCTTAAGTTTAAGTCTTTAATCCATCTTGAGTTGATTTCTGTATAAGGTGTAAGAAAGGGGTCCAGTTTCAGCTTTCTGCATATGGCTAGCCAATTTTCCCAGCACTATTTATTAAATAGGGAATCTTTTCCCCATTGCTTGCTTGTATCAGGTTTGTCAAAGATCAGATGGCTGAAGATGTGTGGTATTATTTCTGAGGCCTCTGTTCTGTTCCATTGGTCTGTATATCTGTTTTGGTACCAGTACCATGCTATTTTGGTTACTGTAGCCTTGTAGTGTAGTTTGAAGTCAGGTAGTGTGATGCCTGGAGCTTTGTTCTTTTTGCTTAGGATTGTCTTGGCTATGCGGGCTCTTTTTTCCTTCCATATGAAGTTTAAAATAATTTTTTCCAGTTCTTTGAAGAAATTCAATGGTAGCTTGATGTGGATAGTATTGAATCTATAAATTACTTTGGGCACTATGACCATTTTCACGATATTGATTCTTCCTATCCATGAGCATGGAATGTTTTTCCATTTGTTTGTGTCCTCTCTATTTCCTTGAGCAGTGGTTTGTAGTTCTCCTTGAAGAGGTCCTTCACATCCCTTGTAAGTTAGATTCCTAGATATTTTATTCTCTTAGTGGCAATTGTGAATGGGAGTTCACTCATGATTTGGCTCTCTGTTTGTCTGTTATTGGTGTAGAGGAATGCTTGTGATTTTTGCACATTGATTTTGTGTCCTGAGACTTTGCTGAAGTTGCTTATTAGCTTAAGGAGATTTTGGGCTGAGATGATGGGGTTTTCTAAATATACAATCATGTCATCTGTAAACACAGATAATTTGACTTCCTTTCTTCCTATTTGAATACCTTTTATTTCTTTCTCTTGCCTGATTGCCCTGGCCAGAACGTCCAATACTATGTTGAATAGGAGTGGCGAGAGAGGGCATCCTTGTCTTGTGCCAGTTTTCAAAGGGAATGCTTCCAGTTTTTGCCCATTCAGTATGATATTGGCTGTGGGCTCATCATAAATATCTCATATTATTTTGAGATATGTTCCACTGATACCTAGTTTATTGAGAGTTTTTAGCATGAAGTGGTTTTGAATGTTGTCAAAGGCCTTTTCTGCATTTATTGAGATAATCATGTGGTTTTGGTCATTGGTTCTGTTTATGTGATGGATTACATTTATTGATTTGCGTATGTTGAACCACCCTTGCATCCCAGGGATGAATGATGCCAACTTGATCGTGGTGTATAAGCTTTTTGATGTGCTGCTGGATTCAGTTTGCCAGTATTTTATTGCAGATTTTCACATCGATGTCCATCAGGGATATTGGCCTGAAATTTTCTTTTTTTATTGTGTCTCTACCAGGTTTTGGTAACAGGATGATGCATCCTTCATAAAATGAGTTAGGGAGGATTCTCTCTTTTTCTATTGATTGGAATAGTTTCAGAAGGAATGGTACCAGCTCCTCTTTGTACCTCTGGTAGAATTCAGCTGTGAATCTGTCTGGTCCTGGACTTTTTTTGGTTGGTAGGCTATTAATTACAGCCTCAATTTCAGAATTTCTTATTGGTCTATTCAGGGATTTGACTTCTTCCTGGTTTAGACTTGGGATGGTGTAGGTGTCCAGAAATTTATCCATTTCTTCTAGATTTTCTAGTTTATTTCCATAGAGGTATTTATAGTATTCTCTGAAGGTAGCTTGTATTTCTGTGGGATCAGTGGTGATATCCCATATGTCATTTTTTAGTGTGTCTATTTGATTCTTCTCTCTTTTCTTCTTTACTAGTCTGGCTAGCGGTCTATATATTTTGTTGACCTTTACAAAAAACTAGATCCTAGATTAATTGATTTTTTGAAGGGTTTTTCATGTCTCTACCTCCTTCAGTTCTGCTCTGATCTTAGTTATTTCTTGTCTTCTGCCAGCTTTTGAATTTGTTTGCTGTTGCTTCTCTAGTTCTTTTAATTTTGATGTTAGGGTGTCAATTTTAGATCTTTCCTGTTTTCTCTTGTGGTCATTTAGTGCTATAAGTTTCCCTCTACAGACTGCTTTAAGTGTGTCCCAGAGATTCTGGTATGTTCGTATCTTCGTTCTCATTGGTTTCAAAGAACATCTTTATTTCTGCCTTCTTTTCATTATTTACCCGGTAGTCATTCAGGAGCAGGTTGTTCAGTTTCCATGTAGTTGTGTGGTTTTGAGTGAGTTTCTTAATCCCAAGTTCTAATTTGATTGCACTGTGGTCTGAGAGACTGTTATGATTTCCATTGTTTTGCATTTGCTGAGGACTGTTTTACTTCCAATTATGTGGCCAATTTTAGAATAAGTGTGATGTGGTGCTGAGAAGAATGTATATTCTGCTGATTTGGGGTGGAGAGTTCCATAGATGTCTATTAGGTCTGCTTGTTCCAGAGCTGAGTTCAAGTCCTGAATATCCTTGCTAATTTTCTGTCTCATTGATCTGTCTAATATTGACAGTGGGGTGTTAAGCTCTCCTGCTATGATTGTGAGGGTGGCTCAGTCTCTTTGTAGGTCCCTAAGAACTTGCTTTATGAATCTGGGTGCTCCTGCATTGGGTGCATATATATTTAGGAGAGTTAGCTCTTCTTGTTGCATTGATCCCTTTACCATTATGTAATGGCCTTGTCTCTTTTAATCTTTGTTGGTTTAAAGTCTGTTTTATCAGAAATTAGGATTGCAACTCCTGCTTTTTTTTGCTTTCCATTTGCTTGGTAAATATTCCACCATCCCTTTATTTTGAGCCTATGTGTGTCTTTGCACGTGAGATGGGTCTCCTGAACACAGCACACTGATGGGTTTTGACTCTTTATCCAATTTGCCAGTCTGTGTCTTTTAATTGGAGCATTTAGCCCATTTACATTTAAGGTAAATATTGTTATGTGTGAATTTGATCCTGTCATTATGATGCTAGCTGGTTATTTTGCCCGTTAGTTGATGCAGTTTCTTCATATTGTCAATGGTCTTTACAATTTGGTATGTTTTTGCAGTGGCTGGTACTGGTTGTTCCTTTCCATGTTTAGTGCGTCCTTCAGGAGCTCTTGTAAGGCAGGCCTGGTGGTGACAAAATCTCTCAGCATTTGCTTGTCTGTAAGGATTTTATTTCTCCTTTGCTTATGAAGCTTAGTTTCGCTGGATATGAAATTCTGGGTTGAAAAATCTTTCCTTTAAGAATGTTGAATATTGTCCCCCACTCTCTTCTGGCTTGTAGGGTTTCTGCCGAGAGATCTGCTGTTAGTCTGATGGGTTTCCCTTTGTGGGTAACCCGACCTTTCTCTCTGGCTGCCCTTAACATTTTTTCCTTCATTTCAACCTTGGTGAAACTGACAATTATGTGTCTTGGGGTTGCTCTTCTCAAGGAGTATCTTTGTGGTGTTCTCTGTATTTCCTGAATTTGAATGTTGGCCTGCCTTCCTAGGTTGGAGAAGTTCTCCTCAATAATATCCTGAAGAGTGTTTTATAACTTGGTTCCATTCTCCCCATCACTTTCAGGTACACCAATCAAATGTAGATTTGGTCTTTTCACATAGTCCTATATTGCTTTGGCTTTGTTCATTCCTTTTATTCTTTTTTCTCTAATCTTGTCTTCTAGCTTTATTTCATTAAGTTGATCTTCAATCTCTGATATCCTTTCTTCTGCTTGATCAACTCAGCTACTGATACTTGTGTATGCTTCATGAAGTTCTCTTGCTGTGTTTTTCAGCTCCATCAGGTCATTTATGTTCTTCTCTAAACTGGTTATTCTAGTTAGCAATTCCTCTAACCTTTTTTCAAGGTTCTTAGCTTCCTCTCATGTGTTAGAACTCTGGTTCTGGTTTCTCCCCATCTTTGTGGATTTGTGTACCTTTGGTCTTTGATGTTGGTGACTTTAGGATAGGGTCTTTGAGTGGACATGCTATTCCTTTCTGTTTGTCAGTTTTCCTTCTAACAGTCAGGCCCCTCTGCTGCAGGTCTGCTCGAGTTTGCTGGAGGTCCACTCCAGACCCTCTTTGCCTGGTTATCACCAGTGGAGCCTGCAGAACATCAAAGATTGCTGCCTGTTCTTTCCTCTGGAAGCTTCATCCCAGAGGGGCACCTGCCAGATGCTAGCCAGAGCTCTCCTGTATGAGGTGTCTCTTGTCCTCTACTGGGAGGTGTCTCCCAGTCAGGAGACTTGGGGATCAGGGACCCACTTGAGGAGGCAGCCTGACCCTTAGCAGAGCTCGAATGCGTGCTGGTCTGCTGCTCTCTTCAGAGCCAGCAGGCAGGGGTGTTTAAGTCTGCTGAAGCTGTGCCCACAGCCACCCCTTCCCCCAGGTGCTCTGTCCCAGGGTCATGGGGGTTTTATCTATAAATCCCTGACTGGGGATGCTGCCTTTTTTTCAGAGCTGCCCTGCCCAGAGAGGAGAAATGTGGCAGTCTGGCCACAGTGGCCTTGCTGAGCTGCAGTGGGCTCCACCCACTTTGAACTTCCCGGAGGCTTTGTTTACACTGTGACGGTAAAACTGCCTACTCAAGCCTCAGCAATGGCAGATACCCCTCCCTCCACCAAGCTTGAGCGTCCCAGGTTGATCTCAGACTGCTGCCGTGCTGGCAGTGAGAATTTCAAGACAGTGGATCTTAGTTTGCTGGGCTCCTTGGGGATGGGAACCGCTGAGCCAGACCACTCGGCTCCCTGGCTTTAGCACCCCTTTCCAGGGGAGTGAACAGTTCTGTCTCGCTGGCATTCCAGGCGCCACTGGGGTATGGGAAAAAAAAAAAAACAACTCCTGCAGCTAGTTCACTGTCTGCCCAAACGGCCACCCAGTTTTGTGCTTGAAACCCAGGGCCCTGGTAGGATAGGCACCAGAGGGAACCTCCTGGTCTGCAGGTTGCGAAGACCGTGGGAAAAGCACAGTATCTGGGCCAGAGTGCACAGTTCCACAGGCTCAGTCCCTCACAGCTTCCCTTGGGGAGGGGAGAAAATTTTCCAACCCCTTGTGCTTTCCAGGTAAAGCAACACCCCACCCTGCTTCGGCTTGCCCCCCATGGGCTGCACCCACTGTCCAATCAGTCCCAATAAGATGAACTGGGTACCTCAGTTGGAAACGCAGAAATCACCTGCCTTCTGTGTTGATCTCACTAGGAGCTGCAGACCAGAGGTGTTGCTATTCAGCCATCTTGCCAGCAATCGGCTTTTGTTTTTTTTGTTTTTTTTTGTTTTTTTGTCGCCCAGAGTGGAGTGCAATGGCATGATCTTGGCTTACTGCAACCTCTGCCTCCCGGGTTCACATGATTCTCCTGCCTCAGCCTCCCAAGTAGCTGGAATTACAAGTGCACACCATCACACCCGGCTAATTTTTTGTATTTTTAGTAGAGGGGGTTTCACTATGTTGACCAGACTGGTCTCGAACTTCTGACCTCGTGTTCTGCCTGCCTTGGCCTCCCAAAGTGCTGGGATTACACGCATGAGCCACCACACCCGGCCATGATTGACCTACTTCTAGGCAATGATGTAAAGAGAAGTCCACTGAAGACTTAGGGTTGGGGTATTTTTCCTTCCACATAAGAAAGAAACATAGAAGAAAATGTTCTATTTTTGCCCCTTCTCTCTTCCTTCCTGCTTGATATGATTCTGTGTTAGAATGTAGTATCTGGAGCTATGGCAGCTATCCTGAGATGATGAGATGAAAAATCTGAGGACAAAATGTCAACACATTGAGAATGCAGTGAGAATAAATGGAAATAACCTAATTTCTTGATGGTGATGTTGGGTGCTTGAAGTATACAGAGAACATCTAACATCAGGCTACTTGTTAAACAAACAAGAAATGTCCTCATGTTTTAGTCACTATTAGAGTATTCTCTTATTTGAAACTGAATCTAAGTAATAGAAGCACAATTATCCTCTAGGTAAGAGTAAATTTCTCCCAGATTTTGAATTTTTTTCTGTGAGTCTTTGTTCTCAATATTGCTGTAGGGTTTCATCTTTTTTCCTTTATCTTCTCAAAGTTTTTAGTAAAAATTTAGAAAAGTCTACTACACTAGGAGCAACTAGAAAAATTCTAGTTTAAATTAAAATTTTATATTCAGATTTTAATGACTTCACTCTCAAAGAGATTTTAAAGTCTCTGGAGTGGGTTTCCCCCTCCCGCCCTCCTCTATTTCCCTTCCTTCTCTATATATGATGACTCAAATAATCATATTGTCTTTCATGTGGCTAGTGTCTTACAAAAAGATGTAATATGCATTAACACATTTAATCTTCAGATCAACTCAACAAATATTTATTGTATAATTAATAATCTCAAGTCCCTGTGCTAAATACTCTGAAGAATAAAAAGATGAGGTAGAGTTCCTGCACCCATGCAGCCTACAAGCTGGTTGAGCTGGCAATACATATCCACCTATCTCCAATATAACTGTGATTTGTGTAATTTGAAATATAAGCAATACATTTTCAAAGCAAGAAGAAGGAATTAATTTTCCAAAGGAGAAAATCATTGAGTTCATAGCACAAAAGGACATATCATCCAGACATTAGCTACTTCCTTGTCCTCTTTAAGCTACCACCGAAAGAGTCTATTCAATACAACGTAGTGAACAATGTAACACAGAAGAGATGATTAGATAGCATACACCTGAGTCCAGGTTCTATTAGAACTGACTAGACAATTTAGCATAAGTTAAAATGACCTCTATAAATGTCTCTTTGCTCGTCTAACAAGGAAATAACATCTACATTTCAGGGTTTATTGCAAGTTTCAAATGAAGAAACATATAATGCTCTCAGTACAAAGTTTGTCTTATGATGGAATTTTAAAGTTATTTTTCTGTTGCTGTTATCATTATCACTAGTAATACCAAAATGAGAATGAGTTTCTTTATGGCCAAGAGCAGCACACATGCCAAAAATGGGTTCAAATGTGAGATTAAAGGAAACAGATGAGGGATTAAAGTGTAAAAAAAATAATAAACCAAAAAAAAAGTTTAAAACTGAAAGAACACATTTTACCTTGTTCTCATTTCCATCTAAGTTTGTCACACTTATATATTGCTTACATTGCTTGGCAAGAAGTTATTTATCCAACCAATAAGTTACAGCCTATAGTACCACCAACATACGTGATTATAGAACCTCCCTTCTGTTCTAGCTTATTACTCTTGTGCCTGCTATATTTTAGGAAACTGGAAGTTTGAACCTTTTATCTGTGTTCTAATAAGATTTATTATTACATAGCTCTGGTAAGGCCAACAGATCAGGGGACAATTGCCATTGAAAAGATAGTTTGTGATCCATAGTGTTCAAGAGGAGAAGGCACATCACACCATGCAGGGACCTAGCATGGGGCTAGTCAAAAAGCAGAGGAGGAGGGGGAAACTGTAGACAAGATCCTTTATCATAGTTTCTACAGGAAGGAATGGGCAAGGCAGGATAAGCAAGCTTCATTTTGTCTAATTTGAACAATTTCAGCAGACTCCAGGACAGAGGGGCCAATCCTAGTTGTCATGTAGCTGGCCCTGGGGTGATAGGGTAGGTGGATAGTGACCTGGAGTGTGAGAGCTCAGTAAAGTAGGTGATTGAGGTTGTGGACTCTGAATTAATTGGTTGGTATTTGAAAAGCATGCTGAAGAAGGCAAGTGATTTATTCTCTCTAGGAATTGGCTAACCCTGGGAGAAGCACTCCCTTTAGGGCCAGCAAGGCCGCAGATGTCAAAGTTGAAAAGTACAGAAAATAAAAGGCATAGTTAAAACAGTAGGTGAAGTAAAAACAAATACAGATTTAGTATGGGTCATTAGAGACCTTCCCAATTTTTAAGCATAAAGTGCTTGAGATCTGGCCCATAAAACACTCTAGTCAGGACTTTTGGATGCTTATTTTCTAGTTCTCTTTTATGTTTCAGATGGTAGAAGCTGCTGATTAAGTAAAGTACTTTGATATAGTGTGTCACAGAAAATACCTTTATTTCCATTCAGAGGACTAGTCCAAATATACTGACCTAAATATTCAACACTCAATTGCTGCAAATAAGCTTCCTAAGTCTACATACTTAAGACATCCCCATACCTCATAAGAATATTTTTGTTTTAATTAATTTTGAGCTGCTTAAGTCACTGAAATCTCTTAACTAAAATTCATGCAGAAGACCATCCAGTGCCTGCAGCTTTTAAACATTTTCTTTCATCACTTATCTAGGGATGAAAAAGCTCTTCATCACATCCACAGATGACATGGCCACCAGAGGTGGAAAAGAAGGGTGAGTCATTCACCCTTAGAAGATAAATTAGATTTCCAAATGACCCTGGCAGCAGAAGGAGGCAGAAATAAAAATAATGACTTTCAACCAGCACAAAAGTGCATTTTGAAATGAGAAACAAAGTGCAAAAACTCCAGATGAGAAACAGCTGACATTATGCAGCTACAAAAAGAGAGTTACAGATAGAGCTGACCTCAAGCTAAACAGGTGTCAAGAATGGTTCTGTCATTGGTGAAAAAAAAAAAAAAATGTGTTCTCAGGATGCATAAATAAAAGAAGCAGTAACATGAAGAATTCATGCAGCATTTCTGGACTATGTAGCTAAACTAATTCAAGGGAGATGTGTGGAATTTGGAGTGGATTCAAAGGAGAGCAACTATGATTTTGGAAAAGTTTTTTAAAAAAAGAACTGTTTAAACTTGGTAAAAGAAAGTTAATTAGGATTCTCAGGTGTCAGTTCATGTATTCCCAGAAGAGGTAGTTGCCTACATGGAGGGAAGGTGCTCTTGCCTAAAAATATTTCTGCCCAGTTGCCACAGCTCTGAAATTCTAACATTAAGATGTTATTCATTTAATAACAAAAGAGGTAATCTAGATTGAAGCTATACTGTCTGCATGAATATACTAGTCACTAACTTGAAAGTAGCCTCTGATTCAATTCCTCTAATGATGGAGCATTTCCTTTCTCATGATAATGGTAATCAGATGATGATGAAGATGATCCTTTATCATTCACTGACAACCTGCTGTGGGCTACACATTTTGCTAAATGTTTTAAAAGCATGGTAACATTCTCGGTGGGGCGTGGTGGCTCCCGCCTGTGATCCCAGCACTTTGGGAGGCCGAGGTGGTTGGATCACGAGGTCAGGAGATCGAGAGCATCCTGGCTACCACGGTGAAACCCTGTCTCTACTAAAAATACAAAAAATTAGCCAGGCGTGGTGGCACGTGCCTGTAGTCCCAGCTACTTGGGAGGCTGAGGCAGGAGAATCACTTGAACCAGGGAGGCAGAGCTTGCAGTGAGTCGAGCTCGCACCTCTGCACTCCAGCCTTGGCAACAGAGCGAGATTCTGTCTCAAACAAACAAACAAACAAAAAAGGATAGTAACATTCAACCCTATTTTTCAATGGGGAAATGGCAGCCTAGAATGGTTTTAGTACTTACCTAATATTGCACAAGTGGTGGAATGGATAATCGAATGTGTGCAGTAAGATTTTGGAGTCACTGCTGTTGACTACTACACTATGCTGCTTCCCATTCAATTGATAAGGAAACCAAGGCTCAGAAAAATTAAGCCACATTCCAAGGTTACATGCTGATAAAGCCCAGAGCTTGGCTCTGTACACAGGTCTGCCTGACTCCAGAGCCTCAGCATGTTCACCATCAAGCCACAGTCCTTTCTTGCTGACATTGAGGAACAATCTTATACATGCGCCATGCTCTCCTTCAAGCTTATTCTGTATAGAATTATTACAAATTGAAGAACATGGGAGGCTCTTAATAAATTTCCTTGAATAAAATAATTGAATTTATGTAACAGCAAGCTGCATTATGAAAAAAAGTGAAAGCTATAAAAATTAAGTTTCATGAACAGAAACAAATCTAAAAAAAAAATACTCTCTTTTGCCACAATTTGTTTCCCAGAAAAGATAACAGTATCCAAGTCCTTTATAGCTATTTGTGTAACCTTGAAAGGGTTTCCTCTAAATCTGGTCACTGCATCATGGCCAACTCATTTAATATTTGGTTTTTGTTATGACAAGGAGATGGCAGGAATTCAAAGTCCTGTCCACTAGGAAATGGATAGAGATAGCCAAGTCACTGCTATCAACAGTCAATTTCACTCACTGTTAAACTGGATTCTGACCAAGGCTTAAGTAAAAAAGACCTTGAAAACTTAGCCATTCGATTCAGCTTTGAGCCTGACTTTAAATATTCTCCACCAAGATTACCATGTTTAAACATTTGGTAAAACCCTCCCTTCAATAAGAAGTGTGAATCAGGGAGCGCTCAAGGAGTCCTAAAGGAAGACGAAGTGGACTGTGAAATTCTCAAATATAATTATAAACTTAATAGTGTGTATATTCAATTCTGATTGGTGTATAATCACTTAACTAATAGAAAGAAACTAATTTGCCATTACAGCTGTTTTGAAATTACATTTAAAGGCAAAATCACAGTGCACTGGGAATTGCAGCCACAGAGCCACTGACTAGTTTTGCTTTGGAAAAAAAAAAAAAAAAAAGACTATTTCTCTCTCATTTCTCCATTAATACTTGCTAGTTGCTACAAACAGAAACTAAAAATAGAATTAGCATCGAAGTCCTGCAACAGCAATGACTAAATCAATGGATTGGCATGTTACCACAAGCTTGTTTCAGAGATCAGGGGCTGAGGTAGCACTTACTAAGCTTTGATGAAAACTGGTTTGTGGAATTACTTTTCACTAGGACCTAAATGCTGAAAATCACTTAAAACAGGTTCAAAGAATTGGGAATACTGACAAAATCCTTCTTATTCATGTTTATGTTTGACAAAAACAGCAGACCTATTCATGAGTCGTCACACCTCTTGAAAGCAAAACATCAGCTTATAACTTTGACAAATTAAGAGATTGTGACAAGTGAGATCAACACAGTATCTGACATTCAGTATTTAGAGTAGATTAATTCATGTATATTTAAATTATCAGTAATGATTCCTATATATATGTATAAGGTAACATCTTTATGTAAATCCTAATTATAAAACAGGATTACTCAACTTTAGCACTATGAAAATTTTTAGTCAAATAATTCTTTTTTGTTGGGGGCTGTCCTGCACATTGTAGGATCTTAGCAGGATCCCTGTCCTCTACCCACCAGATGCATGTGGTACATACATCCCTGCACCACCAGTTGTGCCAACCAACAGTGTCTCCAAACATTGCCAAGTGACTCTTGGGTAGCAAACTAGTCCCTAGTTGAGGACCAATGGTATAAAGTAACATTAGTTGCATATTACGAGTTAAAATGGCAGTACCACCACCATATCGTATATGCGGACAAATTTAAGGAAGAATAATTAATTTTAACTGACTTGTATAGTAGCCACAAAATGGTTTAATTTCTCAGGAGAAAATATCAGCTGTTATTATTAGAACTTCAGAGTCTCAGAATCTATTTATGGACCAAAGCTAACAGCTTTTTTTAAAAAAAAGATTAAAATAATAGAGAATATACTAGTCCAGCAGTTAAGGGACAGCCCAGAACACAGGGGGCAGAGAATGGTGCTCATCTAGTGATATTTGGTTGAAAACAAGCTGACTTGGCCCTGCTGAATCTAAGTCCCCTTACCCCTGCACCCCAAAATTAATCGATGGCTGAAGTCAACATTTTTTATTTTTATCTTAAACAAGAGAAATGTTAATCACATCACTTCTTCATTTCTAAAAACATAATCTATACCCTTAGACCAGGCAAAGTGTATGCAGCTGAATCCAGACTATAAAGCTGGTTTTTCTCTGCTGATTTACAATAGATTTTTACGACCTTGAACTACTTTTTCTTATTTAAGTTCTTCTCGTCTCTTAAAAATTGAGCTAATAGCACAAGCATATACCATTCTCCTTAATAATGATCATATATACTGGTTTTAAGACCTTCTTGATAAGTTCTCTAAGGTATTTTGAGGTGTTCAGTGATAAATGAAGAAATAAACTTTAATATTAAAAAGGATCTTTTATTCCACTGTGCAGACTGCAGAAATGTATAACTAATCATTAAAACATGGCCACCTTTGTTAGACTTAATATTGTTTTAAGCCAGTGCTTTCCAATCAACCAACCAAAGACATGTGGCAGGAAAAAATATACTTGCCCTGGAAGTCAGCAAACCTGGTTATAGGCCTCGTTCTGCCATTGGCTGCCTGGGTGAGCAGTTATCAGCTTTTAGCCTTTACTTTCACATAGGTATAATTAAATGGGCAAAATAAATGGTCTCTAAGTAATATTCAACTCTAAAAGTCCACAATTCTTTGTGTTTATTTTCTTCTTATATATATTTCACACTACACTTTCAGTTAGGGGAGAAGGAAATGACACTTCCTCTCAAATATCTCAGAATCTTTTTTGTTGTGGTTCTTTTTTATTGATACATAATGTTTGTACATATTTACAGGGTACTTGTGATATTTTATTACATGCGAAGACTGTACAATGATCAAGTTAGGATATTTGGGGTGTCCATCAAATCAAGAATTTACCATTTCTAAGTATTGGGAACATATCAAGTCCTTTCTTCTAGCTGTTTTGAAAAATACAATACATCATTGTTAACTATAGTCACCCTGCTCTGCTATCAAATATTAGAACTTAATCCTTCTAACTGTATGTTTTTACCCATTAATAAACCTCTTTTTATCCACCCCGCACTCACACATCCTTCCCAGCCTCTGGTAAATATAATTCCATTCTCTCTCTCCATGACATCAACTTTTTTAGTATCCACATACGAATGAGAACATGCAATATTTGTGCCTGGCTTATTTCACTTAACATAATAATAACCAGTTCCATTTACCAGTGCCATGATTTCTTTCTTTTTATGGCCAAATCACATTCTATTTTGCATATAAACCACATATTTTCTTATCCATTTGTCCCCTGATAGGTACTTAAGTTGATTCCATATCTTTACCATTGTAATCAAACAGCAAAGATTACAATAAAGAGAAGAGTGCAGGTATCATTTTGATACACTGATCTTTTCCTTTGGATGAAGAACCAGTAGTGGAATTGCTGGATCTTATGGTAGTTCTATTGTTAGTTTTTTGATAAAAAAATTTTTAGTTTTTTGATCGCCATGCTGTTTTCCATAGAGGCCATATTAATTTACATTCCCAGCAACGGTGTATGAGTTCTCTTTTCTCTGCATCCTTGCCAGCATCTGTTATGTATTGTCTTTTTATTAATAGCCATTCTAACTGGGATAATATCTCATTGTGGTTTTGATTTGCCTTTCCCAGATGATTAGTGATGTTGAGAATTGTTTCAATACCTGTTGGGCATTTAAATTTTCTTTTAATAAATGTCTATTCACATTTTTGCCCACTTTTTAATGAGACTATGTGGTTGGGGTTGTGGAATTGTTTGAGTTTCTTACACGTTTTGGATTTTAGTATGTTCTCAAACAAATATTTTACAAAATATTTTCTCCAATTCAACAGATTGTCTTTTCACTTTGTTAATTGTTTCTTTTGCTAGGCAGATGTCTTTTAGTTTAATATAGTTCCATTTGTCTATTTTTTTTTTTTTTTTTTGAGATGGAGTCTCACTCTGTTGCCCAGGCTGGAGTGCAATGGCGCAATCTCGGCTCACTGCAACCTCTGCCTCCTGGGTTCAAGCGATTCTCCTGCCTCAGCCTCCCGAATAGCTGGGATTACAGGCACGTGCCACCATGCCCCGCTAATTTTTGTATTTTTAGTAGAGGAGGGGTTTCACCATGTTGGCCAGGCTGGTCTCGAACTCCTGACCTCAGGTGATCCACCCATCTCGGCCTCCTACAGTGCTGGGATTATAGACGTGAGCCACTTCCCCTAGCCTATTTTGTTTTTGTTGCCTGTGCTTTTGAGGTTTTAGCAATAAAATATTTGCCTAGAACAATATCCTGAAATGCTTCTCCTATGTATTCTTCTAGTAGATTTACAGTTTCAGGTCGTACATTTAAGTACTTAAACCATCTTTATTTGGTTTTTGCATATGGTGAGTGATAGGGGTCCAGTTTCACTATTCTGCATATAACCATCCAATATTTCCAGCACCACTTATTGAAGAAGGTACTCATTCCCCAAGTATCTTCTTGGCACCTTCGTTGAAATCAGTTGGCTATAAATACATGAATATACTTCTGGGTTTTCCATTCTGTTCTGTTGGTCTATGTGTCTGATTTTATACCAATACCATACTGTTTTGGTTACTATAGCCTTGTAATACATTTTAAAGTCAGGTAGTGTGATGCCTCCAGCCTTGTTCTTTTTCCTCAAGATTGCTTTGGCTATTTGCATTCTTTTTTGGTTCCATATGAATTTTAGAATCATTTTATCTATTTCTGTGAATAATGGCATTAGTATTTTGATAGAGATTACATTTAATCTGCAGGTTTCTTTGTGTAGTATGGCAATTTTCATGATATTAATTCTTCTGATCTATGAGTATGAGATGTCTTTCCATTTGTTTGTGTCCTCTTCAATTGCTTTCATCAGCATTTTGAAGTTTTTCTTGTAGAGGTCTTTAACATCCTTGGTTACATATATTCCTAATTTTTTTCTACTTATTATAAATGGAATTGTTTTCTTGATTTTTCAATCAGGTAGTTTATTATTGGTGCATCGAAATGCTACTAATTTTCATATGTTGATATATGTTGCAACTTTACTGAATTTATTTATCAGATCAAAGATTTTTATGGTGGAGCCTTTACATTTTTCCAGATATAAGATCATATCATGAGCAAAAAGAAAAGATTTGATGGCCTCTTTTCTAATTCAGATGTTTTTCTTCTTTCTCTTGCCTGATTGATCTGGCTATGACTTCCAGTACTTTGTTGAATAGTATTGGTAAAAGTGGGCATCCTTATCTTATTCCAGTTCTTAGAGGAAAGGCTTTCAGTTTTTCCTCCTTCACTATGATGTTAGCTGTGATTTTGTCATATATGGCCTTTATTATATTGAGCTATGTTTCTTCTATGCCTAGTTTGTTGAGAGTTTTCATCAGGAAGGAATGTTTAATTTTATCAAATTTTTTTTCTGCTTCTATTAAGACAAAATATGGTTTTTGTCCTTCATTTTATTGATAAGGTGCATCACATTTATTGATTTGTGTATGTTGAACCATCCTTGCATCCCTGAGATAAATACCACTTGATCATGGTGTATTATCTTCATGGTGTGCTGTTGGATTCAGTTTGCTCATTTTTTGTTGAGAATTTTTGTGTCTATGTTCATCAGGGATATTGACTTGTAGCTTTTTTTGTGCATGGTATCCTTGTCTGGTTTTGGTATTAGAGTACTGCTGGCTTCATAGAATGAATTAGGCAGAATTCCCTCTTCTTCAATTTTTTTGAATAGTTTGAGAAGAATTCTCTTTTTGTTTCTTGGTCAGTCTAGCTACCAATTTATCAATTTTGTTTACATTTTCAAAAAACCAACTTTTCATTTCATTGATCCTTTCTATTTTATCTCTAGTTTAGTTCTGCTTTGATCTTTATTATTTCATTACTTCTACTGATACTGGGCTTGGTTTGCTCTTGCTTTTCTAGTCCTTTGAAGTGTATTGTTAGGTTTTTTCTTTGAGAAATCTTTCTACTTTGTGATATAGGTGTTCATTGCTATACACGTCCCTCTTAGCACTGCTTTTACTGTAACCCATAGGTTTTGATATGTTGAATTTTGATTTTCATTTGTTTGAAGAATGTTTTTTTAAATTTCCTTCTTAGTTTCTTCCTTGACCCAATGGTTGTTCAGTAGCATGTGTTTAACTTCCATGTATTTGTACAATTTCCAAATTTCCTGTTGGTATTGATTTTTAGTTTTATTCCACTGGGTCTGAGAAGAAATATGATATGATTTTGATTTCTTAAAATTTGTTGAGACTTGTTTTGTGTCCTAATATGTAGTCTATTTTGGAGAATGTTCTATGTGCTGATGAAAAGAATGTAGCTGTCGGATGAAATGTACTATTAATGTTTGTTAGGTCCATTTGGTCTAAAATGCAGTTTAAATCCAATTTTTTGTTGTTGTTGTTGATTTTCTGTCTAGATGATCTGTCTAATGCTGACAGACAGGTGTTGAAGTCCCCAGCTATTACTGCATTAGAATCTATCTCTCTGTCTAGATCTAATAATATCCGCTTTATATATCTGGGTGCTTTGGTGTTGGGATGCATTTCTGTTTATAATTTTTTGTCCTCTGGCTGAATTGATCCTTTACCATTATATAATAAATTTCATAAATTTATAAGGTCATTTTACATTTGTCTTGTTATTACTGTTTTTGTCTTAAAGTTTGTTTTATCTGACATAATTATAGCTTCTCTTGCTCACTTTTGCTTTCTTTTTCTATCCTTTGCTTTCAGACTATATATGTTTTTACAGGAGAGATGAGTTTCTGATAGGCAACATATAGTTGAGTAATTTTTTTATCCATTCATTCATTCTATATATTTTAAGTAGAAGGCTTAATTATTTACATTTATGGTTATTCTTGATATGTCAGGGCTTATTCCTGTTATTTTATTAATATCTGATTTTTTGGCATATCCCATTGTTACTTTTCTTTTTATCCTATTGCTTATTATTGTAAATTGGTGATTTTCTTTAGCTGTAATATTTGAGTCCTTTCTCTTCCTTGTTTGTGTTTTCTCTACCTGTGGGTTTTATACTTTAGTGTGTTTTCATGATGATAGATATCATCCCTTTGCTTCAAAGTATAGGACTCCCTTAAACATTTCCTGTAGACCATTCCAGTGGTGATGAATTCCCTCAGTTTTTCTAGTCCAGGAAAGACTATTTCTCAATTTATGAAGAATAACTTTTCTGGGTATAGTATCATTGACTGGCAGTGTTTTGTCATTGTTGTTGTTGTTGTTGTTTTTCTCAGTATTATGAATATATCACCCCATTCTCTCCTGTCCTGCAAGGTTTCTGCTGAGAAATCCTCTGTTAATCTGATAGTGTTACAGGAAAGGGGTCCCAATCCAGACCCCAAGAGAGGGTCCTTGGATCTCACAAGAAGGAGTTCAGGGTGAGTCCATAGAGTAAAGTGAAAACAAGTTTATTAGGAAAGTGAAGGAATAAAAGAATGGCTACTCCATAGAAAGAGCAGCCCCAAGGGCTGCTGGTTGCCCATTTTTATGGTTATTTCTTGATGATATGTTAATAAGGGGTGGATTATTCATGCCTCCTCTTTTTAGACCATATAGGGTAACTTCCTGACATTGCCATGGCATTTATAAACTCTCATGGTGCTGGTGGGAGTGTAGTCACAAGGATGACCAGAGGTCACTCTCATGGCCATCTTGATTTTGATGGGTTTTTCTATGGCTGTACCACCCTGAATACACCTGATCCCATCTGATCCTGGAAGCTAAGCAGGGTCAGGCCTGATTAGTACTTGGATGAGAGATTTTGGTGGGTGTTAGCTGGCTTCTTCTAACCTGTTTTATCAGCAACTTGTTTTATGACCTGTATTTTGTGCCAACCTCCTATTTCATCCTGTGACTTAGAATGCCATCACCATCTGGGAATGCAGCCCAGCAGGTCTTAGCCTTACTTTCCCAGCACCTATTCAACATGGAGTTGCTCTGGTTCACAAGCCTCCGACAATAGGGATTCCCATATGAGTGACTAAATGCTTTTATTGATTTTAGAATTCTCTCTTTGCCTTTGTCTTTTGATAGTTTGACTATAATATGCCTTGGAGAAAGTCTTTTTGCATTGTATTTATTTGGGAATCTCTGAGCTTCTTTTATCTGGGTGTCTAAATCTCTTTGCTAGACTTTGAAAGTTTTCAGTTATTATTTTGTTAAATAAGTTTCTATCCTTTTTATTTTCTCTTTACCTTCTGGGACATCAAAAATTTGAATATTTATTCACTTTGTGGTGTCCCATATGTCACACAAAATTTGTTCATTGCTTTTTATTCTTTTTCTATATTTTTGTCTGACTGGGTTATTTCAAAAGACCTGTCTTCAAGTTCTAAAATTCTTTCTTCTGCTTGATCTATTGTTGAAGTTTTTTTAATGTATTTTTTATTTCACTTAGTACATTCTTCAGTTCCAGAATTCCTGTTTGTTCTCTTTTATTATGTTTGTCTCTTTGATATATTCCTCATTCATATCCTGAATTGTTTTTCTGATTTCCTTGTATTGCTTTGGTTTTCTCCTGCTTCTCACTCAGCCTCTTTAATATCATTATTTTAAATTCCTTTTTTAGGATCTCATAAATTTCCTCTTGATTGGATTCTGTTTCTGGGGAATTATTGTGTTCCTTTGGAAGTGTCATGTTTTCTATTTTTTCATGGTTCTTGTGTCTTTACATTGATATCTGTATATCTGGTGTAATAGCTGCTTCTTCCAGTTTTTTTAAATTTGCATGCATAGGGAAAACTTTTTCCTAAAGATGTATCTATGGTGTTGGATGCACAGGGCACTTTAACTTTGATTGTAGGTGCAAGCAGGAGTGTAGTGTTTATATGATTTATTTGATTGTACACAGCATCAGTGGTGTCTGTGATTTCCACAGTGGCTTAGGGTATGGTTGCTAGTGAAAGCTTTGGTGAAGTTTTTCTGAGGATGGGGATGTCAGATGGGGATTTCCTCAGACTCCAGTTCTGTCAGCAACAGGCCAAACATGCCTGTCCTTGGGCCTCAGCATGGTGTATACTGCCACTGGTGTTAGCAGGTCCAAGCAGGCTGATTCTTGGACTTCCACGTGGCTTGCTCAAGTGCCAGTTGTAGCAGCAGTGGTCCAAGCAGGTGAATAGGTTCTCAGGCCCCTGGACAGCAGGTGTGACATGGGCAATGGCAGCAGCAATGGCAGGACAAACCTCTGGATTTCAAGCAGTCCATTCTGATGTTGGCAGTGGCTGCAATGGGCTGGGCCAGCCAGTCATCAGGCTCCCAGGTGGCACATGCAGGTGGGTGCCAGCTCTGGTGGTAGTGGCAGGCTGGATGGGCTAGATCTTGGGACCCCAGGAGGAGTATTCAGGTGGCAACAGTGATGGACTGGGCTGGGCAATCCCCAGGCACCTGGGCAGCATGCTGAGACACTGAGGAGGTGAAGCCAGGTGAGGAGGACCTGTCTTCAGACCCACCGGTGGTGTCTGCAGTAACTGGCTGTGGCAGGCAAAGGCAAGGTGATCCCCAGGCCCAAGGCAGTATGTCCAGGGGAGGGCAGCAGGGGCTGCACTGCAGCTCTTCTACTGAGGAGGTTGGAGTTGCTTTTAATGGTAACAGCCATATGCAGGTGGCTGGGAAGAGTGCACTTCACTCGCACTTCAGCCCCCACAGTGACAGCCAACAGCATGCAACTACTGCTGCTGGCAGGAGTTTGTTTTGGGGAGTGCATGAATGTGCATGATGGCTTTACTGCTGGAGGCAGTGGAGGTATTTGCCAATGGCTCATGCTCTAGCCCTGGCAGCAGTAGTCAGCCAAAGTGGTGGCTGCAGGTGGGGGATGTCAATGGGGCTCCAGAGATATGGAAATGCAAGGGCTGTTGGGTACCCAAGCAAGATGCAGTCCATTCTGGGCTGGGCTCTCAATATGGTGGCTTGCTGCAGCTGTTTAGGACTTGAGAAGTGTGTAGGACCCAGTGTGAGCTCCTTCTCTGAAGCAATGCCTTCACACAGTCTCCAAGCAGCTTCCTATGTTAATCTCGGGGACCACAAGGGTGCTGGGGCTTCCCCATGGCTGAGATGCATTCAATGGTTGGAATGTGGGCCACTAGGGGTCACTCATTTACCCTTTCCCTGCACTCAGGAGCCTCTCTAGCCTCCCAACCAATCCCAGATGAGCTGGCTGCTTCACTTCCTTCTCCTTTATCCTGTCACTTCTCAGCTGAATTCCAGTGTTCTCTCTTAGATGATTTATTCAAAGTGTGATTATCTACTCACTATTTTGGTTCTTATTCTTTGAGGAGGTGAGTACCAAATGCTTCTGCTCAGCCGTCTTGAAGCCTCTATCTTTGTCTTGGAATTTTTGAAAGGCTGAGTCAGTGAGACAGAAAATATGACAGAATATAAGTCTTCTTTTACTAGGAAAGCTACTGAGTATAACAGGAATCCAGGAAAAAAAATAACAGAAACAATGTTCAAGTGGACAATAAGGAGCTTACAAGTTAGTGGGAGACTTTAGATTCCTAGAATTGAGATGGTCCTCAAAGTTCATCTGAACAAACTGCATGTGAGGAAACTGAGTCTCACAGTAACGGGCTTTTTCAAAGCTTATAGCTTTTAGTGACAGAGCTAGAACCCAGTCTCTCACCCTCTGCTTCCAATTTTTCTGAAAATTATTCCAAATTAAAAGGTTAATAACATCTATGGAATTATTGACCTAATTATCCAGGATCATCCGTGTCAAAATAGTATCAAGGAAGAGGCACGGGAATAGGAGAAATAGCTCTTTGAAAGAAAATATATTGAAAAATTAACACAGCACTCTATTCCAATAATAAGCCTGAAGATTGTAGTCACTCATAATTCATGTAATACCCTAGCCACTGATTTTCTTTGTGGAACTGAGCAGAAAATAATCTTCGTGTTCTGCTCCCTGCATATTTCCCAGGGATGCAGTGAAGAAATAGAAAATCAAATGAAGCAAGAAAGTATTCATATATCGTGAAAAATAAATTAAATTTATGATTCTCCACCTAGCTATAATTTAGAATCACTTATTGAACCCAGTTACCATCTAAGACCTATAAAGTAAGGATCTTGGGGTGCTGGGCCTGGGAATCTGTAATTTTAAGTCTCAAAAAATGATTCTGATGCATGCCCCAGATAAGAAATCATTGGATTAGATTTTATTTTAATGAAATTCATTCAAATCCAAGATTCCCTGATTCTATGATGTATCTAAATAGACTTGAGTGAGATTTTGCAGCCATGTCAAGTCTTAAAGGAAACAAATAGTAATTGAGTACCTTTCCTGCTTCTGAACCCCATCTGGCTTCTGGGCATCATTAGAAAACATGAGGGGCGGTGGATGTTTATTTACCCTGAAAAGACCCTCTTATCAGAGCGTCATCCCTTAGGGATTTGAGTTCTCAAAAGAAGTCTTTATTTCAGAACGTTTAGGGGGAAAGAAGATACTATGAATGCTTGAAGGTATTATGTCCCTTTTTCCCATTTCCCCTTTCAAGAACGAATATGTTATCTAAAATAGTGCATATCCTAAGTACCATAGTCTCTAACATTAGAGATTGTGATTCACTCATTAGTTTTCAGCAGAAAACAAGGGCCTGAGGAAGAAGGGCAGCATGAAGGAGGGGGGAATTCTGGGTAATGGCAGGAAACAGAAAAAAAAATGGCATGACACAGAGGAAACATATGAGTCAGAACCACATAGCCCAAAGTTTGATCCCAAATCTACATGCTACTTTTTCTGAGATGGGTAGCTTTGAGCAAATCACATAAACCATATGATTTTCAGCTTTCTCATCTAGAGATTGTTAAAAATAGTACTGGTCATATATCATGATACTTTTATGATAATTAGACATATGACATGTCTGGTGCCCTCACTACAGTATTTGGCCCAAGGAAGTATTCAATAAATGGCAACAATTATTAACAGTACTAGCACTTTCCAGTGAAGTATGACATTGTGGAAAACCAAAGAACAAACAGGTAGAATAGGAATGTGGAAGTACCTGCTAAAGGCAGAAAATCTCCAAATAATGCAGAGATGCATTTAGTAGACAGTTTCAGCATTTAACCTAGCCTAAATGTATTTTAACATTGCATAACAGAGAATACCTATCTCTCATATGTCCCTCTCTCTCCCCCTCTATTCCTGTCTCTCTTTTTCTCCCTCTATATTAAACACCTACACTCCCCAATAAAGAAATAAATAATAGCACATTTATAGCACAACAACAAAACTACAAAACTAGTGTATCTGGCAAAAAAGCAAAGCCTTCTGCCACCAGCATCGCCAGGCATTTTGCACCCAGAAGATGCATGACAGCAGAATCCCCAAACAATGCTGCTTTACAAGCCAAAGTGGGGGTAACCTCAAGGAGGTCAAAGCCAAGGAAATGTACCATGCACATGAAAGCACAGCTTTGAACAGGAAAAAAAGCTAAGAAACGTTCATAACACTTCTGCAGCCAATCTGGCATGCAAAAGTCAGAAAAAGCAAGTTTTTTCAATCCAAGGCAATCAACATCTTTTGTAGGTAAAACGGCAGCACTCCAAGAAGCCACACAAGCTCTCCAATAACTGCTGTGTCTGTAAGTCATAGGATAAGGTAGGCAGCATGGAAAAGACTGCTGACCCCACACCCACTGCCAGCCACAATCAAACATCTAATATGAGGGAGAGTTATTTACAGGCACTAAAATCTACTTAGCACTATTGTCATATACCAAAGTCTACAAGCGAAATAATTCCCAAGGGCATCTGGGCCAGCTGTCACCCTGACTTCACAATGAATGGAGTTTGTTTTGACAGCTATCTGCTGCCATTTTTGCCTCTATATAACTTTTCTAATATCTTCCCTCCTCTTCTTTCTACTCCACGAATTAGCTTTTATTGAGCACCCATTTTGTATGTGCATGATGCTGTGGCAGGGACACAGATAAAAAAGCCTTGGGTCTTGACCTCAATACATCCATAGTACACAAATAGATAATGAGAGTATAAAGTGAGAAGTATCTAGAAGAATAAAACTAAAGTGGGAAGGAGGGAGCTTAATTCTGCCCAGGGAATCAATCAGAGATCATAGAGGTAGAGACATTTGAAATGGGCATGAAAGGATCTATAAGTATTTATGTCTGAGAGAATGGAAAAAGCAACCCAGGCAAAAGTCTCGTAATAGGAGATATGTGCGGGGCATTGACCATGTTCTATGTGGGATTTGGTAAAGAAAATGGCATGATGTGAGGCAGGAAAACTAGTCTGCGGGAAGATTCCCAAATCCCTAAGCATTCGTCCTAGCAACCATTGACATGGTCTGTCCTTTCATTCACCCCCATCTGCTCAGTGCCCAGCACGTGCCTGATGTGGCATAAACCTGGGGTTGTAGCTGTGTACAGCTCTTTATAGTACCCTCACCCAGATCTGCCTTATACCTTAACACTTCTAACTCCAGAAAGATCCCCCTCTGTGGACTCTGAGCCCTCCAAGGAATTACTAACTAAAGCATTAGAAAAGTTGAGGCCAGGCGTGGTGGCTCACGCATGTAATCCCAATACTTTGGGAGGCCAAGGCAGGCAGATCACTTGAGGTCAGGAGTTCAAGACCACCCTGGCCAACATTGTGAAACCCCATCTCTACTAAAAGTAAAAAAAAAAAAAAAAAAAAAAAAAAGCTGGGCATGGGGCATGGTAGTGGGCATCTGTAATCCCAGCTACTTGGGAGGCTGAGGCAGGAGAATCACTTGACCCAGGAGGTGGAGGTTGCTGTAGCCGAGATCACGCCACTACACTCCAGCCTGGGTGACAGAGTAAGACCCTGTCTCAAAAAAACAAAAAGAAAGAAAAAATAAAAGAAAAGTTGAATGCCTACTCTTCCAGTGGGTTTTTGCATTTTAGAAGAAGACATATTGACTCAAATGGAAAAATTGGCATGGAAAAAATTTTGAGCAGAAGAACCATTCTGCCCTTCATAGCTTACCCTTAGGTGTCACTCCTCATTCTCTCTGCTTATCCTTATTTCTGAATTAGAAGAGCAGAGGTATACCTGCTTATTTGCACCCCACTCCTGATCTTTGATTTCTCTCCACTAGAAGTCACGTCAGTTCTCACAGGAATTCAAGAGGTTTCAATCTCACCCCTGCTACACATTCACGTGACAGATGAGGTTCACATATGGAACACATTTTCCAAGTGCAGCCTATATAATGGCCTGAAACACAAACAAAATCAACCTGAGATTTTGTAGGGTTACTAGGATGCTACATATACTAGGATACTCCATTACCCTCCCACATAAGAAAGCATGCTGGAATGAAAGTAAGCCTGGGGTTACAATAGGGATAGTCTTGAATCCATTCTAATTTGTAAAGGAAAAATTGTAAGCAAATGTTGTTACTTCACTACTAGTATCACATCACATGAGGCATGCTTCTAAATGATCCTGTTCCTCTAGTATGACACATTACCAAGCTGGAAAGTCACTGGCAAAGGTTCATACATATAATCTGACAGTTCTCAGTAGTACACTGTATGTCAGTAATGCATCTATAGTTTTCAAAAGTGTCCAGTTCACTCTTAAGGCCTACATTACAAATAGTTTGATTCGACTCATTAATGTGCTATACATACACCACAAAGTCCTACTAAACAAAACCAATAACCTTACGGAATTGTCTTTCTATTTTCTAATTTCTAATGTTCTAACTTCCTGTGTGTTGAGGTTTCAACATCAGCAAGTGTTTGCTTCATTTTAATAAAGAAAAATACTTTTAATTTTATTTGGCATATAAGCTAAGGTTTTTTGGAATACTATAGCTTAAATGATTATTTTTTAAATAACTAATAAAATTTTTATGGGCACTACATCCCTTGAACAAAACTGCAAAGGAAATTTCAAACAAGATCTTGAGTCCTTCATCAGCGAGCTTGCCATGAAGGAAACATTCTAAAATCTCAGTGGCTTGTAGCAGCAAATATTTGTTTACTACTCACATGTCTGCATCTGTGGAATGGATGGGGTACTAGAGCTTTGCTCAACTCTGTACTACATTTCCTTTCATACCGGGACCTCAGGGAAAGATGCTTACTTTTGTGGCAGAGGCTAACAAGAAGCAATCACTTTTGAAGTTTCTGTGCAAATATAATGTTTGTCTCATTGGCTCACATACTGTTGGCCAAAAAAAAAAAAAAAAAAAAAAGTCACATGGAGTAGCCCAACATCCGTGAAGCAAGAAAATACATTTTTCCCATAGCAGGAGAGGGAAATATACATTTGCAAAGAATAATACAATCGGTCAAAGAACACCTTCTCTGGATATTCACTTTCCTTCCTTTCTCACTCAAAGTTACTCGCTCCCATTAAATATACCTTGAAAATTGCATCCGCTTACGGCATCAGGTGCAAAGTTGAAGATCTTGTGGTACTCTCTAAGTCAGGAATAAAATAACTCATACACACTCACATAAAATGGTGAAACAGGGACAGAACAACTACAATGAAACCTCCATTCATGAAGAGGAAGGCAGACAGACACTTAGCCATCAGTAATACACAGTAATTTTGAAATTCTGCTGAACAAGCATCATGAGGCCTCCTAACCTAGAGCAGGGAATATTTCTTGAGTAGCCTCTGTTCAGCTCTTGAGGAGGTAGAAGTGGAGATACCCTCAGTCCATCATTCTCTGTGTCTTGAATCCACCCTCTGGAACATCTTCTCTTTTTGGTTATTCTTGTTGGATGCACCTGAGGAGAGCATTGGAGACAATGCCATTCTAGGGGAAGGAGCAGCTTTCTCAGCCTGCCTCTTGCCCAAGAAAATTGGGGCACAAATCATCTCAAACAGTTACAGTCTCTTTGAATTGAAGATGACAGTGCTTTTGGCAGTACAACTCTTTCAAAGATATAGCTATTTATCTATGTGATTACATTTCTGTGTGCCAGTAGCTGCTACCACAATTATTTTGTAGATGTATGTTTTTCTTTAGACTTAATTAAAGATATTGTGTGCTTATCTAGTTATGGCAGAACTGTGCCCTTAGGATTTGTGGCCACACCCCTAATTTTAGCTGTACCTATGTCTTAATCAGTGTTTTTGGCTCAAAACATTTCTTAATTTTATTTTTTATCAATTGATGATTGAAAACAGTTTCACTTTTCAACTCTGAAATCCCAAAATTTGGGACTCTGTGTTTTCTATTTCACTCCTTCCTACAAACAGGCCAGTTATTTTCTGTATTTATTTCCTTTTAAAAATATCTTATCAAATGTAGCTAATAACCAACTCACACTAGAAATATTCCTTTTAAATACCCCGCCAGCCAAAGCTACAATTTCATGAGGTATACTCTCTGCCTCCAAACTTATCACCATTGCAGAAAAACTATATTACATCGATCACCACTTTTTTTCAATTTCCTTTACAGTTTTCTTACCACCTACTGCTTTATCCTGAAGCAATTGTGACACCATTTTTATTTTCATAAAGTAGTTCCCCACTCGTCATATCAATTTCTATATGAGTCAGTTTGCTGCACAAAAAGCAACCCTAAAACTCTAGTGGCTTACAACAGTAAACAGGTTTCTTGCCCAAGTAACATGCCAGCGAGTGTCACTTGGCTCTGAAAACCTTGGCTCTGTTCCATAGAGCTTCACATTCAGGGACCCAGGCTGACAGGCAGCCACTCATGCATTCTCATAACACATGCATTCTCATGGCAAAAGGGAAAGGCAAGAGGCTAATGCCTTTATTCTTAAATCATATTTAAGGTCTTTCCTTGAAATTGGCATCGTTATTCTTCTCACATTCCATTGACCAAGCTCAGCATGATGGCATGGGTAATTTTCCTCCCATTGGGAAAAAGGTGGAGTAAATATTTGCAAATAATAATACAACCTGACCACATGCTGTACTGAAAGACCTGAGTAATAAAATTTTAGAGTTGGAGATATACTACGCAACACCAGAAAACTGGTGCAATTAGAAGGATTTTCACGAGATTAATTATTTTTTTCATCATTCTGCAAAGAAACTATAAGAAACCAATGTAGCAGTTGATTTTATGCTGTGAAACATCACAAAGATGTCGTTCCAAAGTGATTAATATCCAGAATTGCTTCTATAAAAGAAAAACATAAAAAGAGAAGCATAAGTGTTCTTAAATTTTTACTTTGCTTTATAAAAATTAAAAATGTATGATAGTAAAGTACATTTTATGTATGGTTGCAAAAGCAATCTGAATTTGCTAAGTCCCTCTAGTTTACATTTGATGCAGTCAAGGACTTTTCGTCACAATCAGAAGAAGCATTAGAAAGAAAAAAATCTGTCCAGAATTATGGGGTGTTTCTAATTATTCCTAAATAATTCACAAATGTTAGTAAATGCAGAGATTCCGTTTGAATGGGAGCCCTGCTGAGCTAAAGGCCTCAGAAAGATAACAGGGTAATGAGTGCCCTCTAGTGGTAAATCAAAGCTTTTGACTTGTAAACAGAACAGAGAGAGAATGTCGTTTTCCTCATTTTGCTGCTTAAGCTGTACTCTGCGGACGAAGGGGAAAATGTTGAATCTCAACATTCTAAGACTCCTTTTTCCTGTGCCTGAAACTTGTTTATTTGATACTTAAAAGTATTAAGCAATTCAATTCTCCTCACGTAAGAATAATAGATGTTATATGTCTATTACTTTCTTATCCTAAAGCTGTCACAAGTATATATTCAATTTTATTTTTAAAAAGAAATAAAATTTTTACCCCGGGGATGTAGCTTGAAGAATAATTTGCAATTTAGATTTTGTTTGTATTGATTACAGGTCAGCACAATCACCAAGAAGAAATATCTAAGTAGTTTCCAACTCCTGATATTTCCAAAATGATTACAGATTTTATTATTCAAGGTCACAGTCACCTCATTTTACCAGTGTCAATGAAAACCTGATGTTATCTGTTAATTAAGAATCTCCATGGCGGCCGGGCGCTGTGGCTCACGCCTGTAATCCCAGCACTTTGGGGGACCGAGGCAGGCAGATCACCTGAGGTCAGGAGTGCACGACCAGCCTGGCCAACATGGTGAAACCCCGTCTCTACTAAAAATACAAAAAATTAGCTGGGCGTGGTGGCGGGTGCCTGTAATCCCAGCTACTTGGGAGGTTGAGGCAGGAGAATTGTTTGAACCTGGTAGATGGAGGTTGCAGTGAGCCGAGATCGCGCCATTGCACTCTAGCCTGGGGCAACAAGAGAGAAACTCGGTCTCAAAAAAAAAAAAAAGAATCACCATGGCAATGAAAATGGATATCTTAAGTGCTGCTGCTGCCGCCGCTACCACTGATGCCACTGCAATTTATGTGTGAGTTCCAAGTGCCCTCTACTGGGCAAAATACAGTGGGTGAACAAGCTGTCTGGATTCTAGTCTGGATCAGCCCTCTCCCCTTGGAGTTCCTAATCAAGCTGAAATACCATTTTAAAAATGTAAAAGCTCAACCTATGTAAAGACCATAGGATCAGACTTTATGCTAAAATCGTGGAAGGAAAAAATCATTAAAGCTTTATTGTATATGGATGAATAGTTTGCAAATACCATGCTTTTCCTTTTTACTCAAATCTCATTTCAAATACGATTGCCTCCATGAGAAATTAGAAGCTATTAGAAAACAAGTCATGGACAATATTTTAAAACCTGACTTTTCTTCTCGGCACTTAGATAAATTTCTTTTTCTTTTTCTTTTTTTTTTCTTTTTTCTTTCTTTCTTTTTTTTTTTTTTTTTTAACTTAACAGGCCTGGAATCCAACTTGTGCAGGTTTTCCACCCCCTGGGGAGATATAGAAAGTCTGCTGAAGTTCTCGCTAAGCTCCCAAAAAGGCAATGCCTCCCCTGTGTAGTTGAAAACGTTAACATTTGCAATTATCAGCTCAAGTTTTAGGATAGAGTAAAGTGATCTAGTCTTGGAGAGAAAGGGTAAGAGGGCTACTTTTTGGCTTCCAGGAGTTAGACAGTACTCTGGTAATGGCAGGAGCTATTATTAATCCTCTTGGTCAAACTTCCTTCTGTATGCCTGGGATCACGCCCTTATGAACCCCAGTCCACTTTGTTGGGTTTTTTTTCCCTCCTCCCATGATCTCTCTAAGCTATTAAAGCCCTAAATTCATTCGTTGGAGTTCTGGGGGGAAAAACGGTCCTTTTTTGTAAAATGAAGGAGAAAGACAATCTATAGTCCCTGAATTCAAGAGCAAAGCATCTTTTGTCTACAAACCCTTTTCTTCCGAGAATTGTATGTATTACCAAAGCATGAGATCATAGCCCAGCTCCTAGTAAGTCAAAAGAAATATATCTGCATAAATAGAAATTCAAATAAACTACTTCCAACAGGGTTTAAACTATTTGTTTAGCTTCTAAAATATTAACAAAATAATCTGAAATATGATGACTTCTGTACGTGTTGCCTTTCTGTAATAAAAGTGTTATGGGCTGAATCATGTTCCCTCAAAATTCATATGTTGAAGTCCTAATCCTCAGTACCTCAGAAGGTAATCCTATCTTTATAAAGGTCATAAAGTTGAAATAAGGTAATTAGGGTGGGACTTTATCCCATATGACAGGTATCCTTAAAAGAAAAGAAGATTTGGATACACACACACTCAGAGGGAGGAGCATGGGAAAACACACGAAGACAGCCACCTGCATGCCAAGAAAAGAGGTGTCAGAAGAAACTGACCGAGCTGATTACTTGATCTCAGACTTCTAGCTTCCAGCATTGCGAGAAAATACATTTCTGTCATTTAAACCACCTAATCTGTAGTACTTTATATGACATCTCCAGTAAACTAATACAAAAAGTGAGGTTGGCATTACTTCCATGGCTCTAAACTGTCAGGATAAATATGTCAGCATTTCTGTTAGCCTTTGCCTCAAGATTTTTGCCTCCAGGTGGATATCCAACTAATATAGCTCCAGGCATCATGTCTAAACTCAAGAAAGAAAGAGGGGAGAAAATACCCTTCTTTTTATCAAAAACTAATTATTTTTAAAGGATCCTTTCTGTTGCAAGTACCTGAAAACTCAAGACTCAAACTCAGAATTTATTAGCTCAAGAATTAGAAAATCCGGGGTTGCACCAACATTAGGCATGGCTAGACTCAGAGATCACATACATTATCTGGATTGAGATTCTCCATATCTTTTTATTTTTCTGTCTTTGTACTGCTTTACTTTTCTGCTCATGCTTATCACTAGAAATTCCAGGCTTTTTCCTCATGGCAACAAGATTCTGGCTGCTATAGCTTTAGCAACACAGTCTTTCAAGATCCAGTCTAGCAAAAATGAGTTCCTGTCTCCCAGAATCCCTACGTACAAACACACATATGATGCTTCTTTCTTGGGCACACCCTCATGGTGTAATTATGTAAAATGCCTCTTCATACTCTTTTATCTTAGCCTAAGCACTAGGAAGTCTGTATTTACGTAATAATGTTGATAATTATCAACATTGTAAAGAGTAAAGGGCTACTCTTTATTAAGCACTTTATTCCAAGCATGGTTCAGTATCTCCTTGAATCATCACACTATCTAATGTAACAAGAACAATTACCCCACTTCCAAAATATTACTGAATATTTTTTAAAACTTTTTAAGAAGTAACTAGTCATGAATAGGTCAAATAATTTGCCACATATCACTAAGATAGAAAATAGAGCCAGGAATTAAATATACTTTTGTCAGTGTCTAAAATCTTCAAACTCTTAACCACGATCTGAATCCACTTGATTCCATATTGTTTTTCAGAAAGGATGAAGCTTCTAGCTCTTTGTCTCCATTTCAAGAACTTCCCCTGCAATCACTTCTACCCAGTCAACCAATTCCCACTTACTCGGACTATGCCTATTATCAATTCTTCAATCATGAAAGGTTAATTTTTAACAAATAAATGCTCCCTTCTTCCCCAACCACTCTAATTTTAGGAAAGAAAGATTTCCGCTTATCCTAGTAATGAGAAGCATTTGAATTCTACATAGTCACTCAAACCCCTGCCCCTTTACAAGCTAACCCATCTTTTTAAAATTTCTCTGACTTTTTTATTATGCAGTTTTACTCTCTTTGAAGCATATTTAGAAGTCAGTCCTTGAAAAACACTGGCATGCAAAACAATTGAAAATAAATAGACAGCAATTATGCCAATAGATAAGGATAAAAATGAGGGTCCCATTTTACATTGCCTTCTTTTCAGCAAAGATCTATTTTCAGTGCAGAGGTCAGATGAATTCAATAGTATCTCTCTGCTGAAATCAGAAGCTAGCTGGCATCATCAGCACCAAGTAGAGCATGGAGCTGAGTGCACTTACAAAGCATGTTGGAAGATATGGACCCTGTCTCTTTAGAGATGACAAATCAAGAGGATACACAATCTTATTTGATGGGTGCTTTACTCAAGGCCACATCAGCTAGGAGATACAATTTGGAACTAAAATGATGTTAAAATATAATTTAGCCTCATCTGAAGGTTTGAAGGAGTCCATCTGTACCCCAATTACCCCCTCAAGCAGAGGTGCCCTTCCTCTAAGATCATTTATGTAAGTGTAACCCCCATTAGATTAAGTGGTCCATGAGGACAGTGGCTACATTGTATTTCTTGTTAAATGTGGCTGGCCTGTGGCTGCAGAGTAACCATCATACAGAGGATCTGTGTTAATCGGGATAGGCTAGGTCTTTTTATTGTAACAATAAACCTGGTAGGCTAAACACAAAAAGTAGTTTATTTCTGGCTCAGGTTACATGTCCCTTGTGGGTGAGCAAGAGGCTCTGCTCCACACAGTCACTCAGGATCTCAGGCTGACTGAGACTCCACAGTTAGCAGCCTTACCATCTGGAATAGGCAGCACTCTTATGGCTGCAGCCAGAAAACGGAAAACCACATGGGCTTTTCTATACTTCAGGCTGGAAGTGACACATGTCACTTCCAGAAAGTACTGCTCTTTAACCTGGGCCCCACACCTCAGGGGGATCTGGAATTTAGAGGGCCGTACCAGTGCCTGGGACTTAGCTAGGCCTGGCAGTGTAACACAGGAAGAGCACCCCAAGCCAAGACCAGGACCTACATGAGCTCTCACCCCCATTTTTACCCTTTAATATGCACTCTGACCCTCTATCCCATACATAGAGTTAACCAGAGTCCCAGAGCTCTAGGAAGCTCTGGGACTTGCACCTAGAGGGTCATCCTGGCACCACATGTCTGACTCTGGTTCTGGGGCTCGGGGGGATAGCCTAAAGGAGATTACTCCCAACAAGCAGTGTGATATTTCGTTTATGGAATTATACAAGACTGACTGCCAGAATGGTAACAACATGCTATTTTGGGTGATTCTCACTCACATTGGACACAAGACAAGCTCTGTGTTCTGAGCTACCATCTGTCCCCCACCATCTCTTGGGTTTAAGCCCTGTGTCTACCCCTGTGTCAGCTCTTACCCATCTGTGTTCAATTCACAACATCTCCGGTCTACAGCATCCAAGGGTGACAGAAGGCATTTTTTATTCTGTGTACCTCCCACTGCTGTCATGCAGTGCAATCATGTCACCCTTTTTGAAGGCTCTGCATCACATGAGAGAGAAAGTCTTGAAGAAAGGTGGAGATTGCCATTCTCCTTCAATGGATTTTTAGATCATTGCTGCTCAAAGTCAATAGGGTCTCCCAGTTGATGTCTTTTCTTGCTTCCAATTGTGCTGATATCATATTCTACCAGGTCTGTCTTAAGCCATGTCACATTAGGGACTAAACACCCCTTATGTGAATGGTACTGCACTTCTCACTCTACCTTTCCTGCCAGTGTCGGTGTGTGGAATTCAGGGATATAGTCAACAATGAAAGCAATAGTATTCTAAGAATGAAGTGATTATAGCCTAAGGAGTTTAAGAGAAACGTGGTTGGAAGATGTGCTATAATTCATTTAGACTACAAAAATCAGAACAGTACATTTAACATAACCAAAATTGAATTATCATTCACTCTTTCCTTCATACACTGGGTTAGACTTGCATGTGTGGTTATCATCAAAGAAGCACAGTAACAACTTTTGAGAGAATCATTCAAAGCCATTATTCAGGGTTGGTGGGATGGATAATGCAGCATCAGGAGTGATGCTGTAACCAGCATTGAACCCATGGAATTAGAAAACTGAAGAGGCATGAAGATCTACATTGTTTCAATACAAACAGCTTCCAATGGACCATGGCATTGTAAGTAATAATATTATTACCTTTTTCTCCCCAGTAGGAAATATAAAATTAGCCAAAAGTGGTGCATTTGCTAATAAAGAAGGCAAAAGATAGTTCCCCAACTTGAATCCAAAGAGATGGTGCCTGAACACTACAAAAAAATCTTCACTTGCTCTGACTTGACCAGCAATCAGGTACCTAAGTACCTCTTCTCTAATTGCTATTCTAAATCTTCGCTGATAAATAACTATAACTTACATGAGCCCATGAATTATATATACATTTTTAGATCAAATTGTTTATATAGAGCAAAATAGGTCCAGGGCACCTCACGCTTTGGGATGGCTCTGCTTCCTTTCACATTGGCCAGAACTAATCTCATGGCACTACCCAGTTTCAAGGTGGCTAATAAGTCTATTCTTCTGAGTGCTCAAAAGGAGAAGAGAACCAGATATTGGTGGTCATTTGTAATGTTTGCTAATGTTTGCCAACCACAAGGATGGAACTGGGTCTGTGGCTTCTGACAGTAGCCACATTTTAGCAACTATAAGTTGCTCTCTCTCTGGGTTGCAATTCCCTCCACTTATCCCACAACTATCTCCAAAGCCTTGTGAAATGGCTTTAAATCCTTGCCTTAGTTTTGCTATAAAGAACTAAGGATTTATCTCTCTCTCTCTCTCATCCTTCACCTCCCCCATACCACAGTCTATCATAGTGATAAGAGCATAAATACGGCATAAGGGAGAGACCCCAAGACTGCAGGAAGCAATTAGCAGAAACATGAGCTATAGCCTTAGACAGCCTAGAGATCAGGCTTTCAAAGCCAGGCAACCTAGGAGACAAAGGAATGATAGAACTGATAGAGAAACTTCTGAAGAATTTCCTACAAACACTAGAAGAGAGAAAAGAACCTCTAAGAGAGCTCTGAGGTCCTGATAATCTGAGGAGTAGGACCAGAAGCAATTATAAATTGGGGTACACTTGCAACAAAGTATCTGAAATTTGTTTTTGAATGCCTGTCTCCTCTCCAGAAGCCTACTCGTGGCTTAGTTCCTCAAAGCTGGATGTGACAGTTAGACTCCTGTATAAGGTCATTCTTGCGTTGCTATGAAGAAATACCTGAGACTGGGTAATTTGTAAGAGAAGAGGTTTAATTGGCTCATGGCTCTGCAGGCTGTACAGGCAGCATAATGCAGCATCTGCTTCTGTGGAGGCCTAATTAGGCTTACGATCATGGTGGAAGACGAAGAGAGAGCAGGCCCTCACATGGCGAAAGCAGGGGCAAGAGAGAGAGTGGGGTGGGGTTGGGGAGATGCCACACTTTACAACAACCAAATATCATGAGAACGAATTCACTATCACGAGGACAGCACCAAGCCATGAGGGATCGGTTCCCATGACCCAAACATCTCCCACCAGGCCCCACCTCCAACATTTGGGATTACATTTCAACATGAGGTTTGGGTGGGGACAAATATCCAAACTATGTCATTCTGCCCTGGGCCTCCACAAATCTCACATTCTTCTTAGGTTGCAAAATACAATTATGCCTTCCCTATAGCCCCTCAAATGTCTCAACTTGTTTCAGCATCACCCAAAAGTCCCAAGTCCAAAGTCTCATCTGAAAATGAGTTCCTTCCACCTATGAACCTGTAAAATCAAATCAAGTGATTTACTTCCAAGAGGCAATGAGGGGTATAGGCATTGGGTAAACATCCCCATTCTAAAAGGGAGAAATCCACAACCCATTTGGATTCTTCATCTGAAAATGAGCTTTGCTTTTATACCACATGGCCAGGCTACAATTTTTTAAAACTTTTACACTCTGCTTCACCTTTAAATGTAAATTCCAACTTTAAGTCATTTTTGCCACATCTAAGCATAAGTTGTTAGAAGCAGCCGCAGGTTGTTAGAAGCACCTCTTGAATGCTTTGCTTCTTAGAAATTTCTATCACCAGCTACCCTAAATCATTGCTCTTTAGTTCAAACTTCCACAGATCCCTAGGGCATGGACACAATGCAGCCAAGTTCTTCGCTAAGGCATAAAAACATCATTGACCTTTGCACTAGCTCCCAGTAAGCTCCTCATTTCCATCTGAAACCCCAGCTTGGCTTTTGCTGTCCATATCAGCATTTTGGTCACAACCATTTAACCAGGAAATTCCAAACTTTGCCTCGTATTCCTGTCCTTTTCTGAGTCCTCTAAACACTTCACATCTCTTCCTATTACCCAGTTCCAAAGTTGCTTTAACATTTTCAGGTATCTTTATAGCAATGCCCACTTCTTGGTACCAATTTTCTGTATTGGGCAATTCTTGCATTGCTATACAGAAATACCAGAGACTGGGTAATTTATAAGAAAAGCAGTTTAAATGGCTCATGGTTCTGCAGGCTGTACAGGAAGCACAGCTCCAGCATCTGCTTCTGGGGAGGCCTCAGGAAGCCCACAATCATGGCAGAAGGCTGTAAACCAAAAGTATCTGAGACAGGTCTCAACCAATTTAGAAGTTTATTTTGCAAGGTTAAGAACATGCCTATGACATAGCCTCAGGAGGCCCTTGAGAATATGTGCCCAAGGTGGTTGGGTTACAGCTTGGTTTTATATACTTTAGGGAGACATAAGTCATCATTCAATACATGTAAGATATGCATTGCTTTGGTCTAGAAAGGCAGGAAAACTCAAACTGGGGGACTTCTAGGTCACAGGTGGATTTGAAGATTTTCTAATTGGCAGTTGGTTGAAAGAATATACCTAAAGACCTAGAATCAATAGAAGGGAGTGTCTGGGTTAAGATAAGGGGTTGCAGAGACCAGGGTTTTTATTATGCAGATGAATCCACCAGGTAGCAGGCTTCAGAGAATACAGATTGTCTTAAGGTCTCTGTTTTAATGTTAATGCCAGTCAGTTGTGCCTGAATTCCAAAGGAAGGAGGCCATAATGAGGCATGTCCAGCCACCTATTCCCATCTTGGCCTGAACTCATGTTTCAGGTTAACTTTGGAATGCTCTTGGCTCAGAGGAAGGGTCTATTCAGTTGATTGAGGGGGCTTAGAATTTTGTTTTTGGCTTATAAGGTGAAGAGGGAGCAGGCATCTTACATGGCGGAAGCAGAAGCAAGAAAGAGAGTAGGGTGGAAGATCTGCCACACTTTATAACAACCAGATCTCATGAGAACTCACTCACTATCATGAGGATAACACCAAGCCATGAGGAATCCACCTCCAGGACCCAAATACCTCCCACCAGGCCCTACCTCCAACACTGGGAATTACATTTCCATATGAGATTTGGATGGGGACAAATACCCAAACTATATCAACTGACTTTCACCTTTATAAAGTTAATTCTAGCAGAGTGATACGGGGCACCATAAATGAGAAAGTGTGTTTATTTCCATGCTATTTATATGTTTTGGAAGACATTTTAAAGTACAGAATGGTCTTTGAATGGTGATCACTAGAAACAGTTGACAGCAAGTGGACAAGATATTGAGGTGGTAGACTTCTTGATATTCCTCCAACCTCACTATTTGCAGTTCTTCATCATCATCATAGTACTGATATATCCAGTCATCCTGAAATAATTTGCAGCTTAGGTATTGATCCTGGCCCATATAGCCCAGTCTGTTCTGCTTCCCTCACACTTTTGGGTTAGGTTCTAATATAAATTTTTTAATGCTCTAGAAGCACAGAGGGACATGTCTCAATGGCACTGATGGCTTGGAGAAATTCAGGCAACCACAATAATTATAATGGAAAGTAAACCTTTGAGTGGAGAGGGGAAGGGCAATGAGGCAGTGGGCAGAGGGCACGAGACCAAGGGAACTTGCGTACAGATGCAAAGCTGCTGGAACAAGTTGTACCTTAAAGATTATTTTCATGTGTGAAAAGAAAATAGAAGCTTGCATATTTAAGAGGAAGAGATTTCAATGTGTAAAAGTGAAATGTATACAACAAGAGTACAAGAATTAAATGAGGAAGGGCACATTAAATATGTGGCAATGCTTGAAGCTTTAAAATTTGCTATTTACAAAGACGTGGAATCAACCTAGGTGTCTATCAAGGGTGGATTGGATAAAGAAAATGTGGTACATATACATCATGGAATACTATGAAGCCATAAAAAAGAACAAAATCATGTCCTTTGCAGCAACACAGAAGCAGCTGAGCCAATACCCTAAGAGAATACATGCAGGAACAGAAAACCAAATACCACATGTTCTCACTTATAAGTAGCAATTCCCTCCACTGTCTCCAGTGGAGTACATGTGGACATAATGATGGGAACAATAAACACTGGGGACTATGACAAGGGGAGGCAGGGAGGCAAGGGTTGAAAAACTATTAATTCCCATGCTCACTACCTGGGTGATGAGATTAATCATATGCTAAACCTCAGCATCACACAATATATCCATGTAAAAAACCTTCACATGTACCTCTTGAATCTAACATAAAAGTTGAATTTTGTTTTAATTTGCTATTTAGCTCCTAGTTCAAATCCTGTGACCAGCCAGAATGCAAGTATCCCTCTAGTACACAATACCAATTTTTTAGAAAAATTGTGCTTCACTATAGCAAAATCAACATGTGTGATATGGTTTGGCAGTGTCACCACCCAAATCTCATCTCGAATTGTAGCTCCCATAATTCCCATGTGTCATAATTCCCATGTGCCAGGGACCTGGTGGGAGGTAATTAAATCATGGGGGTGAGTCTTTTCCATGCTGTTCCCATAATAGTGAATAAGTCTCATGAAATCTTATGGTTTTAAAAAAGGGGAGTTCTCCTACATAAGCTCTCTTCTGCCTGCTGCCATGTAAGATACAACTTTGCTCCTCATTTGCCTTCCACCATGATTGTGAGGCATCCCCAGACAAACTGAACTGTGAGCCACTTAAATCTCTTTCCTTTATAAATTACTCAGTCTCTGGTATGCCTTTATTAGTAGCAAGAGAACAGACTAATAGAGTGTGCAATCAATTTTCATGTTTCATGTCAGGTATAGTGTACAACAGGAGAAGGTCCTGAGACCAGTGCAACAGAGTTACTAGAGAATGAAAGAAGGTCATTGAAAGCAGCAGGTCAAGTATTTATTTATTTACTCAATAAATATTTATGAAACATCTACTATGCAGGCAGTATGCTGGGTGGGGAACATGTAGAAAAAAATAACACATAGTATCTCCATTAAGAAGCTTACCATCTGGAGTGGGGAGCCTGGGCAAGAAATACACAGATAAACTCTAATTATAATAGAATGTAACAAAATCACAGAACGCTATGAGATTAAGCAAGAGGGGAACTTAGTATAATTTTATGGGTTCACAAAACAATCCCCAGCAGTAGTAACTGGACTGAGAAAGGAAAGAAATGTAGGGCTTAACTTATTAAATGTGTAGAACTTGATCCAAGCAGAGGGAAAACCATGTGCAAAGCACAGAGACAATCAAGTACTTAGTGTGTTTGCAAAATGAATCTGTGTGTGTATAGAAGAGTGTGAGGAGGAGAATGCATAAAATAAATGTAGTCGTAAGCAGAGGTAAGATTATATAAAGGACATTGGAAGATATAAATTGGAATTTATAATGAGAGCAATGAGGAACCATAAAGAAGTATTGACCAACCTTAAGCAAAAAATTTATTCTGCTTTTGTCCAGAAATATAGTAGCACTTAGCACAGTTCATGGGATGAAGTCTCCACCTAAACAGATGGATAACACCTCCCCCATCACTCAAAATTTTGATTCTGCCAACAGCTCTTACCCAAAATTATTTGATAAAATTTTGTCTGTGAAAAGTAAATGACTTAGTTAATTTGTGCTCTTACCTATACAGCATTTCTCATCAATCTCCAAATACTGTCTTAGGGGAAATGTGGCTGCAGTAACTTCATCAGAATACCACAGACAAAATTACAGCAGTCCCTGCTTACCCATGGAGGATATATTCCAAGATGCCCAGTGGATGCCTGAAACCACAAATAGTGCCAAACCCTATATATATATACACACTTTTGTCCTATACATGCATACTATGATAGTGTTTAATTCATAAATTAGGCATAGTAAGAGATTATCAAAAATAACTAATAATAAAATACAACAATTTTAAAAATATACTGTTATAAAAGTTATGTAAATGTGCTCTCTCTCTCAACCTGACCCTAAGCCCCTCTCTCTCTCAATGTCTTACTATAATATACTCAGCCATTTTCAGACCTCAGTTGACCATGGGTAACTGAAATCTCAGAAAGTGAAACTGCCGTAAAGGGGACTACTATATATTCTGAACAGTAGACAGTCAACCCTAGTTTACAGCAGAAGATCATTGACTATCAGTTCTCCTCATTAAAAACACTAGAAAAATCTAGGACCAAGGCAAGCTACATTTGTTAGACTTACTGCAGTAAAGGAGAACATCACCTTGAGAGATCTTTAATAATGTCTCAAAATAGAAAATTAGGGCAGGGTATTTACAGAGTTTTAGGGTCTTGGTTGAGTGTTTTTCAGGTGAATCTTGCAATTGGAAAACTGGCTGAGATTGGGCAGAGGTTATTTTGTTTTGTATTTTGTTTTGTTTTGTTTTGTTTCAATAGCTTTGGAGTGGTAAGCACAGTGAGGCAGGGGTCTTGAAGCAAATTTTGGTAAATGAATAAACTTTTAGTCCTCATAAGTAAACTGTTTCATTGACTTGGTCTTTTCTTCCTTGAGAAGGCCTTTCTTGAAAGAAACAAAATTATGTTTACCTGGTCCTATGTTTACAGTTTCATATAGATGTATATGAATTTAATAGAGTTTCAATAACTAATAGATGTAATAAACAAGTGAAATATACAGTGTGTAGAGTCAAGGAAGAAAGTCTATCCCCAGTATTATGCAAGGGACAAGGAATATTGTTGATTTCAGTTCTCAGTAGCCACATAATTTCTTTTGACCATAGTCCCGTTTAAGCAATATAATCCCAGGTAATAAATGAAGAGAAGGAACATTCATGCAAGTTAACATGTGTAACATCCATCCTGTCATCATTAGCTACCATGAATAATTGAAAATTAAATACAGATAAATTTAAGAGGAAGGATAAAGGAGGGAATAACATAAAATGACCAACCTTTTAGTAAAGTCCAATATGTTACAAATATTCAGCTGGACACAGATTATGATGAGGATTAAATGAGAAAAGATAGGTGAATTCTATCATTACTCATCAGTGAAATTCCTAAGACATGAAAATAATCACAACACTCCACTTTTTACAAGCATATTATGTCTCTTCCTCCAAATCCCTAAAATATAACACAAGATCATTCCTGGTCTGGCCTCTCAGTCCATTATCTTTAGTACTCTACTCTCAGAAAACGTCATTCTACATGAAGTTCCCCCAAAATACATGTTGTTTTTTTTTTCAGAATTTTGAACACTGATGTGCTGTTCCTTCTGCCTACAGTGCTTCACCAATATTCCAGTCTTTCCCCACCCACCTGGATAGTTTCCATATATCTTTCAACAGTCAACTTAAGTATTGTGTCTTTAAGAAAACTTCTATGCTACCCCCCAATTATGTTGAGTTAAATGTTATTTTGCTTTGTTCCTGTAGCACCCCATGAATACCTGTCTCCCATAGCCAACTTCACACTGTGTTATAATTGTTATCAAACTTGCCTGCCTCTCCCTGCTACTCATCTGTGAGCTTCCCAAAGCCAAGGACTATGTTTTGTTCATCCTGATATTCCCCAGGGCTGTGCAGTATGACTGATATGCATTTGTACTAAACTATCTTTATTGAATATAATTGGAGAGTTTAAATCTCCTACATGAAAAGATATTGACTAGAATGGGTTTAAGTGAATTTTCATACTGTAGTAAATATATTTTTTATGTCTGTGTTTTATACTTTGAAAATTTTATTTCTGAAAAATATTTTATGGAACATTCTGAATTGTGATAAACCAAATGGAAAAATATTGACTCTTGAGAAAACTAAGTTTATTCCTTATGCATATAATGATTTAGCCTGTAGGGCTCTTTGTCAACCTGGAACAGTCAATTCTAATTAGGGTAAATTCACGTATCTACCTACTCAAATGGAAATAACAATATCTAATTTGGAAAATAAATCTCTCAAGCTGCAGGAAATTTTATCAGTGCTAAACAATCAATATGCTGATAGTAAAAATAAAAACCACACATGGAGAATCACAACCCATACCTCAAGTAAAGGACAATCATTTGATAGGATTGCCCAGAGATTAATTATAAAAGAGATTATATAAATATCTCAGTAGTATTTTAGAGAATTTAGTCCACTATATATAACTAAACAATTACTTTCAATTCTACTAATTGTATATAAATTTTTTAAAATGATAACAAACACGCAACTATAATGATGAAACAACCAAAGTTTTAATATGCAGTGATGTTAGGTTTGCCTTTAAAAACTGTAAGATCTAGTGGAAATAAGCACTTCATAGCTGAAGATAATGAAAAGCCATTGTTCTTCCCTCTGCTTTGGGCTCTAGTGCCCTTTCTGTTTAAGCTCAGTTTTGTCTGGCTCATCAACAACATGTGAGCAGAGAAGAAAGTGTAGCACGTATCTGTGCCCTCCTTTAACATCTGGTGTCTAGAATGAGTCTGAGTGAGGGTGAGTTGATCTCCCTTCGTGCTGACCATATGCCCAGTCCATTGCTGTGTCTTCCACCTTAGATTTTGAGCAGCAGTCCCATTTTCTGCTGTAACAAGAGTCTTTCCTGGAATCCCAGTCCAATTGTAGGATTCCTTGCAATGCACGGGGCTTGACAAGACCCTATATCCAGGATTTGAAATCTGCCCAGTGTGACCCAAACACTGACTATGAACCGAAGGATGACCTAAAACTCCACTCTGTGAAAGACTATTGGATACTATCTTATTCAGTGTGGGCTGCCCTAACAAAATACCCTAGAGTAGGTAGCTTAAAACAACAAAAATTTATTTCTCACAATTCTGGAAGCTGAGAAGTTTAAGGTCAAGGTACTGGCCCATTTGGTTTCTGGTGAGGGCTCTCATCTTAGTTTGGTGGCAGCTGCCATTTTTGCTGTGTCCTCACAGGGCACAGAGGGAAAGAGCAGGCTTTCTGGTGTCTCTTGTTTTCATACAGGGTCACACTCTGTCACCCAGACTGGAGTGCAGTGGCGCAATCTCAGCTCGCTGTAGACTCAACCTCCTGGGCTCAAGCGATTCTCCCACCTCAGCCTTCTGAGTAAGTAGAACTACAGGCGCATGCCACCATTCCTGGCTTATTTTTGCATTTTTTGTAGAGTTGGGGTTTTGCCATGTTGCCCAGGCTTGTCATGAACTCCTGAGCTCAAGTGATCTGCCTGCCTCAGCCTCCCAAAGTGCTGGGACTACAGGTGTGAGCCAACACACCTGAACAGTGTCTCTTCTTGTAATCACACTAGCCTCATCAGATCAGAGACCCAGCTTTATGACCTCACACAATCTCAGTCACCTCCTTACAGGCCCTGTCTCCAAATACAGTCATATTGGAGGCTAGGGCTTCAACATATGAATTTGTGGGAGGGGGGACACAATTCAGCCCATAGCAGATGCAATCTTTAATATAAATCAAGCATAAATCCTCCATGTACATTCAAGAACAACAATAATTGCTGCAACATCTACTATTTATTAAACACTGACTTTGGCCAAATTATTTTTAATTGTTAGGATATTTCTAGAGCAGATGTTACTTTTCCACACTTTGAAGTAGGGGAAACTGAAGGCTTGAGGTGGAAAACACCCTACCCAAGGCCACATAGCTACAAAATGATAGAATTGGAACTCAAATCCATGTTTGTAGGAATTGAAAACCCAAGTAAGATCCTTCTAAGATGCCCTTTTACATCGAAACTATAATTCAGATGACTGACCAATCCTCAGTCCTAGTCTCTTTTCCTTCTGGAACTGCCAGCATCGTGAGATTATAGTTTGCCTTATAGACATACCTGAATATTGACTATTATGGAGCTAACAATGAGTCAATCACAATATATTTATTTAACTTGGATGATCGGGTGCTGGGTAGAGCACTAGATTACTACTTATATATATCTACATATGCCTGAAAAGATGAACATAAAACCAACAGGCTCAGATGGTTCTTTGTTTATTCTAATCACATTTTGCAGGGCTCTGCATCTTTAATTCATCCTTTTATTTACAGTTCCATATTGCTCTTTGTGATATACCAGCTTTTTAACTGACCCCACATTTTTCTTTCTCTTTGTCTTCCCCAGCAAAACATCCATTCATTCTTTAATTCAACAAATATTTAATGATCCCTGCCCATATGAAACTTATATCTTAGCATAGTGAAACAGAAAATAACTAATAGATGTAATAAATAAGTAAAATATACAGTGTGTACAAATTATGACAAGGACTAAGGAAAAAGAAAAGGTACAGGAGATGAGGAGTGTGAGAGGAGAGGGACAGTGTGAATCTCTTTGATAGATTGATATTTGAACAAAGATATAAGGAGGTGATACATCTGACGGAAGAGCATTCTAGACACAGGACACAATGTGCACAAAGACTTTGAGGTGAAAACAGGCCTGGCACGTTTGAGGAACAGCAAAGAGAATAGCATTGCAAGAACTGAGTGAGCAGGAGCCAAGCCAGAGAGCTAATGGGATCACCAGGTACTGAAGGGCTTATAGGCCATTTTAAGGGCTTCTGTTTTTGCACTGAGTGAAATGGGAAGTCACTGCAGGACTCTGAGCAGAGGAGTGAGAAAGACCAGACTCATGTTTTTAAAGAATCAGCCTAGCTGCCGTATATAGGACAGACTGCAGGGTAATGGGGAAAGAAGCCAGAAGGCGAGGCAGGAAGCTATTACAATAATTCAGGATAACAGAAGCTTGATTGACCAAAGGAAGGGGTACTGGTGATGGGGATAAGTGGTTAGATACTAGATATATTTAGAAATTAAGAGAAGTCCGGTCTACTAACCCACCTCTGCCTCAGTTCTTGAGCCAGGGGACGAGAAGTGCATCGGCAAGCTTAGCCTTCAATGGAGAAGGCTGCGGTGCTTTAAATAACATCTTACACGCATAAGCCGTTATTACCTACCAGTAACACTCAGAGTGCATCTTGTAAGACAGGAAATCAAAGCACAGAAATATTAAATGACTTTGGCGAGTAAGTAAAAGAGTTGGGATTATTCTATCTGGCATAGCCAAAGTTGAACTCTGCATGCAGCCTTCATTAAGGCACACATTGCGGACTTGAGATCTGATGAATCAGGGACAAATAGCTACGGCTGGTGCAGCAAGGGTGAACCAGGCTGACCCCTTAAGTGCAGCAGTCCCCAACTCACCACTGAGGCAGAAACACAATAATAAAGCAATGACTGCTAATGAGCTTAATTCTGAAATGAATGAATCTCTGGGCACAAAGTGATTCTATACTGTAATGACCCCTAACTAGAAATACGAAAGTTTTACACACTCCCCTGTGTGCTTAAACTGTGTATGGCACATGATTTAACACTTTCTTAATGACTGGAGACAACGCTATGAACATTCACTGGGGCCCTGGGATCCAAGGAGCAGAGCCACTTAGCTTTAGGGGAGGTTTTGGTGAGGTTCCTTTTTTAAAGAGTATATTGAAGTTTGAAATGAGAAAAAGGGATTAAGTAGCTGGCAGAACATGAGGAGTGTTTTTGCAGCTTTGCCTCGGGAGAGAAAAAGAGAGTCGATTCCGAGTACAGCTGGGCCACTGGGACTGCATTCCTGCCTGTGAGGAGGACAGCCTGTCAATGAGCCAGAAGGGGCTAACAGAGGTAATGCTTCCTTATGATGGGCATTTTCCTGGGGGGAGCCAAAACCATATGTGAGGTTAAAAAAACAAATAAGGGCCCTCCTCTGCTTATAGAATGTGCTTATAGGTTGTACTTACAGGTTCTCAAGTTTTGCTATCATAAACACCCAAAGTACACCACGCCGGCAAGCTGAAGGCTGACAGGATAGAAAACTTGCACAAGACAGTTAACATTGTAGCGATCATCTTGCCAAACAGAGGGCAGCAATGCTTGTGTCTTGGTCGGAAAGGAGTTGGAGTGAAGTCACACAGGCAAGTGTCATTACTTGGTGTTGGGGTTTGACAGCCTGAGAGACCTCGGCAACATTGGAATTTGAAACAGAGGGCTTTAACTCCCAGTTAGAACAGTTTAAAGTCAGCTGGCCATGGTGGTTCACACCTGTAATCCCAGCATTTTGGGAGGCTGAGGCGGGTGGATCACCTGAGGTCAGGGGTTCGAGACCAGCCTAGCCAACATGGTGAAACTCTGTTTCTACTAAAAATACAAAAATTAGCCAGGCATGGTGGTGCACACCTGTAATCCCAGCTATTCTGGAGGCTGTGACAGGAGAATCACTTGAACCTGGGAGGCGGAGGCTGCAGCGAGCCGAGATCACATCACTGCAGTCCAGCCTGGGTGACAGAGTGAGAATTTCTCAAAAAAAATAAATAAATAAATAAAAAATAAGTAAAAAATAGTTTCAGGTCTTCCAAATGACCTCTCATTTGGATTCAGAATCCTATTATTTTTAAATGAATTTTTTTAATTCAATCATGATACATTTCGCTGCTGTAATAGGCAAAATTCTAAGACATTCTAAGACAGCTCCCAAGATTCTCACCCCTGGTGCATACAAACTTTCTCCCAGTTATTCTATTTGATCAAACATTAATCTAGGTGATTATTAATCTATAAAGGATTATACATATATAATTAAGGTCCCAAATTAGTTGCCATTAAGACAGAGAGATTCCCCTCAGTTGGACCTGACTTCATCAGGTGAAAACCTCAAGAGTAGAAGAGATTCAAAGTATGAGGGGAGCTCATTAAGAGAAAGATTCTCCGTTGCTCTCTCTGAAGATAGAAGGGGCCATGTAGCAAGGAATGTGGCTGGGATTAGGATCTGAGAGTAGTTCCCAGCTGACAGCCAGGAGACAAATTGGGACCTCAGTCGTACAACCACAAACAACTGAATTCTTCCAACAACCTGAATAAACTTGGAAGTGGAGGTTCCCGAGAACCTCTAGAAAGTAACACAGCACAGCCAACACTCTGATTTCAACCTGTGAGAACCAGAACAAAGAACACAACAATGCCATGCCTGGAATTTGTATACAGAAGTAAACTAAAAAATGAGTATTGTTTTAAGCTACTGAGTCTATGGCAATTTATTAGAAATCAATAGAAAATGAATACAATTGCTAAAAGCACATTTTGGAAAATAAATCACTAGTAGAACTATATACTTAATAAGATGATTGATATTTCTAAAGGAAGCTTTCCTTTACCTGGACACTTTCCTTCATTTGTGTCATACATCAGAAGATTATATTTTATATATTGGAGTTTCTTAAAGCAAGCTATATTTTTCTTACTTATGTTGCTACTATATGGTAAGCCTAAGACCTAATTTTTGCTGCAACATTTAGCCAAAATCAACTAGCAACAAAAAAAGAATTCGAAAAATTATTTTAGTAAATATGTTATAATTCAGAAACAATTTGTGAATAATTTAGTTTACCCCTTTTTTTTTGAGACAGAGTTTTGCTCTGCCGCCCAGGCTGGAGTGCAGTGGCGTGATCTCGGCTCACTGCAAGCTCCGCCTGGGCTACAAAGCGAGACTTTGTCTCACACACACACACACACAAAAAGTTTATCTCTAATTGATGTCTCTGATTTAAACTATTGCCTCCATTTTCTTCTTTCCTAATGAAGGCAGTTTACACCATTTAAATTTTTAAAATAATAAAAATAATTTTTAAATATTATGAATAATTTTTATGTTTATATATAAAATCCATTCATACAATTACCAGAAATGAAATATATTAGAAAGCCTTTTCAGAACTCAAAGGAAACAGGATATATAAAAATATAACAGCATTGTTCATAAAGGTAAAAGAAATCCCATCTAATTACAAAATTTGTCAGAATCAAGGACTTTTTAAAACTATAAATAAACATTTCAATTCTGAAATGTTGGCTTTCACAGCACAAATAGCTAAAACAATGTGGTTATACTCAAAATATTAAATATACTCAAGTTTTTAATTAAAGTTCTTACTGACAGGGATTTCAAAATGGTAAAAGGAAAAAAACCCTCTCAAATCTAAAAATGTATATATAAATGCATTTGCTAAGTGAAATATGTATGTCTCCCCTCCTATCCATTGTTTTAAAGGCAGGGATGAAAACAGAAGTATTAAACTCAGGCCTAGAGCTATGGGGAGAAGCCTGACTACTGTTGCTTAGAGATAGAAACTTCAAAGGCAAGGGTCCAGATTCCGTGATCATAATAAGATTTCCGACATTTCTTACAAGCTAATGAGGCACCTCCAGATCAAACCCACCAGCAACATGGTAGTATGTTAAAGAAGTTTAATTGCCAGAGAAAATTCAAACCTGGTCAAGAAGGTCCTGTGATTGCTCAGCTCCTAAAGCAATTCCTAGACTAATATAAACTTGCCAACAGACCTCATTCAGCTAAAGCAGTGAAGCCCTCATGTAATTAGGTACAACTCTTGACTACAAATGACAGTATACTGCTTAAGCAATAAGAGAATATTTTGAACTCATTCAGCTGAAAATTACATAAGAAACACTGAATTGTGACCCAGCTGGATGAAATGCACAAATGCTGGCATTGAAGCTCTCTCACTCTCTCCACGTAGCAGGCACAGGGTCTCCAGGGCCCCAAGACTCACAACCCACCAACCTTACAGCTGCAGTCATAAGAGAACATATTCTCCAAAAACCCCTGAAAAGGAGTTCTGAGGAGGAGTCTGACCCTCTGGTTTAGGTTCATGTGCCCATCCCTGTAGCTGGGAGAAGAAAGAGAAGAATGGGAGGTTTGGTAGGCAGAAGGGGTGTAGCTATGTCTCAAATATATGGAATGTGTTTCCTTTAGAGAGGCGAGATTTTGTGATCAGGAGAGGACTGTATGCTGGGAGACAAAATAAATAGAGGTCTTCAACACTTCAGAAGGTGAATCCTCATTGATGCCACTCTTGGGAATTGCCACTGGAAATCACAGACCAGGAAGATACTCCTGGCAAGCAGAACCTGAACAAAAATCAAGTCTATCCTAATACAGGAAATCAGACCACTACTAGGGCAAAGAGATCTTTGACATACCTATCTAGCAAATGTAATACAACCTGCAGGAGAGCAACTTCACTGTATTCATTCCCTTCTATAAAACAGAAAAAAAAATCATAGTTAAAAATGAGTGAGGGCAAATTCTGCAATATCATAGGTAAGTTTATAAGCAACTGGATTTATTGGGAAAACATACAAATCAAGGATTAAATTTAAGAGGCATATAGTCTGCATTGTCTTATTATCACAAAGAGAGGTCTAAAAATCAGTTCAGCATACTGATGGACACACCCCAGGTCCCTGCCCCCAGGAGAGGGATCCTGACTCTCCACTGTCATAACATGCAATCATGATAAATTTCAGATATGGGGTATAAATACAAAGGATGTAGACACCAAGTTGTCTGAGTATAAATGCCAACATGGCTAGGAGCCGTCTGAGAATGCTAGCTGCCATCACCTGATAATTTCTGAGTGGTGGGATGCTGCTGCTGCTGCCATTCCTGCTGCTGGAAAGGGGTTCCTGTTACAGTGGATAATTGGGTTCAGGCATAGCCCTTCCCTCTGGGAGAGGGCCAGCCTCTGCATCTAACTTGCTGAATAACCGTTTTCCTTCCAACATTCAATTTGGCATCTAGCCTTCAGTTGCAGGGTCAAGAAGAGCCACATTCAAACCTGACTATATGAAATAATTATCACCCAGAGATATTGGACTTGGAATAGAATAGAGAAACCAAATGCTATTTCTACGCCATCTCCATTTAGAGAGAGTGTAAGTAGGGGCTTTTGCTCTTATTCTTGGTGTTGAATGTGGGATCATTTGTAATGTTACTTGGGATGTTATTAGAACTGAGACGGAAATGCAGGTTTGCTGTAGGGGGGTCACAAACAGTGATATGCTGGGCAGCCCAGGCATAGCAAATTGTGGGCAGTGGCAGCTATTGGTTTTGGCTGTCCCACAGGGTTCCAGTGGGGATTTTCCCCATCCTCATCCTCTGGATAAGAGGACCAAGGGAAGGCCTAGTTATTCCTTTTTTCTGTAGATACAGTGATTGGGTGACTCAGAGGCTGATGTGTAGCCTAAGCAACTCCAGTTAGAATAATTCCCTGAAATTAACTGCAAGGTATATCTTGTCACATCCCTGCTCAGAACTTTATAGTGACTTCCCATCAGAGTCAAATCCAAACTCCTTACCATAGCCGATGAGAACCCGCATGATCTAGCCCCAGTTTCCACTGTCTTTTCTGCTCCTCATCACTTGCCACCTGGCACCTTGTCAACACACTCCGGCCATACTGTTTTTCTCTTAGTTCCTATAACATGCCAGGCTCTTTCCCACTTCAAGGATGTTTTCTTTGCCTCAAATTTTCTTCCCTTTGACTCTTTTTCTTTTTTGTAACTTTTTTAAAAATATAATTTCAAATTTAGAGAAAAGTTTAAAGAATAGTAAAATGAATTCCTGTATTCCTCTTGGATATTGTAATTGTGAATGTTAAATTGTGTGTGTAGATTCTTGCTCCTATTTTAATCCTCTTGAGATTGTTAATGTTTTTGTTTTAGCAAGCAAAAAACCTGGGTATATTCAGACTGTACTGTTTCTCACCTTTTGTGAGCCCTGATTTTAATCTTCATTTAGCTCGAAATCATCACTATGTTGGTCTACATTTGTCCTATGAATGTGTTATTTAGGGGTTAGGCTGAGACTTCTATAAGCAGTTCCAGTCTCAGTTCAGTTTTCAAAGCCTTAGCTATGCTGAATTGGGCCTGTTCTGTGCATGTATAGTTTATGGGTTAGACTGAGACTTTGTGCAGGTTTGCATGCAGTTAGGGAATCCTTTTCTCTGGATCCCTCCTCTCTGGGATTCTCCACACACCGCCATACTCCCAGACTCAGAAATGCTCCTTTTCCTTATACTCCGTTCAGAAAAAATATGGTTTCTATTAGAGTTTCAGCCATTCACTCATGTCAGCACTAAGAAGATATTATCCCATTGTTACCTGGTTTCTATTGTTTCTATTGAGAAGTTATCTGTTATTCCATTGGTTACATCTTTACAGGTAATATTCTTTTTTTTCCTGGCTGCTTTCAAGATTTTCCTTTAGCATTGCACTATAATATATTTAGGTGTGGGTATCTTTTTATTTATATTTCTTGGGATTCATTAAGCATCTTGAATTTGCAAACTGATGTCTTTAATCATTTCAGAAAATTCTCAGCATTATTTCTTCAAATTCTGCTGCATCCTCTCTCTGCTTTCTATCTGAGACTCCAATTAAACAAGGGTTAGACCATCTTACTCTATATGTCTCTTACTCTCCAGATTTTTTAATCCCTCTGTGGATTTTTTTTACAATTAAATAAAATTGGCAATGAATATTTTCTTCTGACATGTTCCAGTTCACCAATTTTCTCTTTGGTTATGCATAACTGAGCTAAATACCTTAGCAATTTTTGTTATGTTTTTCTTTTAGAAATAGAAACTCTAATTCTTTTTCAATCTGAAATTATGTGTTTTATCATTTTAAGTAACTTGCTAGAATTTTTAGATTTGGATTTTGATTTCTAAACCATTGTAAAATACCGATTTTACAAAGGATGTGTGATAATTCCACTATCTGGAGTACCTCTGGGTATGTTTCTCTTAACTTTTTGCACTTTATCTTGCTTACGTTGTCTTTCCTTCTCAGATATTTGATTATCTTTGATTGTATCCTGAACATGGCATTTGAAAAATTATTGTAAAAACAATCTGAGACCTCAGGTAATGTTATCTTCCTCTAATGTGGAATTTTGTCTGCTTCTGCCAAGTACCTGGAAGGTCTAGCAATCCAAGATTACCTTAATTCAAATTTTATGATTTGACATTTTCTGGACCACTTACATTACACCATACTCATCTATATCTGTGAATGGGCTGATTTAGTTATGGCTTCCTTAATACCCACGGTACATCCACTTGAGATTGCCACCCTGTGAAGATGTTCATTAGATCTCAAACTCTGACATATTCTCAACTCCAACTTTTGTTCCACTTACATCTCAAAAATATTTCAAAAGTGCTGGTTAACCTCTTTGTTGTCTCTTTCAAAGTGGCAAATGCCTGAAGAAAAACAATATAGCTTCAAATATTATGCTTGCTATTTCTTTTTTTTTTTTTTGAGACAGAGTCTTTCTCTGTTGCCCAAGCTGGAGTGCAGTGGTGTGATCTCAGTTCACTGCAACCTCCACCTCCCAGGTTGAAGTGATTCTTGTGCCTCAGGCTTCCAAGTGGCTGGGATTACCAGTATGTGCCACCATGCCTGGCTAATTTTTTTCATTTTTAATAGAGATGGGGTATTACCATGTTGGCCAGGTTGGTCATAAACTCCTGGCCTCAAGTGATCTGCCCACCTCGGCCTCCCGAAGTGCTGGGATTACAGGTGGGCTCACCTTTTTTTTGATTCTTCCTTTCCCAGATGTCATCTCAAAAGTTTTTCTACACTATTGTTTTTATTAAAAGATTGTAAATATTTTGTCCAGATTTTAAATCTTCTTCAGAAGTAGAATTTGTCTGAATTAACTAGTCCTCAGCAAGTAACTGTTTTTATTAAAATTGGAAGTCAGGCATAGAAACAAAAACCTAGGGAATACACCAAAATAGAATGCTTAGAATAGATATATGATCAGATCCTTAGAGTCAACTTGAGTTCACTTAGCCAATGAACCTGGAGATAACCAACAATTGAAAGCAAGAGTGACAGACCTTTTCCCCTCATTTAGTCTCAGCAGAACACGGTTTCTACAAGAAATAATATACAATGTTTGACCCCAAAGTCTGGTACTGATTTGGTCCTTCTAAGCCTGTGACCAGGATGGTAGGCAGGTCCAGGAAATCCAATGGTAAAGGAAAGAGTAAGCTTAAACTGTTTGACAAAAGGAAAATATGGCACAGAGAGAGAAAGTCAATTCCCCAAATCCAGGTGCTCTGATTCTAAAGTCTATGATACTGTTTGGGTATTTGTCCCTGCCTAAATCTCATGTTGAAATGTAATCCTCAATGTTGGAGGTGGGACCTAGTGGGAGGCTCCAGCCTCAGCTCAAAGGGGCCCAAGTACAGCTCAAGCCATGGCACCAGAGGATGCAAGTCATAAGCTCTGATAGCTTCCAAGTGATGTTAAGCCTGCAGGTGCACAAAATGCAAGAGTGATGGAGGCATGACAGCCTCCACCTAGATTTCATTGGATGTATGAGAAAGTCTGGGTGCCCAGGCAGAAGCCTGCTGAAGCAGTGGAGCCCTTACAGAGAACCTCTACTAGGTCAGTGTAGAGAGAAAGTATAGGGTTGGAGGCCCCACAAAGAGTCTCCATTGGAGCTCTGCCTAGTGGAGCTGTGAGAAGGCAGCCACTGTCATCCAGACCCCAGATGGTAGATCCACTGACAGCTTGCACCCTGAGCCTGGAAAAACCACAGGCACTCAACAACTCATGACAGCAGCCATGGGGGCTGAACTCTGCAAAGCCACAGGGGTGGAGCTGCTCAAAGCCATGGGAGCCCATCTCTTGCACTAGTGTGCCCTGGATGTACAACATGGAATCAAAGGAGACTATTTTGGAGCTTTAAATTTTAATGACTTCCCTGCTGGGTTTCAAACTTTCATGTGGCCTACAGGCCCTTTCTTTTGGACAGTTACTCCCTGTGGAAAGGGAATGTTTACCCAATGCCTATACCCTCATTGTATCTTGGAAGTAAATAACTTGTTTTTGATTTTATAGGCTTATAGGTAGAAGTGACTTAGCTTCTCTCAGATGAGACTTTGGACTTTTGAGTTAATGCTAGAATGACTTAAGACTTTGGGGGACTATTAGAAGGCCTGATTGTATTGTGCAAGGTGAGAGGGACATAAAATTGTGGACAAGGATGGAATTATATAGTTTGGATATTTGTCCCCATCCAAATCTATTTTGAAATGTAATATCCAGTGTTGGAGGTGAGGCTTGGTGGGAGGTGTTTGAGTCATGGGAGTGCATCCCTCATGGCTTGGTGCTGTCCTTGCAATAGTGAGTACTCTCAAAATCTGGTTGTTGTAAAGTGTGACACCTCTACCCCCCACTATCTTCTTTCTGCTTTTGTCATGTGAAGTGCCTGCTCCTGCTTTACCTTCCACCATGAGTGAAAGCTCCCTGAGGCCTCCCCAGAAACCAAGTACATGGCAATGCCATGCTTATACAGCCTGCAGAACTGTGAGCTAGTTAAATCTCTTTTCTTTATAAATTACCCAGTCTCAGGTATTTCTTTATAGCAATGCAAGACCAGACTAATACAGTCCATTTGTGTAATTACTACACTTTACTTCTAAAAAAGAAAAAAAAAGGATTGCTTAGACAGGTAGAAGCAAGATAGAGATTAAGTTATTAAAACAGAGAAAAATGGTTGATACTAAGTGATATAGCCCAAGTTATACATCTGTAAAATTACTAGAATCAGTGGGAACTAGGAACAATGATGACTCGAAATTCAGTTACTATCTTAGAGTTTCTTACAGTTTATCTAATTAATACAAAATCTAGTTTGAGCACTTGGAATGTGGCTGAGTCTTCAGACTGGGACTAAGAAACTCGATAGGAGCTTGACAACCATAGGAGCAGATGACAAACTGGATATTTTTCTACTTTTAAATGAATCCTATATCTCTTCTCTTTCATATGCAAATATAATGCTTCTGTCAGCTTGTCAAATTATTGCAGCAGGTTATAGCAATTTCTTTTTCAATAGACTTGTTTTTAGTAGTCCATTTACCTCTGAAGGTTAATCTCCTAAATGATTCAATTTTATCAGCAAATCTGTACTTTCGGTAAATTTCATACAGGTCTTATAATCTGCCACAAATTTCATTGGCAATTGTTTCATAATCTTTTAACTTCTGGCTGCAAGTGGAAATGCTTGTCTTAAATTCTGTTACTGATAAGTAATGTCAGCCAGCTAGTGGAGAGATTAATATATTCTAATATCTACATAACAGTTAAGAATTCCAAAAATTAGTACCGTTTATGGATTCAACAATTCTCACATTAGCTCTGTTTGTACCTTATAAATCAATGGCTTGAAAAGCTGCATTAACAAAAGTTAAATTCTATTTAAACATACATTTTCTAAGTATTTAACGTGACAAATATAGGAAACATTTAAATAACTATCAAATGTAATCATTAATATTTCTGACATCATGTCACCTTGGACTCCCAAAATTTAAGTATTTCTTTCTGAAGACTATTATTTTTAGTAATTCATATGTAACCTGAAAGTCCAACATTATAATAGCCCCTGCTTGCAAGATAGCAAGATCTCAGGTCCCCTCTCCTTGAAATTCCCTTCAGCAAGAAACACAGCATTCATATTCCCTTGTCAGTACCTGACTTTTCATCTTTCTTAAGTCTGGATTGCAATCCTCCTTCTATCCATGGAACTCTGCTCATTGCTCAGCTGCCGACATTTATGCAATTACTAGATCATCTCAGAGCTGCTGCTGCTGTTGCCACTTCTTCCACACTAGCCTCTATAGCAGCAGTTCTCAGTTTAGTTGTACATGAGAATCACCTGTAGTGTTTTCAAAACTGCTGCTACTCATGCAAACACCAGAACAATTAAATCAAATTTTCTGGAGAACTTAAGCAAAGTTATTGCTCTCTTCTCTCCTTTACAAGCATGGATACAGATTTTAATTAACTCTTTTCATCATAGTCCATACTACATTCTGCATCTAAACTTTACTGAAGACAGAAATAAGAGATGGGAAATACAACATTAAAAAAAAATTAAGGCATTTTATATAGCAGCCGTCTGAATCCATGCTTCCTGAATTAGTCTCATTGGGCTTTTACAGGCTCCCTGATTATTATTATGGGACTTTTGCAGTTTGCTTCCCTGTGTAGCTGCAAGCCTGCTTCCTTGTGGCAGAAAATTACTTCCCAGCACTGTTGCAAGTGCATATGAGAATACCTACAGTAGACTCAAGACAACATTACAAAGAAAGGAGTTCCTTCTTTAACCAACCCGAGGCCTGCCTTTCCATCCTCATTTTCTGTTCCAGAAAACTGGCAGTGGGAAAAATTTATCTCCTTCAGGGGCAAGTACACTTGGCACCCATGGAAGTCAGTCCTGTGACCCCAACAATCATAGCAGACAATCTCATCACAGCTGCATCAGCTTCATCTCAAGCAATATTCACAGAAAAGGAAAATTTTTTTTCTTTACATCTCACTTCCATGCACAGTAAAAAAAAAAAAAAAAAAAAAAAAAGACAATGGTTTTCATTTTTAACATTTCTCCATTATATATAGTGTATTTATACTCCAATGGATGTTGAGCATCTACAAACCAGCTTAGTTCTCTTTTATGGTCTTTCCTCTGCTTGCATTTCATCTGTTGCAGTTTTGTTTTTGTTTTTGTTTTCGTCTGAACTCCTGACTTCGCTAACCAACGACTCTAATATAAACAAATAAAAATAAGCACATTTCCACCCACATCTACACACACACACACACACACACACACACACACACACACACAGTGGAAGCATGTTGCAATTTAAATACAATACTGAAGGACTATCTGATTTCAAAACATACTGCAAAGCTACAATCAAAACAGTGTGGTACTGGCATAAAAACAGACATGTAGACCAATGAAACAGAATAGAGAGCCCAGAAATAAATTCACACATTTATGGTCAATTAACTTTTGACAAAAATGCCAAGAACGCACTATGATGTAATGACAGTCTCTTCAATAAATGGTGTTGTAAAAATTAAATATCCACATGCAGAAGAATAAAATTGGACCTGTATCTCAAATCATATTCAAAAACCAACTCAAAGTCGAATAAAAACTGAAATATATGATCAGAAACTCTAAAACTTCTAGAAGAAAACATAGGAAAAAAGCTTCATGACATTGATCTGGGCAATGATTTTTTTGATATAATCACAAAAGCAAGACAACAAAAGCAAAAATGGAATAGAATTACACCAAACTAAGAAGCTTCTCTATATAGCAAAGGAAACAATCAACTGAGTAAAGAGAAAATCTACAGAATGGGAGAAAATATTTGCAAACCACACATCTGGTAAGTGATTAATATTCAAAATATGTAAGAGATTCAACTCAATAGCAAGAAAGCGAATAATCTGATTTTAAAATGGACAAAGGACCTGAATAGACATTTCTCAAAAGAAGATATACAAATGGACAACAGGTATGTGAACAAATGCTCATTACTAATCAGGAAAGTGCTAATGAAACCCACAATGAGATATCACCTCACAACTATTAGAATGGCCATTATCAAAAAGATAAAAAGACAAGTGTTGGCAAAGATGTGGAGAAAAGAGAACCCTTGCACACAGTTGGTATAAATGAAATGTAACCTAGTATAGCCGTTATGGAAAACAGTTGAGAGATTCCTCAGAAAATTAAAAATGGAACCATTATATTATTATATGATCCAGCAATCCCATTTCTTGATCTATGTCTAAATGAAGTGAAATCAGTATGTTCAAGAGAGATCTGTGCTTCCATGTTAGTTGCAGCATTATTCGCAATAGCTAAGACATGGAATCAACCTGTGTGTCCATTAACGAATGAATGGATTTTAAAATGTGGTATATATACACAGTAGATGATATGGTTTGGATATTTGTCTCCTCCAAATCTCATGTTGAAATGTGATCCCCAATGTTGGAGGTGGGACCCAGTGGGAGATATTTGGGTCAAGGGGGCAGATTCCCTCATGAACGTCTTGGTACCCTCCACCCAGTAATGAGCTCATTCAAGAGCTGGTTGTTTAAAAGAATATGATATCTCTCTTGCTCCTGTCTGTCTTGCTCCCTCTTTTGCCATGAGATGCCTGCTCCCCTTTTGCCTTCCACCATGATAATAAGCTTCCTGAGGACCTCACCAGAGGCACATGCTGGTGCCATGCTTCGTGTACAGCCTGCAGAACTATGAGCCAAATAAACCTCTTTTCTTTATAAATTATTCAGTCTCAGGTATTCTTTTATAGTAATGCAAAACAGAATAACAAGGCAGAATACTATTCAGCCATTAAAAAATGAAGAAATCCTAATATTTGTAATGACATGTATGAACCTGGAGGACATTATTTTAAGTGAAATAAGCCAGGCACTGAAGACAAAAACTTATATATATAATGTAAAAGTCAAACTTATAGAAGCAGAGGGTAGAATGATTGTCCACAGGGGCTAGGGCAGTGTCTGGGATTGAGAAGATCAAAATTTTAGTTAGACAAAGGGAATAAGTTCAAGAGATCTATTGTACAGCATGGCAACTATAGTTAATAATAATGTATTGTGTGATTGAAAATTGCCAAAAGAGTATATTTGGTGTTCTCACCACAAAAAATAATGATAAGTATGTGAGGTAATACATATTAATTAGCTTGATTTAGCCTTCCACAATGTATACAGGTTTTAAAACATCATGTTGTGCACAGTAAATGTGTACAATCTTTGTTAATTAAAAAATAAATAAATAACATTTTTAAAATTAAAAACTACAAACATAGGGAAGAAATCTCTCTCCAAAGGAAACAGCTATGCAGAGAAGCAACTCTGCCTGCAATATAAAGACAAATTTTTGCATTATCCCAAAGAGTTATTTAAACCTTAACCGAGTTTATTTGCCATTTTTCAAACTTTTTTCTCATTACGTTTTGTTCTACATTTGCATACACAAGTGACTTTCTGATAAGAAAGAACATTCCACAGCAAATATGCATCCATATCAGAGCCTCTTGCAGGAGACAGATGATTTGCAGCTTTGACATGACAGTTCTTTATTATTCCCTACAATATTTTAAAGATCACAGAACCCATTTTCCACTTCTGCTGAAGCTCCAGGTATGATATATTCTTCTTTCCCAAAGCAGCCTCTGCTAAAGGAAGCTTTTCCCAAGCACAGAGCCTAGGAGGGAGAGCTCAGCACTGATAAGAGCTGAGGTTGATTTCTGCCTGCCTGTCCACAACTTGCCCCAGAAACCAAAGCTTTTTCTCTCAGTAACTGGTAATTGATTCTGACAAGGATTCTCAGTCTTCAACTGGGTTTAGCTCAGAACACTTGTTACAAATATACCAGGACACTTAACCCTGAATTTTCAATTTTATAAGAATTTCTTACAAGAAAAATTAACAAATATATAATTTTGTGGGGTTTTATTATACAATTTATAAATGCAAACTATAGAAAACTACAAAATATATCTATGAAAAAAAAGCATTACTATTAGGCCCACCACCCAAATATTACTACAGATCGTTTGTAAATCCTTCTTCCTACCATTTTAGGGGATGTATGTATTTATTAAACAGAGAAGTAGAACAAGAATTACAAACACTTTGTGACCTCTTTTCTCATGTCAAAAATTGATTTTTTTTCTATGCTAGTAAACATTCTTCTGCAATATCGCTTAATGATTACATGGTATGTCAAAATTAATTTATATAACCAGTGACATATTATTAGCAGTACTGTGATCACTACTGGGTGACAAGATCAATTGTACCCCAAACTTCAGCATTATACAACATATCCATGTAGCAAACCTGCACGTGTACCCCTTGAATCTTAAAGTAGAAGTTGAAATTTTTTTTTAAATGCAATTAGGTTGTTTGCTGGTTTTGTTATTACAATCAATGTCTTTGTTACACAATCTTGGCACATAACCATGATTCTTTCCTTAGGATAAATTCCTAAACACAAAAATACTAGATTGAAAGTTATGTAAATTTTGTTTTATTTTTAATTGTATTCGTTTTTAATGTTTAAGTTCAGGGGTAACTGTGAAGGTTTATTATATAGGTAAACTGTGTCATGGGGGTATGCTGTATTGATCATTTCATCACCCAGGTGTTAAGCCTAGAACCCACTGGTTATTTTTCCTGATTCTCTGCCTCCTCCCACCCTCCACCTTGCAGTAAGCCCCAATGTCTGTTGTTCCCCTCTGTGTCCATGTGTTCTCATCATTTTGCTACCACTTATAAGTGAGAATCTGCAGTATTTGTTTTTCTGTTCCTGCATCAGTTTGCTAAGGATAATGGCCTCCAGCTCTATTCATGTTCCTGAAAAGGATGTGATCTTATTCTTTTTTATAGCTGCATAGTATTCCATGGTGTATATGTACCACATTTTCTTTATCCATTCTATCACTGATGGGCATTTAGGTTGATTCCATGTCTTTGCTATTGTGAGTATTGCTGCAATGAATATATGCATGTAAGTGTCTTTATGATACAATGATTTATATTTCTTTGGGTATGTACCTAGTCATGGAATTGCTGGGTCAAATGATATTTCTGTTTTTGGGTCTTTGAGGAATCGTCTCAATGTCTTCCACAATGGCTGAACTAATTTACACTCCCGCCAACAGTGTATAGGCATTCCTTTTTCTCTACAACCTCACCAGCATCTGTTATTTTTTGACTTTTTAATAATTGCCATTTGACTGGTGTGAGATGGTATCTCATTGTGGTTTTGATTTGCATCTCTCTAATGACCAGTGATAGCTTTTTTTCATGTTTGTTGGTGGCATGAATGTCTTCTTTTGAGAAGTGTCTGTTCATGTCCTTTGCCCATTTTTTAATGAGGTTGTTTGTTTTTTCTCTTGTAAATTTAAGTTCCTTGTAGATGCTGGACATTAGACATTCATCAGATGCATAGTTTGCAAAAATTTTCTCCCATTCTGTAGTTTGACTGTTTACTCTGTTGACAGTTGTTTTTAGTTTTGAGTTTGTTTGTTTTTTGTTTTTGCTGTGCAGAAGCTCTATAGCTTAATTATATCACATTTGTCAATTTTTGTTTTGGTCGCAATTGCTTTGGCATCTTCTTCATGAAATCTTTGCCTGTTCCTATGTCCAGAATTGTATTGCCTAGGTCGTCTTCCAGGGTTTTTATAATTTTGGGTTTTACATTTAAGTCTTTAATCCATCTTGGGTTGATTTTGTGTACGATATAAGGAAGGGGTCCAGTTTCAATCTCTGCATATGGCTAGCAAGTTATCCCAGCACCATTTATTGAATAGGGAGTCCTGTCCCCATTGCTTATCTTTGTCAGATTTGTCAAAGATCAGATAGTTGTAGGTGTGCTGCCTTATTTCTGGGTTTTCTATTCTGTTCCTTTAATCTGTGTGTCTGTTTTTGTAACAGCACCATGCTGTTTTGGTTACCATAGCCTTGTAGTGTAGTTAGAAGTAGGTAGCATGATGCCTCTAGCTTTGTTCTTTTTGTTTAGGATTACCTTAGCTATTCAGGCTCTTTTTTATTTCCACATGAATTTTAAAACACATTTTTCTAGGTCTGTGAAGAATGTCATTGGTAGTTTAATAGGAATAGCATTGAATCTATAAATTGCTTTGGAGAGTATTGTCATTTTGAAGATATTGATTCTTCCTATCCATGAGCATGGAATGCTTTTCCATTTGTTTGTGGCATCTCTGATTTCTTTGAGCAGTGTTTTGTAGTTCTCATTGTAGAGATCTTTCACCTCCCTGAATAGCTGTATGCATAGGTATTTTATTCTTTTTGTGGCAATTGTGAATGGGATTGCATTCTTGATTTGGCTCTCAGCTTGACTGTTGTTGGTGTATAGGAATGCTAGAGATTTTTGTACACTGATTTTGTATCCTGATACTTGGCTGAAGTTCTTTATCAGCTGAAGGAGCCTTTGAGTCAAGACTATGGGGTTTTCTAGATATGATTATGTTGTCTGCAAACAGAGATAGTTTGACTTCCTCTCTTCCTATTTGGATGCCCTTTATTTCTTTCTCTTGCTTAATTACTCTGGCAAGGACTTCCAATGCTGTGTTGGGCAGGAGTGGTGAGAGAGAGCATCCTTCTCTTGTGCTGGTTTTCGAGGGGAATATTTCCAGCTTTTGCCCATTCAGTATGATATTAGTTGTGAGTTTGTCATACGTGGCTCTTATTATTTTGAGTCACATTCCTTTAATACCTAGTTTATTGAGAGTTTTTAACATGAAGAAATGTTGAATTTTACCAAAAACATTTTCTGCATCTATTGAGATATAATCATGTGGCTTTTTTCTTTAGATCCACTTACATGACGAATCATATTTATTGATTTGCATATGTTGAACCAACCTTGCATCCTGGGGATGAAGCATATTTGATAGTGGTGGATAAGTTTTTTGATGTGCTGCTGAATTCGGTTTGCCAGTATTTTGTTGAGGATTTTTGTATCAATATTCATAAAGAATATTGCCCTGAAGTTTTCTTTTTCTGTTGTGTCTCTGCCAGGTTTTGGTATCAGGATGATATGGGCCTCATAGAATGAGTTAGGGAGGAGTCTCTCCTCCTCGATTTTTTGGAACAGTTTCAGCAGGAACAATACCAGGTCTTTTTTTGTATATCTAGTAGAATTCAGGCTGTGAATCTGTTTGGTCCTGGGCTTCTTTTTTTTTTTTTTTTTTTTTTGGTTGGAAGGCTATTTTAGGCTGATTCAGTTTTGGATCCCATTATATGTCTGTTCAGGGATTCAATGTCTTCCTGGTCAGTCTTGGGAGGTGTATGTGTTCAGGAATTTAACCATTTCTTCTAGACTTTCTAGTTTATGTGCATAGAGGAGTTCATAATATTCTCTGATGGTTATTTGTATTTCTTTGGGGTCAGTGGTAATATCCCTTTGTTGTGTCTAATTGTGTTTATTTGAATCTTCTCTTTTTCTCTTTATTAGTCTAGCTAGCGGTCTATTTTATTAATTTTTTCAAAAATCCAGCTCCTGGATTCACTCATCTTTTGAATGGTTTTTTTGTGTCTCAATCTCTTCCAGTTCAGCTGTGATTTAGGTTATTTCTTATCTTCTACTAGCTGTAAATTTCTAATTTAAAAAATGCATATGCTAAAACGCTTTCAAGCAAGCTTCATCCAATTTACCCTCCTCTCATTTAAGCACTTTTGCCAATATAGGGTATTATTTGATTTTTAATATTTTATAATTTGATACATAAAAATATGGAATCTCACTCTGTCTCACATCATTCATGTGTAATGTCCTATCTGTGATTACTTGAAAAGTTGAATTTTTTATATTGTAGGCCAATTGTTTGACCTATTTTTTGAATTGCCTGGTGCTGTTTTTGGCCATCATTGTTTCATTTTCTCTGACTTTTTTGTTTTTGTTTTTCTCTTTTTTTTCTTGAGACATAGTGTTAGTCTGTTGCTTTTTTTCTAAATTAGGCATTCTCTTTCCATTTTTCATATATTTGTCACTTTCTTATAGATTTATAAGACTTCTTTTATGTGAAAGATGTTAAAAATACACTGCCTTCCTATATATGTTGACACGGTTTCATTTCTTTCTTTTTAAAAAGATCAGTAGTTTAATATTGATTTATTCAATCAATATTAATAAGTGTGCAATAAAATCAACCAAATTCTGCTTACTGGTTTCTGTCTCTGATGTCATACTTGGAAAATCTGCCTTTCTAAGATTATGTAACCATTTATTTTCTTCTATTAATTTTGTTATTTCAATTTTTAATAGCTAAAATATTAACCCATCTGGAATTTGGATGGTGTATGGAATAGGTAAGAATCTAAATTTTTTTAACGATGGATCAATTGTTACAAAATTAGTTTGTATCAAACTCATTCTTTTCTCACCAATTTAGAATATTACTTTCATCATATATGAAATTCTTAAATATAACTTTTTATGGGGTTTCTAATCTCATTGAACTGTCTTTCTCTTCCTCTGCCAATACCAGGTGATTTTAATTTTAATTGTGTTTGTCTTTACTCATCTTCTTTCTTCATTTTCCTCAGAAAAAAAGGTTTAGCTCTTCTCTAAAATTTAATTATTAAAATTAACTTTAGAGCCACGTTGCAAAGTTGGGATTCCAATGGGAATTGCATTCTATTTGTGTAGTAATCTGAGGAGAATTTACTTCTTTACAATATTAATATTTCACACCCAAGAACATCCACTTAATCAAGATTCTTTTATGTTCCTCTACTTATTTTGTAGTTCTCTTCAAGAAAGACTTGAACCTTTTCATGAGAGTTATTCCTAAATATTTTCTAACTAAATTTTAAAAAGAGTTAAGATCTTGGTAATCCTGTCCTAATTTCTAAATATGGTCTATGTGCTTCAGCTATAGTCTCCTACACAGTGGTTCTTAAGAACTCTAAACCCTGAGATGAGGGGGAAAATCAATTGTACATCAAAATAGTAAATACTTGGTAATGAAGCAGTGTTACAGATTTTTATTCCGTCATTTCTAAATTTTCTTTATCTTTATATTTAAAAATAAGTTTAACATGTGAATGAGAGACCTATCACTTAAGACCCAAAACTCCCACACTTTCCATTTATGTCAATATATTATACATAGGTGTAGGCACCAAAAATTTTTGTGGTTAGTCACCCAAACTAGATTATAAAGGCTTTAATATTTCCCTGCACCTTTTATTCGTTATTCTTCATGGCTCCTAGTACAATATCATGAAAATAGTAAATGCCCAGTTGATGCCTCCTCAAGGAGTTATCAAGTGAATTGAGTGACTAAAGCAGAAGATGGAAAGAACTACAAAATTTGATGTGGCACATCAAAATAACTTGCGCACTGTTTTGTTTTTAAATTATAATTCTTGTAGGCATGTCTATGTCTTCAACTAGACTATAAGTATGTTGTCACTAGGAGCTGTATCTCATATTCCCTTTATGTATTCTCATATTCCCATCAGAACAACTTAGGGACAAATCATGGATTGATTAAAAATAAAACTTCATATGCTAAAGAACCAAAACCACATAAAAATGTCAAAGAAGACAAAATAGAGAATACATCTGCATCCTAAACAAGCATTTTTAGAGCCATTACCCACATTTTAAATAGGCCAAAGTGTCTCAGTCTGAGGAAAAGGATTATAGCAAAGCAAGCATTGTTTTTGGTGGTGGCAGTAGTCTTCACTTTTTGTTATATTAGAAAGTGCAAGACAATAGTCAGGCGTGGTGGCTCACGCCTGTAATCCCAGCACTTTGGGAGGCCTAGGCAGGTGGATCATTTGAGGTCAGGAGTTCGAGACCAGCCTGACCAATATGGTGAAACCCCATCTCTACTAAAAATACAAAAAGTTAGCTGAGCGTGGTGGTGGGCACCTGTAATCCTAGCTACTTGGGAAGCTGAGGCAGGAGAATCGCTTGAACCCAGGAGGCAGAGGTTGCAGTGAGCCGAGATTGTGCCACTGCCCTCCAGTCTGGGCAACAGAGCGAACTCCGTCTCAAAAAAAAAAAAAAAGAAAAGAAAAGAAAAGAGAAGAAAAAGAAAAAGAAAAAGAAAGAAAAAAAAAGTGCAAGAAAGTAACAAGAATGTTTGTCATTTTTTAAAAATGAAACCTCGGCCGGGCGCGGTGGCTCACGCCTGTAATCCCAACACTTTCGGAGGCCGAGGTGGGCAGATCACGAGGTCAGGAGATCGAGACCATCCTGGCTAACACAGTGAAACCCCATCTCTACTAAAAATACAAAAAATTAGCCGGGCGTGGCGGCAGGCGCTTCCCAGCTACTCGGGAGGCTGAGGCAGGAGAATGACCTGAACCCAGGAGGTGGAGCTTGCAGTGAGTCCAGATCGCGCCACTGCACTCCAGCCTGGGCGACAGAGCGAGACTCAGTCTCAAAAATAATAATAATAAAATAAAATAAAAAATGAAACCTCTAGACAATATATTGTAGAACAGATAGATACAAATGCGGGTCATCTCTTTGTTTTTGCTGAGTCTGATAACATTAAGGTGAACACTGAACAGCCATCTGCTAAGTAATTAAACCTGCCGCTTATTAATGTAACTCTTGTATTAGTTCAGCATTGATGAACAATTTAATGGGTTGAGAAATTGCAGATTCAATTTCCTGTGTCACTACTCTCTCGTGTTCCCATAATCAAGTTAGATATGTTTTTACCCAAAACTATGTTAAATCAAAATAGTGTTAAAAAGAAGAGTCAATATTCTGATATACCACAAGATGGGGATGTTACTCCATCTTAAATGTCCCCATTGCCCTGCTCCCGCATCCCAACCCCTGTTTTGTTTCAAGATATTTAAAACTCTCCTGAAGACTAAATTTGGGTTTTCTTTCTCAAAAATTAAGATTTCAGATCATCTATGTTTCCAAATGAAGTTAGAATCAAACCATCTATAAAACAAAATGGAAACAGGGATATCCACTTTAAAATGTGTCAGGGATACACGCTTTAAAATGAGTGTATCTTTGTTTTTCTGCAGATTATATGCATTTGAATTTTGAACGGAGCTTCATGGTGGGCGTGTGTGTGTGTGTGCGTGTGTGTGTGTGTTTTATTCCGCAGGTGCTTGTTATCCTGTCTCTTCATCCACATGAAAGCCTCCTACATAGTAATTTTGTGAGTCCCTGTAATTGTCTCTCCCTTTTAGCTGTGCTAGTTCACATTTGCAACTCCAGTATGAAGTGAGTATGTGTGTTTGCGTTTCTTTGTCTTGTGAACATGTGACTGTGTCATCCTTTGTTTCTATTCTTCCTTATCTCTTCTGTTTTTCCATTTAAAAAAATCTTAATACAGCAAAGGTATCTGGTAGTCTATAATGATGCTAAAAAATTTCTTTCCTTTCACCCACTATGTCTCTCCATAATAGTCACTAAAGGTCTGATTTTTAAAATTAGTTGTTATTATCAAATTGAATTAGGAAATGAGAATATTTTATATGTTTTATATGCTCCCTGGTGTGTCTTGCATGTATGTGTGTATGTTTATTGATTTTTTTATTCCTCTGGGTGCTTTGTATTTAATATAAGAGGGGTTCCTTATTCAATTGTTTTACATACTCCCTGGACACTGACTTAAAAGAAAATCTCCTTTTGATCCATTACGTCAGTCAGAAATCGCTGTTTCCAGGGGAATTTAAATTGGTTTTCTCAGCAATTTATTATTTTATAAGAAGCTTGGCTACCCTACTAATCAAAATTTTATATTCTTATTTAACATGGGATTAAATTGCCTAATTCTACTATCAAATTCATAAAATATTTTCTTTTAAAAAAGTAACTATGTTCTTTCACTCCTATTCAACATTACACTGAAAATCCTAGCTGATAAAACAGGACAAGATAAAGAAATAAAAGGCATAAGATTGAGTAGAATAAATAAAACTGTCTTTGCCCATGGATGACATGAATGTTTAGGTAGAAAATTCCAAAGAATCAACACACAAAAAAACTACAGGAACTAATAAGTGATTATAGAAGGTTTCAGGATACAAGGTTAATATACAAAAGTCAATTACTTTCCTATACCAGCAATGAACAACTGAAATTTGAATCTAGAAACGCAACAACATTTACATTAACACTGAAGAGTGAGAGAAGAAATACTTAGGCATAAACCTAACAAAATATATACAAATCTGTAATAGCAAAACTACAAAACTCTGATGAAAGAAGATTTAAATAAATGGAGTTATTCCATGCTCATGGATAGGAAGACTCAATATTTTCAAGATATCAGTTCTTCCCAGCTTGATCTAAAGTGTCAAGAAAATCTCAACCAAAATCCCAGCAAGTTATTTTGAGAATTGATTATTAAGAGATTCTAAAGTTTACATGAAAAGGCAATAGAGCCAGATTAGTTAGTGCAATGCTGAAGTGGAAGAATGAAGTCAGAGAACTGACACCACATGACTTGGAGATTTACTATAAAGCTATAATGATCAGAACAATGTGGTGGTGGAAAAAGAATAAACAGATAGATCAATGAATAGAGAGCTCAGAAATAGACCCACACAAGTATACTCAACTGATCTTTGACAAAGGAACAAAGGCAATTCAATTGAGAAAGAAGAATATTTTCAACAAATGATGCTGGAACAATGGAACATCTACATGCAAAAAAAAAAAAAGAAGCTAGACACAGACTTTACACCCTTCATAAAAATTAACTCAAATGGTTTCATAAGCTTAATTGTAAAATTAAAGCAATACAACCTCTAGAAAAAAAAAAAAAACAACAACATTGTAGAAAATCTAAGTCACCCTGGGTTTGGTGATGACTTTTTAGATAAAATACCAAACGTATGACTCATGAAAGAAAAAAGTAGTAAGTTGGACTTCATTAAAATTAAAAGCTTCTGTCGGGTGTAGTGGCTCATGCCTGTAATCTCAGCACTTTGGGAAGCCAAGGCAGGCAGATCACTTGAGGTCAGGAGCTCAAGACCAGCCTGACCAATATGGTGAAACACCATCTGTACTAAAAATATAAAAATTAGCCAGGCATGGTGCCACATGCCTGTAGTCCCAGCTACTCAGGACTCTGAGACACAAGAATCACTTGAACCCAGGAGGTGGAGGCTGAAGTGATCAAAGATGGCACCACTGCACTCCAGCCTGGGTGACAGAGCTAGACTCTGTCTCAATAAATAAATAAATAAATAAGTACTTTTACTCTGCAAAAGACACTGTTAATAAAAGGAAACAAGAAGACACAGACTGGGAGAAAATATTTGCAAAACACATATCTAATAAAGGACTGTTATCCAAAATATAACAATAACTCTTAAAACCAGAGACTCAAGGGGGAGAAAGAAAGGGACGTAGGGAATGATGAAGAGATGGTGTGAAAAGGATTTTTAAGCAAGTGAAACCATTGTGTATGATACTCTAATGATAGATGCATGACATTATGTATTTGTCAAAATTCATAAAACTATACAATACAAAGAGTGAATCCTCATGTAAATCATGACCCTTAGTTAATAATAATGTAACAATATTGATTAATTATAACACATATGCCACACCGAGATGTTAATAATTAGGTAAATTGTGGGGAGGAATATGGAAGAGGGGGTATATGAGAACTCTCTGTATGATCTGTATAATTTTTCTATAAACCCAAAAGTGCTCTAAAAGTAAGGGCTATTAATTTTTAAAAAAGGAATGTCACATTTTATACTACCTTTTAATGGCTATTAGTCAAAGTAGCCTTATTAAATTAATTGAAACTCTATTAGAATACTGCTAGTTTCAAAGAAAATTCAGAATAAGGTCCATCCATCTAGATAGTTTAGTCATCCAAGGTAATTTACTACATTTTAAAAGTTTTTATCACAAGACATTTGCATTACCTACTGGATCCAAGATTCTATGATTGGATGGGAAAACTCTAGTAAACATCTCCCTAATATTAAAGATGCAGTTATGGCCATAAATTCCATAAGAATTATGTCTTATGTTAACATAGTCCATCCCACCTAGTCTTAGGCATATATCTTTTAAATGTTTATCAAGTAAATGACTGCATAAATGAATAAATTTCTTTTGTTTTTTTTTTAGACAGAGTTTTGCTCTTGTTACCCAGGCTGGAGTGCAATGGCGTGATCTCGGCTTACTGCCACCTCTGCCTCCCGGGTTCAAGCGATTCTCCTGCCTCAGCCTCCCAAGTAGCTGGCATTACAGGCATAAGCCACCACACCTGGCTAATTTTTTTTTTTTTTTTTTTGTATTTAGTAGAGACGGGATTTCACCATGTTGGGCAGGCTGTTCTTGAACTCCTGACCTCAGGTGATCCACCCACCTCTGCTCCCAAAGTGCTGGGATTACAGGCATGTGCCACCACGCCCAGCCATAAATGAATAAATTTCTACTTGGGTTGTATAGCGACATAAGTCCTTTCCATTGATTTTGGGATTTTATCTACAGCAAATAAATGAAGTACATGGTATTCTTTATTATTCTTCCTCTTGGACTCCATTGAACAAAAAGATAATTATAAGTCTCATCTACAAATTCTTTAATTCATCTTTCCTAAAAACTAACAGAAGCCAAAATCTGTAAACCTGTTATCATTTTATTAGAAACTCAAACAAGTGGGGATCTATTGTCACGGATGTTTTAAGAATTTAAGTCTCACAACAAACCATTCCATCTTATGAATTAGATAAAGAGAGTTCTGGTGAAGATTCATTGCAAAAAACTGTGATTATTCACTGAAATTGCAATCTGTATTGAGATAAGAGGTTGATTTTACCATAGTGATAATTAGCTTATCACCTCACTAACGTAGTTCAAATAAACCAAACAAATATAACAATTACGCAGATTTTCTTAAAACTAGAGAAATTGCTAAATGTCACTTAAAGTTGTCAAAATTAATTTTACAGATAAAAAGAAAATGGTTAAACAAGTTATAACACAATTCAAAATTTCAATTAGCCTAGATTGATGGATACACTGATCTAAAAACATAGAAAAGTAGTGTTGCTTGGAAATACAGTGTTTAGATTTACCAAAATTTTTAATAGTGGTAGATTCTAGACCTGGGATAAGAGTACACATGAATGACATGGTAAGGAAGAATAACACAATAGAAGAGCTAGACAGAATTTTAAGAAATACCTTCATTTTAATGAAAAGGCAGGGGGAGAGGAGTCTATGAAGGAAAACAAGAAAGAATAGACAGACGAGTGTTGTTAAGGCATTTAAGAACGTCCACCATTACTTCTTCCATCTCACTGTAATCACTACACTTGGTCTAGACTTAAAATTGAAGGACTATAAGCAAATCAGAATCAGTGTGCCAGGCATAGTTTCTCTTCCTAGAAAGGTTATATGACATATGGCTAATAACACCAAATTGAAAATAAGCACAAAATATAGCCTTTTTGAGCAGCCCTTTTGCATCATCTTTTTGCAGCATAGTTAATAAATCATTTTAAATGGACAGAAGAGGAAAAGGTCAATCTGTTGTCCCAAGTGCAGAAATGGCCACAAATGTCTACGAAATTCAATACAAAAGGTCATTGAAAGAGAATCACATTATCTGTCTTGTTAAATTTGTTAACAAATTCTTATTAAATTTGGGTTGACTTTCTAGATTATATAATTGGGTATATTTTGATGGCCAAATATACTTCTTTGAAACTAGAGGAATCAAATAAAAGGCTTATATGCCAATAACCATCATACCCAGTGTAAAAGCAAGATCCCTAAGGGTTGGAACAGTGCCTAACATATAGTAAATTAGGCAATCCTTGGTGTTCTCAGGGGATTGGTTCCAGGACCCCTTCAGATGCCAAATTCTACAGATGTTCAAGTCCATCATACAAAATAGCTGTTATATTTGCATATAACCTATGCACATCCTATCATATACTTTAAATCATGTCTAGATTACTTATAATACCTATACTTTAATAGATTACTTATAATACCTAATGCATGAATGAAAGCTTCTGAAAGCATTTGTATTGCTCTTTGGTAATTTGCTCTGTCCCCATACCTTCAATGTGAAGGAATCATGGAGTCTCAAAGTTGAAAAGAGCATCTCATCAAACAGCCCATATGGTCTAGCCAATTGGCTGTCTAATCAATCTTTTAACTCTACTAGTGATGGAAACTCAATACTTCTGGAGGAAGTCCATTATGTGGCAACAACTCTAGTGTCAAGTTGACCCTTTTATTGAGTCACAAACTAATTCTCTGTTGTCAGTTGATCCATAGAGAAATAAACAAAACATATTTGTTGTGTGTTACCATGGGCTAAAAGCAATATATACCATGGGCTAAAAGCAATATATATGTCCACTGCTAAATTCTAAGTACCTAGAGCAGTGTCTGCCATATTTAAGGCTTCTGTAAATATTCACTAAATGTTATGTTATTATGAATATCCACTTAATTCATTATTGCCATTAGACTATTTACATACCTTTTTTTTTTAACATTGACTCCCACAAACCACATTCTTCCTCTCTTTACACTTTGCAGTTTGGCAGATATGGATGAAAGGAAATCACCAAACAGCCAAACAGTCATTTTAATAAACTTTATCTTGTTAGAGGATGGAATGTATAACAGTCATACTTGCATTTTTAAGTACTATTTTTTGTGTATGTTATTAAGTGTTAAGGATTAGAAAAAAGGTATTCTAATCTAGTAAATAGAAAATAAATGCCCTGTGTGTCTACCTTTATTTTAAAGCATTTTTATTTCAACTTCTATTATATATATGTGTGTGTGTGTGTGTGTGTGTGTTCATTTTTAATTATTGGGGTACACAGTTGTATATATATTTATGGGGTATATGGGATATTTTGATACAGGTATACAATGTGTAATCATTACATCAGGGTAAACGAGGCATTTAACACCTCAAGCATTTATCCTTTGTGTTAGAATTAAATTATTTTAAAATGTACAGTTAAATTATTATTGAATATAGTCACCCAGTTGTTTTATCAAATACTAAATCTTATTCATTCTTTCTATTTTTTATACCCACTAACCATTCTCCCTTCCCCCTGCCTCACCCATTTCCCAGCCTCTGGTAACCATCATTCTACTCTTGGTGTCCATGAGTTCAACTGCTTTCATTTTTAGCTCCAACAAATAAGGGAGAACATGCAATGTTTGTCTTTCTATCCCTGGCTTGTTTCACTTAACACAATCACTTCCAGTTTTGTCCATGTTGTTGCAAATGACAAGATCTCATTCTATTTTATGGCTGAATAGTACTCCTTTGTGTATACATACCGCATTTTCTTTATCCATTCATCTGTTGACAGACACTTTAGTTGCTTTCAAATCTTAGGTATTGTAAATAGTGCCACAATACACATGGGAGTGCAGCTATATCTTTGATACACTGATTTTTTTTTCTTTTTGTTTTATGCCTAGCAGTGGGATTACTGGATCATATGGTAGTCTATTTTGGGACTTTTTCAAGGAACTTCCAAACTGTTCTCCATAGTGGTTGTACGAATTTACATTCCCATTAACAGTGTATGAGAGTTCCCTTTTCTCCACGTCCTCACCAGCATCTGTTATTACCTGTCTTTTGGATAAAAGCCATTTTAACTGGGGTGAGATGATATCTCATTGTAGTTGTGATTTGCATTTCTCTGATGATCAGTGATGTTGAGCACATTTTCATATACCTGTTTGCCACTTGTGTGTCTTCTGTTGAGAAACATCTATTCAAATCTTTTGCTCATTTTTAATCAGGTTATTCAATTTTTTTCCTATAGAGTGGTTTGAGCTCCTTATATCCTCTGGTTATCAATCCCTTGTCAGATGGAGAGTTTACAAGTATTTTCTCCCTTTGTGTGGGTTTTCTCTTCACTTTGTTGATTGTTTCCTTTGCTATGCCAAAGCTTTTTAATTCGATGTGATCACATTTATCCATTTTTGCTTTGGTTGCCTGTGTTTATGGGGTATTACTCAAGAAATGTTTGCCTAATCCAATGACCTGGAGAGTTTCCCCAAAGTTTTCTTTAAGTAGTTTTATAGTTTGAGGTCTTAGATTGAACTCTTTCATTTTGATTTCATTTTTGTATTTGGCAAGAGATAGGGGTCCAGTTTCCTTCTGCTATGTATGATGGATATCCAGATTTCCCAGCACTGTTTGTTAAAGAGACTGTCCTTTCCCCAGTGTATATTTTTGGCACCTTTATCAAAAATGATTGCTCTGTAGATGTATGCATTTGTTTTTTGGTCCTCAATTCTATTCCATTGGTCTATGTGTCTGTTTTTATGCCAGTACCACGCTGTTTTGGTTACTATAGCTCTGTAGAATAATTTGAAGTCAAGTAATGTGAGTTGTATGAACATTTTAACAATTTTGATTCTTCTAGTCTATTAAAATGAATATCTTTCTATTTTGTGTGTGTGTCGTCTTCAATTTCTTGCATCAATGTTTTATACTTTTCTTTGTAGCTGTATTAGTCCATTCTCACACTGCTATGAAGAAATACCCCCAACTGGGTAATTTATAAAGGAAAGAGGTTTAATTGACTCACAGTTCCACATTGCTGGGGAGGCCTCAGAAAACTTACAATCATGGTGGAAGACAAAGGATAAGCAGGCACCTTCTTTACAGGGAAGCAGGACGGAGTAAGTACAAGCAGGGGAAATGCCAGGCGCTTATAAAACCATCAGATCTTGTGAGACTCACTCACTATCACAAAAACAGTGTAGGGGAAACCACCCCCATCATCCAATTACCTCCACCTGGTCCTGCCCTTGACATGTGGGAATTATGGGGATTACAATTCAAGGTGAGATGTGGGTGAGCACACAGAGCCAGACCATATCTGTAGTGATTTTTCACTTCTTTGGTTAAGTTAATTCCTGTGTATTTTTTTGTAGTACTGTAAATGGTACTACTTTCTTTTTTTCTTTTTCAGCTTGTTCACTGTTGGCATATAGAAATACTACTGATTTTGGTATGTTGAGTTTGTATCCTGCAACTTGATTGAATTTGTTTATCAGTTCTAATAGGTTTTTGGTCAAGTCTTTAGGTTTTTCCAAATATAAGATCACATCATCTGGAAACAAGGATAATTTTACTGTTTCCTTTACAATTTGGATGTCATTTATTTCTTTCCCATGTCTGACTACTCTACCGCGGACTTCCAGTTGAATTACAGTGGTAAACGTGGGCATCCTTGTCATGTTCCAGATCTTAGCAGAAAGTCTTTCAGTTTTCCCTCAGTCAGTATAATATTAGCTGCGGGTCTGTCATAGCTTTTATTACTTTGTGGTACAGTCCTTATATACCCAGTTTTTGAGGCTTTTTATCATTAATGGATGTTGAATTTAATCAAACGCTTTCTCAGTATCAGTTGAAATGATCACATGGTTTTTGTCCTTCATTCTGTTATATGCTGTATCACATTGATTGTTTTGTGTATGTTGAACCATCTTTGCATCCCTGGGATAAATCTCCCTTGGTCATGATTAATGGTCTTTTTAACTGGTGATCTTTTTAGTTGCTGAATTCAGTTTGCTGGTATCTTGTTGAGGATTTTTGCATCAATGTTCATCAGGGATATTGGCTTGTAGTTTTCTTTTTTTGATGTATCTTTGTTTGGTTTCAATACAGGGTAATATGAGCTTCATATAATGAGTTCAAAAGTATTCCCTTATCTATTTTTTTGGAATAGTTTGGTGGGATTAGTATTACTTCTTCTTTAAATGTTTGGTATTATTCAGCAGTGAAGCCTTTGGGTCCCAGAATTTTCTTTGCTGGGAGATTTGTTTAAATTACAGCTTCAATCTCATGACTTGTTATTTGACTATTCAAGTGGTACATCTTCTTGGTTCAATCTTGGTGGGTTGTATGTATCTAGGAATTTGTTCATTTCTTCTAGGATTTCCAATTTATTCGCATATATTTGCTCATAGTGGCCATAATGATCCTTTGAATTTCTGCAGTATCAGTTGTAATGTATCCCTTTTCAGCTCTGATTGTATTTATTTGGGTTGTCTCTCTTTCTTAGTTAAACTAAAGGTTTGTCTATTTTGTTTATCTTTTCAGAAAACCAACTTTTTGTTTGCTAATCCTTTGTATTGCTTTGTTCCCATTTCATTTATTTCCGCTCTGACCTATTATTATTTTTCTTCTACTAACTTTGGGTTTTGTTTGCTCTTGCTTTTCTAGTTCGTTAAGATGAATCATTAGGTTATTAAAGTTTTTCTTCCTTTTGATGTAACCATTTACAGCTATAAACTTGCCTCTTAGTACTGCTTTCACTATATCTCATAGTTTTGAGTATGTCATGTTTCCATTTTCATTTCTTTGAAGAAAATTTTCAGTTTTCTTCTCAATCTCTTCACTGACCCACTGGTCATTCAGGAACATATTATATTCCATGTGTTTATATAGTTTTCAAAATTAGTCTTGTTACTGATTTCTAGTTTTATTCCATGTAGTCAGAGAAGACACTTGATATTAGTTCAATTTTTTGAATTTTTTTTTCCCCCGAGACAGAGTTTTGCTCTGTCCCCCAGGCTAGAGTGCAGTGGCGCAATCTCCGCTCACTGCAAGCTCCACCTCCCGGGTTCACGCCATTCTCCTGCCTCAGCCTCCCAAGTAGCTGGGACTACAGGAGCCCGCCACCACACCCGGCTAATTTTTTGTATTTTTAGTAGAGACAGGGTTTCACCGTGTTAGCCAGGATGGTCTCGATCTCCTGACCTCGTGATCCACCCGCCTCCGCCTCCCAAAGTGCTGGGATTACAGGCGTGAGCCACCGCGCCCAGCCTTTGAATATTTTAAGACTTGTTCTGTGGCCTAACATATGGTTTATCATTGACATTGATCCATGTGCTGAGGAGAACAATGTGTATTCTGCAGCCGTTGAATAAAATGTTCTGTAAGTATCTATTAGGTCCATTCGGTCTATACTGCAGATTAAGTCTGATGTTTCTTTGTTGATTTTCTGTCTGGAAGATCTATTATTGTAGTGGGGTCTATCTCCTGCTTTAGCTTTAAAAATATTTGCTTTATATATTTGGGTGCTCCAGTGTTGGGTGTATATAATACTTATGATTGTTACATCCTATTGCTGAATATGCCACTTTATCATTATATAATAATAACACTGTCTCTTTTTTTTTTTTTTTTTTTTTTTTGAGACAGTCTTGCTCTGTCGCTCAGGCTGGAGTGCAGTGGTGCGATCTCAGCTCACTGTAAGCTCCACCTCCCGGGTTCACACCATTCTCCTGCCTCAGCCTCCTGAGCAGCTGGGACTATAGGCGCCTGCCACCACGCCCAGCTAATTTTTTGTATTTTTAGTAGAGACGGGGTCTCACCGTGTTAGCCAGGATGGTCTCGATCTCCTGACCAACACTGTCTCTTTTTATAGTTTTTGTCCTGAAATCTATTTTGTCTAAGTATAGCTACTCCTGCTCTTTTTTGGTTTCCATTGGCATGGAATATCTTTTTTCATCCCCTTATTTTTAGTCTACATGTGTCCTTATAAATCAAGTGCATTTCTTGTAGGCAAGAGATCATTGGGTCTTGTTTTTTCATCTATTCAGCCACTCTATGTCTTTTTGTTTGGAGAGTTTAGTCCATATATATTCAATGTTATTATTGATAAGTAAGAACTTACTACTGCCGTTCTGTTATTTGTTTTATGGTTGTTTTGTAGTCTTCTCTTCCTCCTTTCCTTCCTTTCTGTCTTACTTTTAGTGAAGGTGATTTTCTCTAGTAGTATGTTTTAATTTCTTGCTTTTTATTTTTTTCTGTATCCATTGTATGTTCTTAGATTTGAGGTTATCATAAGGCTTGCAAATAATCCTATAACCTATTATTTTAAACTGATGACAACCAAACACTGATTGCATAAACAAACAAGCAAAAATAAAACGAATAAAAATGCTATATTTTAACTTTTTTCCAACTTTTAAATTTTTGTTTTTATTTATCTTATTACACTATGTCTTAAAAATTGTACTTATTTTTTATCACTTCATCTTTTGTCTTTCTACATACAATATGAGTTTACACACCATGATAAGTGTTATAATATTATGATTTTTCTGTACTTAACTATTACTAGTGAGTTTTGTGCCTTCAGATGATTTTTTATTGCTCATTAACATCTTTTTCTTCCAGATTAAAGAAATCCCTTTAGCATTTCTTGTAGCACAGGTCTGGGGTTGATGAAATCCCTCAGCTTTTATTTGTTGGGAAAGTCTTTATTTTTCTTTGATGTTTGAAGGATATTTTCACTGGATATGCTATTCTAGGGTAAAAGTTGTTTTTCTTCAGTCCTTTATGTCATGCCACTGTCTCCTGGTCTGTAAGGCTTCCACTGAAAAGTCTACTGACAGATGCATTGGAGCTCCATTGAATGTTGTTTATTTTCTCTTGCTCCTTTTAGGATCCTTCTTTATCCTTGATCTTTGGGACCTTGATTATTAAATGCCTTGAGTTAGTCTTCTTTGGGTTAAATCTGGCTGGTATTCTATAACCTTCTTGTACTGAAATATTGTCATCTTTCTTTAGGTTTGGGAAGTTCTCTGTTATTTTCCCTTTGAATAAACTTTCTACCATTATGTTTCTCTCTACTTTCTCTTTAAAGCCAATAACATTTAGATTTGCCCTTTTGAAGCTATTTCCTAGATCTTGTAGGCATGTTTCATTCTTCTTTGTTCTTCTTCCTTTTGTCTCCTCTGATTGTATATTTTCAAATAGTCTGTCTTCAAGCTCACTAATGCTTTCTTCTGCTTGATCAATTCTGCCATGAGGCATTCTTCACTATGTCTACTGCATTTTTTAACTCCAGAATTTCTGCTTGATACTTTTTAATTATTTCAATTTCCTTGTTAAATTTATCTGAAGGATTCTGAATTTCCTGCCTCAGCCTCCCGAGTAGCTGGGACTGCAGGCGCCCGCCACCACACCTGGCTAATTTTTTGTATTTTTAGTAGAGACGGGGTTTCACCGTGTTAGCCAGGATGGTCTCAATCTCCTGACCTTTAAAAATGATGTATTTCTTGTAGTCTTCAAATCAGGACTTGTTTGAATGCATCCTTCCTGGGCAGGCTTTCCAGTTATTTGAAGAGATTTGAGTGTTGTGATCTAAATTTTTGGTCACTGCAGCCATATTTGCACAAAGGGGTATCCCAAGCCCAGTAATGCTGTGGTTCTTGCAAACTCATAAAAGTACTGCGTTGGTGGTCTTGGATATGATCTGGAAGAATTATCTGGATTACCAAGCAGACACTCTTGTTCTTTTCTTCTGCTATCTCCCAAACAGATTCCCTCTCTCTCTGTGCTGAGCTGCTAGAGCTGGGGGAAGGGTAATACAAGCACCCTTGTGGCCACCACCATTGGGGCTGCACTAGGTCAAACTTGAAGCCAGCACAGCACTGGGTCTTCCCCAAGGCCCACTGTAACCACTCCTTGGCTCCCACGTATGTTTGCTTAAGGCCCTAGAGCTCTACAATCAGCAGATGGTGAAGTCACCCAGGTTTATGTCCTTCCTTTAAGGGTGAAAAGTTCCCCCTAGGACCTGGGTGGGTCCAGAGATGCTGGCAGGGAGTCATGGCCTGAAGTCAGTAACCTTAGAAATCTATATGGTGCTCTGTTCTACCACCACTCAGCTGGCACCCAAGCCACAAGACAAAGTCCTTCCCACTCTTTCCTCCCCTTTCCCCATGAAGAGGAGTCTCTCTCCATGTCTACTACCACCACAGGCCCACAGGGGGTACTGCCAGGCTACTGCTGATGTTTGCTTTAAACCCAAGGGCTCTTCTTGTGGTGAATGCTGCCAGGCACAGGACTCACTTTTCAGGCCAGTGGGCTCCCCTCTGGCTCAGGGTAGGTTCAGAGATGACATCCAAAAGCCAAGGCCAGGAACTGAGGATCCCAAGAGCCCACTTTGTGGTATTCTCCACTAAGGCTGAGCTGGTACCTAAACTCAAGACAAAATCCCCTTTACTCTTCCTTCTTTTCCCAAGCAGTAGTCTCTCCCCATAGCCACCACAACTGTGAATGTGCTGGGTCACATCTGAAGCCAGCACATCTCAGAGTCTCACTCAAGGCCCATGGTGTGTACTACCTAGTTGTTGCTGATGATTATTCAGAGCCAAGGGCTCTTTACTCAGCAGATCATGAATCATGCCAGGTCTGGGTCCTTCCCTTCAAGGTAGTGGGTTCCCTTCTGGCCCAGGGCATGTCTGGAAATGTCTGAGAGCTAGGGTGGGCCTGAAATGGGGGCCTCACAAGCTGCCTGGTACCCTATCCTACTGTGTTTGAGCTGGTATCCAAGTTGCAAGACAAAGTATGCTTTACTCTTCCCTCTCCTCTGCCCAAGTGAAAGTAAAGGGTCTCTTTCAGAACTGTGAGCTCTACTTCCTGGAGTTGGAAGAGGGGTGATACTAGCACTCCCTTAGCTGCCCTGGCAGGTTTCTCACTATGTCACTCCCCACCCCAACCACCCACAGTCCACGGACTCTGAGCCCAGCACAGCACTAGGATTTGCCTAGCAGTTGCAGTCCTTGTGGCCTAGGCAGGCTTTCAAGGTTTTTTTTTTAGATCCCCAGAGTACTTTAGCCCACAATGGCAAGGCTTGACAAATTCAGGTTCTGACCACTGGCATGGGTGATTGCCCTTTGACTAACACTGGTCTAAATGCTCCCTCCATGAGTGCCAGCTGAGTTCTACCAAGTGTTGGCAGCACTGCATTCCAATGCAAGTTCCTTAATTGCTGTGCTCTTCCTCTCCCAAGAGTACATATTCTCTCTCCCTGCCACATGGTCACTGGCAGGGGATTGGGCAGAGGTCATGTTGGAAATTCAAGGCTGTCTTTCCTAAGATCCTCATTGCCTCTTTCAGTGATATGAAGTTAAAACCAGATGCAGTGATCATGATCACTCACCAGATTCTTGGTTCCCATGAAGGTGCTTTTTTTGTGCAGATAGTTGTCAAATTGGGTGCTCCTGTGGTGAGGACAGTTGGTAGAGGCTTCTATCTGGCCGTTCTTGATCTGCCTCCTTCTTAAAGCTTTTTGTGTATTATACTTTTAAAAGTTTTTATGTAACTTTGTATATTGCCACACAATAACAAAAAATATGGTGCATGCTTGAAAATTAATTTCCTGTTTTGAATATATGCAGGAGTCTTGGTCAACCCAGATCAGGTTTAGCCCAATTAGGCTAAATTCATAAATTCCAGCTCTTTTAATAAGGATGATGGCAATAGCCTAATTAGAAGCCAACTCTGTAAAGCTGTGGAATATATGATTAATGTTAACACATCAGTCATGATGACTGTAAAAATAAAAGACATGTATTACAGACCAGACATTTTTGCAATTTAATAAAACATTCATTACCTAGGGAAAGATTTTATGAAAACTCACTTAAGATAACACTTATATTAGATATTTTAGCATTTTTAGAGTATAATCATTATTAAGCATTTTTTATCTCTCTACTTTTGTCTTTGAGATTTTTTTAACCTAACAAATCATCTCTAAGTAAGATAAAATGGGTATTATGTATAAATGTCTGGAATGTGTGTCAACAAAATGGATTATTTGTATAATGCACTTACAGTAATCAATCAATAAATATTCATATTGTAAATATTTCTAAATGATAACCACAAAATAATTCCAGTTTTAAGAGCCAATTTGTATGCTAAAATGCATCAAAAATAATCAATCTTTCTGGGCATCTCCCTATCATCTCATTGATCACAAAAGTACTCTAACAACCTAAAGTACAAGCGTCATTTTTCTAACATACAAAAATATCTAAACATTTAATTTCAAGTCCACGGTCACAAATCTGCAGAAAGAAATTGGGGAATGACTTTTTCAACTTTTTGTTTATGAAGTAGGTTAATATTTGTAGGTAGATAAATATTTGAGATGAATGAATGACGAAATTACATAGTCACATGAAAGGAAAAAACAGTGCTTAAATTAAAAGAGATAAGTGTTTATCTAAGACACATGTTATTGTTTAATATATAAAATGCAATTTTCCCCATTAAGATAAGAAAAAAGGAGATTTGGGAGGAGCCAAGATGGCCGAATAGGAACAGCTCCGGTCTACAGCTCCGGTCTACAGCTCCCAGCGTGAGCGACGCAGAAGACGGGTGATTTCTGCATTTCCATCTGAGGTACCGGGTTCATCTCACTAGGGAGTGCCAGACAGTGGGCGCAGGCCAGTGTGTGCGCGCACCCTGCGCGAGCCGAAGCAGGGCGAGGCATTGCCTCACCTGGGAAGCGCAAGGGGTCAGGGAGTTCCCTTTCCGAGTCAAAGAAAGGGGTGACGGACGCACCTGGAAAATCGGGGCACTCCCACCCGAATATTGCGCTTTTCAGACCGGCTTAAAAAACGGCGCACCACGAGACTATATCCCACACCTGGCTCGGAGGGTCCTACGCCCACGGAATCTCGCTGATTGCTAGCACAGCAGTCTGAGATCAAACTGCAAGGCGGCAGCGAGTCTGGGGGAGGGGCGCCCGCCATTGCCCAGGCTTGCTTAGGTAAACAAAGCAGCCGGGAAGCTCGAACTGGGTGGAGCCCACCACAGTTCAAGGAGGCCTGCCTGCCACTGTAGGCTCCACCTCTGGGGGCAGGGCACAGACAAACAAAAAGACAGCAGTAACCTCTGCAGACTTAAATGACCCTGTCTGACAGCTTTGAAGAGAGCAGTGGTTCTCCCAGCACGCAGCTGGAGATCTGAGAACCGGCAGACTGCCTCCTCAAGTGGGTCCCTGACCCCTGACCCCCGAGCAGCCTAACTGGGAGGCACCCCCCAGCAGGGGCACACTGACACCTCACAAGGCAGGGTATTTCAACAGACCTGCAGTTGAGGGTCCTGTCTGTTAGAAGGAAAACTAACAAACAGAAAGGACATCCACACCGAAAACCCATCTGTACATCACCATCATCAAAGACCAAAAGTAGATAAAACCACAAAGATGGGGAAAAAACAGAACAGAAAAACTGGAAACTCTAAAACGCAGAGCGCCTCTCGTCCTCCAAAGGAACGCAGTTCCTCACCAGCAATGGAACAAAGCTGGATGGAGAATGACTTTGACGAGCTGAGAGAAGAAGGCTTCAGACGATCCAATTACTCTGAGCTATGGGAGGACATTCAAACCAAAGGCAAAGAAGTTGAAAACTTTGAAGAAAATTTAGAAGAATGTATAACTAGAATAACCAATACAGAGAAGTGCTTAAAGGAGCTGATGGAGCTGAAAACCAAGGCTCGAGAACTACGTGAAGAATGCAGAAGCCTCAGGAGCCGATGCAATCAACTGGAAGAAAGGGTATCAGCAAGGGAAGATGAAATGAATGAAATGAAGTGAGAAGGGAAGTTTAGAGAAAAAAGATTAAAAAGAAATGAGCAAAGCCTCCAAGAAATATGGGACTATGTGAAAAGACCAAATCTGCGTCTGATTGGTGTACCTGAAAGTAATGAGGAGAATGGAACCAAGTTGGAAAACACTCTGCAGGATATTATCCAGGAGAACTTCCCCAATCTAGCAAGGCAGGCCAACGTTCAGATTCAGGAAATACAGAGAACGCCACAAAGATACTCCTCGAGAAGAGCAACTCCAAGACACATAATTGTCAGATTTACCAAAGTTGAAAGGAAGGAAAAAATGTTAAGGGCAGCCAGAGAGAAAGGTCGGGTTACCCTCAAAGGGAAGCCCATCAGACTAACAGCGGATCTCTCGGCAGAAACCCTACAAGCCAGAAGAGAGTGGGGGCCAATATTCAACATTCTTAAAGAAAAGAATTTTCAACCCAGAATTTCATATCCAGCCAAACTAAGCTTCATAAGTGAAGGAGAAATTAAATACTTTACAGACAAGCAAATGCTGAGAGATTTTGTCACCACCAGGCCTGCCCTAAAAGAGCTCCTGAAGGAAGCGCTAAACATGGAAAGGAACAACCAGTACCAGCTGCTGAAAAATCATGCCAAAATGTAAAGACCATCGAGACTAGGAAGAAACTGCGTCAACTAACGAGCAAAATCACCAGCTAACATCATAATGACAGGATCAAATTCACACATAACAATATTAACTTTAAATGTAAATGGACGAAATGCTCCAATTAAAAGACACAGACTGGCAAATTGGATAAAGAGTCAAGACCCATCAGTGTGCTGTATTCAGGAAACCCATCTCACGTGCAGAGACACACATAGGCTCAAAATAAAAGGATGGAGGAAGATCTACCAAGCAAATGGAAAACAAAAAAAGGCAGGGGTTGCAATCCTAGTCTCTGATAAAACAGACTTTAAACCAACAAAGATCAAAAGAGACAAAGAAGGCCATTACATAATGGTAAAGGGATCAATTCAACAAGAAGGGCTAACTATCCTAAATATATATGCACCCAATACAGGAGCACCCAGCTTCATAAAGCAAGTCCTGAGTGACCTACAAAGAGACTTAGACTCCCACACATTAATAATGGGAGACTTTAACACCCCACTGTCAACATTAGACAGATCAACGAGACACAAAGTCAACAAGGATACCCAGGAATTGAATTCAGCTCTGCACCAAGCGGACCTAATAGACATCTACAGAACTCTCCACCCCAAATCAACAGAATATACATTTTTTTCAGCACCACACCACACCTGTTCCAAAATTGACCACACAGTTGGAAGTAAAGCTCTCCTCAGCAAATGTAAAAGAACAGAAATTATAACAAACTATCTCTCAGACCACAGTGCAATCAAACTAGAACTCAGGATTAAGAATCTCACTCAAAGCCGCTCAACTACATGGAAACTGAACAACCTGCTCCTGAATGACTATTGGGTACATAACAAAATGAAGGCAGAAATGAAGATGTTCTTTGAAACCAACGAGAACAAAGACATGACATACCAGAATCTCTGGGATGCATTCAAAGCAGTGTGTAGAGGGAAATTTATAGCACTAAATGCCCACAAGAGAAAGCAGGAAAGATCCAAAATTGACACCCTAACATCACAATTAAAAGAACTAGAAAAGCAAGAGCAAACACATTCAAAAGCTAGCAGAAGGCAAGAAATAACTAAAATCAGAGCAGAACTGAAGGAAATAGAGACACAAAAAACCATTCAAAAAAATCAATGAATCCAGGAGCTGGTTTTTTGAAAGGATCAACAAAATTGATAGACCGCTAGCAAGACTAATAAAGAAAAAAAGAGAGAAGAATCAAATAGACACAATAAAAAATGATAAAGGGGATATCACCACCGATCCCACAGAAATACAAACTACCATCAGAGAATACTACAAACACCTCTACGCAAATAAACTGGAAAATCTAGAAGAAATGGATAAATTCCTCGACACATACACTCTCCCAAGACTAAACCAGGAAGAAGTTGCATCTCTGAATAGACCAATAACAGGAGCTGAAATTGTGGCAATAATCAATAGTTTACCAACCAAAAAGAGTCCAGGACCAGATGGATTCACAGCCGAATTCTACCAGAGGTACAAGGAGGAACTGGTACCATTCCTTCTGAAACTATTCCAATCAATAGAAAAAGAGGGAATCCTCCCTAACTCATTTTATGAGGCCAGCATCATTCTGATACCAAAGCCGGGCAGAGACACAACCAAAAAAGAGAATTTTAGACCAATATCCTTGATGAACATTGATGCAAAAATCCTCAATAAAATACTGGCAAACCGAATCCAGCAGCACATCAAAAAGCTTATCCACTATGATCAAGTGGGCTTCATCCCTGGGATGCAAGGCTGGTTCCATATACGCAAATCAATAAATGTAATCCAGCATATAAACAGAGCAAAAGACAAAAACCACATGATTATCTCAATAGATGCAGAAAAAGCCTTTGACAAAATTCAACAACCCTTCATGCTAAAAACTCTCAATAAATTAGGTATTGATGGGACGTATTTCAAAATGATAAGAGCTATCTATGACAAACCCACAGCCAATATCATACTGAATGGGCAAAAACTGGAAGCATTCCCTTTGAAAACTGGCACAAGACAGGGATGCCCTCTCTCACCACTCCTATTCAACATAGTGTTGGAAGTTCTGGCCAGGGCAATTAGGCAGGAGAAGGAAATAAAGGGTATTCAATTAGGAAAAGAGGAAGTCAAATTGTCCCTGTTTGCAGACAACATGATTGTATATCTAGAAAACCCCATTGTCTCAGCCCAAAATCTCCTTAAGCTGATAAGCAACTTCAGCAAAGTCTCAGGATACAAAATCAATGTGCAAAAATCACAAGCATTCTTATACACCAACAACAGACAAACAGAGAGCCAAATCATGAGTGAACTCCCATTCACAATTGCTTCAAAGAGAATAAAATACCTAGGAATCCAACTTACAAGGGATGTGAAGGACCTCTTCAAGGAGAACTACAAACCACTGCTCAAAGAAATAAAAGAGGATACAAACAAATGGAAGAACATTCCATGCTCATGGGTAGGAAGAATCAATATCGTGAAAATGGCCATACTGCCCAAGGTAATTTACAGATTCAATGCCATCTCCATCAAGCTACCAATGACTTTCTTCACAGAATTGGAAAAAACTACTTTAAAGTTCATTATGGAACCAAAAAAGAGCCCGCGTCGCCAAGTCAATCCTAAGCCAAAAGAACAAAGCTGGAGGCATCACACTACCTGACTTCAAACTATACTACAAGGCTACAGTAACCAAAACAGCATGGTACTGGTACCAAAACAGAGATATAGATCAATGGAACAGAACAGAGCCCTCAGAAATAACGCCACATACCTACAACTATCTGATCTTTGACAAACCTGAGAAAAACAAGCAATGGGGAAAGGATTCCCTATTTAATAAATGGTGCTGGGAAAACTGGCTAGCCATATGTAGAAAGCTGAAACTGGATCCCTTCCTTACACCTTATACAAAAATCAATTCAAGATGGATTAAAGATTTAAACGTTAGACCTAAAACCATAAAAACCCTAGAAGAAAACCTAGGCATTACCATTCAGGACATAGGCATGGGCAAGGACTTCATGTCCAAAACACCAAAAGCAATGGCAACAAAAGCCAAAATTGACAAATGGGATCTAATTAAACTAAAGAGCTTCTGCACAGCAAAAGAAACTACCATCAGAGTGAACAGGCAACCTACAAAATGGGAGAAAATTTTCGCAACCCACTCATCTGACAAAGGGCTAATATCCAGAATCTACAATGAACTCCAACAAATTTACAAGAAAAAAACAAACAACCCCATCAAAAAGTGGGCAAAGGACATGAACAGACACTTCTCAAAAGAAGACATTTATGCAGCCAAAAAACACATGAAAAAATGCTCATCATCACTGGCCATCAGAGAAATGCAAATCAAAACCACTATGAGATACCATCTCACACCAGTTAGAATGGCAATCATTAAAAAGTCAGGAAACAACGGGTGCTGGAGAGGATGTGGAGAAACAGGAACACTTTTACACTGTTGGTGGGACTGTAAACTAGTTCAACCATTGTGGAAGTCAGTGTGGCGATTCCTCAGGGATCTAGAACTAGAAATACCATTTGACCCAGCCATCCCATTACTGGGTATATACCCAAATGACTATGAATCATGCTGCTATAAAGACACATGCACATGTATGTTTATTGCGGCATTATTCACAATAGCAAAGACTTGGAACCAACCCAAATGTCCAACAATGATAGACTGGATTAAGAAAATGTGGCACATATACACCATGGAATACTATGCAGCCATAAAAAATGATGAGTTCACGTCCTTTGTAGGGACATGGATGAAATTGGAAATCATCATTCTCAGTAAACTATCGCAAGAACAAAAAACCAAACACCGCATATTGTCACTCATAGGTGGGAATTGAACAATGAGATCACATGGACACAGGAAGGGGAACATCACACTCTGGGGACTGTTGTGGGGTGGGGGGAGGGGGGAGGGATAGCATTGGGAGATATACCTAATGCTAGATGACGAGTTAATGGGTGCAGCGCACCAGCACGGCACATGTATACATATGTAACTAACCTGCACAATGTGCACATGTACCCTAAAACTTAAAGTATAATAAAAAAAAAAAAAAAGAAAAAAGGAGATTTTACTAAGGTACAAATATAGCTTATAAAATTAATTCATGGAAAACTAATTTTTCCATGTTGTATCCAGTTTTATTTGTTAAAATGTCTGTAATAGATAGAATAAAAATAGACTAGTTCTAAATACTTAAATGAAAATAGAAACTAATAGTGGTGCTTAATTGTACGATCAAATGCAGCATCTTGTTTTCAGTTGCCATGGAGCTCTCATACATTTCTATAGCAAAGATTTTTCTTCTTTGTATGTCTTATACAACAAGGAGTGCCTTGTCAAACAAGTCTTTTATAAAAACTTGAATTTGTACATTTTTTGCCTTACATATGTACAGACAATTCCCTATTATTTGTGTCAATTTAAAATCCACTCAGGATCTTTCCTTGCCAACCTCTTAATAGATACAGAGATCAAACAACAAAAGACAGAGAGAACGAGCTGGGGAACAGTCTATAGACAACAATGAGTTTGCTAAGAAGGCATATATTCCATTAGACTGGACGATAAGACAATATGTATTAAAAAGGGGATTAAATAGGAGAGCTTAGCTGCTTAATACCATTAATTATCTTAATCTCAGAATGGCATCAAATATCAATCATCTCTATGATCTTTTATCAAAATGCTATTAGTGAAAAAGTAGATTCCCACTGCTACACAATTTCATTTAGGTGGCAACTAAAACAACATAACTGCTCTTGGTCAGCTTGAAAGCATCCCAATATAAAATATATTTTTAAAAAACTTTTTAAAAACTCCCATCATTATTGCTCATGTTTTATGACCATAATTTTAATTTTCCTTATTCAGAAAGATATAAAACATTATTCAAATGCTGATTACTAATCTTTTCAATATCCCATTTCTTATTAACTCATCTCTCTTTTTCAGGTTTCTCTTATCTTTTCCTATGAATGTTATTATCTTTCCATAAAATCTTAGATTTATGCACCGCAAGGAATTTTCAACCACAATTAATCTTTTTCTTGTCTTGATACTTCCAAAAGTTATAGAATTATTTTTCTCCCCTCTTAGAGATCTCTTTGAATTGAGAATCTATAAACATCATATAATTAAAATAGGAAAAATGTTGTCTTCTGATTCAGAATGTGAATAAAAGGGTAAGGGCTCTTATTATATAACAATAAGAGAAAACAGCTTAGACATTAAAAGAGTGCCAAAGACTGATTGTATACTTTGGCTCAACATACTGTAAATACCTGAAGTTGCACATCTTTAATCTCTCCCTTTGAACACAAACTCTTCTTTCAATTATCATACTCTCTCACATTTTTCTTCATGTTTATGATGCCCTCCATTCCTTTAATCCTTCCTATTAATATAAAAACTAACATTAGTTCCTAAAATGTTATGCATTATTAATTTAATCATCTTAACAATATGTATTATTATCCTCATTTTATTTGTTTTTAAAGTCTTTTATACAGCTTTATTGAGATATAGTTCATATACCATGCAATTCACTGAAGTGTATAATTCAATGGTTTTTATTACCTTCAACAGATATGTGCAATCATCACCAGATTCAATTTTAGAATATTTTCATCACCTCAAAAAAATAAAAACTTCTATATTCTTGAGCTGTCACCCTCATATTCCATTCTCCACTCCCCTGGCTCTAAGCAACCACTAATCTACTTTCCATCTCTATAGATTGTCTGCTTTTACATGAATGGAGTCACGCAATATATGGTCTTTTGTGACTGGCTTCTTTCATCACCATAACATTTTGAAAGTTCATCCATGTTGTAGCATATATCAGTATTTCATTCCTTTTTTATGGCCAAAAAACATTCCATTGTATAAATATACCATATTTTGTTAATTCGTTTGCTCACGGGTGGACATTTCAGTGGTTTCCACCTTTTGGCTATTATGAATAACACGGCTATAAATATTCATGTATAAGTTTCTGTGCAGACGTATGTTTTCATTTTTCTTGGGTATATACCTAGGAGTAAAGTTGCTGGTTCATATGGTAACTTTATGTTTGTCATTTGAGGAACTGCCAGGCTGTTTTCCAAAGTAGCTGCACTATTTTACATTTCCACCAGGTGTTTATGAAGGTTCAAATTCCTCCACATCCTTGCCAACATTTGTCGTTATCTGACTTTTTAATTCTAGCTATTCTAGTGGGTGTTAAGTGATATCTCATTGTGGTTTTGATTTGCATTTCCATGATGATGTCAGGCATCTCTTCATGGACTTACTTGCCATCAGTATATCTTCTTTGGAGAAATGTTTACTTAGATCATTTGTCTATTTTTCTTCAACTTTTATTTTACAGTCGGGGGTACATATGCAGATTTGTTGCATGGGTAAATTGTGTGTCACTGAGGCTGGGTGTATGAATGATCCCATAACCCAGATGGTGAGCATAATACTCAATAGGTAGTTTTTGAACCCTCACCCCAAATTTACCCTCCTTCCTCTAGTAGTCTCCAGTGTCTATTGTTTCCATCTTTATGTCCATGTGTGCTCAATGCTTAGCTCCCACTTATAAGGGAGAACATGCAGTATTTGGTTTTCTGTTCCTGCATTAATTTACTTAGGATAATGGCCTCCAGCTGCATTCATGTTGCTGTAAAGAACATGATTTTGTTCTTTGTTAGGGCTGTGAGGTATTCTATGGTGTATATGTACTATATTTTCTTTACCCTGTTCACCATTGATGGGCATCTGGGTTGATTCCATGTCTTCGCTATTGTAAAGAGTGCTGGGATATAAATGCATGTGTCTGTATGGCAGAACAATTTATTTTCCATTGGATATATACCCAGTAATGGGATTGCTGGGTTGAACAGTAGCTCTGTTTTAAGTTCTTTGAGAAATTTCCAAACTGCTTTCCACAGTGGCTGAACTAATTTACATTTCCACCAACAGTGTATGAGCATTTCCTTTTCTGCATAACCTCACCAACATCTGTTATTTTTTGTCTTTCTAATAGTAGCTATTCTGACTTGTGTGAGATGGTATTTCATTGTGGTTTTGACTTGCATTTCTCTGATGATTAGTGTTACTGAGTATTTTTTCATATATTTGATGGTCACATGTATGTCCTCTTTTGAGAGGTGTCTATTCATGTCCTTTGCCCATTTTTAATGAGGTTATTTGTTTTTTGCTTGTTGAATTATTTAAGTTTCTCATGGATTCTGGTTATTAGACCTTTGTCAGATGCACAGTTTGTGAATATTTTCTTTCATTCTGTAGGTTGTTTATTCTATTGATAGTTTATTTTGCTGTGCAGAAGATCTTTAGTTTAATTAGGTCCCATTTGTCTATTTTTGGTTTTTGTTGCAACTGCTTTTGGGGACGTAGTCATAAATTCTTTGCGAAAGCTGATGTCCAGAATGTCTTAGGTTTTCTTGTAGGATTTTTATAGTTTTAGGTCTTACATTTAAGTCTTTAATCCATCTTCAGTTAATGTTTGCATATGATAAAAGGTATATGGAAAAGGGTCCAGTTTCATTTTTGTTCATGTGGCTAACCAGTTAACCTAGCACCACTTATTGAATAAAGAGAGTCCTTTCCCTGTTGCATGTTATTGTTCACTTTGTTGAAGATCAGATGGTTGTAATTGTGTGGCTTTATTTCTAGGTTATCTATTCTGTTCCATTGGTCTATGTGTCTGTTTTTGTACCAGTACCATGCTGCTTTGGTTACTGTAGCCTTGTACTATAAGTTCAGGTACTATTATCCCTCCAGTTTTGTTCTTTTTGCTTAGGATTGCTTTGACTGTTCGTATCCCCATTTTAGAGATTATGAGACTCAAAGAAATTTAGAGATTCACCTGAGATACATGGCTAGGACTTCTGATATCAAGATAAATGGTTGAGAGGGCAGATACTTCATTCTTATCTTACATCAATCATATAAATGATAGAAAATATATATACTCTTTTTTAAAAGAAGCAAATACAGACATCCTTAAAATAGGCAGATAAACTTTCGGATGATCACAAACTGTGTGCAAGAAAATTGTGTTCTATATGTGTAAGTCGTGAAGCTGGAAACAAGACCAATAAGAGCCCTAGCAGAAAGATTCAGACACATAACCTAACCTTCCAGACTAAACATGAGAGGAAAAAAAAAAGGTGTCTATACTCAGGAAGGAGCAGAGCTTGGTGTAATTATTAGGGGGATACCTCTTGTAGCTGCCAAAAAGTCAGAAAAAATGGGGAGCACCCAAGCTCAGAAGACCAGATTCTAAGTCTTCCATCTGGCAAGATATAATATCGATTCCTTATCCTATAAGTGGCTCCAAGCAAACCTTAGCAGATGTTTTTATACTTCCCCAATGTGTGCTGTATAAGCAAAGACCATAGTCTTTCATGGTATTGCAACTGCAGTTAGAAGTACACAATCAAAAATTACCAAATGTTGGAGTATCAACTCTATGAAAGACTGCAAACTCAATAAACGGTAGGGAAGGGACAGGGATAATATAGAAATCAAAAAAATAACTTTTAAATAAGTAAAATTAATATGATCAAATAAAAGAAGATTATTGTATACAAGAAACAGGAATAGGTATTTGTAAAATGAACCATATGGAAAATCTCAAAATGACAATTGGTAGAACTGGGATTCAAATATAGTTGAGTCCCACGTTCTTTCCTCTGATACCACAGTTGCATGCCCCCCCCATACACACACACACAAAAATGCACATACAGAAATATGCACATGCTTATTTGCATATTGTCTTAGTCCATTTGTGATGCTATAACAGGATACTTCAGACTGGGTAACTTACAATTTTTTTTTCCTCATAGTTCTTGAGGCTGAGAAGTCCACAATCAAGGTGCAAGCATCTTGCAAGGGCCCTTTTGTTGTATCACCACATGAGCAGAAGGTGAAAGGGTGATAGAGTGCCCACTCCCAAAAGCCCTTTTGATAACAGCATTAACCCATTCGTTAGGGTAGAGCTTTCATAGCCCAAATACTTCTTAAAGGCCCCACCTCCCAACACCATTAGATTGGTAATTATTATACATTTTAACACAAGCTATAGAAGGGACAAATATTTAAACCATAGTGTTCTGTCTATGGCTCAACAAAAATGCATGTCTTTCTCATAAACAAAATATGTTTGTTCCATCCCAATACCCTCAAAAGTCCTAACTTGTTCCAGCATCAGCTTTAAAGTCTAAGTCCATAGTCTCATCTAAATATCAGCTAAATCAGATAAGGGTGAGTCTCAAAGTACAATTTATCCTGAAGTAAATTCCTATCCAGCTGTAAGCCTGTGAAATCAAACAAGTTATATGCTTCCAAAGTGCAATGATGGAACATGCATAGGATAGACATTCCCATTCCAAAAGAGAGATAGGCAAGAAGAATGGAGTTATAGGCACCAAGTAAGTCTGAAACCCAACAGGGTAAACAACATCAAATCTTAAGGCTTGAGAAAAATATTTGACGCCATGTCCTGACTGGACATACTAGGGTGGATATGCGGCCCCCAAAGCTGAAGGCAGCCCCACCCCAGCTAAACACAGCCCACAATTCAGCTCTCACAGATTGGAGTCAGGTTCCTGTGGCTTTCTCAGCCTGGCACCGCACATTGGTGGCTCTACTGGACCTCAAACATGACACTGCCCCCGTAGCTCCATTAAGCACTACCGTAGTAGAGACTCAGTTACAACCCTTTGCTGGTGGTATGTCTCTGCCTGTGCCCTAAAGCTGTCTCACATCTTTGGAAATCTAGGTGGAGGAAGCCATGCCTCCACAGCTCTTGCATTGTGAGCCTGCAGAATTAGCACTATGTGGACACTGCCAAGGTTTACCACTTGTGCCCTCTAAAGTGGCTGCTTAAGCCAAACCTGGGGCTGCTTGAGCCACAGCTGGGGTGGTCAAGGATTGTTGTAAGCCAGAATGCAGGGAAAGGGGAGCCCAGGGAGCCCTGGGTGGTAAGCTCCTGGAAGTTGCCTCAGGCCAATCCCTTAAACTATTCTGCCCTCAAGGTCCTAGAGCTCAGGGCCTGCGATGTGAGGGGCAGCCTTGAAGATCTTTGAAATGCCACTGGGGTGATTATCGCATTGTCTTGATTAATAGTGCCTGGCTTCCTCCTATCCGTACTAATCTCTTTAGCAACAGTTCTTTGACCACAGCCTTGGTTTTTTTCTCCTAAATGTGCTTTTTCATTCTTTACATTGCCAGGCTAGGGATTTTCCAGTTCTCTACATTCTGCTTCCCTTTTGATTATAAATTCCATTATTAAATAATTTCTCTTCTTGCATTTTACTATGTGTGCTTAAGAGAAGCTTCACAATCCTCCATTTACGCAGCCAACAGACACATGAAAAAATGCTCGTCATCACTGGCCATCAGAGAAATGCAAATCAAAACCACAGTGACATACCATCTCACACCAGTTCGAATGGCGATCATTAAAAAGTCAGGAAACAACAGGTGCTGGAGAGGATGTGGAGAAATAGGAACACTTTTACACTGCTGGTGGGACTGTAAACTAGTTCAACCATTGTGGAAGTCAGTGTGGCGATTCCTCAAGGATCTAGAACTAGAAATACCATTTGACCCAGCCATCCCACTACTGGGTATATACCTAAAGGATTATAAATCATGCTGCTATAAAGACACATGCACACGCATGTTTACTGTAGCACTGTTCACAATAGCAAAGACTTGGAACCAACCCAAATGTCCATCAATGATAGACTGGATTAAGAAATTGTGGCACATATACACCATGGAATACTATGCAGCCATAAAAAGGATGAGTTCATGTCCTTTGTAGGGACATGGATGAAGCTGGAAACCATCATTCTCAGTAAACTATCACAAGGACAAAAAACCAAACACTGCATGTTCTCACTCATAGGTGGGAATTGAACAATGAGAACACTTGGACACAAGAAGGGGAACATCACACACTGGGGCCTGTCATGGGGAGGGATAGCAGTAGGAGATATACCTGATGTAAATGATGAGTTAATGGGTGCAGCACACCAGCATGGCACAAGTATACATATGTAACAAACCTGCACGTTGTGCACATGTACCCTAGAACTTAAAGTATAAAAAAAAAGAGAGAGAGAAGCTTCACAGTCCTCTCAATATTTTGCTGCTTAGAAATCTTTTGCCAGATATCCTAGTTCATTCCTCTTAAATGCTACCTTCTATAAAGCCCTGGGGCATAGACACAATTCAGGCAAGTTTTTTGCTACTTCATAAAAAGATGGCTCTTCCTCTAGTTTCCAATAAGATATTCCTTATTTCCATCTGAGCTGTTACCCATATTGCCCTTAATGCTCCATTTTTGGCAACACAGCGTTTTTCCAGCAGTCACGTCAAAACTATTCAAAAGCTGCTTCCACATTTTCAGATATTTGTTATAGCAACACCCCACTCCTTTGGTACCAATTTCTGTCTTAGTCCATTGTGCTACTATAACAGAATACCTGAGACTGGGGAATTCATAAAGGACAGAAATTTATTTCATCACAGTTCTGGAGGCTGGGATGTTCAAAACCAAGGCCCTGGCATCTGGTGAGGGCCCTCTTGCTGAGTCATCACATGGTGGAAGACAGAAGAGTGAGAGAGTGCTCACTCCCAAAAGTCCTTTTCATAATAGTGTTCATTCATTGACGAGAGTGGAGCACTCATGGCCTAATCACCTAGAAATTACACTACCATCAGATTCGCAATTAAATTTTAACATGAGTTTTGGAGTGGAAAAACATTAGTAATACGGCACTTATTTAGTTTCCCCATTATTATTTTATGCCTAGTCTTGATTTCATGGTTCATCAAAGAAACCCATTATTCTCTTGTTCCTACGTCTACTTTGTTTGCCCTGAAAATGGGCAATCTTGTGGTTCTCAACTCTGGCTGCATTATTTGAGATATCTGGGAACTTAAAAAAAATAAATAAAAGATACACCATAGTCACTTTAGACCAAGTAAATCAGATCCTCTGCGAGTAAGACTCATGTACTGATATTTTTTATAAAAGCTCCCTGAATGGGTTCTATGAGAATAACTGCCCTAATGTACCTATTTTTGTTTCACAAAGGGCTAATTATTCAACAACATTTGTGCCTCCCTTTTGATTATATAAAGTTGTCATTGTGAAACAGCTGCCTAGTTAGGGAGTCATTCCCATCACCCATCCCACCCCCACCCCACATCAAGGTAGGGCCAGGTGACTAGTTTTCACCAATAGAAAGTGAACTGAAAGAATGTATATGGCTTCTGAAAGAAGGGCATTAAGGAACAAGTGTGCACTGTGTATTCTCTCTTTTCCCAACTGCCAACTGGATGCAAAGGATTCTAAGTGTTTAGCAGATGCAAAATCACAAGATGGAAAGCACTTGGGTCCAAGAATCACTTGAAAAAAGTCATGCTTTGACAAAGCTTTATATCATAAGACCACTAAGAGAAAAAGACAAACAACACTTACTGTGTTAAGCCTCTAAAATGTGGGGGTTTCATCAGCTACAGTTACCCAAATCAACAGAGAAATAGGTATCTTGAAGTGGGCTGCTGTTGTGATAATCAAATATGTGGCATTATATTAGTGAGTAGGAAATATGCGTCAAGGAAATAACTAGCAGGCACTGGAAAGATGGAATAGTGGTAAGAAACATGTTGTAAATATTACTTTCAATAACTCGGAAAGCAGACTGACTCTAAGCTTGTGATTCTAGAGCGGTGATTCTCATACAGGCACAATTTTGCCCCCAGGGGACATCTGGCAATGTGTGGAGACATTTCTGGTTGTCATACTGGAGCAGGGAGGAAGTGGCAGGTAGAGACAAGAGATGTTGCTAAGACTCCTTTAATATCCAGTACAGCCCCCCACAACAGAGAGTTATCTGCATCATGATAACCCTGAAGTTAAGAAGCCCTTCTCTAGAGGAAGTGGCTGGAAAGAGCCAGAAAATTAACGTTATTTGCTCCTTGCTGTGTTCAGCAAATAATACAAGAAAGAAGTGAGCTCAGAAAATTAGTCAGTTATAAGCAAAATAAAGCATACCTTTATTCTGACATTCAGTTAAATACCTTGGCTTAGAGAAAGTCCAGAAATCTGGGGGCTTTTGTAGGTTTCAAAAACTATTTCTCCAGACTACAAACAGTAGGAAGGAAATAAGACTGAAAAAGCAAAGCCTCAGTAAGACTTCTCAGTTAAACAAATGGATTCATCCCTGCAGCTAAGATTAAATTAAGGTTTACTTTCCCAACCAAATGTATCCTTTAGATGATCTCTTGGACATTGAGCTAGTGTCTACGAAAATATCTTAAGAATTACAAAACATCATGAAAATATTATTTTTGAAGGCCAACTCAGTTGTTGCCATCTCTACTTCTCATATCAAAATTATTATACCTCCTTATGCCACTCATCAGAATTAGTCTTTCATTTGCACTCTTCCAGTAACACTTAACTCATTCTCCCTTTCTTACATGTCTGTTTCCTCCTTTCCATTGTAAATCTCTTGAATGCAGATAGTCTTAGCCATATATCCCATACATGATCTAGAACATGTCTTATACATGATATACAATTAGTGTTTAAGTATATGTCTGTTGAATATATACTACTCTGCAAAGCATTGATCCCATAGTCTTTGATCTGTAGATGCTTATATTCCAGTATTAAGAGACACAACCACAAGAATCACTTTACAATATGGCAATTCTTATAGAATCTGAGGCACTACAGACACTCATTTTCACATTAGGTGTCACTGTGGAAGAAACTGCTATTGGTCATTCTTCCATCCCAACTTCTTCTTTTTTTTTTTTGAGATGGAGTCTCACACTGTCGCCCAGGCTGGAGTGCAGTGGCGCGATCTCAGCTCACTGCAAGCTCCGTCTCCTGGGTTCACACCATTCTCCTGCCTCAGCCTCAGGAGTAGCTGGGACCACAGGTGTCCACCACCATGCCCGACCATTTTTTTTTCTTTTTCTTTTTTTTTTTTTTTTTTTTGTATTTTTAGTAGAGACGGGGTTTCACCGTGTTAGCCAGGATGGTCCGGATCTCCTTACCTCGTGATCCACCCGCCTCCGCCCCTCAAAGACAGGTGTGAGCCACCGTGCCCTGCAGCTTCCATCCCAACTTCTAATTGCATAGGACTGCCTGAGACTAATTATTAAACAAAGTTGTCATAGACTTCAATAGGAAAAACAGATAAGGGTACATATCTAAGAAGTGTAGTCCGTTAGTCTTAAAGAATTTGCGTGATGATCTTTTAAGGCTGAATCATAACAAACTAAATTTTAATACTTAAGTAGCAATAAGGATACCAAAGGAAAAAAAAAAAAAAAAGAAACCACTACAACTGCCCACTGGAGGAAATGGAGAGAAGAAAGGGCATGTGTATGCATTAGGAAAGGCTAAGAAGAGATACAGATAATAATGTTGCTACTTCAGACCAAGGCAGCTGAGCTGTATTTTGACACTTATGAGTGGCATAAGGAGGTATAATAATTTTGATATGAGTAGAGATGTCAACAACTGAGTTAAATAATTATTTGAACTTCTTAACCCATCTGGGTGGCTCTGACATTATGATGCTAATGGAGAGTTCACTATGGATGGGAAGCAAAGCATTAATTTTAATTTCCCTTCTAGACTAAGTCCAATTTCTCAATTGAATATATAAATCATAGAGCCAGACAGGGTGACTGGATCACATGCAGATAAGGGAAAAGGATGAAGTCACTCAGGAGCAGCAAAAATCAAGACCAATGCATAGCTTAGAATGTAAAGGGTATACAGAATAGAAATCAGAGGAGAAATGAATAAGCAACTAAATCTTGATGGTTTTTTTACATAGCTCACATCTTGTTATGTTGGTTCTTTTATATGAGCTTACAATTGAGGCAGATGGTTTTGGGGTTTTTTTTTTTTTCAAACATGTATAGTTTTTCCACCTTGATTTCAAGATGTTCAAGGAAAGCAACCTCTTCCCTTTCTTTCATATTTTCCTAAACCCACCACAGCTGGCAGTCTTCGACATACAGTAAAACTCAATAAATTTTTAATTTACTGGATTTCATCATGACAAAGAATTCAACTTTCTACAACCCCCTCGCCACAAAAAAGCCCAAATCTCTCAGAAAAAAAAGCAACATTATAATTTCCTACATGATCTTGTATTAGGTATATCTGCTCTCACAAAATTCTTGACTACTGGAAGTGTAAGAAACATTGCACTGTTATTGGCTTTCTGAGAGTATTGTGTCAAGGCATATCAATGAGAAAAAAATTCATGAAACTGGTGAGAGAACATAAGCCAATGGCAAATTTTTAAATAGATAAATAGAATGCCAAACACAGCCTCTGGTAAGGCACTGATAGAATAGGAATTAGGAGCTAAGGATATACAACTTTGGGGGCAGATACAGAACCCAAATAGCTTTTGGCTTCAACTGCTACAACTACTGATCAGCCTTTATAATTAAGGATAGAAGGATCCAAAACAGGGCTAGAGTACCAGTGTTGGCAGATTTCAGAGAATAGCTGTAAACCAAAGAAGAGCAGTCTCTTACAGGCTAGAGAAAGAGTCACAAGATTCACACTTATGGCCACAGAACAGTGAACCTTTTACTGGGGATTCAAGTTTAAAATCACACAGCTTAACAGTAATGTTAGTTTTACCACTAGGTGGCAATGACACAGCTGCATTGGGCTGACATGATTAATTTTAAAAACTGTGCAAATCCAGACAGAAATTCCAAGATCTGTAGTACATATTTTCATTTTAGAAAAATTATTTTATGTACAGCTTACTTTATAGCAGAACGTGTCATTATCTGATTCAATATGTATGTTAACTTCTGATGGTTTTTCACACTCTACACTGAGGAAATTCATGCAATAAACACTATTTTTAAACACTTTCATCACACATCTTCTGAAAAATATAGACATACACCTATCATGAAAATAAGAGAAATTATGGAAAACTAAAAATACTTTTGAAGTTTTAGTATTCTACAGAAAGCACTATAAAATGTTACGTATTTCAACAAAAAAAGTTAAACCTTTAAAAAATGACTAATAGAGAACAATTGTAATTTATTTTTTAAAAATTTTTGGCCAAAACATGAAATAGCATGGAAACACTTTACTTTTAAATTACAAGTTACATTAATATTCATATGTGCAAAGTAGTTTCAATGTCTTGAATAAACATACTTAGTTTACAAAAAAAATTTATCAAAATTCTGATTTAGATTACATTTTAGCAGATTAATCCCTTTTTATATGTATTAAAATAATAAACAATAATATTCCTTAGTGTCTGGCACTTTCAGTAATTATTTCTGCTTTCTTCATAAAACAGGATACAAACATATGACTTATTTAAAATCATAAAACTTTATTATTGTAATTTCCTTTTCTCATCAAAGGGCCAGATATGACAATATTTTTCAAATTATAGACAACATTTGTGAGTATGCAGTAAAAACACTAAAAAAAAAAAAAAAAAAACTTATTAAATCTCAAATTCCCAAGATGTTCCCCCATATAAGGTGGGAGCTCATATCATCACATGTAACATTACAAAACCTGTACTATAAAATTAGATGAATAAATAATAAACCTATACTATTACCAAATTCATAATAAAAAGATCAACTTACCAAATTAAAATCAGCCTATTTATTCCCTTTGTATAAATAACCTAAAGTTCCCCAGGTTTTTATTTCCCAGTTTCCTACAAATGAATTGATCAGAATGCCTCTTTATAGATCAGCTTTCCCATAGTTTCTCTCTCATTTGGCAATAACTTCCCATATTTACTTCATTTCCAGAATAATCTCCCCCTCTTGCAACCCACACAAATGTAAGAGAATGAAGGCATAATTTCTATAATTCATAATTATTTCCCCATTATTGAATTTCATTTTTGAATTATTATAAATCATCCTGAAATCTAATAATATAAATCTTTCTCATCCTATCAGTCTATTAAAATATACAAAACATCATTTAAGATGGTTAACACAAGAAAAGATAACTATGGCAGCCTTCATAAATCAAGCAAAAGATTTCAGAAAAGTGCTTCAGTCTGTTCAGTTATCTCTAACTTTCACTAGAAAATTAAGGGAATGCCACTGTTACAGAAGGTATAATTGCAGATTCTAAAAAGTGAATACATGTGTACATGTAATTTATATCTATTCAGTATCATCTTCTGATTATCTGTACAAATAAAAGGACAAAAGACACAGATGATGAAAACACATAATCCTCAAACCACTTCAGATACATTTTGTGCCTGTATTTCACAGGACCAAGTCTGAGAATTCAGAACACAAAGAAAATTAAGCCATATTGCAAAGAGTTTGTCACAAACACAATGAGCAGAACAATAAAATTGAAATGACATTATTGACTTGACTTTGTCATCTTCTGTTTATTTCTGATGGTGGCTCGAAGTTTACGTATTACCAGTCTATCAGGTAGAATCATATCACCTTGTTGTTCTAGATAATCCAATAAATTTTCAGTCCACTGGAGGGCAGCTGCATGATTAATATGTTTCTCTGGAATTAGTTCTATTTCCTCCTCCTCATTTTCACTGGATTCATCTGCCTGGCCTTGTGCTCTTCTGATGATTTCGCTATCAGTTAACACTTCATAGCCTGGTTCAGTACTGTCTACTTCAAGCCATTTTTCAAGGTTCTCAGTAGTCACATTTTCCAATCCTTTGGTGTGTTGTAAAATGGCAGCCACAGTAGCCACAGAAATATCTTCAACATCAAAGTCCAGGCTCTCTTTCTCCTCTACCATAGGGAGAATCTTCTTCCATGCTCTGCTAATGGTAACTGGTTTTACTAAGTTCCATGCCATTGCTATTTCATAAAGTGCATCCAACAGAGTTAGCTTCTTCCAGAATGATTTCAGGTCATTACCTTCTTCCAAGTTGTTCTGGAGAAGACCTGCACGATAATTTCTCTTCATCGTTGCTATGACTCCCTGATCTGAAGGCTGAATCAATGAGGCCACATTAGGTGGTAAATATTTAGCAAATATTTGGCCATCATCTGACCTTAGGACATTTTCATTTGGATGTGTTGGTGAATTATCCAACAAGAGCACAGCCTTTTCCTGCAAGCCTTTAGATCTTAAATACTCTCGAACTTGCGGCACAAAAATTTTATCAAACCATTGTCGGAAAATGGAAAGATCCATCCATGCACCTTTTTGGCTGAAATAAGAGACTGGCAGGTTTAAGGTGTCAGTTGATTTAAAGGAGCGAGGTTTCTTTGCTTTCCCCACAACACAAAGTTTAAGTTTGTGTAAACCTGTTGCATTGGCACAACACATGATTGTGACTCTTTCTTCAATTGATTTGTGCCCAGGGACAGTGCATTTACCTTTGATTACTGAAATCCTAGAAGGCAAGCACTTCCAAAAGAGTCCAGTTTCATCTGCATTGTAGATTTGTTCAGGCTGTAAATTCTCTCGTTCAATAAAATCTCGAAAGTTATTACAAAAATCTTCCACCGCAGTCTCATCTCCATTTAATCTTTCATTTCTAATGTTAATCTCTCTAATGCTGTGCCGCTGCTTAAAACGAGTTAGCCAACCGGCAGAGGGGTTAAAATCACCATCCATTCCCAAAGCATAAAAGAAGAACTCTGCCCTTTTTGCACAAATTGGTCCAGATATGGGATTCCCTTTTGCTCTTTGCTGGTTGAACCATTCCAGCATTGCCCTGTCCAATTCCTCATACATGGATGGCTTCATAGATTTCCTCTTGGCCAAAAGACTTGTGGAATCAGAACTGCTTGCATAAGTTATAATCTTTTCCTTATTTTTTCTTATATCCCGAACTGTTGTTTCACCAATTCCATAAATCACTGCCAGTTGTTTGGAAGAACCTCCGTCTTCAAGTTTCTTTATTATATCAAGCTTATCTTTAATAGTCAACACCACACGCTTCCGTTTCCCTGACATAGCGAGGTTCTGGGACTCACCCCACACTCACAATGTAGCAATCCACAAAATCCTTCCTTCTCTTACACAGGCTCACTTCAACAGTCTTAACACACTCAGTCTTTCATCCTTACCAGCAACCTGGTGGCCCTGATCCCCTCCCGGGCTGGGGTTGGCTGGCAAATAGACTGCAGAAGAAGGTGAAAGAGGAGGAAGTTTGAGAGAACAGGCCTTTCTTTAACTTATACGGGCAGTAGCGGAGGCCCCATGTCACCGCGGATAATCCGGATTAAAAGCATGTGTTTTATTACCCCAGCAGCCGTGAGAAAGACTATACCCCCATTGTGGCCACGAACCTCCTGCACGTCCAGATCCCGGGTAACCGCGCGTCACTAACCCCTGCCACACCCCAAAGTTACGACAGAGAGCCGAAGAGCCTAGGAGTCAAGGACTGGCACCCTTCCTCAGGGGAACGGATATATTAGATTCCTTCCCCAGCAGCAGGGCCCTCCCGCCGCGCAGCCCCAGTTTCCCGCGCCAGCTTTAGCCGGGACAGTCCTCCCAGTCCCTCAAAACCCGCCAGGCCCCTCTCCCCACCTCTCTTGCAACCAGGACCCGCACAGCTCCCTGACTATCGCGCGGCAGTCGCTCCGCCCCTAGCCACGCTCCCGGAAGATGATCCCTCCCGCCGCCTGGCCCCACCCCTCGCCCCACCCAGAGGCGGGACTTCCCTTGGTCCCCGGAAGGGGGGGAGGAGCATCGCTTGTCCTGAGCTGGTTGCCGGGGCAGGGGCGGAGGCGGAGGCAGAGGTGGAGGCGCTTTGAAAGGTGAGAGCGCGAGGGCGGTGCGGGGCTGTCTCCCGGCTGGGACTCGCTCGCGCTCCCGGTGCTAATGGTTTATGAGAGGGGCGGGGGAAGCCGTGCCTCCTCGCGGACTAAGAGAAAAATTCCCGCGGGCGCTCTTTGGGTGGGCCGGAGAACGCCCCTCAGCCCTTTGCGCCTCTAACCCTCCTCAGCTGAGCTGCAGTGGGCGCGGTGCCCGTTATTTCCGCCTTGGGGAGGTGCTTGGAACTGATGTAGGGAGCTCGGTTGGTGATTTCTCGGGTTTCTGGCCTTTCCAGACCCTTGTAATTGTTTTCTCGGTGCAGAGCTCTTTTGGGGTCTGGGGGTTTCCGTCGTCCTGCGCGCGTCATCGCGAAGCTTGGCCTGAGGGTCCGGTTTCCTAGCTACTGTGCCCCTCCCTCCTGGAGGCAGAGTGACGGACTAGTGGGCTAGCGGGCGCTGGGTTCCTGCGTCCCGCCAAAGAGGTTTGTAATCATGAAAGTCACCCTTCCGGGTGTTAATTCCTGAGAGGATCTATTCCACTGTCTACCACTCATTCCTGCTGCATTAACCTTCATTGTTAACGGATTTTAATGAATAATATAGTTATCCCGGATACCATGCTGGCAGGATCCACTTTGCGAAATTGTGGACTGTTGGACTGTGATTCTAAGTGGGGGAAATAGGCTTTCCTCTCTTTATGTTTATTTTCTTATATCCTATTTCTGTCATGTTCTGTCTTGTTTTCCTGCCAATAGAAGAACTATGATAAATTTATTCATAGCAGTGTGATAAGAACTTGATCTTAATCATACACTGTAGCCCTCAAATCGTGTATTATGCTGGCTTGTTTTTGGTGTCCCTAGTAATTTCATCAGATTGTGAGCTCCTTGGGAGCAGAGACCATGTTTATTTGAAATGGTGGCAGCACAGTTCCTAGCAGGTGCTTGCATTTTGGTAGATATTCAATAATTATTTTTCGGCTTATTAATCTTTGCTCTCCAAACTGCCATATAAAAGAAAACATCGAAGAGGAGTGATGTTTTACACCCAAGAATGGATCCCTCCTGGTAGAATTTCAAATAATGACCTGGGGTTCCACTGCCTTTCAAATCTGTAAAGTGTTAACTACCACCTGCATTGTTTATACAGCAAGTAGGTGATTTCTAGAATGAATCTTTTCTTGAGTATGAATTAACCTCAAAGTTTAGAAGGAACTATATTTCTTCTGATGAGAAAGTCAAATGGCATCATCAAAGTACTTTTAGCTATAGAGTTACTGTGTTAGAGAAAGAACACAAGCAATATGGATTATTGTCTTTAATATATATTCTTTGGCAGATAACATAGCTATGTATGTGCATCTTATATTAACCATGAAACACAAAGATGTGATAGTATTGATCATCTTCATTCACTTATTTAATGCTTTCTGTTTGGAGTCTCTGTTTTTCTCTTTGCTTAAAGGTAAGGTATCATTACAGAAGCTCGATAAAATTCTCATTTCAGGAAATTAAGTGTATATTCAACATATACAGAAGTAACATTCATTTGCATGGATTCTCTTTTGAGTAGATTCTGAAGACCAAGAGGTATCTTACCCATCAAACTAGCTTTCCTTCACATTTCTCTTCCGAGGTTCACTCACCTTTTCCCTCCGTTATCATTCTTCCCTTCCCAGCTAATATAGTAAAGCTACCTACAATTTAAAAAGAAGAGCCAAACATATTCAAAGTGTCTTTCCTTTTCAGTAACAGAATTTTTTACCTTACTGATATAAATGGTCATTTTGAAATATGAGAGACCCTGGCAATTTGGCAGTTGGTCCAATGAAACCTGATTTATTTTGTTTAAATAAAAGATGCTGCCTCAGGCATTCAAATTCTGCAGTTTTCCAAAATATGTTTCTCATCAGAGACTGCCTTTCTTTGAAATTTTACTTTTGGGCTCACTGGGGACTCCTTTAAATTTTGCAATTGGTGTTATTAATAAGATGATAAGAGGGAAGTCTGCAAATACTCTTTTCTTGCCTGGTGGATAATAATTTACAGAAGTTTCTGGCCTAACTCGTGCAGTAAAATTCGGTTACATAATTTTTTAAAAAAGCATATTTGTAAACTCTAAACCATTTTAATCGTTATTTTTCTGAAACTAAAATACAGCATGAATGAGAGATAAAAATAATGATTTTTAAAGGCTTAATTTTTACTATCTTGTACAAATGTGATATTGGCAGCCGTCATTGTGTGGCACTGGACGGGGAATCAAGAGACCCGGTTTCTAATCCCTGCTCTGTCACTAACAAGCTGCGTGATCTTCGGTAAGTCATTTAAACTCTATGTCCTTGGCTTTGATATTTACACATAAAAATAGATATCTTCCTTCTAGGATCATTGTCAGGATTTAAAAATCAATGTGAAAATGCACTAAAAACTTAAAGTTTCTTTTATGGCTTAACTGTGCAGTCATAAGTTTTTAATAGTGTGATTCTTAATCATTTCCACCATTGTCATAGGAATCACCTGTTTCATGATAAATAACTGACATTCTGGGCATGTTATAGTTTTGTAAGATAATCATCTAGTGTATATGAATTTGCTTTTGGGTACTAATAAAAATCATCGTTAACTTTAATGTTCTTTACTGTCCATATTTGCTTTAGTGTATCTACTGCAACCATATTTGTCATTGTTTTCATAAATGTTTTTTCATTATTTCTCCCAATTCAAACAGGTTTATTAGAAAGCCATGCTTTGTTATTACAATGTGATATACTACACGTGCACATATGCACACTTAGCTTACGCAAATTTATGTGTTTACAAATACTTTTTTGTACTATACAGCTTAAAAATGTAAGATGCCTAGTTCGTGTGGTGCTAAACCAAAGAAACAGTAAGCTGCTTAAAACCTGGAGGAGAAACTGGGTGGACGTATTGTAACGCAGTATAGTGTACACAAAACCATACTTTAATATAGAGATTTTTTTAAAGGGTAATTTTGACTACACACAATTTTCATCTTTGCTGATTTTAATATAAGCCTTTTGTAAGATGCAACCCAAGGGTAATTTCAAATAGCAGACTGCCCTGTTGACCAGAATTTGTTAGATTGCTATTACAATGCTGATTATATTTTATAGCAATTACTGACATAAGGTTATACTTTGGGCAATGGCTCATGCCTGTAATCCCAGCACTGAGGCCAAGGTGGGAGGATCACTTGAGGTCAGGAGATCAGGACATAGTGAGACCTCCATCTCTACAAAAAATTTAAAAATCGAAACATATCGCTTGAGCCCCAGGAGTTCAAGGCTGTAGTAATCTATGATCATGCCACTGCACTCCAGCCTGGACAACAGGACAAGACCTATCTCTTAAAAAAATAAAAGTTATATTTCATCCTACACGCTATAATTTCTGCTGTATAATTTTGGCAGCCCCCGTTCTGATTTTACATGAGGTGTTAACCATTATACAGAAAGTCTTATTGCCGTATAAACATACCAGAATTTGTACAATTAAATGAGCTGTATCCTCTCTTCCACAATCTATAGGAAAAAAGTAATCCTCTTGGAAAGCTGGAAACATAGTCCGGTAAGATTCCCATTGCTCAAAAAATTTTTGGCATTGAATTTTTGTAATTACCTTCAGAATTCGCAGCACATTTTTTGAAGATTTTTAATGGTAGTTAATTCTCATCTTCTTAAGTTGGATTTCATTTCTGCAAGCTGCTAACAGGTCCTTATAACCGAGACAAGTGAATGAAGTGGGTGTTAAAGTCACTGTTTGGGATAAAAAATGAAGTGTGATTATTTTCATATTTTTAGATTTTTTATAGTGTGTGGTTTATAGAAAGACTCCAGGAATATTCTGTGCTGTGGTGGAAATATTGGAATAATCAGCCTCATAAGGTGATTTCTTTGGTGGGGATAGCTGTCAGTTCAATATATACCTCTAACATGTAGTTTGAGGTCGGTCTCATTACATTGTCATATTTCTATTCCCTAACAACCACAGAACTACATATGTTATTTTTTCTAGTTATCTTACGTGTCACTAATTGTTCTTTTAATATATACTTGTGATAATTTTAATGGAATTCATTCTTTTCTAAATGATAAACTGACAGCTTTTGTTTTCCTTCCCAATACTATGCTCTGCTTTGCCGTGGAACTTACTTGTTTTATTCACTTAACTACATTATTGGATTGTTAGTTAAGTTTTCTATTGGTTATATTGTGTATTTAACTTTGAGGGGAAAGCCACTCCCATTTTACTAAGGTATAAAGAGGCTACAATCTTAGTGGATATATTATCTCTCAATTTTTCACTGCTGTCTTCTTTATGTCATTTGTTACTTTATAACTTTCTTCGTGTAAATTGATCTTTTATACTTTATATCATTTCTCTATTCAGAATCCTTTGCCTACAGGGTGAGTCATCCTGGTAATCCCATTCAGTTTTCTATTCTTTTCTCCTTTTTTCCAGCATAAAACTCTTTTTTATACATTTTAAGCCATGCTTATTTACTGAACATACCATCTTCTTTCTTAAAGCCAGAGTTTGCCCTTACCATATTACTTGCCTGACATCCCTTTTTCTTTCGTTCTTTCTGTTCAAATACAATGAATCCTTCAGAATGCTATTAGATCACATCTGTTCAAGATAAAGTGAAGCACTTGCCTTACTGATCTCCCTGCATCTTTCCACTTCTCTTGCAGTTATTTATGTTATTCATTTGATACTAAATATTACCTTGAAATTTTCTTAATTATTATATGTTTTAGATATTTTAGTTCTACATATAGATAATAATCTTCTGAAGGACAGCACCATGATTTTTCTATGTATCCCTTGCAGCACAACATACAACGTAATTCAGAGTAGATGTTCATATAATTATTTCATGGGCATTCAGTAAATTATTTGTTAAATTAATGTTCTACCATCTTCACTCAGATATTTCATGTGATTTTGTGTTTGTGGACCATTAAATAAAGCCAAATAAATATAATTTATACCATAAATGCATTCATTGCTCTAATCTGGTTATCACTGTTATATTCCTAACAACTTTATTTTATAGAAGCTTAAGTGAAAATGATACATGTTAGAAGACATGAAACAAGGAGAAATTCTAAGAGTCACGTGCCTGAGCAGAAATCTCGAGTTGATTGGAGGCGAACTAAAAGAAGTAGTATCTCACAATTACTTGATAGTGATGAAGAGCTTGATAGTGAAGAATTTGATAGTGATGAAGAGCTTGATAGTGATGAAAGTTTTGAAAATGATGAAGAGCTTGATAGTAACAAGGGACCTGATTGTAATAAAACACCAGGAAGTGAAAGAGAGCTCAACTTAAGTAAAATTCAAAGTGAAGGAAATGACAGTAAGTGTCTCATTAACTCTGGCAACGGTTCAACATATGAAGAAGAAACGAACAAAATCAAACATAGGAATATTGACTTACAAGATCAGGAAAAACATTTAAGTCAAGAGGATAATGATCTCAACAAACAAACTGGACAAATAATAGAGGATGATCAGGAAAAACATTTAAGTCAAGAGGATAATGATCTCAACAAACAAACTGGACAAATAATAGAGGATGATTTAGAAGAAGAAGACATCAAGCGAGGAAAAAGAAAAAGGCTATCCTCTGTGATGTGTGACAGTGATGAGAGTGATGACAGCGATATCCTAGTTAGAAAAGTAGGTGTTAAACGTCCCCGTAGAGTGGTTGAAGATGAAGGTTCTTCAGTGGAAATGGAGCAAAAGACTCCTGAAAAAACATTAGCTGCACAAAAGCGAGAAAAACTTCAGAAGCTCAAAGAACTCTCAAAACAAAGATCTCGTCAGAGACGCAGTAGTGGTAGAGATTTTGAGGTGTGTTATATTTTGTTGGATTTGTTATTGTTTTTCAGTTTTTTTCTTAAAGTATTTAATTTTTATAAAAAAGTGCTGAGTCCGTTCCATTTCTCAATAATTCTAGAATTTATTTTTTAATCAAGTATTCTTGAACATGTTTGATTACACTATTGTACGTAATATACTGTTTTATCATGAGCCTCAGTCCATCCTTTTTTAAAATTGAAAGACTATTTGTTATTTTATATGATCTTTCTTGTTTTTAACTTCTTATAATTCTAATGTCCATTTTAAACATTTTACATCACTTAACCAAGGTATATTCTTCTTAATAATTTCAAAAGTTCAGCATTTAATATGACAAAATTATTTATTTTTAACTTTAAAATATGAAGTTAATTACTATGGATCATTTTTTTGCTGTCAGATTTAATGTTTTAATTTTATATCGATGCTTACCGTTTTAATAGCACCATTTACTGAAGCATTTATTTTAATTTAATTAGGACTCTGAAAAGGAATCTTGCCCAAGCAGTGATGAAGTTGATGAGGAGGAAGAAGAGGATAATTATGAATCTGATGAAGATGGAGATGATTATATTATCGATGACTTTGTAGTGCAAGATGAGGAGGGTGATGAAGAGAATAAAAACCAACAAGGAGAAAAATTGACTACATCACAACTGAAATTAGTAAAACAGAATTCTCTTTGTAAGTTCAATATTAAGAAAATGTTTCATGAATTGTTCTCATGATATTTTATCAAGTATCAAATTAGCCTTTTAATATCATGTTCTAAATCATTGACTAGAAACTGTGGTTTCATTTTCAGATAACCTTGTCAGTTTAATAGTTTATTCCAGTGGTCTCAGGAACCATTTACATTTTTCAAAATTATTAACCCCAACACGCCTTTACTTCAATGAGTTATGCCTGTCAATATTTACCATTGTAGAAATCAAAACTCAGAAATTTAAAATATATTTATTAATTCATTTAAAATAATCCTTAGTAAATTTATTACATTAATGTAAATAACAATTTTATGAAAAGTAACTATATTTTTCCCCAAAATGTGATAAATGGCATTGTTTTACATTCTTGTAAATCTTTAATGTCTAGCTTATAGAAGCCAGCTAGATTCTTATATCTGCTTTTACGTTCAGTCTGTTGTGACATGTTGTTTTGGTTGAAGTGTATGAAAACAATTTTGCCTCACACAGGTAGCTGGAAAAGGGAGGAGTATTTTAATAGTATTTTAAAAATAATTGTTGATATTCTCATTTGATACTATGCCAAAATTTGACAAATGATACTGTTTTCTTAAAGATAATATGGAATTCAAAACCATATAAATGAACTTTTAGTACTTGCATTACAACCATTGGTCTGTCGTGCAGTTTAAATAGATAATTTCCCCATGCATGATTTTGTGATAAAATGCATCAGTCATTTGGAAAATACTGGTTCACTGGATGATACAGATCCTCCAAAATATTGACATATTTCATTATATATATATTTTTAATTATATTCATTAATATCACCACCAATCCCATGAGAATATTTCTCAGGTATTGAGAAGCCGTCAGGCTCAGAATAGCACATACAAGTTTTTCAAAATTCTAATTTCTGCTTTAAAACTTGATTGTTTTCATTGGCGACAAAACACCGAATTGTTCTTTTTGAACTGACAGGCTTACTTTGTTCTTTTTTGAGAAAAGTCTGACAGATTCCCAAGTCTGAATAACCAGAGCTTGTCACTCTTTCTTTCAAATAAAAATGGTATTTCATGAAAAATGAGGCTTTCCCCCCACACACACAGTTGCACAGGTGTTTTTCCCTCAAAACAACCATTGTACTTTGGTATGCAGTATGAGTGCTTTTTATGCACTTTCCATTTCATCCTATAGAGTACTACAAAGATGTGTACTTCACATTCAAGATTTAATACAGTTAATAGTTTTACTGCTTCAACGAGGACATTCTTAAGTGAAAGTGGCTTTTTTTACTGTGAGTGCATAGTGGTAATGACAGTAATGATTACTAGTAGTTTGATGCTACTGCCATGATTCAAGTTAAGGGGCCAGCTGCCTTACCCATCACTGCTTTTACATCATCAATGAAAATGTCAACACAGTGAAAAAAGCAAATAAATAATATTGTTATTACTTGAAATCACAGATTTCCTTAAATGGACTTGGGCACTATCAGGGGTCTGCGGACAAACACTTTGAGAACCATTGGTTTTATCAGACTTTTTGAAGCTTCTCTCAAACAGTGAAACCTATCAGAGATAGGACGTTACTTACATGAAAATATAAATCATGGAACCTGAAAATGTAGGATATATTTAAATTATTATTATTATGATTCCTATAATTCTACAAAATTTCAAAGATTGTTTTTATGATGTTTTACAGCTCTGGTAGGAACAAGGTGTTGGATGGATATACTTTTATTTTTTTTCTTTGAGTGCATTCTTTCCAAATATTTCAGAAAAGGCCATATTGACTAAAATAAAGTGTGACATGACTTGATTTATATCTCATGATTTATAATAAAATAGTGGATTTGGAGATATGAATCAAATTTCAAGAAATTTGGCAGTTATAGAGATGCCAGTTACAGTTATCTCTACACTGCAAGTTAATGACTGTTTTCCTTATATCAGTAGGCACTGGTTCACTTGCCACCTGGACATTTAAATTACAGGGATACTCAATTAGGAGATATCCTATTTTGGGTTATCTAGAATGTGATGGAACATTTGCTGAGAGATGCCAACTCATATCAACTCCTGCCAATTAATGGAAATAAAAGGCTAGCATATGGGAACTTCAACTTCTTTACACCTTTTAGTTGTTTTTTTTAAGGGCACTTTTGGAGTTACAGAAATATTGAATGGAATGTACAGAGTTCAAATATACTTCCTCACGTACACAGTTTCCCCTATTATTAACCTCTTTTATTAGTTTGGTACCTCTGTTACAGTTATTAACTGTAGTTCATACTTCACAACAGGGCTCATTTTTTAGTACCTTTTATGGGTTTTGACAAGTGTGTAATGACATGTATCTACCATTACACTATCATACAGAGTAGTTTCATTGTCCTCAAAATGCCCTGTGCTTTAATTCATTCTCCTTTCCTCCCTCCTCTGAATCACTGATGTTTTTACCCTCTCCATAGTTTTGCTTTTGCCAAACTGTCATATAGTTGGAATCACACAGCATATAACTTTTCAGATTGTCTTCTTTCACTTAATAATATGCACTTAGGTTTCCTCCATGTCTAAATGTGGCTTAATAGCGCATTTCTTTTTATCGCTGAATATTTTTCATTGTATGGATGTACCACAGTTTTGTTCATCCATTCACCTATTGAAAGACATCTTGGTTGCTTACAAGTTTTGGCAATTGTGAATAAAGCTGCTATAAACATTCATGTGCAGGTTTTTCTATGGACATAAGTTTTCAACTCATTTAGGTAAATATGAGGAGGTTTCCTTTAAATACTGAGGCTTCCTGTTAATACTGAGCATCTCTACCTCAGGAAGATGTATATGTTTTTATGCAACATATTTTATCTTGTGTATTCTTAATTACAGCTTCTCATTCGGCTCTATTATCTACTCAGTTCTCTTTATTTTCAATGATTTTATCCCTACAAACTCTTTTTCCTCAACTTGTAACCAAGTTCATGCCTTTCCTCCTTTGAGTTGGCATGTTCCATTAGCTACTATTTTAAATTTTATCTTTTTGTTCCCATTTCCCAGTAACTCTACAAAGCACTGTATTCAGGCTCTTGCTTGTGTCAGTCCAGTGAAATTGTTCTTACTGAAGTTATTGATACCCTCCTAATTGCCAAAATACCTTTAGTTCTTATATTAACCAGGTATTGTCATGTACTTTACTACCATTGACCACTCTCACTTTCAGAATGCTCTTCTACTTTCTGTGGTACCCTACTTTTCTTGCATTTCCGTTTGTAATATTCCTTTCCTCTATTACTATTTACCATGTAAATTTTGATGTTTCCAGGGGTTCCATCCTCAACTATCTTCATTTTGGTTGTGGGTTTGGGCAGTCTCTTTCCCATTACTTCAGTCCAGTCGTTAAGCAGAAATTCCCAAACATTTATCTCTAGCCAAGATTTTTCCTGAACATAAAGCCTAATTTGTTTTTATCTTATTGAAGATTGTTATCAGACTTTCAGACATCTCAGGCTCAATAGGAACAAAACTGAATGATTAAGAGGTAATATGAAGGAGTTTTGGGTGGTGATAGAACTGTTTTGGTGTTGGTTATGTAATTTTATGCATTGGCCATAGAACTGTACACCAAAAAGAGTGAATTTTATGGTATATAAAGTAGTAAAGCTCAATAAAACAAGCCATGTGGGTGCCCCTACTTCCAAAAAACAAAAACAAAACCTAAATAGTTAACCAGCTTCCCTTTTCTATATTTCTAGTACCCATTAGAGTTCGTGACACCTTATAGGAACTCATTGTTAAGTTCCTATAGATGATTAAGATAAGCATATTGGCTAAAGACTCCTGAATGTTACAGTTCAAGACTCAGAGAAATATTGGACATCAGATTTTTTCAAACATTAGAGAAAAAAATTCACATATTCTAGAGTGATAATTTATGATTGAGTTGATATTTTTAATATTTAGCAATTTTATACCATATCTAAATATAATAAATAAAATTTAATATAGACAGTTTTCAATTTGCCAGGGAATTATGTTCTAAAAATTGCATTTGAAAATCAAAGTACATTTTCTCATTAAAACAGTAACCTATGTGATGAATAATGAACACCACTCTACGACTTGGGTTAAGTTGTAATTAGGCTAGTATTCCCAGATTCATTCTCCTGCCAACGAATCATATTCAACATATGAGAATTTGGGAGAAAATCTCCTAACTCTAAATTCAGTATTTCAGTTGACAATCGGAATCAGTAGTCCATGTACTTGCCTTTTTGAAGTGAGCAATTCTTACCTATAGGAAGACATTTTGTAATTTCCTATCTGCCATTTGGCTCTGAGAGATGCACCACAGGGTAGTTTCCCTCTTGCTACAGTCATAGTCTTTTTCTTTTATTATCAATCCCTATTAGTGTCTCTTTATATTTATTCTGAAACTACAATTCTTGGAAAAGATATGGTAGGGAGTAGAGGGACAAAATAGCAGTGGTCCATTGCATGCCACATTTACATAGTTCACACACTAAAAATATTGTATGCAGGTAAAGAGGAAAAATCTTCAGATTTGTGGATACTAAATATTATTTATCCAGTACTCTATTATATATTCAGAGGGACAGAATCAAGGAGTAGAGATAAGAGTAGAATACATTTCGGTCTACTAGTGCCTTGCTAGAACACTGGAAATTAGACTAAGTGAACATCCACTTAGTCTCCATCTACTAATTAAAGAAAATCATTCTATTAACACAATAAAGAGTGGGCCTAAGAATGGACTCAGAACCATTTATGTTAAATATTAAATCTTAGAACTTTCCCTTGTTCTAGGATAAGTAAAAAGTACCTGTGAAATTTATTGCAGTATAAGGTAAAGGTAGACTCAGAGGAAGAAAATAACTGTGAAAAGTGTTTCATTAAAAGAAACAAGAAAATGCTATAAAGCATTTGCTATGCAGTCTATGAAAAAGAAGTTATAAGGAGATAACAATTTGAGGTGAAAGGGAGCTAGCTAAAATAAGAATTGCCAAAAATTTTAAAATGTAAAGTCAGAAATAAAGTCTATGGAAAGCAGTAGATAGCAGAATTAACAGTACAGAAAATCTCATGAATGACAGGAGATAGTTGAGAAGTTCTAGGGTAGAGAAGAAAAAAATAGTTATAAAGGAGAAGATAATAAAGGACTACAAACGAAGACCCTATTTCACAAATTTGGGGGAGGGAGTGGCAGAAATACAGAACAAATGGAAATGTAAAGGAAGAAAATTGTATAACTTTAGATATGTAAAAGAAAATTTGAATGTACTAAAAATCATACCATATTTTTGGATGGGAAAACATAAGATATGAATTCAAGGTTATTATAGAAGAAAGTATTCTTGAGGTATTTTCATAATGCGTAACACATTTATGCAGATTAAAGAGGCCCACATTGCTAATAAATTGATGAAAATAGTTTTGCAAACAGATGTATGAACTGTTTATGTAATTACAAGAATAAAGAAAAAGATCCCTAATCATTCTTTTTAGAACTATAAAAATGGCTTAATATTAGAAGTCATTAATATATTACATTAATATATCACATTAATATATCAATAGAGAAAAAGTCATATAATTTATTGAGATTCTAGGAGAAACATTGGTAACATTCAATGTCCATACCTGGCTTTTAAGAAAAGCAGTTGTTAAAAAATTAGTAATAGGAACATACGTCCTTTACATGACAGTATTTTAAACCAAGAGACAACAGCATACTTAAAATGAGGAACATGACAAAAATATTTTCTACTGACTTTGTTCTAGATGTTTTGAAAAATGCAACAAGACATGAAAACAAAAGAAATATAACTATTGAAAAAGAAAAGACATTATTTGAACATAATATGTGTGTGTGTGTGTGTGTGTATTATGTACACACATATAAGCTAAAAGTTTCTGACTTAACAAAGGATACAGAAGTTAAGAGAAGGGATATAAATACTTTAAAAGCAGGAGTAGACGTAGCATATCTTTTCATGGCTTGCATCACATTCTTTTTGCCCTACAAGGGTGAAGATAGGGGAGATATGTTAAAGTAGAAAAAGAAATCAGTTTCTTGTTCTGCCTCTGCCTCATACACTAGGCTGATATCTCCATTCCAGAAGAAAGTACATCAAAAATCTACATGCTTTTACCTAAGCGAATATTTGTAAACATTCTCTTGGTTCTTGAAATAAATTTACCACTAGCAAGACCACATCCTCCTGGGGGTTGTGGGAGAAAGCAGAGATAGTGTCCAGGAATCCTTTAACAGTGTCCATCTCCAGCTCTGTAGTGTCCCAGGAAGCTTATCTCCCAGAAATATCCAAGAGAATCTGACTATTTTGAAATTGGTAAAAGATCTCAGAAAAATCACCAGATTCACAGTAAGTATGTAAATCTCAATGGTTCTCTTGTATACTAGCAATAATTACTTAAATGATATAATCAGGAAAAATTCCATCTACAATCGCAACCAAAATAAAGTTCCTAAGCCTAATATTAAGAAGAAAAGCAGGCCAGGCGCGGTGGCTCACGCCTGTAATCCCAGCATTTTGGGAGACTGAGGAGGGCGGATCACCTGAGGTCAGGAGTTCGAGACCAGCCTGGCCAACACACAGAAACCCTGTCTCTACTAAAAGTACAAAAATTAGCCAGGCATGGTGGCGGGCGCCTGTAATCCCAGCTACTCAGGAGGCTGAGGCAAGAGAATCGCTTGAACCTGGGAGGCGGAGGTTGCAGTGAGCCAAGATCGTGCCACTGCATTCTAGCCTGGGTGACAAGAGTAAGACTCCGGCTCAAAAAAAAAAAAAAGAAAAGCACGGCTTGATAGGTTAAAAAAAATACACTTTACTGTGAAACAGAACAGAAAACATGGATAAGCGGAGAGACAAGCATGTTTCTGAAAGGTAATATGCGTAGAACAAGAAGTTATTTCTTCTGAAATTAGTTTTTTTGGTTAAACTTTGCAAAACAATTCTAAAGAATGACAGCCAGACCAGTAGGAAGGGCAGATGGTTTGAAAAAAAATCTTGGCATATATGTGAAATTAGTATGTGATAAAGGATACATGGAAATCAACAAAGAATGATTAGACTACCAAATGATTGGCTATAAGGAAATTGATTACCTTAGAAAAAATAAGTTATGCATAAACACAAATATAGTTTCCTCTTTAATACTTTTTCCAGTTTTTTAAATAGTCATGGGGAAAACTTATTTAAAATGTTTAAAATATTGTTTAAAACAATATTCCTGGGACATTCCACAGAAGCTCATTCAATATAGGGATTAAAGCACTATGAGAAAAGCTCTGAAGGAGAGCTGAGCTCTAAGCCTTATTTTGCCTCCGTCTAGTTATGTCACCTTGGATAAGTTATTTTGTCATTGAGAATGCCATTTTTCTTAAGATGGGAGATTTGAATTTTATTTTCTCCAGTTTTCCATCCAAGTCTAAATTTTGTGTTGTGACATATATCAAATCTACCATGTGTAACAATATTTAACTAGGGGATAGGAACATGAAATCTGGACTTAGATGGGGTTCCAGCCCTAGTTCCGAAACTTACTGTTTGGTCTTAGGAAAGTTTTTCATCCTCTCTATATTTCAGTTTTCTCAACCAGAAATGAATCTAGGATAATGGTAGTATCCCACAGGCTTGTTGTGAAAAATAAAGCAATGCATGTAAATGCTTACAATGATGCCTGGCATATATTTTGCTCAGTAATATTATTTTTCAATTTGAAATTCCAGGAGCATTAACCCACCACCACCCACCAGTCTACTCAAGCATAATGAAATAGGTGCCTTTTTCCTGACTTTTTTGAAGTACATTCTGATATCCATTGATAAAAGAAGAATCTTATGGTTAGGGACAAGACTTCTCAAATGATTTTGATCTCTGCCCTTTCAATTTCCTCTCAGGGTCTTTGAAATAGAGCAGCAGTTAGTTCTCAAGACTCTATAGCAAATGAGTAGCACTGGGCATAAGGACATTCAAGAATGATACCTTCAGTAGGATGAAATATTCTATGCAATTTGTATGATAGTTAAACTTAGGTGCACATGGGATGAATTTGATTTGTTTCTCAACACATCTGTTAATAGTCCCAGTTTCTCTTAATACCATTTGAGAAATGCTTTTATAGATACAGTTTAGATGGATTTTAACACAAATAAAATTGCCCAATATTATATTATGTCCAGAGTTTGATAACAGTCTAGTCAAATTCTATTGAAGTATTATTTCTTTTTTTTTTCTTTTTGGTCTGAATGTTTGCATGTCCCCCAAATTTATTTACTTATTTATTTAGAAATTTTTAATAAGATTCACTAGTGGCAATGTAAATAAATTACAATCCAAAATGAAATTAGACAAATCTATCTAATAAATAAATTCATAACCATTATTACTTGCTTATAACATATCTGGCAGAGATGTTTAAAATGTCAACAATATTAATTTTTTGAGGGTGGAGAGTAGGAGGAGGGAGAGAAGCAGAAAAGATAACTATTGGGTACTGGGTCTAATTCCTGGGTGATGAAATAATCAGTACAACAGACCCTTATGACATGAGTTTACCTGTGTAACAAAATGAAGTATTATTTCATTTTTCAATTATGCCGTACTGATTTTTAAGAAAATATTATATTCATTAAAGGCCATGATTATTGCCTTTGATCATAGGCCATCTAAAGGCTAATGGCCAAATGATCTGCTATTGTCATTTATTTTTAGTATTACTTTATTTTTGTCTCTTTAGCACTTCTATAGGTGTCTCCTTAGAAAAGAATGCATACTAAAATGTACCCTAAAGTCTGAAAGAGAGTTATACAGCCCTTTGAGTAACTAAAATATAAATGAAGAGGGTTTTCCATGTTGAATCCCATCTTTCTTTTTACTTCAAGTGGAAGGAGAGTCAAAATCTATCCATGGTTGCTAATGATAGGTCTTATTTTGCTTTAATCCCTTGTCAGACATCTTCTATATTTCTCGAAATACTCAGTCTGCCCTTAATATGTCTTCACAGGTGCCCTGAGCAGGGCATGTATTCTACAGTGACTGTTGGATCAAGGAATGGGTCGTGGTTGATAGAGAACATTTCCACAGTCATAGTAAACTCTGATCCAAAAGTAATGAGAATAGTAGGAATCTTCTCTCTTAACCACTGCCTGGCCTGTCACAACAGATGATGTCATGTGTGAGATTTGGTTAGCGAGGAAGTGGGCTTAAATATGTGGTATGGGGAAGGAAATAGACAAGTTTTCTAAATTGATGTAGAAAATCCTAAATCTGGGGCAGCATGAAAAGGGAAATGAAGTTTTTGTAGCCATTGGGGTTCTGGCTAAGATAGCAGTTCCCTGGACAATTTCATATGTAACGCGTTTTACAGAATAAGACATATTAATCTGTCTTTGGAGGTTTTCTCTCTTGTTCTGTCACTCTAAGTGTCAAATTGATAATTAAATATAGGTGTGCAAGGGATAATTTTTATTTTTTAAACTTATTTTAATATTCTCTGAACAGTTTTCTTAAGTTTGGGAAGTAAAGATTTGAAATTACAAGTAGACACTTTGGATTGGAAGCCAGTAAGTTTGGAAAATGGAGATTTGCTCCGTGACTAAACAAGTCATCGAGGAAGCTATAAAATTAGGATGATTAAGCTGTTTGTGCTATCTATAGTTTTAATTTCTTAGCAGTGGAGAATGGAACCTATTGTATTCAAGAAATTATTTTGTCTGCTCTGTTCTAATATTTATTTGAAATTAATTTCAGATTCTTTTAGTGACCACTATACTCATTTTGAAAGAGTTGTGAAGGCTCTTCTGATCAACGCTTTAGATGAATCTTTTCTGGGAACATTATATGGTAAGTTAATACTATGAATGAAACAATTGGTTTTTATTTCTTTTTCCAATTTTAAAACAACCTCACTTTTAAAACTATGTAGATTAAACAAAACCAATGAGGATCATTTGTAAGACCTTCCAATGTTTTCCCTGTAGGATCAACTACATCAAAACTCCATTCATGTAAAATGCTTGTTAGTGTTCATTATCTGAGATATGTGGAAGGTAAGTTTGTGACAGGTCCTTTCCCTTAGGGAGTTAACAGTGAATTTGACAGGATAACACCTAAAACAGCAGAGTGTCTTAATACCCATGTGCCAAACCCAGCCTCTCTGAGCTCTGAATTTCATTAAAAGTTCCATGCTGTTTTCTGCTTTTGTGCCTTTGTCCATGCTGTTTCTTCTTAGAATAGAATCCCTTTTTGTCCCAGATGTTTTAGGTGAGTGTAAAAACATTTGTACTATGAATCTATCTATGACCCATTCACATAATATTTATCATTCTCATTTGTGCCGCCATCATTCTGAGTATGGTAATACTCATAGTACTCATTTATATGCACTTTTCATGTTGTATTGAAAATGTATTTTTGCTTTCTTCCCTTATCATAGTGTGGGAGCAAATTTATAAATATATATATAAATATACGTATATTTATATATTTATATATATAAATATATATGTATATATATATTTTTATATATTTATTTATATTTATATATGTTTATATATATTTATATTTATATATATATTTATATTTATATATATATATCCCCATTTCTCTTGCATCTAGCACAGAATCTGGCATTTAATAGACTATAAATATATTGTGTTGAATAACTAATTGCCAAATAAGATTTCATTTACAATATATTGAACAAATATTTATTGAATGTCTACTATAAGCTAGGCATTATTTGAGGGCTGGGGATGTGACAGTGACTTAAGGCATATTAGATTCCTGCACTCATGTTACTTATAGTCTAATGGGAGAGACAGACAATAAATGAGTAAACAAAATATAATACGATTTCAGTGGTGATTAGTTCTTGCAAAAAAATAAAATAGGGTAAGAAGATTGAGAATAAGGGAAGGTAAAGTTTATGTTATCTGCTAGTTAGATTAGTCAAAAAAGGCCTCTTGGGGTAGCTTTTAAACAGAAACCTGAATGAAGCAAAGGGAGCAAGTAATACGTGGATTACTTGCTTAGCAGAGGGCAAAGGAGGTGCTAAGGCCTTTAGGAAAGAGTAAGTTTGGTGTGTTCAAGAACAACTAGAAGGCCTTTGTGGCTGAAGTGGAATGAGACAGGAGAGAGGGAAAAGAGAGGAGCTCAGAGGAGTAGGCTGAGGACAGAAGGGCTTTGTAAGCTATGGTAAGGTGTTTGAATTTGTGATTATTTAAAGAAACATGATAAATTTATTAGTTAAATTAATTAATAAAACTTCAAATAAGGCAAGAAAATAAAGCTTAAATTCATACGATGACAGATGTATATAGAGAATATACTATGAGCCAAATCAGAAAGGCAGTAATGAGTGTAGCATGCTAAAGAAGAATGAGGAAAACGCCTAGCTAGAAAAGAGTATTCTGATTTGTTGACACAAGGAGTTACCATGGGATCAGTAGAATGGAGTCAATTGTAGACGGCCTTGAAAGCCTATTCAGAAGTTTGAACTTTATCTGGAATTCAGGGGCTAATTCATGTCAGTTTTGTATAAGAGAATAAAAGATAATTTGATAAGCTTTTTCATCTGACTTTTTTTGTTATCAGAAAGTAATGTTAAAGCTTGATGCTTACAAAGGGAACTTTTTGAGACGGAGTCTCACTCTATCACCCAGGCTGGAGTACAGTGGTGCGATCTCAGCTCACTATAAGCTCCCCCTCCCGGGTTCACACCATTCTCCTGCCTCAGCCTCCCGAGTAGCTGGGACTACAGGTGCCCGCTACCACGCCTGGCTAATTTTTTGTATTTTTAGTAGAGATGGGGTTTCACCGTGTTAGCCAGGATGGTCTCGATCTCCTGACCTCGTAATGCACCCACCTCGGCCTCCCAAAGTGCTGGGATTACAGGCATGAGGCACCGTGCCCGGCCTACCCTGTTTTTCCTTAATGTTCTGATGGAATGATTTTTTAAATATTTTTTTTCCTAATTTAAAATGCTTCCAACCAAGTTGGGAAGAAATTTTTAAGTATTAAATAGTTTAAATATTTCTAATTAACAAAATGATTTTTTTTGTTGTTTATCCCCTGAACAGATGGCACAAGGCAAAAATCATATGCAAAAGATATGCTAACATCTCTTCATTATTTGGATAACCGCTTTGTTCAGCCTCGTCTAGAGAGCTTGGTATCTAGAAGTCGTTGGAAAGAGCAATATAAGGTACACAGTTTGTTTTTGAATCTCTGCTTGGGGGTTGGGGGCAGCAAACCTCTCAGGATTTTAAAATCCAGACTGAATAATCTTCTAAAATATTGGCATGTCTTTGTTAAATAATCAGCTTATTATTTCTCACATCTTCTAAAAGTTATTATTGTTTTAATCCTTCACATTAACTATATCTATCCAATAATTAAGTGGTTCCAAATGATGAATAACTTCAGAACATCTCCAGGGCTTAGCCCATCTTTTAAAATGAGAAGATTGTCTCACACGGTGTTGTTATGTCAGAAAAGAGAGTTCCATGGTCAAAGAAATTTGAGAATCAGGGGTTGTAAGCTGGTTTCTTTACTGGAAGACTTTTCCCAAGCATTATATGTGAATTTATGTTATAAATATTCAAAGGGTGGTATGGAATGCAGTATTTCCTAAATTTGTGTTTTACTCTGTGAAGCTCTGTTTATGTAAACAGGTAACACCTGTTACCTGCTTGATTTCCATAACACATTGTTTGGGAAACACTGGTCTAGATAGTGTTTGGCATCTTTCTTTGCTTTAAGATTGCTTAATTCTACCAATTTGAAGAATTTATAATTTATCTTTTTAATTTATAAGATTTGCCACATTTTGTTTCATGTACCAGTTATCTATTTTATGATCTTTAATAGCAGAGGATGTACTATATGATTTGTAAGGGTTTTCTCCCTGTTACTTCTAACATTCTATATTCTAATGATTAGGAAGAGGAAAAATAAAAAGATAATTGAAGTTTAAGTTATTTAAAATCCTTTTAGCACTTAAATCATTAGTTCTTGTACCTCATTTATGCCAAGAGATTTGGTTTCATCCAAGGCTTTTCAGCCTTGTTGAATTATATGGTGATAAATTAGCCATAGATTAGGTTTATAAGACAGTGTAGGATTACAGAAAGAGTTTAAAAGACTTCAAGTTGGAGGATGGCTTGAGTTTAGGGCTATTGAGTTTTTGACTTTTGATAAATTTAACCTCTCTGAACCCATTTCTTCTTCATAGGTGGAAAATATTTACCTATTGTGAAATGAAATACTGTATATACTTATTTTCTTTGAAGATAAAGTACAGGCACAGCTTTTAGAACATGGCATAAATACTGTTTAATAGAAAAATAGCATATATAAGCATACCTCGTTTTGTTGCATTCCACTTTATTGCACTTTGCAGATAATGTATTTTTTTGAGATTGAAAGTTTTTGGCAACTGCATGGAGCAAGTCTGTTGGCACCATTTTTCTAACACCATATGCTTATTCATCTCTGTCACATTTTGGTAATTATTGCAGTATTTCAAACTTTTTCATTATTATTACATCTTTTATGGTGATCTGTGGTCAGTGATCTTTGATGTTACTATTATAATTGTTTGAGGGTGACAGAAACCATGCCCATATAATAGTGAACTTAATTTACAAATGTGTGTGCTGACTGCTCCACCAACTGGCTGTTTTCCCATCTCTCTTCCTCTCCTCAGGCATCCTTATTCCTTAAGACACAACGGTAATGAAATTAGGTCAATTAATAACCCTAAAATGGCCTCTGATCGTTCAAGTGAAAGGAAGAGTTGCAGGTCTCTCACTTTAAATCTAAAGTGAGAAATGATTAAGCTTTTTGAGGAAAGCATGTCAAAAGTTCAGATAGGCTGAAATGTAAGCCTCTTGCTCTTGTGCCAGACAGTTAGTCAAGTTGTGAATGCAAAGGAAAGTTCTTGAAGGAAATTAAAAATAATACATAAATGATTGAAACAGCCTTATTGCTGACATGGAGAATGTTTTAGTGGTATGGATTGAAGATCAAACTAGCTACAACATTCGTGTAAGCTAAAGACTAATCCAGAGCAAGGCCGTAACTCTTCAATTCCATGAATGCTCAGTGAGGTGAGGAAGCTTCAGAAGAAAAGTTTGGAGATAGCAGAGGTTGGTTCAATTTATGAGGTTTAAAGAAAGAAGCCATCTCCATAACGTAAAAGTGCAAAGGTGAAGCAGCAAGTGCTAATGGAGAAGCTGCAGCAAGTTGTCCAGAAAAACTAGCTAAGATAACTGATGAAAGTAAACAACAGATTTTTTCAGAGTAGACAAAATGGTCTTTTGTTAGAAGAAGATGCCTTTTTTTTTTTTTGAGACGGAGTCTCTCTCCATCGCCCAGGTTGGAGTGCAGTGGCGCAATCTCGGCTCACTGCAAGCTCCGCCTTCTGGGTTCACGCCATTCTCCTGCCTCAGCCTCCTGAGGAGCTGGGACTACAGGCGCCTGCCACCACGCCTGGCTGATTTTTTGTATTTTTAGTAGAGACGGGGTTTCGCCATCTTATCCAGGATGGTCTCGATCTCCTGACCTCATGATCCGCCTGCCTCAGCCTCCCAAAGTGCTGGGATTACGGACGTGAGCCACTGCACCCAGCCTACCATCTAGGACTTTTATAGCTAAAAAGAAGTAAATGCCTGGCTTCAAAGCTCCAAAGGACAGGCTGACTCTCTTGTTAGGGGCTAATGCAGCTGGTGACCTAAGTTGAAGCCAGTGCTCATTTACCATTCCTAGAATCCAAGGGTCCTTTGAGAATTATGCTAAACTGACTCTGTTTGTGCTCTATAAATGGAACAACAAAACCTGAATGATAGCACATCTGTTTATAGCATAGTTTACTGAATATTTTTGGACCACTGTTAAGACCTACTACTCAGAAAAAAAAAGATTCTTTTCAAAATATTATTCCTCATTGACAGTGCACCGGGTCACCCAAGAATTCTGATGGAGATTTACAAGGAGATTAATATCATTTTAATACCTCCCAGCACATCCATTCTGCAGCCTATGGATCAAGGAGTAATTTTGACTTTCAAGTTTTATTATTTAGGAAATAAATTCCAGGCCAGGTGTGGTGGCTCAGGCCTGTAATCCCAGCATTTTGGGTGGCCGAGGTGGTGGATCACCTGAGGTCAGGAGTTTGAGACCAGACTGGCCAACATGGTGAAACCCCGTATCTACTAAACATACAAAAATTAGCCAGGCATTATGGTGCACACCTGTAATTCCAGCTACTGGGGAGGCTGAAACAGGAGAATCGCTTGAACCTGGGAGGCAGAGGTTGCAGTGAGCCGAAATCACACCACTGCACTCAGTCTGGGTGACACAGCAAGACCCTGTCTCAAAAAAAAAAAAAAAAAAAGAAATACATTTCATAAGATTGTAGCAGCCATAGACAGTGATTCTTCTGATGTATCTAGGCAAAGTAAATTAAAAACCTTCTGGAAAGTATTCACCATTCTAGATGCCATCAAGGACATTTATGATTCATGAGAGAAGGTAAAAATATCAACATTAACAATTAAATTGAAAGAATTTGATTCCAACCCTCCTGGATGACTTGAAGGGGTTCAAGACCTCAGTGGAGGAAGTAACTACAGATATGGTTGAAATAGCAAGAGAACTAGAAGTAGAAGTGAAACTTAAAGATGTGACTGGATTGCTGCAATCTCATGATAAAAATTGAATGGATGAGGAGTTGCTTCTTACGGATAAGCAAAGAACGTGGTTTCTTGAGATGGAAACTACTCCTAGGAAAGGAAAGATACTACAAACATTGTTGAAATGACAACAGTGGATTTAAAATATGGTTGTTAAAGCAGTGTCAGGGTTTGAGAGGATTGACTCCAATTTTGAAATAAGTTCTATTCTGTATAACATACAATCAAATATACAATCAAACAGCATTGCATGCTACAGAGAAATCTTTCATGAAAGGAAGAGTCAGTGGATGCAACAAACTTTATTGTTGTCTTAAGAATGGATGCAACAAACTTTATTGTCTTGTTTTAAGAAATTGCCACAGCTACCCCAGCCTTCAGCAACTAGCCCCTTATCAGTCAGTAGCCATCCTATTGAGGCAAGACCCTCTATCAGCAAAAAGATGCCTATTCACTGGAGGTTCAGATGATTGTTAGCATTTTTTAGACCTAAAGTACTTTTTAATTAAATGTAGTTTAAATTACATACATTTTAGACATAATTCTGTTGCATGCTTAATAGACTACAGTACAGTGTAAACATAACTTTTATGTGTACTAGGAAACCACAAAATTTGTGTGACACGTTATTGATATATTTACTTTATTTTGGTGATCTGGAACCAAATCTGCAGTTTCTCTGAGGTATACCTGTACTGTATTTATAGATTATTTAACTTTAGCCAAGTAATCTACATGTAAACTAAAATTTTTTTTATCTTCAAAGTAACCCCATGAGGAAGACACTATTTTTGGAGGGAATAGAGGGGTCTCGTTCTGTGGCCCAGGCTGAACTTGAACTTCTGGGCTCGAGATCCTCCCACCTCAGCCTCCTGAGTTTCTGGGGCTACAGGCACGCGCCACTGTGGCCAGCTGGAGGGCACTATTATTTCCCCTCTTTTAGAGATGAGGAAACTGTCTCAGAAAAATAAAGTAACATAAGGTTCCACTGCTAATAATTAGACAGGCTGGTATTAAACCCAGAGTCTCAGACTCCAAAACCCATGCCTGTATGCCATATTAGGTTTTACCATATTGTGGTGGGTGATACTGAATTTGGATAATCTGATGTTGGGATAATAACTGTAAGATACCAAAAAGTATTAGCTGAAAAACTGAGACACAGATGATTCAGTAAGATCTTAATTAGGATAAGCTGGGTTATGCTTCAAAAGATAAAGAATATAACTAACAAACAAAATAAACCAACAATAAAATCCCAATGGCTTAACCCAACAAAGTTTATTTTCACTTATATATCCAGTGTTAGTCATCAGGGGTGCTCTGCTGACTGTAGTCACTCAGGGAACTGAGCTGATAGAGGTCGATAAAGGTTTCATCTTAACATGTGCTTCCATGGGGTATAGCAGAAGCAGGAAAGGAAGGTGGTTAGTTATCTATTCAGTCTGAATTTCAGCCTGTAAGTAATACATGTCATAAAGTGCCATGAAGTATGAGAAATATGAAAAGTTGACCACCAGAAAATGTAGTTTTCAATCATATAATATAAAAAGTAAACTGTCAGTATATTGGATACTTAATTACCATCCGTCTGGTAGAAGATATGAATGTGGTTTAGTAACCATGCTAATATGCTCACTGTGTGCAGTTCAAATATTGTATTAAAACCTAATCTACACTACCAATTAGAATAGTAGTATCTAGCACAGGCCTAGAACATAAGCAGAAATACTCAGGCACAAGTAACTTCATAGCTTAATAATGAAGCTTATTTATGAATGCCAAGTGTTTTCTCAGTTTGTTTACTCATTGATAACTGAGCTATTAAACTGTCCATATGAATACCAGACACGTGGCAGTCCTAGTGCCAACTTGTTTTTTCCCCAGGACTGTAGTAAGTTATCATAGGAGGATTGAATTATTTCTGGAATATTTTTGTGGCAAATATATAATTCATATAATGGAAAGTGAATGTGATTTTTTTTCTCAAGTTTTAACTAGCCTACTTGGAATTATTTTTCTTATATCATCCTACATTTTTGCTGCTCCTATTTTTAACTAATACCTCATTAACACTAACTAGAGATGAGAAATGGAAAAGAAGTAGCAACCGCAGAAGTGTAAGAGATATGAAACTAGCTTTTTCCTAGTCTGGTTTATTTTCATGCAATAGCCAAGATTATAAATTTTTTTATTTAAACATATCTTGTAAAATACCTACTATGTGCTCAGTATTAAAGTAAGAAATGCCAGGGTGTTTTGCTCTTATATCTCTTTGTATTGTAATCCCTAAGATGTTTTAATTGGTTAGATTCTTACTTTTATTTTTATTCTTTATCTTTTAAACTTTTTTTTATATTTTTTGTTTTCAGGAGCGAGTAGAAAATTATTCTAATGTAAGTATTCATTTGAAGAATCCTGAAAACTGTTCCTGCCAGGCTTGTGGACTGCATCGCTACTGTAAATATTCAGTGCATTTATCAGGAGAGTTGTATAACACCAGGACCATGCAAATAGATAATTTCATGTCACATGATAAACAGGTATTTTCTTCCCTCTAATCTTAATTTTCAGTATTTAGAAATTTTTATTTCATAAATAATCCTAAGTATCCTAAGGAAAATTTGACCCAAGTGGAAACATTTTTAGCATATAATCCACCAAATTGGCAACCCACAAGTAAATAATGGAAGATAGCTGTTCATCTAATAGGAGAGAATTCAAAAAACACTGTGCTTCAACTAGACTCTGTTAGAAGTATGTCAGAGTCTAGAGCAATCACCACATAGTTAAGATGCTATTAATTCTGTATGAATAGAAAAAACTGAAGAGTAAGTGTTTTTTAGACAAGAGCATAGCAGTATAATGTGAAATGATAAAAAGCACAGATGCTGACAACTTCTATTTATTTTTTCAATCTTACTTTATAAGATTGCTGCATTTACAAATGTGAAAATTATATTTATAAATGCAAGAAATACTGAGCGCTTTTTCTGGTAAGTCTACATATCCATGGAGGAGGTGTATATTTAGAGAGGTAGAGACCCAAAGTTGTCTCTGAATCCTCCCAGTCAATTATTAAGATGGAAATATAATATTTATCTAAATTCTTCTATTAAACTGGATAGTGATTTCTCAGTATTATCGAGCAGTAGTTGACCAGATCCCTCTGAGAGATCTGGGTTGCAAGAATGACTTAGAAGGTTTTTATGGGGATAATGAATTCAGAATTGGTCTGTAATGTTTTGTTTGATATGTTACTATAAAAATATGAATATATATGTATATTTAATAGTCATATGCAAATTTCCCCATTGTTTAAAAACTGATCTATGACTTTTTATGACATAAGATATCTGGAATCCTAGCAAAAGTGATTTCGTACATTAGGGACCATGTTCTGTTATGTATATCAAATACATTGCTGTACCTTCATGGTCTTTGCTGTCTATAGCTAATTCTGAAGAGGAAAGTGGAGTAAGAAAATCACTTCTAGAGCTCTGACATTCCTGTGAAGCAGTAAAGATTCTATATAAAATAGTTATTCAAATATTTAAAAAAACAATAAACTGAAAGCATGAACTAAAAGCAAAGAACATCAATATTGCCAGTCACGTAAGAGAAAACTATAAAAGTTAACAAATATATGGGAAAATGCTTATTCTGCATGTAAGGGTATATAATTAAAACTACCTTAAGATGCCAGTTGGTAATTCTTAAAGTGGCAAAGTATTCTCAAATCAAATGATAAAATGCAATGCTATCAAGGTTGCACTGAAACTAGTAAGTTCATGGAAAGTAAGATTCCTAGAGGAAAAAAGGGGTGATACGTATCTTTTAAAAATACTAGATTTTTAGAGCTAGAGTCACAAAGCTATATACATACTCAATGTCTATAAGTTTATCTTTTGCAAAGCAGTTCAGTAAAGAGCAAATGGTATAATCATGAAGTTGAAAAATAATGCTAGTTTGAAAGTATGATAACAATTAGTATTTGCACTGTCTAGGCATCTATATAAAAATGTGTGTATGCGTATATAACTATATGTAAACGTTAAGTTAGTTATTGGGTATGTTAAGAGAGTGTGATTAAATTTTTTAAAGAGAAATTGTTTTTTCAGTAATTTTTTCTTTAAAGTGAAGAATGACTTACAAAAATTTATCTTACATCCTACTTCAATACAATGTAAATGCATATATGTAAAGAAGGAAAGAAAGGGAGAGAAAATAAACCTAGTTATGATCCAGAGCATTAAAAAGATTGTGCTTGGCCGGGCACGGTGGCTCACGCCTGTAATCCCAGCACTTTGGGAGGCCGAGGCAGGCGGATCACGAGGTCAGGAGATCGAGACCATCCTGGCTAACACGTGAAACCCCGTCTCTACTAAAAATACAAAAAATTAGCCGAGAGAGGTGGCGGGCACCTGTAGTCCCAGCTACTCGAGGCAGGAGAATGGCGTGAACCCCGGCGGGCAGAGCCTGCAGTGATCCGAGATCGCGCCACTGCACTCCAGCCTGGGCGACAGCGAGACTCCATCTCAAAAAAAAAAAAAAGAAAAGAAAAAGAAATTGTGCTTAACCCCACACCCATCTTCAAGTTATTTTGAAGACTAATTCTTTATTTTGTGTTGCTGCTTGCAGTTACATAAAATTGAGACATTAACTAGGGTTCTTTTTGAGGGTGCAAATAATACTTTTAAGGAATTCACTTAACAGCAAATTTGTTTCATAAGAAAACTTTTCTCCTTTCTTTAGCTTCTTTGAAAGAAAGGATGCCTTGATGGAAAGTGGAATCAGTGGGGGAAGAGTAATTTTGGTTACAGCAGTATTGATAGGGTACTGAGACGAGAGGCCTTGGACCACCAGATTGTGATAAAGTTTAAGGACATAGATGAGAAGGAAATTACCTGGATGAAAGAGAGTTGTGAAATCTGAAAGGTAGTTTGGGAGAACTAAAAACAATCTTGGATATATGTTTAGTTTTGCCCAGAGTCTATCCAGACTCCTTAAGATGCTTAGGATTTGGTGGGAAGAAGCAATAATTTTTGAGGCAAATGGCATTGTATAATATGTCTGTACAAAAAACAAACAAAAAACCAAACAAGGGCAAATAGAACCCTTTGGATTGGTATTGTACTATCTGTTTCTGAAGACCCAGAAACAGAAAACAAACTTTTCCCCAGACTTACTGTTTCCTTGAGAATCCTTTTTCTTTGTTCTTCATACTTTAACTTCCATAAGGAGCTGGCTCCTCTGCCTATAAATAAGAGCTTAGAGAAATACTTCAAAAAGCTACCTACAGTTAGCTAAATATTACCAAGTCTGCCTGGTACATGTTTCATTATATTTCCTTGCCTCAGTTTGTTATCTAGATTTAATTTACACTCCATGTGATATAGCTGTTAAATTAGAAATGAGATTCTTTCTTCTGCTTTAGCAAAATTCAGTGACAATTTTTAGCTCCATTTCCAATTTTTACATATGTGCGATCACTTGGTTCATACTGATAACTGAACTGACTCAGTCTCATATTTATCAGGTCAGATAACTGTGCTTAACCGTGCATAGTGGGCCAGTCATCATTTATGTGTCATCTTCTTTATTTGCTTTGTGAACACTCACCACAGCACCTATTTTTCTCTGGTATTTTTTATACTAATTTTCTTGTTAGAATAGTTTCCTTAATGTACAGAAATTGAACTAGATAATTACAGTTGTTCTAAATATATTTTTCTGGACATTTAAAGAAATCATTCTAACACCAGAGATTAATGTTACCTGTTTTAGTATTTTATACAAATTGATTCCTACAGTGTAAGCTGTATTGTACTGTATACTTCAATTCATATGATAAAGAAATACAATGGGCTGTAACAATACACTAAAAACAGGAATGAGTGAGGGGTTAAGTTCACTTGGAGTATTACACCTATCCTTTGCATCTACTGTTTTCTGTGAAATTTTACAGCAGTGATGCCCTTCCATATAGGTTCTTCCATATAAAATGTGATCATATTTTGGGAAAAAATACAAGAACATTTTAAGGTAATTTTTGATTTATAGATCTATATGATGATAAGTAGATGCCAAGAGGGGTAGGAATTAGAAATGGAAAGAAGTAAACCATAATGTTAAATATTTTCAAAGGATACTTGTTTTTCATACAGGAAAAAAAATTAGGATTTTTAAACACCTCTCCTTCCCTCTTGTTTCAACTTAAAAATGCTATACAGATAAATTCCTCTTGTTTTGTGGAAATACAGAATAAATGTGAAAGAAATACAAATCACTTTATCGTATGCCTATACTTCATGTAGAACAGCTATAGCTGAGTTCTCCCACACAGTCTACTTTGATGGCAGAAATGGAGACACACAGGGTACCCTTATAGTCACGGCAACTTTTGTGTTGTCTTTTTACACAAAGTTGGAAGTATTAGCAAGTGAATTGCTGAAATGTCATTACTACCAGGACTGCTTTGATGATAAGGTTGAATTGGAAAAGTTAATTTTAATAAGCCATGTACAATAATACCTGTTTACTTCTAATGATCTGAAAAGCAGGAAGGTTTTTACGGAGCCATGAACAAAAATCTGAACATGCTTTTCTTAAACTTTTGGAGATTTGAAGAAGGGTTGCAAAATGTCCAAAATACAGTTTTCACAAGAAAACACATCAAACCTGATTGTTGCCAATCATTGTGATATAACTTCTATTCATTTTTGGAAACATACTCCTGCTTTGTCTATCATCACTTGTATGTTTCCTTGCAGTGTGGCCTCAGGAAACAAGTGTATTTTTCTGTCAGACAGAACACAAGTTGCATAGATAAATATTAAAACTAGTACTCATGAAAGCATAACCCATTAGTGAACTTAGGTACAGACACAAATACTTAAGTCAGCAGGAAGTTTACTCTTTCCTTAGGTTACTACTCCATGAGAGTAAGATTGACCATATCATAATGTTTGGAGCCCTTTCTGATGCATTTTCTACAGTGGGTAAAATGATGTAGGTAAAAATATATTGGCTGGGCGTGGTGGCTCACACCTATAATCCCAGCACTTTGGGAGGCCGAGGTGGGCAGATCACGAGGTCAGGAGTTCGAGACCATGGCCAACATGGTGAAATCCCGTCTCTACTAAAAATACAAAAAAAAAAAATTAGCTGCGTGTGGTGACAGGCACCTGTAATCCCAGCTACTTGGGAGGCTGAGGCAGGGAAACCGGAATGTAGAGGTTGCAGTGAGCCAAGCTTGCACCACTGCACTCCAGCCTGGGTGAAAAAGCGAAACTCCATCTCAGGAAAAAAAAAACAAAAAAAATATATATATATATATTTAAATAAATATTTTAATATGTAAATATTTTAAATATCTATATTTAATATATATTAATATATATTAAATATATATAAATAATTTGGTCAGTGCAGTCAGACTGTCTTCCTATTTTAGCTGTAGTTTTGTATAACAAATTTTAAACATTCAAAACATTCTGAAAGAGAAAGGTTCTGGTTATTTGATTTCATAAAAAGAGTTCTTAATCATAGAATTATAGAAGTCCATATAAACGTAGGAATTAAAATTCTTATAGCTGGCTGACAGCAAAATATTAATGTCTTATTCACATATAACACCTTAAGTAAAGCAATCAGTATGCCTAAACACAGATTTATTTTTTTACTTTAGATCATTTTTTTTGGGGGGGGAAAAGAAAAGTATCTAGTAAAAAACTGCCAATACTTAATTTTGGTGTAAGAGTTTGTTTCAGTTTTACATGTTGCTTATAGCTAGAAAAATATTATAATCCAGTCATTTTTAACTTCATAAATATGGACTTATCATACTTTTCATGCTTTTTTTTTTTTTTTTTTTTTTTACTTTGCCCATCCTTCTGCCTTTCATTAAAGCCATTTCTCTTTTTTCCCCCGAACTTGGCAAACTCTTGTGTTTTCAAGACTTAGTTCAAGCTTGATTTGCTTGGGGACTTTTGTTCTATCTGGATTGGGCTAAGTGCCCCTCTTCACTAGCATTTTGGACATAGCATCTTGGACATACCATTTTTCATGTTGTTTTGTAACCATTTGTCTTTCTCTCAAAACTGTAAGCTCCCTAATACCGGTAATAGGTATTTTATTTATATATCTCTAGTGCCTAGCCCAATGTTTGAAACCTCACAGGTGCTCAGTGTTTGACTAGTTGTATAAGTAAGAGAAGGTAAAGGAATCATTGTGTAAACACTGGAAGTTAATAATGCATTTTGATTCTACTACTAAAGAAAATCCAAAAACCAGAAAGGATATATATTCGTTGTCAGATAACAATCTTTATTTCTTGATTTAGGTGTTCACTGTTGGCAGAATTTGTGCCAGCCGTACCAGAATTTATCATAAACTGAAACATTTTAAATTCAAACTATACCAGGAATGTTGCACCATTGCAATGACAGAAGAAGTTGAAGATGAACAAGTTAAAGAAACAGTGGAAAGAATTTTCAGGCGGTCAAAAGAAAATGGCTGGATTAAGGAGGTAAGGTGAATATATGAGAATCTTATCATGTAGATTCTGAAGGCTAATTATGATCAGCAAAAGGAAACAAATGATTAAAAGATAGTGAAATTTAAGAGAATCTCTTTCTTCTGTCGTTTGTATTTTCTCTTCTTCCGCTCATTCCTTTCATGCTTATCATTGTCCTTCTGAATAGATGCCCTGATGTTCTAAGGATTCACTCAGCCCATCAGATAAATTTTAATAAGCATTAACACTGTCCTTTATTGAAGGACCTCTGTCCTTTCGCTTTTATGTATGTATTGCTTACATATATATTAAGTCCCCTGATTTTTTTTTTTTTTTTTGACAGAGTATAGGACTCACCTCTGCTTGTCTGCTTCCTATTCTTTAGAACAGTTCTTGTGACCTGAGAGTGAAGAAGCACCTGGTGCCAGTCTGAGGAAAGGATCTCGGCTGCCAGTTCTAATACACCCACATCCTCTTCTTGAGGACATGGGACTGAGCAGTGAGCACTGTAACTGAAGATCGAGGGGAATGCAGAGGTTTCAGACCACAGCACTGATTTTGATTCCCCCATATCCTATTGATCACTAAATTTGATAACAGGAGTAAAGTGGGGGTTTTGAAGAGTGCACTGGATTCCCGAAGATCTGCTGGCAGCTTACAAGCTCTGGTCTGCTCACAGAGCTTTTAGAATTGTTTATGGTATATGGAAAGAATGCTAATACGACTGCAGTCTTCTAAAACAAGTCTAGTTACATGAATGTATAAGAGAGAACAAATAGTAGATTTTCAGGCAACTCTTATCAACATTTAATCTTTTAAAGAAAAGAAAAAAGCCTAACTTGAGATCCATTGCCTGGACTATATCATAGGGAAATTTGTAAAAGAGGAATATAAAAAATAAGGCAAGAGAGCTTAGGCAGATGGAAAGAAAACAAAACAGAAACTTTTTTAGCACATGTCATATTTAGTGGAGGTCTCCCAGTCTAGATAATGACATCATCACTGGTTTCCCTTTGACAATTTTTCTCCCACCACAAACCACCACCCAGTGATCTTGCCTGCCCCCCACATCTTGATCCTTAAGTCTTTCTCTCATTTTATTCTTTTCAGCTTTTTGTCTTTTACTTTGCTTCTACTTCTCCTACTCCAAATGCTTCTCCCTGCTTATCCGTACTTTTTCATTTGCTTTAGGAGAGAGCACTTATTCAATAACTTCCCGTCTTCATTTTCCTAGACAACATTAAATTCTTAAGTGCTTTTATTGATGCCTTTAAGTGTTGCCAACCCTCTAGTGGAACTGCAAAACCTATTGGGATAGCACAGTTATAAAGAATTAGATACTAGGTATAGAAAAATCACTGTGCATATACTGTATATGTTATATAATAGTATCATATATGGGGAAGAACTTTAAACTTCTTGAAGAAAAAAGCATTTCCAAATCATGTATCCTAGAAAAAGCTTAACAAGGTTTAGGACACCAGAAGGGACCTGGAATTTTAAAGACGTTATTCTTTATGCATAACACTTGGCATTCTTTTCTTAGGAAAAGAAAGGAGCTTAGGCTTTCTTTTCAAGAAAGCCAAGTGTCATGTTATACATAAAGAATAACATTTAGCATTAGGCATTGAAGGTATTTCAAGATTGTGCATGTCTAGGACAGTATACACATTTTTTTCCCCATGAAAATACCAAAGACCTTCATTTTTTTGAGATTTCTCCACTTAAAAAATTTGTTCCTAGGTTTTCTCAAAAGATTTCCTAGAAACCACAGAGGTTTATAGCCAATATAAACCCATTTGCAGCTTTTTGTGCTGTAATGAAATTTCAAAATTTGTCACGTGCTCTGACATTTCCCATCCTCACTCTGTCTGTCCCTCTCACTGTGTGCCTTTGAGTGATAGCACTGCATGTACTTTGTGATGTGTGCTGCCTTTAGCTACAGTCTGGTAGTCACAGTTACTCTAACCCTTTAGAATGCCTGGGGCTCAGTGTTACTTGAATGCCGTCTCCATGGCACTTTCCGCTCATATTTCCCATTTATGTCAACCCCTTTTGTTGCCTTACACGTACTATTTGTTCCTGTCTTTCTGCCTCCAGCTTGTATTCCACACCTTACTTTTTCCCTTACCTGCTTCTTCAGCCATTTTACTTTAATTATCTCAGGATGTCTCAGCATGTCTTCCCAAAGACATGCCAACTAGACTGACTTCATTCTTTTTGTTCTTCCTTCTAAAGGTTGAACTAGGGTGATCCGTTTTTAATGTAATGATACTAAAGGGGTGTAGGAGCAACTTGAGTATAAGAAAAGAATAGATAATAGGAAAATTATAATAAAACCAAAATATTTAATAAACATAATAATGCATGTCTTATTCTAAAGAAGAGTTCAATAACATACTCTAATATGACACTGGCAAAATTCTAACGAATATTTGTTCATTAAGAAGAAAGTGTATATGATGATGGGACTTCCTGGGAAGTTGAAGATAGTATTGTTGGGATTGGCTGGTGGATGCATAAACACCAGGTAGTAAAGAAAGCATGTCAATAGAAGTATCAGATGCCCATTCATACTGTAAATACTGTGTGTAAAACTGTTACAAGTGACAGTTGTATGTAAATTTTAAATGCACTGATAAATATTGTCATATACATAATAATTTAAAATTATAATTAGATATCCCTTGCCTTCCTTAAACGCTTCTCTTCTTTTTCCCCTCCTTTTCAACTTTTTCCCTTGCCCCTTTTTTCCCCACCCCTTAAACTGATGTTTCTCAAAGCATGGCCCTAAACTACCTATATCAGAATCACCTAGAAGTTTTTGAAAAGTGTATAATCCCCTAGCCTCATCCCAGATTTATTGAATGACAATCCTTGTGGATGTTAAACATCCAATATTTTTAGCATTGATGATTCTTAAATAGATAAAAGTTTGAGGATCACTGCTAAAAAGTACCCGTTAACACTGAATTCTGTCCTCATCCTCTCAAAGTTGCCTTGGCGAATCAATTCCCTTCTGCAGTTGTAGCTACTACTTCTGAGTAGAAGATTCCAAACTTCTCTTATATTCTGACCTCTTTCCCACACTTCATTTCCACAATTCCAACTGTTTTCATCAGTAGGTCCATCAGGTGTTGTAAGAGAGTAGTCTTCACTATTAAAATAAGTAGTCTTCACTATTAAAACCCTCCAAATGTTTAGTAAAGAATTATGAGAGCAGTATCTTTAGGTAGAGAGGATGGCAGAGTAATACTAACTGCAATGTCTGTGAGTTTCACTTTCCAAGTTTTTTTTTTCTTGCCAAAGCTGCATCCTAGCCACACCATTTAAATCTCAGAAACAGCATACTCTAAACTGGTTAAAAGTATAAGCTTAAGTATTTGCTTTGCCACTTACTAGCAGTAGAATTTGGGAGCAAGCTATTTTATTTCTCTTAGCCTAAGTTTTCTCATCTGTAAAGTAGGAACAAAAACAGTAATAATAATTAGGGTTTTGATTGTGGAGATTAGATATGTAATACGTTTTAAGCATTTAGTATAGGACCTAGCAATTAGTAAGTGATTGATTAATCTTAGCTGTTACTTGCAATAAAAGCAAGTAACCTCCTATCTTAGTATAGCTGAGATAGATTTTAATTGTCCTAGCTGTGTGTGGTGGTGCACAGCTGTAGTCACAGCTACTTGGGAGGCTGAGGTGGTAGAATCGCCTGAGCCCAGGAGTTCAAGGCCAGCCTGAGCAAGATAGTGAGACCCTGTCTCTTAAAATAATTTTTTTAATTTTTAATTTTCCAAAAGAAATTTAATAAATAATAAAGGAATATGAGGAAAGGTAATATGAGAAACATAAAAAGTCAAACTTTTAAAGTATAGGTTTCTAATCCTAGAGTACTTTACTTATATCTAATAAAACCTATCTAAGTACTAGGCCAAAGAAAATTCCTAAGTAGTCCCTAGGCTATTTCCCCTTCTGTTATGTGTTTCCATCTTTCCTGAGAAGGAGATCCAGTCAGATATCATACGGTTATAAAAAAGAGTTTCATGGCCTTCAAGGTGTAGAAGGAAAATGCACTTCTCAACATTCCCTTCTGTAGGTCCCTATCACCACAAAAGTCAGGGTCACCAGGATCCTCTCTCATTTCACTGAAGATTAAAACACAGTTCATAAACAGAGTCAAGAAACTAGTATGTCATTAATCCCCTCACTGAAATAAATACTTTGAACTCTATATGTCTGAAACTGAAATCATGATATCTTTCCCTCGCACAAACAACCTGCAAAAGAGCCTGCCATTATTCTACTCTGTCAACTTTGAAATCTCTAAATCATTCTTGACCCCTCTCTTAACTTGTTACACTTTGTTCTTTACTCTTCATCTTCATTGCCATGACTCAGATTTGGGCCCTCATGACCTAAATTGTTATCACAGACCCATAACTAGTTGCTGAACTATTCTAGAATGAATGTTTTACCGATTTTCTTAAAATACACCTGAGATCAGTTCAGTCCCCTGCTCCAAAACCTTTAGCAACTTTCCATTACCTGTCAAATGATTGTTCAATTCTTTAACCAGTATTTTATAATTTTTGTTCTCTGAACTCAGCCTCTTTGGTTCAGTCTTAGCTCTCTCTGTTCTCCTAAAAATACTCAGGTTGTAGTCAAATCCCATATTTTCTTGTCACGTCACTTTGATGGACTGTTCCCTCTTACTGAAAAGTCTTGCCACCAACTCTTTGCCTACCAAATCTGTTTTTCCAGGACAACTTAAATGCCACTCTTTACTGCTTACCTCAACTAACCATGACCTATCTTCTGAACCCTCATAACAGTGTCTGTACCTCTTTGGCACTTATTACTGATTGTTATTGGTGTATTACTACTGAACTGTATTCTCCTTAGGGGCAGGAAAAGTATCTTTTAAAAAACACTGTACCTAGACAGTCATTAGCAGAGCCTTTGATATATATGTTCAACAAACTTTTTATTAAGTTATTGAGGTTACTACATTTCTACTGTAATCATGATAATATAAAAATTATAATTTAAAACACAGTTATAAAATTAATAATATTCACTTTGATCACTTTCCAATGCTTTCTATATGGAAATATATGAGTTATATATGAGTTAGGAATGCTTATTTGAAATTAAGTTCCTGTTTATCATAAAAAGATTTTTGTTCACGATTACCATGAAATGGACTTATCCTAATTGTGTCTGTAGTTTGCAAAGGCCCAGTTTGTCTTCATTGCTTTGAGTAAAATAACTAGCTTTTCTATTGTATATGCAGAAATATGGTCAACTTGAAGAATATCTCAATTTTGCGGATTACTTTCAAGAAGAGAAGTTTGAGTTGTAACACATTTCCATCAGAGAAGATTTTTTAAATTCCTGTAAATGTGAAGATCATGATTCTTGTTTTTCTGTATCATGTGACATGTTTGTACATTTTATCTATATCTTCATGGCAAAATATTTTGTTTAAAACATGATTATCTTAATTCCTGTGAAGTGGCACTCTACACTCTAATTAAACTTTTATCTGATGTACATAAAAGCATTATCTTAATTTTTAAGTCTGTAAATATATTTTAAAGTTATATAATAATGGCTTTATAACAGATGACTGTCAAGTGAATGAGCTGTTGATATCCTGTCAGTTTAGTCAAAATATATTGTATCTTAAAAATGTATTTAGACTAACGTCTACATGTATTTTTACGGAATTCCTGTCCAGATCTGTTTATTCTTTTACAGTATTAAATGATTTTCACTAATATATTTTTTACTGCTATCATCTAAATCAGTGGGCCATGGAAGAAACCTCATATATCATTCAGTTCAATCCCATTGCTTCAGAATCAGATCATAGCATATCTATTCTAAGTAGAGGAATGCTTTTTTCCTTTTCTTGAAAGTTTCTCTTTCAAATAGATTTCAGGCCTCTAGAGTCTTTCAACCCTCACATTCAGGAATAATTTTATGTAAATTTTCATGCTTTATAATGTTCTTACTTTTTTCTATTCAATTTTGTCTATATATTGATGATTAAGATGTATTTTATTTATTTTTATCCATAGCTTTTTCCATATAAGTATGTATCTTAGGGTCAGAACTGCTGAAAGAGACAAACTCAGCCAAAAACACTTGGAAAGCATATTTTGGTATCTGCATTGCTTTGCATATCTAAATTTTCCCATAAAGTAATAAAGTAAAATGGTTGCAGAGTGAACAAATGAACCCTGTGTGTTCTATATTTTTAATTCTTAAAAGTGGTATTCTAGTAGGATCTATCCTTTAGATAATTTTTTCTTAATGGAAGTCTTGGTTGAACTTGGATTCATCTATTATGCGACTCATGGCATGGACCGTAGTGTACGTATCCATAAAAAGCTACATTAAGCTCATATATGGAAATGAGTTAATATTTTCTACAATTCATTTCCTGAAATTATCCGTATTATTATTGTAAACAAATGGGGTGGAAAAAACTCACAATTGTGGTAACAGTACTGATGCTGATGTTTAATGTTTAATGAGGAGTGCATACCTTTTTCAAACATTGTGAAATGGAAATTTCACATATCTGTATTTTTTTTTAATTTGAGATGGAGTCTTGCTCTTGTCACCCAGGCTGGCGTGCAATGGCATGATCTCTACTCACTGCAACCTCCGCCTCCCGGGTTCAAGCGACTCACCCACCTCAACCTCCTGAGTGGCTGGGATTACAGGCATGCGCCACCACACCTGGCTAATTTTGCATTTTTTAGTAGAGATGGGGTTTCACCATGTTGGCCACGCTGGTCTTGAACTCCTGACTTCAGGTGATCCACCCACCTTGGCTTCTCAAAGTCCTGTGATTACAAGCATGAGCCACTGTGTCTGCCCTACATATCTGTATACTTATTCATATTTCCCTGGCATATTGCAAAATAATTCTTAACTAAATTCCAAGGAATAAAAATAAAGTCGTAATTGAAAGGTGAAGATGAAGGGACAGTGTCCACAAAAAAAGCAAGGCAGAGTTAGAAGTGACAGTCAAGGAGGAAGGGTAAAGGATCACAAATGATTTATAAAAAGGAAGGCCAGAAGAAATGAAAAAAAAAAAAGGATCTCTAAAGTATCTCCAATTACCTAGAAGCATCAGTTCTCATATGGGACATTACAGACAAGCTTGAGATGGCTGAAGAGTAATCTTAAAATATATCTCTTACTTTTAACAGCATGCAGTTAATTTGTAAATTAAGGCACTAATAATTCCAAGGACTTATCTGGATCAACCATCTTGTTGGCTTGAAGCACTTTTCCTATTGGAACAGCTGCCTGTTGATCATAAAATGCTTATAGGTAGTTTGATGTCTAAGGTCATTGCAACCAAGCATGCTACTTTGTAGGAATTTGGAGAATACAAGAGGCTCTAAGGTCGTGGTAACATTAAAAGAATGGCAAAAAGGCTGTTAGGAAGTGAGAATTAACATGTATTAGGGGGCAAAAAGCAAGTAGTTCATAAGAAAATGGAAATGTTGAGAAATAGAATTAACCTTTACAGGTATTAGGACATATTATTTTATCATTATCATCATCATCATCAATATCATTGATTCAATAACAACACAAAAACAGGTTTTTTTTGTTTTTGTTTTTGTTTTTTTGAGATGGAGTCTCGCTCTGTTGCCAGGCTGTAGTGCAGTGGGGCGATCTCACTCACTGCAACCTCCACCTCCCAAGGTCAACCGATTCCCCTGCTTCAGCGTCCCAAGTAGCTGGGACTACAGGTGTGCACCACCATGCCCAGCTAATTACAAAAATAGTTTTTAAGCTCATTTATTTCACATATCATTTCACATGACTGTAAATTTTTTAGATTTGGTCATTTATTACTACAGTGTTAGGTGCTTTAGTGTTAGGTAGCTATTGATAGCAGAGATGATGAGGAAGACAGAAATGGACAAGTAAAAGGAAAGTAATTCTAGAAAGAAATCACAGGGCTATACAGAAGCTTTAGGGTTATGAAGAGAGGGAACAAAACCATAAGACAGGAAAAAACAAGGGAAAATAAATGTTTATTGTACAGGCAGTTGGATGCAATTGGCCACATTTCCTGACTTGTCTGCTCATATTCAGATGAGTAGATCTATATAGTACTCATTCCCAGGAGGTATTATAGGACTTACTTAGATTCCAGAGTGTTCACTGAGGGATAGACTGCAGCCTTTGAGCAGCTTTGAGCTACTTTGGAGATAGTTTGGCTCCCCCATAACTCCTTTCATACTTGCTATTGAGGCAGCCAGACTAGTGATTAAGGTGGAAGTCAGTCTTTTTTCTTCAACTTTTATTTTAACTTCCGGGATACATGTGTAGGATGTGTAGGCTTGTTACATAGGTAAATGTGTGCCATGGTGGTTTGCTGCACAGATCATCCCATCACCTAGGTTTTAAGCCCAGCATCCATTAGCTATTCTTCCTGATGCTCCCCATCCCCCAACCCAACCACCAACAGGCTCCAGTGTGTGTTGTTCCCCACCATGTGTCCATATGTTCTCATCATTCAGCTCCCACTTACAAGTGAGACGGTGCGATGTTTGGTTTTCTATTCCTGCATTAGTCTGCTGAGGAAAATGGCTTCCAACTCCGTCCATGTCCCTGCAAAGGCCATGATCTCATTTCTTTTTATGACTGCATAGTATTCCCTGGTGTTTATGTACCACATTTTCTTTATCCACTCTATCATTGATGGGCATTTAGGTCGATTCTGTGTTTTTGCTATTGTGAATAGTGCTGCAGTGAACATACATGTGCACATATCTTTATAATAGAATGATTTATATTCCTTTGGGTATATACGCAGTTATGGGATTGCTGGGTCAAATGGTATTTCTGCCTCTAGGTCTTTGAGGAATCACCACACTGTCTTCCACAATGATTGAACTAATTTACACCAACAGTGTAAAAGCATGCCTTTTTTCTCCACCACCTTGCCAGCATCTGTTGTTTTTGTTTTGTGTTTTTGTTTGTTTTTTTACTTTTACCTAATAGCCCTTCTGACTGGCATGAGATGGTATCTCATTGTGGTCTGGATTTGCATTTCTCTAATGATCAGTGATGTTGAGCTTTTTTCGTATGTTTGTTGGCTGCATAAATGTCTACTTTTGAGGGCTGTCTGTTCATGTCCTTTGCCCACTTTTTAATGGGGTTTGTTTTATTCTTTTAAATTTGTTTAAGTTCCTTGTAGACTCTGGCTATTAGACCTTTGTCAGATGGATAGATTGCAAAAATTTTTTCTCATTGTGTAGGTTGTCTGCTTACTCTGATGACAGTTTCTTTTGCTATGCAGAAGCTTTTTAGTTAATCAGATCCCATTTGTCAAGTTTTGCTTTTTTGCAATTGCTTTTGGTGTTTTCATCATGAAATCTTTGCCCGTGCCTATGTCCTGAATGGTATTGCCTAGATTTTCTTCTAGGGTTTTTATAGTTTGGGATTTTACATTTAAGTCTTTAATCCATCTAGAGTTCACCACTTCTGTTCAATATAGTGTTGGAAGTTCTGGCCAGGGCAATCAGGCAAGAGAAGGAAATAAAGAGTATTCAAATAGGAAGAAAGGAAGTCAAATTATCTTTGTTTGCAGATGACATGATTCTATGTCTAGAAAACCCCATTGTCTCAGCCCAAAAGCTTCTTAAGCTGATAAGCAACTTAAGCAAAGTCTCAGAATACAAAATCAACGTGCAAAGATTGCTAGCATTCCTATATACCAACAACAGGCAAGCAGAGAGCCAAATCATGAATGAACTCCCATTCACAATTGCTACAAAAAGAATAAAATACCTAGGAATACAGCTAACAAAGGAAGTGAAGGACCTCTTCAAGGAGGACTACAAACTACTGCTCAAAGAAATCAGAGAGGACACAAATGGAATCCATGCTCATGGATAGGAAGAATCAATATCGTGAAAATGGCCATACTGCCCAAAGTAATTTATAGATTCAATGCTATTCCCATTAAACTACCATTAACATTCTTCACAGAATTAGAAAAAACTATTTCAAAATTCATATGGAACCAAAAAAGAGCCTGAATAGCCAAGACAATCCTGAGCAAAAAGAAAAAGGCTGGAGGCCTCATGCTACCCAACTTCAAACTATACTACAAGGCTACAGTAACCAAAACAGCATGGTACTGGTACAAGAACAGACACATAGACCAATCGAACAGAATAGAGAACTCAGAAATATGACCACCCACCTACAACCATCTGATCTTCAACAAACCTGACAAAAACACCCAAGTGAGGAAGGATTCCCTACAAAATAAATTATGCTGGGAGAATTGGCTAGCCATATGCAGAAAATTGAAACTGGACACCTTCCTTACACCATGAAGTCAGTCTTGAATTAGAATTCTGGTCTATTGACTTCCTAGTTATATGAACAAGAACCAGTACTTTAATTTTCATGAGCCTTAGTTTTTCTCATTTATAAATGGAGTTATAGTATCTCTCAGGATTGTTTGTGGATTAAGAGGGATAATATTTGAGAAGTGCTGTGGCATAACAGTAATTTTTTAATTGCAACCGATGGAAACAGAAATGAAGATGTTGATGATGATGTCAACTTGAAATTAAATGTCTATTTAAGGGTAAATGTGTAAAAAAAAAAGACACTCCAAAGAAGTGTCCTATACCACTGGAATATAGTATGAATATTAAATTCCTGCTTCACAATTTAAGATATGTCTATGTCTAGCAGAGTAGTTAAAGTTTACATCATTTAGTAATAGCTGATTTGACTAAGGACTGCATGTTATGAATCAAATTCCATGTTACTGAAGGGCTACAGAGTGAATGGAATGGTTTCAGTTTAAATATTACATGTTTCTTTTATGCTGAATGTAAAATATCCACAGTAGTACAAAGAAGATATTGTCTGATGAAGACAACTTTTTAAAACTAAACTTTTAAAAATAAAAGTTTTCTATTTTTGTCCTCTTTAATGACACCTCATGACAGTTCTCCATTCAAATTCTGTTTATCTAACAAATATATATTTCTGCTTTTCTCATGAGTAGTGAGGAACTTAGCCTTGGAAGGAACAGATAGAGATAGAAGTATGTTCCAATGAAGGCTGGGCGCAGTGGCTCATGCCTGTGATCTCAGCACTTTGTGAGGCTGGGGCGGGCGGATCACAAGGTCAGGAGATTGAGACCGTCCTGGCTAACACAGTCAAACTCCGTCTCTACTAAAACTACAAAAAATTAGTTGGGCGGGGTGGCGTGCGCCTGTAATCCCAGCTATTCAGGATGGTGAGGCAGGAGAATCACTTGAACCTGGGAGGTGGAGGTTGCAGTGAGCTGAGATCGTGCCACTGCACTCCAGCCTGGGTGACAGAGCGAGACTAGGTCTTAAAAAAAAAAAAAATTGAGGCAATAATTAATAGCTTACCAACCAAAAAAAGTCCAGGACCAGATGGATTCACAGCCGAATTCTACCACAGGTACAAGGAGGAGCTGGTACCATTCCTTCTGAAACTATTCCAATCAACAGAAAAAGAGGGAATCTTCCCTAACTCATTTTATGAGGCCACCATCATCCTGATACCAAAGCCTGGCAGAGACATAACAAAAAAAGAGAATTTTAGACCAATATCCTTGATGAACATTGATGCAAAAATCCTCAATAAAATACTGGCAAACCGAATCCAGCAGCACATCAAAAAGCTTATCTACCATGATCAAGTAGGCTTCATCCCTGGGATGCAAGGCTGGTTCAACATATGAAAATCAATAAACACAATCCAGCACATCAACAGAACCAAAGTCAAAAACCACATGATTATCTCAATAGATGCAGAAAAGGCCTTTGACAAAATTCAACAACCCTTCATGCTAAAAACTCTCAATAAATTAGGTATTGATTGGACGTATCTCAAAATAATAAGAGCTATCTATGACAAACCCACAGCCAATATCATACTGAATGGACAAAAACTGGAAGCATTCCCTTTGAAAACTGGCACAAGACAGGGATGCCCTCTCTCACCACTCCTATTCAACATGGTGTTGGAAGTTCTGACCAGGGCAATCAGGCAGGAGAAGGAAATAAAGGGTATTCAATTAGGAAAAGAGGAAGTCAAATTGTCCCTGTTTGCAGATGACATGATTGTATGTCTAGAAAACCCCATCATCTCAGCCCAAAATCTCCTTAAGCTGATAAGCAACTTCAGCAAAGTCTCAGGATACAAAATCAATGTGCAAAAATCACAAGCATTCTTATACACCAATAACAGACAAACAGAGAGCCAAATCATGAGTGAACTCCCATTCACAATTGCTTCAAAGAGAATAAAATACCTAGGAATCCAACTTACAAGGGACCTGAAGGACCTCTTCAAGGAGAACTACAAACCACTGCTCAATGAAATAAAAGAGGATACAAAGAAATGGAAGAACATTCCATGCTCATGGGTAGGAAGAATCAATATCGTGAAAATGGCCATATTGCCCAACGTAATTTATAGATTCAATGCCATCCCCATCAAGCTACCAACGACTTTCTTCACAGAATTGGAAAAAACTACTTTAAAGTTCATGTGGAACCAAAAAAGAGCCCGCATTGCCAAGTCAATCCTAAGCCAAAAGAACAAAGCTGGAGGCATCATGCTACCTGACTTCAAACTATACTACAAGGCTACAGTAACCAAAACAGCATGGTACTGGTACCAAAGCAGAGATATAGACCAATGGAACTGAACAGAGCCCTCAGAAATAATGCCGCATATCTACAACTATCTGATCTTTGACAAACCTGAGAAAAACAAGCAATGGGGAAAGGATTCCCTATTTAATAAATGGTGCCAGGAAAACTGGCTAGCCATATGTAGAAAGCTGAAACTGGATCCCTTCCTTACACCTTATACAAAAATTAATTCAAGATGGATTAAAGACTTATGTGTTAGACCTAAAACCATAAAAACCCTAGAAGAAAACCTAGGCAATAACATTCAAGACATAGGTGTGGGCAAGGACTTCATGTCTAAAACACCAAAAGCAATGGCAACAAAAGCCAAAATTGACAAATGGGATCTAATTAAACTAAAGAGCTTCTGCACAGCAAAAGAAACTACCATCACAGTGAACAGGCAACCTACAGAATGGGAGAAAATTTTTGCAACCTACCCATCTGACAAAGGGCTAATATCCAGAATCTAAATGAACTCAAACAAATTTACAAGAAAAAAACAAATAACCCCATAAAAAGTGGGCAAAGGATATGAACAGACACTTCTCGAAAGAAGACATTTATGCAGCCAAAAAGCACATGAAAAAATGCTCATCGTCATTGGCCATCAGAGAAACGCAAATCAAAACCACTATGAGATACCATCTCACACCAGTTAGAATGGCAATCATTAAAAAGTCAGGAAACAACAGGTGCTGGAGAGGATGTGGAGAAATAGGAACACTTTTACACTGTTGGTGGGACTGTAAACTAGTTTAACCATTGTGGAAGTCAGTGTGGCGATTCCTCAGGGATCTAGAACTAGAAATACCATTTGACCCAGCCATCCCATTACTGGGTATATACCCAAAGGACTATAAATTATGCTGCTATAGAGACACATGCACTGGTACGTTTATTGCGGCACTATTCACAATAGTAAAGACTTGGAACCAACCCAAATGTCCAACAATGATAGACTGGATTAAGAAAATGTGGCACATATACACCATGGAATACTATGCAGCCATAAAAATTGATGAGTTCATGTCCTTTGTAGGGACATGGATGAAGCTGGAAACCATCATTCTCAGCAAACTATCACAAGGACGAAGAAACAAACACCGCATGTTCTCACTCATAGGTGGGAATTGAACAATGAGATCACATGGACACAGGAAGGGGAACATCACACTCTGGGGACTGTTGTGGGGTGGGGTGAGGGGGGAGAGATAGCATTAGGAGATATGCCTAATGCTAAATAACGAGTTCATGGGTGCAGCACACCAGCATGGCACATGTATACATATGTAACAAACCTGCACGTTGTGAACATGTACCCTAAAACTTAAAGTATAATAATAATAAAATTTAAAAAAAGAAATAAAAGAAATTATAAAACAAACAAAAAATCTGAGTGTATTTGTCCCCATTTCCAAGCTAACAGGATTGGTGAAAATAAAATGGACTAAAGTAGGCTATCCTATAGGGAACTAAATTGCAAATAAATCCAGTATTGAGATGTTTGCCTTGATTTTGCCTATTTCTATCCATAGCTCAGTTTGAAACGACCATATTCGTGAAATGCCAGAGTTTGTTTAGATTACTGAAGGTATATTATTTGAGACCTCAAATCCAAATGACTTCCAAATTAGGATACCCAGAATATTTTTGGTCCTGACTGTTGCAGTATTATGCTCACCTTAATTTAATCTTCATAATTGAAAATAAGCAGAATCCACAATAAGTTTTTTTTTTTTTTTTGGAGACAGAGACTCACCCTGTTGCCCAGGTTGGAGCGCAGTGGCGTGATCTTAGCTCACTGCGACCTCCGCCTCCTGGGTTCCAGCAATTATCCTGTCTCAGCCTCCCGAGTAGCTGGGATTACAGGCGTATGACACCATGCTCAGCTAATTTTTGTAGTTTTAGCAGAGACGGGGTTTCACCATATTGGCCAGGCTGGTCTTGAACTCTTGAACTCAGGTAATACACCTGCCTTGGCCTCCCAAAGTGCTGGGATTACAGGCGTGAGCCACTGTGCCTGGCCAGGATTGGATATTTTAAAGGTTGGATCACTTGAAAATGGGGGAACAATGATCTGTGTGAGATCTATTTGGTTTCTATTATTAAACTTCTTGAAACTCAGAGCCAGGTGCAGTAGTGGTGAGTACCTGTAGTTCCAGCTACTCAGGAGGCTCAAGTGGGAGGATCACTTGAGCCCAGGAGTTCAACTCCAGCCTGGGCAACATAACAAGACTCCATTAAAAGAAAAAAAAAAAAAAAACTTTTTGAAACTCAGCTGCTACACATTGACTTTCCTCATTGTATATGTGCACCAGGTAGCTAAGGATACTTCAGGTCTTATATTTGGTTTTTCATAGGCAATCATGCATTCCCAAAAAAAAAGCGTTTTTTTCTAGAACTGGTATCGATAATTGTATCATTCTCATAAAATATTTTATTTATCCCAACTGATTTGCCTGTGATCACCCAGACTCACTTATCCAGAGACACACAAATGGGCAGGCAGGTAGACAAACGCTACACCTGCCTGCCCTTTAGGAGCTAACAATGTGATTACCTCTCCTCTCCACGCGCAACCCCTTCCGCCCTCAACACACACATTCATATCTTCCTTATTCTATTAATGAACATTTCCTCGGTGCTCACACAGCTCGTGCTAGGTTGCTCAGTGGTGTCATTTACAATATACTGAAAAATGAAAATGATATCCTCAGCGGGGCGTAATGTAGGGCTGAAAGGGAAAACACATTCCTGGCCCGGAATTTCTTAAACATTTAGAGCTGGTGAAATGGTTGTGTAGAGGTTGGGGAATTTCCCCAGCCTTCCCCGCTTAACCGAGTCTGATGCTGAGCTGAGCCAGGGCAGCTGAGATGCGCAGGGCTTGGGATTTACCTCTTCAGCCACTGGGAGGCCCTCTGCGTTCCCCTTTCCCCGGTGCCTGGCTGCGATTACTCACTCGCGCAGTGGCACCAGCCTTCCACCAGGGAGCCTCGAACGAGCTCTCCCGCCCTCTCCCCGCCCCCCCACCCCCATCTGCAGCTTGCTGGCTCTCTCTTTCTCCTTCTCTGTCTCACTCTCTCTCTTTCTCTCCCTCTCCTATCGGAGCACAATGAAAGCCTGTGTATCGCCGTGACTCCGGGCGCGAGCCAGTGTCAGCAAAGCGGCTAACAACAGACGAGAAAGAGAAAGGAAAATACAAGCTACTTTTTTTTTCCATCTATAAAGCGGAGCAAATACAGGAGATAGAACCAGATTGCTTATTGCGAGTCCAGACCCTCAGATCCACTGGCCGGGGATGGAATGTACAAAAGTGGACAGAAAAGTGGCTGGACATGACTCGGTGCAATTTGCTGGAAGTTTGTAAGTTTGACCATCGTTTGTAAATTACTCTCGGAAGAGTTTGTCTCTCTTGATACTGTATTAGAATAGAGCCGGGGGTGAGGAATAGAAACGTAAGCGGGAAAGAAAAAAATGTGTTGAAGGATCTCTCTCAGTGGCTAGCGACTTAAGATTGCTTTTCATTTAAGGCTAGGAAACCTTAGAGGGAGTGAGGATTTTACCGGTGATTGGATTAGCTGAAGAAAAAAGCATGGTCCAAAAGTCCAATTACTGACATTGTTAACAGTTGAAAAGCTGTCTCCCTCTTTTGGGAGAAGACAACATCCTACAGTACCCCAAAGAGGAGAAAACACCGGAGCGAAAGGAAAGGGAGGAAAAATTAAAAGCCAAAAGACAGTCTCCCTTGATTTTTGCACATTTTGAACAGTGACTTAAACATCTTCTGAAACAGCACTGTTTTGTTTTGTTTTGGTTTTTTATTTAACCTGAGGAAAAGTCAAGGCTGCTGGTTACATAGACATGGTAGAAATGTGTTTCTCTGCAGAAACATCCCCATAAAGAATTGTCGGAAACAACTAGGTGAGGGGGAGTCCTCTCTATTAATACCTCTCTCAATACCTTTTGCTGTGTGTTTCTGTCTCTTGCTGGACAATCCCTGAATTCTTGATCTAACCCCCAGATCGTGTGTTTACAAAGTACCTAGTGGCTCTTGTCAGCTTGGTGGAGGAAAAAAAATCCACCAACTCTGTCCAACTTCTCCAGAGCTGTCAAATGCAATTAGAGTAAGTTAATCAGGGTTTGTTTCCAACTTATCCTCCCCCCAGTTGGTTTCTATTCTTTCTCCCCACCCTCTTTTTACTAACTCCCCTCCCCCACAACTTCTCCACGGCTCCCCCACAACCTCTGAAGACCTCTATTCATGTGGCCCTGAACACTGAGCTCACATTGTCAAAAACAGACTTGCCTGCAATAGCCAGCAGTAGCCTCTTTCCACCTCACCATCCCAGAGGCAGCAATCATTGTGTCCGGTAAGATGGGGGACACAGCGCCCCCGCAGGCCCCCGCAGGAGGGCTAGGGGGGGCCTCTGGGGCGGGGCTCCTTGGAGGGGGCTCAGTCACCCCGAGAGTGCACAGTGCTATCGTGGAGCGCCTCCGGGCTCGGATCGCTGTCTGCCGCCAACACCACCTGAGCTGTGAAGGACGATATGAACGAGGTAGGGCCGAGAGCTCAGACCGGGAAAGAGAAAGCACCTTGCAGCTCCTGAGCCTTGTACAGCATGGCCAGGGGGCAAGGAAAGCTGGCAAACACACCAAGGCCACCGCCACTGCTGCCACCACTACAGCCCCTCCACCGCCCCCTGCTGCCCCTCCTGCGGCCTCCCAAGCAGCAGCAACAGCAGCCCCACCGCCCCCACCAGACTATCACCATCACCACCAGCAGCACCTGCTGAACAGTAGCAATAATGGTGGCAGTGGTGGGATAAACGGAGAGCAGCAGCCGCCCGCTTCAACCCCAGGGGACCAGAGGAACTCAGCCCTGATTGCGGTAAGCACCTGGCTTTCTCATGGTTCTGGCTGTGGTCCTGTGACCTTTTGTGAGGGTAGAGTTTGCTTTGGCCTAAGGTAGAGTGGATGGCAATGAAAAAGGCCAAGATGTCACCTGACTACCTTAAAGGCCATTGGGTGTGTTCGGGTGGTTTCATGCGCCTACTCATCATGTTCTGTTGGTGCTCACTCCTGGGTTTTCCTTCGCTTATAGGATATTCCTTAACTGATAAGAAGCCTGAGTTTTCCAGAGGCTCTCTGGGGTCCACATCTTATAAAAGAAGAGGCTACCAGCTGGCAAGATCTGAGCCACTGAGGAAGGTTCTATCTCATGGATCCTCCAGCTTTGGCCAGCCAGCTCTGATTAGGCCCCCAAGCCATTTTTCAGCCCCAAAGCATTTATCAGCCCAGCTGGCCTTTATTAAAGCCTTTTTCTCCTTGCCCCATTTCCCCTCTCCCTTTTGAAGTGACCCCCTTCTTCTTCGCTTAAGAGAACATAAATGGTAAGCTGTAACAAATAGCAAATTCCCCGAATGTCCCCTCAGTCAAAAACAAAATTTGGGGAAAATATCCCAAAGAGAGACTAGGGAGGCACTGTTTCTTAAGAGGCCTACTCTCTGATTCCCTCTAGACTCTCTCACTCCTGAGCCACATCTCGATTATTTTCCCAAGCACTCCAGTCCAATCCAGTAATGCTCCCTTAGAGCATTCGTTAAGCAGACAGGCACGAAGCAGCTATTTACACAGATCATCATCCTAGGAAATACCTTGTCTTCAGCCACTCCTGGTGATAGGATATCAAACCCAAAAGTTCTGATTAAGTTTCTGGCTGGAAGTTCTTCCCCAGAGGCACAGACACACACCATCCCAGAGGAGTATCCCTTGGATCATTGATTCTCAGTGCCAGTCCTGGTCAGGTGACTGCCTGCTGTTTGCAGGCTTCCCCCCAAAGCTGCTGGACCAGTGGCCTCTGGTGGAAGGTAGAACCCTGCCCTGTGGCCCTGCAGGCTTCCTCCCTTTTGGAGCTCCATGGGACTTCTGGATTCTATGTCTGCTCCAGTTTACCCAGGTCAGCCCTAGCAAAAGCGACAGGAAATGGCCATGCAAGCCCCAAAGTACTCAAAAAGCCCAAAGGAGATGGTGCTATTGTGTCTAACTGCTCCTCCAAAGGAGCTTGATATTGAGCTCTCGGGAGAGGACATCCTCTGGCCAGACGCTCAGGATGGCTCTTTCTGGCTTCCCTTAATCCCTGGCCTGGGTCCATGGTGACGAAGACCCTGGGAATCTCTGGGGAGTAGGATGGTGCTTTTCTCCCCAGCCATAAGCACATTTACTTGGGCTACCTAGGAATGGGACTCCTTGAGGCCAGCTCCAGATGAAAAATAACTACCAACAGTTAAACTGCACAGGGTTTACAGTTTTACCCTTGAATAGCAGCACTAGCTTGTGGGGTTGTATTAGAGCTTCGAAGCCTAATATCCTTTTTCTACCACCTGCTCTATTCCCGCTTCTCCCTGGAATTCCCTAGGAAAGCAGTGGGAGGTTGTTTTGTGAAAAAAGAGATGTTAGGGTAAAGGAGGGGGGTAAAGAATCGCTCAAATGGAGAGAAGAATGAGGTTTGTATGTATGTGTGTGTCACCAGCATCTGTAGCCAAAAGTATCTAAATGCCTTGATTGTCCCCAGTAAATTTATAATCTGTCTGCAAGTCTCCCAATAATGCGGCTTTGTGTGCTTCACAGTCTCCTGGTAAGTGTTTCTGGGGATGGAACCGCAAGTGAGGCACCCGGCCCAACCCTGAGTGGAGAAGACTGATCTCTGCCCGGGGTGTCAAGGCCGGAGCGGGGCCGTGAAGAGCCACAGTGGGCTTCCCTTGTGGCCTTCACAGCCCAGCCTCTGAAGGAAAGGTGGCATGTTTGCCTCTGGCCTTGTTCTTTGAGCTTCTGCTTTTGTCCAACTTGGCAGTAAGCTGAGACAGCCTTTTTTTTCTAGGGTGTTTCATGATGGGAAATGAAACCAACTTTAGTGGTCGTGGTAACTTTACAGTAGCAATACCCATGCTGGGAGGGAAGTGAGGGAGCGGTGTCTGGCCCTTCCCGACTGAAAGCTTACTGCTGCAGAAGCCATAGCTGGCTGCTGTGCTACCTCTGGCCTAAGAGGGAATCTTTCTCTCTTCTAACCACCAGCCATCTCCTGAGACATTCCCTTAGAGGAGCTCCCTCTCCAGGTGTAGTGATGATGCAGAGAGGCACAGTTTAAGTTAGGAGGGTAAGGGATAGTATATTTCTAGTAGTTGCTTTTCACTGAGAATATGTGGCATTGCACGGGTTGTTGGAAATTCCCTCTCCATTTTAGCTGCTAAATTTGGCCCGTTGTTACTCAGCACGGTACTCAGAGATGGTGATGCAAGTGCTGTATTAACCTGATAACATTGTGTCCAAAGGGAGGCCTGGGCATTTTGAAGTGATTCACCAAGCCCATTACATTGGCAGGTCTCACTTTACTCGGGCTCCTCTTATTTTTCAGATATGCTATTAATTTTAAAAGGGCCTTTGTTCAGGGTGAGTGTCAGAATTTTTTCTTAATTTTATTGCTACTGTGTCCATAACCAGATTTATGTGACTTAGGTGTGTTGAATGTATAACTTTAATAGTTAATTCGTATGCCATAAGTGGCCATAAATGTCCTTTGGAGAAAGGGAGAGAATATTGATCATCTAAAATCAAAGATGTGCTGTGTCCTCAGATGAAAGCTTTGTATCCTGCATACCTTCTAGTACAATGCCTTGAAGACAGTGGGTAATATTTGTTGAATGAAGGTGAAAGGACAACTTCTGTTTGGTGGGATAATGTTGACTTTCATGGGTATTATACAGCAAGGAATATATAATGTCTGAATCCTTTCAATAGCCTTAAGTTTCAAGAACAATGCAAGAATAACCTCCAAGCCAGTTTTAATTCTGTCCACATTGACAGCCTAATTCTACAGCCCTTACTCAGCCAGTTTCTTCATTTAGCTCAAGTACAAGTTCAGGGGAAGCCCCGCTGCTGCAGAGTCTGCAGGAACAGGGCCTTTCAGAGGGCCCGGATTATAGGGCTTTGAGCAGATCTGCATTTCTAACCACTTGGAGCAGACTTTAGGCACTAACTCATTTTCTGGTGAAGTATGTTTGAATCTTTGAATGAACTGTGAAACTGAATAATTGCTGGTCCATGGAACAGTAAGGTTTAGAGCTTCTGTGGTACATTATTAATCTTTCCCTTTTGCCTGAGACAAGCTCTTTTTCTGTTGCATAGATTGTGTTGCTAGGATCACTAGATAAGTGGTTCCATGTCATCTCTGGCTTCAGAGATTATCTTTTCTCTAATGTCATGTGGAGGAAAGAAAGTAGATCAGACAAGGAGCCTACATCCCTTGGTTTTGTGCCTGCTGGATCACCATCTGGGTTACCTAGGACAAGTCACTTAGCAGTCATCTGTGGAACAGAGAGGACAATCATGCTGCCCCAGCTTGTTGAGAGAAGCAAATGAGCGTGTTTTTCTGAACAAGCTTTAGGAAAAATTAAGCACTGCCAAAATGCAATACTAGTGTTAGTAGTAATAAACTTCTAAACAATGAATGATAATACTGGTTCTTCTAGGAGTTAAATGTATACTCAGCTTTCAGTTGTCGGTTTTAAATGATGAAATAGCACTTATTGTAAATAGAGGGATTGGCATTTCAAATTTACTGCTGTCAAGATAAGACTGACGTATCCGTATACTTAAGTGTTCCTGAAGGTCCCAGGAAATCCTAGTGCAATGCTATGAAAGTCTTTGGAGTCTTTGAATGCATCTACTTTACAGGCCTCTGCATGGACCTGGGAAGCTTTGGAAAGATGTGTCCCCCAGAACATCTAAGGCATATTAGAAAAGTTGTTTACACAAATGCATGGGAGAGTTAAATATTTTGTCAACAATTGTCTAAAATGTTAATTGTTAGCTTAAGAAAGTCAAACAAGTTAAATCATTGCCAGAGTACCCTGGTTATTTTTAACTGATAATAATCAAGTTTCCAATTGACAATTAAAAAGTTGAGAGCTGTAAGTGGGAGGCCAGATCTGGGTATCTATGGCTGTCTACATGATAAATGTCCTCCTAGGACAGTGATAGGAGTGTTTATATTATTTATATATGCAGCCATCATTTCCTTAAAAACTGACCTATTTTCGTTCTGTTTTCTAGAACAAAGTAAAAAAAAAGGAGAATTCTTATCTATCTAGGACCTTCCTACCACTTATTTCAAGTAAATATAATTATAAGATCTCACAAAGGCAAAAGGGTTCAAGTGGAGAGAGGAGTTAGTATAATACTTTACAAAAAATTGATAAAAACCTTTCTTTGACATCAAGGTGATGTTATCATGTAAACCAAGATATCTTGCTTGTTTAGGACAATGTTTGTTTATAGAAGGCATCTGCTTTCTTTGAAATAATATTGGTAGGTGATGTTCATCAAATGTTTCTAAATCGTAATGTTTAATCACTTATGGCTTCTGTATTGTAAACATTTTTAAATACCAATATGTTTAAATATGGGCTTTCAGATGTTCTTAGACATACCAATTTAAATATGACTAAAAGAGTGGCCATAATTAGCTGTTTTTGTTTTTTTGTTGTTGTTTGTGTTTGTGTTTAGCACTGTTATTTAATCTAAGAAAGCCTGAAAGGGAATCTGAAAACAGTCATCCAGTTCTGCTATCCATGGCAGCTAAGCCTTTCTGAATGGATTCTACTGCTTTCTTGTTCTTTAATCCAGACCCTTATATATGTTTATGTTCACAGGCAGGGCAATGTTTAGTGAAAACAATTCTAAATTTTTTATTTTGCATTTTCATGCTAATTTCCGTCACACTCCAGCAGGCTTCCTGGGAGAATAAGGAGAAATACAGCTAAAGACATTGTCCCTGCTTACTTACAGCCTAATGGTATGCAAAACCACTTCAATAAAGTAACAGGAAAAGTACTAACCAGGTAGAATGGACCAAAACTGATATAGAAAAATCAGAGGAAGAGAGGAACAAATATTTACTGAGTCCTAGAATGTACAAGGCTTTTTAATTACATATTTTATGTAAGGCCTGCAAAAAACAGGTGAGTAATCAACATTTGTCCCATTTTACATATAAGGAAACTGAAGCTTAAATTGAATAATTTAATGCATAGATTTTATAGTTAGACCATGTTCAGGTCCCTATGTTATACTTACTAGCTGTATGAATATGAGAAAATAATTTTGTTATTTTCTTGGCATCAGTATTTTCATCTGCAAAATAAAGCTAAAGTTATTTAGCAAAACAGTCAGCATAGTGCCTGATACATAGTAGGTGCTCAAAACATGAGTACCACTAGTAGTTGGTAGTAGAGAGATTCAAATATAGGCCAGGGATAGCTATATGAGAACATGGGTCACCAGCAGGGCCTGAGAAGAGGGAGAAAATACGGAAATGTGGGATTGGGGTCGCTGAGTGCAGGCATGTAAGTTAAGTGTTTGGGGAACAGAGCAGTGCTTGACTGAGTGTGGCTGGACGTGAGTACTGAGGGGGACAAATGAGATTGATCCACATCCTGGAGGGCCTGGAGATCCGGTAAGAGCAAATCAGAAGCCCTGGAAAATGGTAGAGCAAGGACGGCTCCAAGGAATCAACAGCTATGATGCAATAATAATCCTTCATATACTTGAAGACAAGTATTACATTTCCCCTCCAGCAGCCTCTTCTCACAGCGCATTGCCTAAGTGCTCTGTACTACCCATCTTCAAGTCCCTTGAGCTGCTTAATGCCTTGCTATTTACACATTCTCCCATTCATGGTGAGTTATATACTGCATGACATGCCCTTTGACACTAAAAGGACATAGTTTTAAAGCACACTAGCTAGATGCAGAAGAGGAAGTAAAAGAAGCAGACCAAGCTATACCTCGCTTCTTAGGTTCACTGGGCCTTCCAGTGCAAACAAGAAATGCCCTGTTGGTAAAAGTGTTTATACTCTCTTGATGTGTAAATCAGTCTTCCCAACAAATGAGTTTGCCTGTATACTAATGTGGAAAAGGTATTCTCATTATTAAAAAAATCATGAACAAAAATTCGTGAGAAAAGCATTATTTTAGATGGTCTTTGAGATGTACTTATTTCCTTGCTTGTAATACAGATGTGTTACAAATTTTTTACTTGCCTTAAGGTCCAGTTGGATACCAGTTTCCCCCATTTAGTTCTTGTTTACAAGGGAAAAGTAAGGGACCCTAAGGAAAGATGGCAAAGGAGAAAAGCCAACATCTCCCTCCTCCCTGATTCATGGCATGATGCTTGGATGCTGACGGTAGTGAATGGGCTATTGACTAGCTTCAACCTTGGCCTACACATTTGTGAGAAACAGAGGTAAAAGAGCAAAAGCTATTCCACTTCCCTATAGAGGACATGAAGAGAGAAGTTCACATATTCTCCACAGGTTGAGGACAACTAGAGAGCTGGACCCTACCATAGCCAAATTACTGAAGGAATGGATATGAAAATGGGCAAATGGCAATACTGACACATGCTACAGCTCTCCAAAGGTCTTAATGTTTTAGCAAAGGTTTTAAACTCTTACGTCAAGATTGTATGCATGGGTCCTTTTTAGAGTTTGGGAAAATATTCATTAATTCAGTAAATAATCTTTGTACAGCTCTTCTGTGCCATGAACTGTGCCAGGAATACATTGATGGACACTTCAGTATAGCCTTTGCCCTCTTTGAATTTACAGTGTAGACGGGAGGTGAGTGGGGTTAGAAATAGAACTGTTACAGTTGGCTTGTGTAAGGAGGCAAAGAAGCATAGCAGTTAAGAGCCTGAGATCTTAACTCTTAACTCTGAGGTGAGACGACCAGATTTCAAATCACCCCTCTAACACTTAGTTGTGTTTTCTTGGATAGGTCAATTAAATTCCCTTGCCTCAGTTTTCTCGACTGTGAAATGGAGTGATAGTAATAGAACTAACATCTTAGAGCTGTTGATTAAATTTAGCAATTGCCTAGCACCTCGTAAAGGCTCAATAAATTTTAGCTGTTATTATTAGTGTGTGAAGTAACATACCTGAATCAGATTCATAGGTTTCCCAGCCCAGAATTGTGTTTCCAGTAATGCATCAGACATTTAGAGGAAGAGCATGGCTTTTCTCTTTAATGTTTACTTAAAATGGTTAGTGAAGAGTATCATATTATCAGTTCCCTCAATAGTTGAATATGGAGACATCACCTGGGATAGATTTCCATCTCCCTAGAATGTTAAATAGTGTCCTTCTTGAGAATGGGACCAAGTACTACCTCTTCCAATCCTAAGATTCTAGGACTCCTAATCTAGAAGTTGAATAGAGTGAATGTCCTCTTGACTCCTTACTTCTAGAATTCAGTCTGGGTTTCCATTCAGTTACCCAGCAAGTGTGGAGTGTGGGCTTAGTAGGTAAATGAGAAATTTAAACCATCTATTGGGAGTTTTGAATCATTGGAACCAAATAGACAAACTTACCAATTTAATTGAATTATTAATTGAAATTAATGAATAATTCTTAAGTGAATTTGGTCCTAGAGCCACAAAAGGTTAGACGCTTCCTACTGTGGAGATTTAAATTTATGCTTTTGAAAGCCAGATCCCTGGCTAAAGTTGCTAATTTACTGCATCTGCAGATGAATAGGCAACACAGATTTGCCGTCTTTCCAACCCTAAGCAGGAGCATGTTGAAATTTCCATGCCTTGATGTGGCTCTCACCTCAGAATCTCTTTACTCAGTACCTCCTCAAGTGCGGTTTTCCATAAAAAACATGAGGAAGATGTTGCCAAGGGTTCAAAGCAAGTTTTATTGATGACGATTCTTAATTGAAAGCATGGTGTTTCTATGAAGTGACAGGATTAGAAAACAAATAGTCTCCATTCTTTAGTAGATTATATTTGGGCAAGGATGGATTTATTGTCCAAACTCAGAGCAAAGAATGTAGTCAAAAATTTTTATCTTTTTTTTTTTTCGCTTACTCCCCATGATTTAACCTTAGATTCCTCCCCTTTCTTGAGGATAATAATGCTTAGGAAATGTAGTGTCAAACATAGTTGGGTTGTTTTGTTTTTAACAGTGTTCTTGCTTCCTGAGTCATTCTGGCAGATTCATACATTAACATGGAATCATTAACATTTTTGCTTTAAAATTTCTCTTTTGTCAGAAATGTGGCTGAGTTATATTTGTAATTCTTATCCAGCCCTCTAATAACTGTCACCCACATGAAGCCCAACACCTTAAATGCCTCATTGTACAACAGAGTTCTTTTCAGGTAGCTCTCATAGATTTCAGTAGAAAGTTAATTACATGTCTGTTTCTAAGAAAATTCAGTTAAGGCAAAAGTCGGCTACAACCTCTAATAACTTACCGGGAGTCTGTTGGATACACAGTATCTCTTAGAGTCCTGGTAACCAGGGTGCAAAGAAGTAGCTTAATTGAATACAATATGTACTGTACTGTGTCTTACTTATGTGTAAAATGCTCATATCTGGAGGTCACTGGAGTCTAAATTATGTAAAAATAAAAACATTCTCTGGCTAAGCAGCTGAGAAATGAGGATTTTTTGTTGTTGTTGATGTTTCTGTTCACCTAAGTTTCTGATACTTGCTAAACCGGCTAAGTCTTGCGCATTTGATTGCCACACCGTGCTACTTAATTTCAGACAGCACAAAGTATGTGCTAGTGTATTATCCCATTTGGTTGTTTCGCAGAAGTGTTAAAGTGCAAAGTGCAGAGATGAGAGTAAACAGGAAAGAGGAGCTATCCTGACAGAAACAACAGACAGAGGCAACCGTTTAGTAAAGTTTGGGCCCAAGTCCTAGAGCCATTGCACCAAAGAGAGCTTCCTTTTCTCCCTTAGATTCTTTGCATGTGGATCTGTTTGCAGGCTCAGTCCCCCAGAGAGTGACTCTGAGCTGTCTTTGTGCTAAATTAAACATTAGTTTTCTCCTTGGGAACCTGATCTTCCATAGACTAGGCAACAATATCTTTCTGAGAGAGCGAGCTCCCAGCTAAGCATTTCCCTCAGGAAGATACTGGCTCAGGAGCCCTTTCACCTCTCCGATCTGCTTAGCTAGTGTGAGTGCGTGTTGCATGGGAATTGTTTTGTCTAACCAGGTCTAGAAGCCCTTAAAGTGATGACTTGTACTTTAATCCTTGGTACAATGCTGGAGGACCCATGCTACTTTAGCATATAATAAATGAAAACAGAGTAGCACCCAGATCATATAAGATTACAACCACACATGGGAAGGAGTTCTGATTGCTCACTGCCTCCCAAATTCTGCACCCACAGCAATGAAAGAGAGTGAGTTGCAAAACAGAAGCCATCTCATTTCTAGCCTTCTCTCATCTCTATCCTGCCCATCCCCCTAGAGGGCCAGTTCATATTAGTCTAAAAATAGGACACTATTCTGCAATTTATAGAGTTGTATAAGCCCTTAGAGAGAAGACAGACCAAATCCTCTTTTCGTAAATGAAGAAATTAAAGCTTTTTTTTTTTTTTTTTGAGATGGAGTCTCACTCTTTCGCCCACGCTGGAGTGCAGCAGTGCAATCTTGGCTCACTGCAACCGCCGCCTCCTGGGTTCGCGTGATTCCCCTGCCTCAGCCTCCTAAGTAGCTGAGATTACAGGCGCCCACCACCACGCCCGGCTAATTTTTTTCCTTTTTCTTTTTTTTTTGTATTTTTAGTAGAGATGGGGTTTCACCATGTTGGTCAGGCTGGTCTCAAACTCCTGACCTCAAGTGATCCACTCACCTTGGCCTCCAAAAAGTGCTGGGATTACAGGCGTGAGGCACTGCGCCTGGCCTTAAAGCTCATTTTTTTATTAAAGAGAAAGCCTCCAAGAACCCATAGCAATAGATCTTGGACTACAGCCCAAGTTTTCCTGACATCTATTCCAGGTTATAAAAAGTAGTCATTTGATTAAGGATTTTTAATAAACCTATAAAAAGAACAGTTAGGGGAAATTTGGTATTTTTATTAATATTTTGGTAGTAAGAGTAGCATGGAGTTTAGAGCCTGTGGTAGATTGTCTTTTTTGTTTATTGTTTTGAAACAGGATCTCACTCTGTCACCCAGGCTGGAGTGCAGTGGCACAATCTCTGCTTACTGCAACCTCTGCCTCCTGGGCTCAAGTGATCCTCCCCGCCAGCCTTCTGAGTAGCTGGGACTGCAGGTGCACACCACCACCCTTGGCTAATTTTAGTATTTTTTTGTTGAGACAGTGTTTTGCCATGTTGCCCAGGCTGGTCTCAAACTCCAGGGCTCAAAGGATCCACCCACCTCAGCCTCCCAAAGTGCTGGATTCCAGGCATCAGCCACCATGCCTGGCTGGTAGATGGCTTTTTAAATGATCACAATGATCCCTTCCACCCCACACGCCCCTTTGTAATGTAACTTTGCCACTCCTGGCATCAAAAAATGGATGCTTTTTTCCCCCTTGAATCTCGATTGGCCTCGTGACTTGCATTATCCAATAACGTGACATAAATGACATGTGCTACTTCTGAGGATGGCCTTTATGAAGCCCTCTTGGAACACCGACCTGATACCAACATGTAAGGAAGCCAGTCTAGCTAATTGGGAGATGAGCATGCAGAGAACCAAGGTGCCCCGACTCTAATCAGCACCAACTGCCCACACACAAGTGAGGCCATCTTGGACCCAGCCAATCTTCCAGCTCAATGTGGCCACACAAGTGAGCCCAGGTGAAACCAGCAGAGGAACTGCCCAGCCAATCCACAGAATTATGAGAAATATTGCGTCATTGTTTTAAGCCACTAACTTTTGGGGTGGTTTGTAAGTAGAAAAGTTTAACAGAATCAGAGCTGGAAAATTTTAGCATGGAAAATGACTCTATTTCATTAGCTGTGTTATCTTGGACTGGTTACTTAACGTCTTTGAGCCTCATAACTCTGCTTTTCAGGATAATAGTAGCTGTCTCAAAAGGTTGTGGGGATTAAATGAGATAATACAGTTTATGAAATAGCCTACAGTTTTGTTTGGTACATGGCACAGCTTAACAAACAGTTTTCCTGCTTTCTCTTTGTCTCTTCTCAATGTATTATAATTCATACAAATTCCCTCTTTGTCAGTTCACATTCACTTCATGTGCATCAACATTCTCCTAGGCTTCCTCAGATCACTGTTCCTCTAAACAGCGATTAATTTTTTCCCTCCTGGGTGATGCTGTCATTCCTTCTAACTACCAAATTTCAAGCATTCTTGCTATACTCCATGGAACACATCTGCCTTCAGTAGTCTACCCTTAAAATAGAAAAGGGTTAACCTCATAAAGATGTCACTCCCTTTGTACTGTTATGCTGCCCTTGGGAGACTCAAACAGCATAGCAAATATATATGGGCAATGTAATTGCATTCGATCTTCTAGGTCACAGAAGACTTTGTTAGCTGGTATAGCAGACAGGGAAAAGTGAGCACATTCCCATCTTTAAGAGCACTGCTTCTAAATTCTGTCACTCTTTTTGATAGGAAATTACCCTAACAGCCTCATTTTTTCCATCTTAGCCTTCACAACAAATAATAAATAAAGAAGGAGTGATATAGTCATACTGTATTATACCTACTTACTATACTTATTCGTAGTGATACTGTATGAGAGTACTGGTCAGGGGATTGGGTATTGAAGGTTCTAGTGCTGGCTCTGATACTACCTAGTAGGGCAATTTAGTCATGTCCTTTAACTTCCTGGTATTTACTTTGCTTCTTGGAAAAACAGTAAGTGGCACTTGGTATGTGGCTTGTATCACTTCTTAGGCCTCTTTTGGTATGACACACTTTGCAGAGTTCCCTGATATTTGATTTTGTTTCTCAAATTTCAGTCTCTTCTTACATATGTTTATTGAGGAAGAATTGAAAGGAGCAGTGACAAAATTGGCAATGTTTTGTAGCAGTAAGGAGGGTCTGAAGTTATGTGGGGGACAAGGTCCAGCCATGGCGGAAGGGGGAGGTCCAAGCCATATTAATTGTTGAATACCCTTCCTAGAAGTAATGAACAAATCACTCCATCTCTGGCCATATTCTGAGGGACTTAGAGTTCCAGTTTGAGAAACACATTTATAGGAGTAGAGTTTGATTCATTAAATTTATTTTTAGAGAGAGTACTGATTTTTTTTCCCCAGATCCTCTCAATTACACTTGTAATATTTCTGTAGGGTAAAGATTCCCAAGCGATTACCCCTTGTGAAATAATTACATGAAACATTAAAAAAAACAAAAAGGAAAATATTCTGTAGAGCCTCTTACTAAAGAACTAACTAGTCTTTCAGCTGTGTACATCCGTCTCTCCATCTGTTTGTCTATCTATTTCTCATATATACATAACAATTGAAAAGTGCAGATTGATGGATGGGATTTTATATGTGTCACCACTTCATTTTTTAAATATGTGTCTGCTTTAACGGGGAACTATAAAAGAGAGTCAAGAAATTGCCCTGGGGGAGGGGAATTCAATCCACTGCCTCTTTTTTTCTTATCGCTAAAACCCTAAGCAGAGAGTATAATCACCTATTTCCCAAGGGCAGCCCTAAGCCCTTAAAACTCAGCTCTGTTTAGGGATTTAATAGAACTGGAAAAAAGAAATGCATGGGATCTGCTTCTAGGAGCAAACCAACAAAGAAAAATTTTCCCAAACGATATTAAATCTAAAGAATTTTTACGGTAACACAGTCCCCTCTCTCCCTCCCTATCTCTTGATTCAGTTAGAGCACAGCTCTTCCAGTCACTTCTTTATGACTCGTACGATCTTGGGGGGTGGCGTGGGGTGTCTGTGGATCACATCTTAGGCTCTGGGCCAGCCCGAGCATTTTTTTTTTCAACAACAGAGCAAGATGTAACTAGCATAAAGTGAGCAAGGTCATTTGGTTGTGGTTGCCATTTTATTTCATTCAAGCTGAGAGTAGACACACTCAGCTTCATTGTTAGGTTGGAGCCATAAAGATAGTGACATTTTTTTCAGTTACCTCTAAGCACCTTAGAATTTCTTCTGTTAAGATTTGCTGGAATTTTAGGTGAAAATATCTTGGTGTTATGCAACATGGCTTTTCTTTTTAAAAATATTAAAATAAAGGAAGTCAAGTTGCCTTTCTTTCCCAATAGATGGGGTCTTACCTTTGCTTAGGAAATATACCTTAAGCTCCCATCACACATATATACACACATGCACACACACATATGCGCTTTGTTTTTGATTGTTATTATTTTGGGGGGATGGAATATCACTCTGTCACCTAGGTTGGAGTGCAGTGGCACAATCTTGGCTCACTGTAACCTCCACCCCCCGGGTTGAAGTGATTCTCCTGCCTTAGCCTCCCGAGTAGCTGGGACCACAGGTGTGCGCCACCACGCCTGGCTAATTTTTGGATTTTTAGTAGAGATGGGGTTTCACCTCGTTGGCCAGGCTGGTCTCGAACTCCTGACCTCAGGTGATCCGCCTGCCTTGGCTTCCCAAAGTGCTGGGATTACAGGTGTGAGGCATCGTGTCTGGCCTGATTATTTTTAATATATATGAACGGAAGTTGGTTACATGAGTGCCTTGTTAGATAAATAAGAATCAAAGAAATACATTGAAGAGTATGGGAAAGGGCCGGGCGCAGTTGCTCATGCCTGTAATCCAAACACTTTGGGAGGCTGAAGCAGGCAGATCACTTGAGGTCAGGAGTTCTAAGACCAGCCTGGCCAACATGGTGAAACCCCGTCTCTACTAAAAAATAAAAAATAAATGTGCTGGACACAGTGGCAGGTACCTGTAATCTGTTGAGGCAGGGGACTCACTTGAGTCCATGAGGCAGAGGTTGCCGTGAGCCGAGATTGTGCCACTGCACTCCAGCCTGGGTAACAGAGCAAGACTCTGTCTCAAAAAATAAATAAATAAAATAAAAGTGTATGGGAAAGAAGATCAGTTTTGAAGGAAGTTTCTCCAGAAGACAAGAACCTGCCAATTACAGAAACTAAGGAAAAACTCCATTATATTACAATGATAAGTCTGGAGTGACAGGAGACCCCCATTCGGGTCCAGGCTTTAACTAACAGGATGACCTCGGGGCCAGTCATCCCTCCTTTGCTTCTTTATTTCCCCATCAGCAACCCACACGGGTTGGATTCCCTAGCATTTTGCTTGGCTGCATTATTCTTGTCGTACAGGATTCAGCTCAAATATCACCTCCTGGAGAGACCTGCCTGTCTACCCTAACTAGAGCAGACACACATGACTGATCTCCTTCTCTCGCGAAATCTCCCATCATGTTATCCCATTACAGAGGTTTTGTTTTCTTCATAATTTTTATCACTATCTGAATTATTTTGATTCTTTGTTTATTTGTGCATTTCACGTTGTTTCCTATATTCCGTTCAATGTAAGCTCTATGAGACCAAGAACCTGGGCAGTTTTATTCACCATAAGTATTCCAAGCCCTAGTGGTTCCTGGCACATTTTGTATTCACAATAAATATTTGTTAAGTCAATGACCAGATGAATGGCTTTTAAACTCAAGATAGTTTTTTTTTTGTTTTGTTATTTATTTATTTATTTATTTACTTTGACAGACTTTTGCTCTTGTTGCCCGGCTGGAGTGCAATTGTGCGATCTCGGCTCACTGCCTCAGCCTCCCGAGTAGCTGGGATTACAGGGGCCCATCACACCATACCTGGCTAATTTTTTGTATTTTTTCAGTAGAGACGGGGTTTCACCATGTTTGCCAGGCTGGTCTCGAACTCCTGACCTCGTGATCCACCCGCCTCGGCCCCCCAAAGTGCTGGGATTACAGGCATGAGCCACCGCACCCAGCCTAAACTCGAGATAGTTTTTAAGACTTTCAGCAAAGGGATATAAAAGAAAGAAGGAAGGGCATGCAATTGGACTCCAAGGTCTTAACCTCTTGTTTATGCATTTAAAACACACACACACACATACATGCACACACACACACACACACACACACACACGCTTTAGTGTGATTAAAAATAGAGTTCCAGTGCTACAACCATTTGAAAAGTACATGGACTAGATAATCTCTTAAAATTCTTCCCAGGTTTAAATTCTAAAGCCCAGTCTGCCATAAGAGGAAAATGTTGGTGCAAGGAAAAAGATGATGGAATAGGGTTACAGATGTTGAGTGCCTACTACATGTTGGGTCTTGTGTTGGGTCCTTGAACCACACAAGGACAGAGTTCTTGTTTAATGGAGTTTACATTTTAATGGGGGGGGGGCGGGGTAGACAGAGAGTAAACAAACAAAGGAACAAGAGAAATTTAACGGTGATACAATGCACAGCTCTTTGTTCCTTACTTCATATGGCTAATTGGAGATTGATTTGGGTTAATTAAAAGAAAGCAAATCTGGGAAACTCTGTGGAAGGTGATAACCATAAACAAATTTCTACCCACAGAGCTAGAAGAGGGGTTTCTGTGCCCGTGGCTGCTCCAAGCCTGGACATCTGCCTGCACAGTGGTCTTTTTGGCCCAGGCTGTGTGCTACTTTGGCCAGTCTGTGTGAAATGTTGATTCCGACATTTCCAGGGAAGAAGGTGGTCTTGTCAGCATCTTCTGTGCCTTGGAGCTATTGTGATCATTTTGTTAGAAATCATCAAGTTTTGAGAGTTAAAGAGAAACTGCTGAAAGGTACGGTTTGTGAAGGAGAATATTGTTCCTCTTTATAGAAACAGAAAAAAAAAAATGATCAGTGTCCCAAGGAGGTACAGGCATAAATCTAAGGAAGATAACTCGCATTTGTAATGGTCATAATAATAATATATGTACATGACCTACAGAGTCCTCACAGAAACCTTATGCTATCACTGAAAAAGATGGAGCTATCTGTAGTTTACAAATGTGAAACAGACTTGGAGAAGTTGAGAAATGGTAATAATATCTTACTTTTGAATAGCAAATTTGCAGTTTATGGAGTGTGTTATTTCATTATTTCAGTTTAAACATCATTTCAGTTTCTTCTCTGGAGTATTACTACCCTCGTTTAAGAGACAGGTATGAGAGGCTCAAACTTGTCTGTGCTAACTCCACTAGTAAGCATCAGTCTACCCCTGGGGCTCCTGGACCTATGCAGGAGGCACAAAGCTGGCAAAGTTGAATAGCTAAACCCCAAATGTATAACTAAATTTGCAACTAGATGGGGACGTTGAATGTCTTCAGCTCCCAGACATACACCCACACATAATTTGAAGCAATGACTCCCCTAGAAAGAATGGCAATCATGAATGGAATGAGGATGTCAGACACCCAGGGCACACCAAGTCTAGAATAAGAGAGGCTGAAACAAGAGTCTTGTTTTTTCTTATTTAAATCCAATAATTTGTAAGAATACAAGGCAAGATGAGAAAACCTTTTAATGTATGAAAGCCCACAATTTGGTACCTGTATTTCTTGTGGGTCCAGTCAGCCAGCAAGTCTGAGGAGCGAGGGCTACAAGGTCATTATGAAGAGAAACTTGATCTTGAATTAAAGAAGTAGACTCTTCTCTGCCACCAAGATTGGTCTCTTAACTTTTTCTCCTTACCATTGCTTATTTCAGAATGAATATATTAGATGGAACTTTAGGGAGAGACCTGAAGCTCTTTGCTGAGAAGTGATTTTGAATCCATTCAGATTCAAGTAGGGAATAGGTTTTTTAAGCCGATGAATGTTTTCTCATTACCTGGAGAAAATGTGGGGACTCATAATCGGTGGGATTTTGCTTCAAGGTGAAGATGTGCCTTCTTATTTATTTTTGTATTTCCATGGCCTACAATAGTGTCAGACATCTATTACACAAGCATTCCATAAATGTGTGTTGAACTACCCTGTGGCAAGCATGAATTTTTAAGGGACAGCAGTTCTTTATATTTCTGTGGCTGAATGTATTGTACACCAAATGTGAAATACTGATCTTCAAGGCATCCTTTTGGTTCAACACATTAAAAAAAATAACATGTATTAAGCGTTTATCATGTTTGGCACTCTTCTAAGCGTTTTCTGAATGTTAACATATCTTTGCAATTATACTATGAAATAGGTACTATCTTATTCCCATTTGGCAAGTGAGGAAATTGACAAATTAGGTGAAGGAAGATGCCCAGGTCATGCAACCACAAGTGGTGGAGTCAGAATTTGAATACAGCAGGATGATGCCAGGGCCAAGGTTTCTAATCATGACTTCGCACCTCGTATAGGAGCAGATAATTACATAGGTATTATCAGACTCAACTTACACATGGTCCAGGCCTGAATTTTGAAGGCAAGTGCAACAAGACATTTGAAAGCCAATGACAATTAGAACTAACTGCTAATCTAAGCTGCAGATGAAATTCAGAATGAATGTCTAGGGGCCACAGATTACTCTTTGAGACTGTTGCCAGTCGTCTCTTTTCTAAGAGGTAGAAAGTGCTTGAACACGTAGAGCCTATGAGTGACACATGTTTTGACTGGCATTCCAGGGTAGCTTTCAGTAGCCACCTGGAGGGCTGTGTGGAGGATTCTAAGGCCATACCTACGCATGATGGGAAAGACAGCTGTGGTGGTTCATTGTCGACATCTGCCCTGCAGGCACAGAGAAGGCAGCATGGCTGACCGGTTTCTGAGATAGATTCTTCAGGGTTGAGGAATCCAAATCTGGAGCATAATCCATAGAGATTCCGGATGAATTGTTAATTCCCATGAAGGAATGCATCAGGACCAGATTATACTGTGAGTGGGCCTCAAATCTATTTATAGAATAAGTTTGGGTTTAAATAAGTTAATTCATTGTAAGTGCCTTGAAGACAGATAAGTTCCTTGAAGACACAAAAACCTCTTATCTCTGAGCATGCAGATGGGTTTTTTTTTTTTTCAGCATTTTGTAAAGGGCAATACAAACTCAGCTTCACTCCCTCGCCAACCTGCAACCAGATCGTTCTTCCTAAGCACCTCTTACATGGAAATTCTAAAGATACCATTACTGTGGTGAATATTCTGAGGGAAATTCTCTTTGGCTAGAAGGAGCAACAGAAACGTACAGATGTGTTTAAAAAAAATGGATACCCTAAACTTACGTGATCACTGGAACCTTCTTTGGGGAATCACATTTTTCTATAAGCTGCCTTTTAAAACATTTTAGCAAGTATGTCTTGAGATATTGTATCTAAGCCCCACCCTCAGCACTAGGAATGGAGTGGTGAATAAGATAAGTTCCATGGTCTCTTGGAGAGTGCTTTTTTTTTTTTTTAAACCAGTAGCCTCTTTTCATGCTAGAACATAAATGATCCAGCTTCTTGAGTTTGTGAGTTCCCTAAATTGAATACACAACTTTGTGCGATGGCATATATGCATTTTCAGTGTGGACGCATTCCACAGTTTCGTCAGATTCTCCAGGGGTTCCAAGGGCGAAAGAACCTGAAGCCTAGGCCTGTGGAGATGGGAAGACTCCACTAATACTAGGCACACTGTGATTCTCCACTCTACACAACAGCTAACTCTAGGACATCCGGCATTTCCTTTCTTTGTGTGTCTGTTCATTCTAGTTTCAGGAATCTGAAGAGAAAGCAAACGTAACTTTCTTCATGCCTAACATATTTCCTTTACGTTGGACTTTTGTTATCTATTTTGTTATCTATCTAGGCATTTTCTTGTTTCTTTTTTTTGAGACGGAGTCTCGCTCCGTGGCCCCCAGGGTGGAGTGCAGTGGCGCGATCTCGGCTCACTGCAAGCTCCGCCTTCCGGGTTCACGCCATTCTCCTGGCTCAGCCTCCCTAGGAGCTGGGAATACAGGCGCCCGCCACTACGCCCGGCTAATATTTTGTATTTTTAGTAGAGACGGGGTTTCACCGTGTTAGCCAGGATGGTCTGGATCTCCTGACCTCGTGATCCGCCCGCCTCCCAAAGTGCTGGGATTATAGGAATGAGCCACTGTGCCCCGCCCATTTTCTTCTTTTCTAAAAGGCAGTCAGTCCTCAGATAGCAGCTGAACTCTTTTCATTCTCTTTTGCAGTTCAGGTTTGAGCCCAGTCCAACAATTTTTTGCTTTATTTTTAAGTGACCTCTTACCATTTTCAGGCTTCCTCCCCTCTCACCTTGACCTCTAACTCCAAATTTATGTCTCCTTGTCATTGTGGGGAACTTCTTGGAGAAAAGGTTAAAGCTAAGTTGGAGCTCTGTCTCGGGCCTTTCATAGCAACACTGACTCTTATTATTAGCGGTGCACTCCAGGCTGCTAGAGTTCATATTTTGGCAGTAGACCATCAAACACCCTATTTTTAAGAGCCTTTAACTTCGTTGTAAACATGTGCTGTGACTGGGAGCTTATTTTCTTTACTCATATTTACCAAAAGCAATTTAGCTGTTGAAAAGTTGCTATAAGGAAAAAAACAACAACAACAACAACAAAAAACTCGGCCTTCAGGAACATTTTTCCACTCATATAACTCAAAACTGTTCATGATCTTTAAAAAAAATTGGCATTTAGTTGTTTGATGGTCCAGTCATATTGGTAATTTGAAGGGAAGAAGAAATGGAACTGCTAGGTCATTTTGCTATGACAAATGTCCATTAAACACATGTGGAGGGAATAGTGTTGGCCACACATATTTTATATGATTGACCAGAACAGAATGGCTCAAAGAAGGCAGTCTAGTATACTGAGTAAATCGTTTTGCCCTTAAAATCTCCTATATTTAGAACAAAAACCTTCTATAGACATACTTCCTGCACACTCTAAATTCTGTAGACTCTACTAGTCCCATTAGGAGAACAAATAATATCCCAAACGCCAAGCATCAGCTTGTACATGCACTGATGGATTATTGATGTCTGAGGACCTTGAAAAAGAATCTACAGAAATATGATAAAGGAAGGAATATCGCAAATATGTCTATTTCTTTTGTCTCTGGAAGGAATTTAAGCAAGTGTAACAAAACACATAGTAATCTTTTGAAGCGGTTGTGACTTCTGGCCTTCAAGCGGGAGCTTTAGGAGGAATTTCAGTGTTAAAAAGGAGAGGCTTGAACTTTGACATCTTTCTCTCGTGATTTAAGATTCTAAAAGTAGTGTTAGGCAAATTCTTATATTCCAGCACAGGAGAAACACCAGCTTTCCAAGAGGATTTAGCATTTCTTCATCCCTTTAGCAATACAAGAGGGCAACTGTGCTCAGAGGTTGGCTACATTTGTGAAGTGGGAAGTATAGAAAGATCTGGAAGTATGTTTTCAGGGTCACGAGCCCAGTGGGCAGCCATATGCTGTGGAAGTACCTTGGCCTGGAAACCCTCCAGCTAAATGATGAGTGTGTCTTTCTACACAAACCCTATTTGAAGGCATGTTGCTGCAGTGTTGTTTTTACCCCTCAGGTAAAATGTTATTTTCTACCCCATATCCGAGGCAGATAAGCCCTGAAATTGGCCAGCATGTGGATTCCACATGTTTTCTCCCACTCTTCCAACTGGATGTGCTCTTGAAAACATTGACTTTCTTGGTCCTTGTCATATGATATGTTTTCTTATTGCCATACTTCCTGCTCTGGTTTTTCCATTTCTCTCCATTTCAAGTACTTTCAAAGACAAGAATCTTCTGGTTGTAGCAGGCATTCATTTGCTACAAATGCTGGCTGTTTTTCCAGGCATAAGAAATACACACACAAACACACACACATCTCTACCTCACAAACTCCTATTCCTGTCTTCTTATAGTAATAATGAATTGAAGACTATCACTGTACATTAATCTGGAAATTGACAAGAGAATGCCTCTATACCAGCAGAAGTTGAGTAGGGTAAGGGGGAGATATAATACAATCAACCCCCAAGTGGGAATTGTCTACTCCACTCCTATTAGATCTGCTCAGAGATGAGAGTGGATGTTCTGCCAGAGCCATTTCCAGAGTCAGCAAAATGTGCTTCTTCCCTGAGTTGCCATGAGCTTGAGTATACCAGAGGGCTAGAGAACAAACTCAAAATTATATTCTTTAGTCAGCTGAGCAGAGTTGCTTTGGAGCTGTGATGAGTAGTTTCATGTCTAATGACTCCCTTACTCCAGCCTCCCAGTGTGTCAGCAGACCCCTGACTGTACTTCATTGCTTAGGTTTGCTGTGGTGGAATTTGTTAGTTGACAGGTGACATAATCCAATCAATATAACAAGGAGTTCATTCCACTTCATTCCATTTTCCTCCTTGTTGAGTTGCAAATATTTCATAGATATATCCTAACTCATAAAACGCCTTTGGTGGGAAAAGTATCTTTGGAGTTGTGTCTAGTTTGCATGTCTCTTATCTTTCTGGCCAGCATGGCAAGTTCACTGTAGCTTCTGCAGAATGAGCTGGTAATTCTCATCAGTGAATGTTCTCTGCATGATTTTTTGAATGAGATGCCACTGTAGGTACTTTGCCAAATTCAGAAAAATCTCAACCACCTCCTTCTGAGAGTTGGCCTTCAGAATGTACGGACTGTGGTATGCTCATTGGCATCCTAGTGCTTGTTGCAATAAAAAATTATCGGATTATTTAGTTTTATGGGTTATGATATTTCCCCTAACCTAGAATTTAAGTTCCTGAGAAATTAAACTAGAATCAAAATTATTTAATGTCAGCAGGAAGATTTTTCCTAAAAGTTCACAAGAATATCTCCTCTCTCCTTTGGGGGAGATGTATACTCCTCCTCCACATAACCATAACATCACATCTGGGCCCTATTGTACCTATATCTGTGCATAACTAATTCAATGAGTAGCAAAGCAAAAGAGACCATAGCAAGACATAAAAATATATCTTGTGTTTCAAAAGCTTCTAGGAGGGAGAAGAGTTTGTAAAATTGAGCTATTATTTTAAAATTCTCTGATGGCATGACTTTTTGTTCAGAAGATAGTTTCCAGTTGCCATGCTAATAACATGACAAGATTAATTTTAGCAGTTATCTATTGCTTTGTAACAAATTACTTCAAAACTTGGCAGTTGAAAGCAGCAAACATTTATTATTTCACACATTTTCTAAGGGTCAGACTTTTGCGAACTGCTTAGTTGGGTGGTACTAGCTCAGGATCTCTCATGAGATGGCATTCCAACTACTGGTTGGGGCTGCAGTCCCCTCAAAGCCAGGTTGAGGATGGAGGATCTGCTTCCAAGTTCACTCCCATGGCTGTTGGGAGAAAATCTCAATTCCTCACTGGCTGTTGACCGGAGGCCTCAGTTCCTTGCTGTGATGGCCTCCGTATAGGCTGCATGAGTGTTCTCAAGCAGTTAGCTTTTCCAGAAACAGTGATCCAAGAGAGAGATCAGTATAGAAGCCACAGCATTTACAACCTTATCTCAAAAGTCACACATTTTCTCTTCTGCCGTATTCTACTGGTCACATAGGCCAAACCAGGAACAGTGTGGGAGAAGACTACACAGGATATGAGTACCAGGGAGTAGGCATCACTGGGAGCCATCTTAAAGGCCATTTAACACATTAATGAATAAACATTGGCCAATAGCCCAGGTTACCATGTCCTCTTCTGTGTTGTTAATTAAGGAAGGTTATACCACTGAATATTTTAAAATTTGACCATTAATTAATTTCATAGGTATTCAATGAATGTCCCCTATATACTGAGGACAGCTATTTTAAGTCCTTAGGATATATCAGGGAACAAAACAAAGATCCTCACCCTCCTGAGTGTTACATTCTGTTTTACATTCTGCTTTTCATATAGCAAATCTCACAGGTCAGTGGGCCCATGTAATTAGGATAAGTACAAGGACATCAAACCGTTGTTTCAGACTGAGTATGCCTTGACCAGACTTAGCAGGAAATAGGGGTATCTGTTTTCTTTATCTGCCACAATAAGGGTTTTTTTGTTTTGTTTTGTTTTTAGAAAAATGTAGCAACAATATAAACTCTCTAGTGATTGCATTCTTCTATTAGTTAACTCTCTTAAATGATCACTTCTCTGTCTTTGATAGCTAAAGTGAGGAAGTAAAGTATATTAACTTAAGAAATAAGGTTTGGGGTCCGATCATATCGGATTTTAGTCATAAGTCTCTTGCTTACTTCTTCCTGTGTTACCTTGGGCATGTTGCTTGACTCATCTGAGCCTCAGTTTTGTCATCTCATCTCTAAAATGGTGATAATAGTGGCACCTTTCTTGGAGATGTAACCAACAAATGACCTAAAGCATTTATTACAGGATCTGGTACATAGACACTGCTCAGTTTTATCTGCCCTTTCTTTATTCTAACCACATCTGTGTACTGACTCATTGCCAAAAGTTGCTATCAGAAATGACCTCCTAGTTCAACCCAAAATATCCAAGATATTAAGAGGCCTAGTAACCTCTAAAGCAACTCTCACTTGCCAGTTGTGACTGCCACTTGCATATGTACTGAGTGGGAAGAATAACTCTGGATTCACAGCTTGTGTTAAAGTCTTGATTTGTCCTCAGGAGTTTACCATTTAGATACGTAAAAGCACTTTCAATAGCCACCTGATGTTTTCCTACTCAGGCTGTTCCTGTTGAATATGCTCTGCAAATAAGTCATCTGTCAGCAAAGGAACCTGGAGAAGAAAGACGCAGGTGCCCTGGGGTTTCTGTCTCCTTCTGTCAGTCTTGGCACCTGAGCTAGGAAGCAGCTGATTTTTCTTAGCCCAGCACTGACCAAGGAGCTGCTCCCTGCCACAGAAGTTCTTGCCTTTCCAAAGCTGGGCAGCCTGCAGCCCTATTTTCAGTTCCTCTTGTCATTTTCTTTCCTGGAGTGACCATTAGAGAAACTGGCAGTAAGAGGGAAGGGACACTAGTAACTTCCAGCCTCAGAAAGAATATAACAATTCAGTAGGTTGGTATGTTTTGGTAAAGGGAGGCACAGTATAATTCTTGAAGACATCTGGTATTTGAAAATTTGTGCATCTCACATACCCTCATAATTTCCCGGGCCTCTACTGGGAATGAAATGTGTGGCTCTTTTGGAGACACAGGCTTTTAGGAAACTCTCAAGTCTTGGAAGTTTTTGAAATCATCTTGGCTTAAGCATTTTAGGCATTTTTGGAGGTCGGATATGAAATGTATTTTTTAGCTTTGAAGACACTGAAGCATAGACGTTTTAAAGCTATCTATGCTTCCAGGTGGCTTCTGGGTGCCTTGAGAGGCACCAATGTATAGATTTGCAAAGGTGCATCTTTCCTTCTGTGGAAGCTCTGTTGGCTTCATGTGTGACCCAGATGGAACAATTTACTCCTTCCACAGGCACCATTTCAGTGAATGCAAGCAGGAACAGGACACCGAGGAACATCTGTGGAATGCAGGCCTGAAGCTGAAGGACGAGTAAAACCAGAGGGCTTGGCAAGATAATGAGCGCCAAGACACTGAGTGCTTAACTCTTAAATAAAGTGTCCACCAGAGTGGGGAGGGGGCTTGGCCCCAACAGCAGAGGAGGAGTCCAACTATCTGCTCTTCTATGTGCCATTGGATCATTTGCTCAGTTCCATCTTCAAAGCATAGCTTGAATCCCCTGTCTGGGCACCACTTTGGCCCAGTTCAGGATCCCCTCTCCCCTCGACTGCTGCAATGGCATCTTCTTTCTAGTATTGTCCATACTGAGTACAGCAACAAAAGTTAACACCTTTCAACATACAATTGTTTACATCCTACCCCTGCTTAAAACTCTTAAGTAGCCTCCTGTTGCACTTAGAATAAAATCCAGGCCCCTTACGCAAGCCTGTAGGTCCTGCTCATGCTGCTGCCTGCCTCGCTTTTCAAGCCACCTTTGCTTACTACACAGAAGTTGTGTGTGGATCATTTAATTCTCCAAATGAGCCCAGATCTTTCTCCCCAGAGGGCCTTTTATTATGTTATTTCTCCAACTCATCACCTGGCTGCCTCCCACTTAATTTTTAGATCTCAACATGAATGGTAGCCTTATTGAACATCCCTCCTAAAGAGATTACTCTTCTGTTATTCTGTATCTTAGCCCCTTCTTTGTTTTATTTATAGCATTTGTTACAACCTGCATTTTCTGTGTTTATTTATGTATTGGTTCCCATTCTGGTCTATCACTCCCTTTAGAGTAGAAACTCCATTTTATTGCCTTTTTCATTTGTGTATCTGCAGTACCCACCAGAGTGCTTGGGTATACTGGTTGCTTCTTGAATGGGCAAGCAAGTACCCTGACTTATTCTATTCCAGAAGATAGGGTATAAAGGAACAGCAGGAATAGGTGCTTCTGTTTTCCCTAACAAATCCATCCCTCTAGAATATTAAGTGGAAGGATATTACAAGAGTATGCAACAAGTGACCCACTTACCCAGATTGAAACTCAAGGAACTGAACCAGAGATCCCCTCATTCTGTTTTTCAGAAAAGTCACAGGCTTACATATTGCTGAATGATGGCAAGGCTATGTCCACATGATAGAAAAACTGTATATCCCAGTTGACTGGTGCTTTTGGCTACCTTAATGGCTTCAGTCTACCTGCCGATCTGACCATTGGGAAAAAATTAGTTGTGAAGTTGCATTATGTAAAACTGAAGCTTGTGTAGTCAAGACCAGGGTTTCCCTATAGTTCCTCACAGCCAGCTCCTCTGTGCAGGGACTGGATGCATAGCCTGGCTCAGAGAGGATGGTAGGAGGCTTTGAGCCAAGTATCCTCAGGGACAACTAGATTGCTCTCTTCTCTGTTGGGCCTTCTGGGTACCACGCATGATGAGATTGAGTCATTCTGACCTGTCAGAGTGGGTGAGTGAATGCTATATGAAGATAAACCAAGACCATTAGAACCCTTTGAATCCAGAGGCACAAAAATGTAAAAAGCTCTATGAAAAAAACAGGAGTCTGGAAACTGTTAACAAGATCCTAGGACTAGTTTAAATTTTAAAGTGTGAAAGAGATAGCATTGGAATAAATAAAATGTACTTCTACTTTATACGGTAAGTGGAGATAAGCATATAGGAAAATCAGCCCAAGAGGTAGTAGCTTGAATGAAAATATAAGTATGAAATAAATTAGATACAATATAAATATATTTTACAGGAAACCAAAATGGATTATTTAGGGAATGTTTAGAGTTATCATTTCCAGCCTTTAAGGTTAACAAGAGGACAACTATGTCCTTCCACAAATTATCCATTGGCACCGTTTTGTCCTCATTTTTTCAATACCATTCCCCACCTTCCATCTACATTAGGACCATGAATTGGGATCAGACATTGTCAAGTATCCCCTGGAAGGCAAAATATGTCTGATGGAGAACCTCCTCTTTAATATACTCTTTAGAACTAAGGAAAACAGCCCAGGTTGTTGAAATCAGATTAGGAAACTCATACTATCTATCTCAGAAGCTTTCTAGTGCCTACTGTAACTAAATGGAACCTCTAGGGTTGGCACTTTGTTGTTTGGAGTAGGACAAATGTTTGGCCTTTTAAATTGTGGAGTAAGAATACAATTCCTCACTGGTGGCTGCAACACCAGCTTCCCGTTCAGAATGCTGACTTTGTCTGTCCTCTGGCCTAGAGTCTGGATTGCAGGGGGCTGGGATGGAGCCATGCCTGCCCCTGCCACTCCCATAACTACTTCCCCTCTGGACCCATTTGAAGGAAGGCTGTTTCTGTGCCAAACATTTATATTGGGTACAAAATGAGTCTATATTATCTTCTAGACAGAATAATGGAACAGTAGTTGACTCAGGGCTAGAATTTGGGAGGCATCTTGGAAAAGGGGAAAAAAAGTTAAGCTGCCTATTTTCCCGTTTCCCTGTGTTTTAGGTTATCTTAGCAGAAGGAGTTGAAACAAAGAGAAGGAGGTGGCAATGCCACCGTGTAAAATGCTTATTATACCTCTTAGATACGTGCAGCACTGGTCACCAACCCACAGGAAGGATGTTGTTATTGTCTGGGAGTGGGTGAGGCCTCATGAAAAATATCTGTGGTATGAGGAAATGTTAAACAAGCTGGTCTTGTTCTTACTAGGAAAGAGGGGATATCAAGAGGACTTAAAATGATTCCAAACTACCACTCAGAGTTAAAGGTGTTGTCTTTGAAATAATCCAAAAAGACCATCTGTAGCAGGCCCTAGCAGGCCACAGGTTTATAAACAGCAGCTGGCTGGCCTAGCTCAGGGGGCACAGGCCAAGAGGCCACCTGTGACTCTTGTCCCGTTTTGGTATTGGTTTTCTGTCTTTAAATCACATCACCCAGGGCTCAAGTTAAGCAAAATCTTCTCTGCAGAACTAGCCTTAGGAGACCTTAGAAAGTTCCCTTTCTTGAAAAATGCTACTTCAGTTTGCCTGAAATTTTTTCCTTTCCTTTTTCATATCCCTGCCCTCTCCCAAAGACCCTATGGGGAGAAGAAGACAAACAAATTTAGAAAGCAGAAACACCAGATGAATTACTGTGCTCCTACTCAAGCTACTTCACGGGATGTATCAGGGTACTTAAATCACCTGATTCACCTGGCATCAGAACCACCTGGAGTGCTTGATAAACTGCAGATTCTAGGGTCTTATTTCAAATGTCGAAAAATCCAAATTTCTGCTGTAAAACCCTAATATCTGCATTTTTAATCAAGTATGAGGACCTTCATGAGGATGGGTATATTTGTCTTTTTATTCACAAATGTATCCCAAAACACTAGATCACTTCCTAAAAACACCTTAAAAATATATGGTTCTCTGTAAATATTTATTGATGAGTGAACAAACCAAAGCCTTGTAGGATTGGCTTAGTAGGATTTGTTTTTGTTTCTTTTACTAAATTATAGCAGAAAACAGTGACAGGAAAGAGGAGTCTTTAATGGGAGAAAGGCAGGCTATAAAGAGGAAGGAAAAAGTCAGTTTGAAGAATGGGGCAATTTTGGGGAGGCTGGGCGAGGTGGGGAACAATAATGAAGACTGTGTGACCAAGAACAAGTGGTGGGATTTGGCATGGTGGGAAAGGAGTGTGAAAAAAGGGAAATGCAATGAGGCAGTGGCTAGAGCAAAGGTTCCGAAATTCCAGTGAGCCTCAGAATGGCCCGGAGAGCTGCTTACATTGCACCTTGGCGTCCACCCCAGTTCTGAGATGGGGATGAAGGATTTGCATTTCTAACAGCTGCTCAGGTGGATGCCGATGCCTCGGGATTTGTGAACCTCTTAGAGTTAGACTATTGGTCTCAGAAGTTAGATAGATCAGGTTGTGAGCCCCAGCTCTACCCCTTGCTAATTGTGGGATCTTAGCAATCTATTTAACCTCCGCACCTCAGTTTCCTTCACATGTGCAAGAGGGATAATGACGATTAGATGGTTGTGAGACTGAGTTGATGCACATAAAATACTTAGCATAGTAGCCAGCACATTCAAGTACTCACTATCTTAAAGATTATTATTTTGTCTGGCGCTAACACTGCACTTTTTGGGGAAAGTAGAAAATATAGTTGTCTTCCCAATGAAAGAGAACATATTGCTTCCTATAACTAGCATAACATTTAATAAAGAGATGGACTAGTTCAGATTCCAATACAACTAAGCTATTTATTTCTGTGTCACAGTACAGTTCCTAACTAACTGAAATTAGTTCCTGATAAGAAACTAAAGCTATTTTTCACAACAGGTAAGTCGATGGCCTGCCTGGAGATAGACGGTGTGATGGCTGCACAGCAATGTGAATGTGCTTAATGCCACAGACTTGTACACTTACAAATGATTAAAATGGTAAATTTTATGTAATGAATGTTCCACCACAATAAAAAAAAATAGTGGATAGCCTGAATATTACTTTCTGTGCTCTGCCTCATACTTCCTAGAGGGAAATTCAGTTTAGCATATTGTCAAACAACTATTGTTCAAATTTGCTTACTTAAAGAGTGACTAAATTTCAAAACATACATTGTACATCTCCTGGGATGAGCTCTCGGGGCTTCCTACTGTCCATTCAGACTCAGATGAATCCATTGTAATGATGAATCCAATGATATTTTCAGTTCCCTAATGTTGAATTACAATCACTTCTCACACACAAAAGCCCACCTATCTGGATTCTCATTGGGTGATTAAAGAAGAAAATGCCCTTTAGGACTTGGCCTGAGACAGCCTGTTTTGGCTTTGGAGTTTTCCTTTGTGAGATGATAAACTTGATTGAGAAAGGCAGGGCATTTGCTCATTCTTTTTTTTTTTTTTTTTTTTTTTTTGAGATAGAGTCTTGCTCTGTCGCCCAGGCTGGAGTGCAGGTGGCACAATCTCAGCTCACTACAACCTCCACCTCCTGGGTTCAAATGATTCTCCCACTTCAGTCTCCCAAGTAGCTGAGATTACAGGCCCCTGCTATCATGCCCGGTTAATTTTTGTGTTTTTGTAGAGACAGGGTTTCACCATGTTGGCCAGGCTGGTTTTGAACCTGCCTCGGCCTCCCAAAGTGCTGGGATTACAGGTGTGAGCCACCAAGCCTGGCCGGTGTTTGCTCATTCTAGCTACATAGATCTTTATCAGTGGCTATAGCTTTATTATTGTTACATGCTACACTGGCAAAGAAGGATATCTTTGCTCTTAGAATCAAATAGTACACACCATTGGAAAAAAGCCTTCCTCATCAAAGTCACAAAAAGGATCTTGAAAAAATTATTTAGAAAAGCAAATGTAGACAACTTTTGATTGCCTAACTCTCAGTGAAACTTAACCATCATAGAGGTATTCTCCCTATTATAACAAAGTTAGATTCCAAAAGCTTGTAAGTAAGCTGTGTATAACTTGGACATATGTTTTCCTATAGCACCATTTCTGCATGTAAGACTGTGTTTCGAACCTCAGCTTGGAGCTTGGACAATCAAGAAGAGGTGTCTTTGCTGGCCTCAGCTATGAGAATCCTATCTAGGTACCGCCATCTCTAGCTATCTGTAGCACCAACCCTCTGCTACTACTGCTGCCTTCTCCCGTGGGATGAATGTGGTGAATTGTGCATTCATATTTCAGGAATGATTAACATTCAAGGTTGGAGATATTCCAGAATCACAATTTGATTTTATAAGATGCTTTGCAGAAATATCTTAGATAATCTAAGGATTCCTAATGGCTTATACAAAAGAACTAAAGTGAGTGTGACTATCCAGCTTCTTCTATTTCTTCCTACTCTTTCACTTCTTTTGTTCCCTTCATGATTCTGCTGCATGCCAGGAATGGACTCACATGACTTCTCAAACTCCTAGCCAATGTAAACATAGTGAAACATAATAAAGTGGTAAAAAGCTATCTGGACCTAGATTTGAGTCTAAGCCCTGTCTTTTCTTGTGAACATTTGAACAAATTCCCTCACCTCTCTGAGTTACAATGTCCTTATGTATGAAATGGGGTGATAACTAATAAAGAGCTATTGTGAGAGTTAAATGAGATGATACATGTAAAGTACTTAGCTTGGTGCCTAGACATAGTTGGGACTCCTTAGATGTTAGCCATTGAACACATTTCTTGGGCTATTTATTGCCACTTTTCTGGTATATGGTTAACATATTCACCTACATTTGCATAAATGATATTGTAAAATATGCCTTAGAAGAGTCCCATGCATTCACATAGCAGATTATAGCTTATAAAGAAATTTCTCATTTTATTTTTACAACACTGGACGCAGAAGAGTTGACCATATTTTCCCTTTTTACACCTGGGGAGACTGAGGCTCAGAGAGGCACAGTGACTTAATTTGAATTGACTTGCGTGAAGAGTCAAACCAGCAGACTCTTTAGTCCAGTGCTTCTTATTATATATGAGAAAGCATGTTATAAATTACTGACACCACAGTATTGCCAACCTAAGGACTAGGAAGAAAGGGCTTACATGTTTCTTGCTTTAATAATATGTGAATTAGAAAAGGTATTCAAGAAGATACAGGGTTAGAATGTGTATCTTTCTTTTATGTACTGAAATGTTTCAACTCATATGCAGCAATGTGGTAACTTGAAAGATGATTCCAGAGATTTCATGCTTCTGGCAGTTTCAGGTCACATTGGGGTGAAATTTGACATACTGTAGTCATCCCCAAGGTAATAATGTTGATGAAATGGTATAAACCCTGATACATTCTTAAGCAAAATGAATCTAAAAGTTTGTTTCAAAATTTTTAACGTTTTATGTTGCTCTGACTTTCCATATACTGATTTTTACATTACTTAGTGAAAAAAAAAATAACCTTTAGCTTCTGACAACAAAAACATTTTAGCTATTTTTTTATAGTAGGCTTCTTTGCATATCAGTTCTCAGTTTATGTATAGAAGAATTTCCTTTTCACGTAATCACAGTATAAACTGATTTCTTGGCTCCAAATATGATGATAGTTTTTTAAAAGAGCAAGAAGCAAGTATGCTCCCTATATGTCATCATATACATTTTGGAAACTTCAGAGTCTTAAAAATCATTCTGACCAGGTGTGGTGGCTCACACCTGTAATCCAATCACTTCTGAAGGCCAAAGCTGGTAGACTGCTTGAGTCCAGGAGTTTAAGACCGGCCTAGTCAACATGGCAAAAACCCATCTCTACAAAAAAAAATGTATAAATTAGCTGGGCGTGGTGGCATGTTATCTGTAGTTCCAGCTACGTGGGAGGCTGAGGTGGGAGGAATACCTGAGCCTGGAGAGGTCGGGACCTCAGTAAGCCGTGACTGCACCACTGCACTCCAGCCTAGGTGGCAGAGTGAGACCCTGTCTCAGAAAAAAAAAAAAAAAAATTGTTCCTTTGGGAGGTGGAATATCACAGTAGTCAATACCTTGGGCACTAGAATCCAAGCTCTACCATTTATTAACTGAGCAAATTGAGGGAAATTATTTAATTCTAAGGCTTTAATTCCACCATCTATGAAATGGTGATGTAGCAAAACCTGCCTAACAGGGATGGTGGCAAGATTAAGGGAGAGTGAGCAGGTAGTTACTGTGCTCAGTGTTAGATACTATCTTCATCATCGTCATCCATGATGATCTTAGCAATCCTGCTACTGGGTTGAATGAAGTTCTCTGTACAGATTCCATGGCTGTAGGTAAGAATGAATTACTCATAATTGTGAGCAGAATAATGTGTGGTAAACAAATTATGCAGTTATTCGAATCCTTCTACTAAATCACAACTATAGGGTTAAACTAAAGGGCAGTTTTGAAACTGACCTCTGGGTGTGAATGCATTGTCAAGCACTTCATACTAAAACACAATGGCATTCCAAATCCCAGTATGATGCTAGACACAATGGATTACTCATTTCAGTGGGAGTACATTCTCTCCAAAAACCCAAAAACATTCACCCAGAACTTTCAAGACAAAAGACATTGCCAGCTAACACCAGCAAGGGCACTTAGTTTTCTTCCTTTCTCTATCTTTTACTTCTCTGTTTTGCTGAACTTAACTAATGAGTTATTTTCATTTTATTGTATTGTATTTTATGCCATGAATTATTTGTTTATGCTGCAGCATTTTTACATTTGGACAAGAGTACACAGAGCAGAAAGTATATAGCACATGTATGGTTCACTGTGTATAGATAAATGAAGCATTCATTCATTCAATAAATATTTGCTCAGTATCCATTGTGTGTAAGACATGAGGTTAGCTACATGGTCCCCAGCTTCAAGGTCTTTACATTCTAATAGGAAGACATATAAGAAACAAGCAAACAAACTAAAAAATATACATTATTATAGCTAGTCATTTTTTATAAAGCACAAGTTTCTTTAAATTTAAGCTGAAACATAAAGAAGTAGGAAGTAGCCATGGATGTAATTTTTGGGAAGTGTATTCTGAGATGTTAGAGCAACTCTGATGCAAAGTACCATTTGTTTATTTAGCTTAATATTTTATGTCTAAAGTAGGTTTCTTACTGATAAAAATTGCAACATAATTAGATTTTGGGTATGGGAAATGATTGGATAATAAAGAATAAAACATAATCAGGTATGCAGTAAGTGAAAAGTTGATGTCAGAATTTCCAGTAATACTGTAATTATGTAAATTGTCACTAAAATGGATTTTGAGGGTTAGTACTTAAATACACAGAGTCTTGAATGACACAGCAGTCACCCATATGTATGTTAGAGATGCTTCAGTTATATTTCAGAATTCTACTATTGTTTAGTAAATCACTGGATTTTTTTTTCCTCCTTGTGGTTTAGGATAGCATTGAAATATCTTGGTATAATTACTTCCATACTTTGTCATTAGTATTTTATATTCTTTATTACATGGACTAATGCCCCACCACCACTGCCCCCCAAATTTTAGCTATGCTGAAATGAAACTCCCTCTGAAATTTTGATTTCTGAGGTCGGGTGATCCCAAATGTAAACTATAACACTGTGTAAGGCCTGAGTCTAGAATTGTAAAGAAGCCAGAATCTTCCATGAGCATGCGCAGGGCTTTACCATAATTCCAGAGTAGAACAATCAGCATTCAAAACCACATGAAGCCAGGACTCTCTTCCACCCTCCTCTTCCTTTCCCCTATAAAATGATATCCACCCATGAGTCATAGGCCATTCATTCCCTTGGGTTCACTATTAGTTCTGTTCCTGAACTCTCATGGGCCATCAAATGAAAATAAAATTAATACACACGAAGAGATTATCATTTTAGGGGATTTGTGGGAGCCCAGACACTTTTTATGAGAAGAGACTGGCACCCCTAAGGATGTTATTTGAATCTGAAAAGAAGCGGTCATAAAGGAAGTGGTGCTGCTTTAATCTGCTGTACGGAGCTGCCACCCTGCTCTTACTGCTAGGCAGCCTTCCCATATGAGCAGAATGATCATTCCCTTGGAGAAAGCAGCTGAGGTTTGAAAGCCGTTCCAATTTTGCAGTTTCAGGAATGTGTCGGAGTTGCAGCTTTAAGATGGCATTTCCCCCTCCCCAGCTGCTGTCGAGAGTGCCTGGGCTAGATGTGAATGGGAGTTTTGTATGAAGATTGTGAGTGAGCCAGAGCCACTGGGTAATCAGGGCAGCAAGGCACATTAAGGAATATACTTTAAGGGATATATTTAAGGAATATACTTTTCATACAGCCTCTCACTCTTCCTTTACAGTAAAAGCATAAGTAAAACTTCCCTATGCTCCTGTACTTATCCTGCTTTTGGTCTGACTTTAAGCTCAGCACTGAAGGCAACTTGATCTCCGTTGCTATCTCCTTTCATAGATGATAATGAGCACAGTTCTAAGAGGCTGGCTGCAATGATATCCTTTGCTGTTAGAAAAGGAAAGCGGGAGCAGGGATTGGAGTGATTGTTTGCTGTGTTGGTGACTGTGATGTTGCCATGGGAAAGCTCAAGACTTCAGGAGAGTTTGTATTTTGTTGGGCGAGGTGCCAAACTGTTGTGACTTATTACAGCCGTGTGAGTGAGCTGTACAGAACAGTATCCTGTGTAGCAATTCAAAGGGCAGGATCACTTTAATCAGGGAAAGATAGAGTGCTGAGTATTCACATTACGCTTTATTTCAACTTGGAAATGATAAACAAACCTAACATTTTGGTAGTCTCTGGGTTTGCTCTTTTAACTTTGGAGAAAAAAAAGAATCAATTCCTCGTGCTCACTCCAACTGAAAAGCAAAACAAAAATGTTTCTGCTTTACATATAAAGACCCCTTGTAACGAATGGTGTGCTCTCAAGTAACCACTCCACCCGCAAATGCTAGTTCATCTTGACTCAGCCTCAAGGAAAGAAAAAATTCACAGGCCAAGTTGATTTGGTGTGAAAAAAATAGTGTAAGTTTGGGAAGGTTTCTTTTCAATTTAGACTGAGGACATTCCTCTGCCTCACTTACCTGGGAAAGTCAGCCTTTTTACCCCTAGTATTGGCAAAATACATGGCCCAGTCTAGATGTTCAGTCGTTGTCTAACTATGCTGAAGGCAAGGAGTTTTCTTTGAGGTTTTATGAAAAATTAATACATAGATCCACATAAAGGAAAATTCTGGAGCTTGGAGAACTGTTTTGACCTTTCAAGTCACAAAGGGAGCTAGGTTCAGTCCCCTTTTTGCAGTAGTCAACACAGCCCTAATTCTTTAGGGAGATGCCAAGCCTCCATATCATTTTGTGCTGTGTAGACATTGCCTAGAAGTTCCCTTGGAGCCAAGTCTTTTGAAGCTTTTTGATCCATTCCAGGGAACTCTTGGAAGAGGAGAGAAGAGCTTCACAATTTCCATTTTTAGCCTAAAACAGATGTCAACATGTTAACTCTTCTTCATTTGATATTGTGGGCCTGGGCTCGTGCAGTGATCAAAGGCACAACTGAAGTGCACAACTGAAGTGCTCCATATTTTCAGAATATATGTTTATTGAGAGACTTGTAGAAAACTATATATGTATATGTTATGTATATAATTATATATACATAATTTGATACTCAAGGCAGCTATGACGTCTTGCAGCATAACAAGAAGAAAGGTATGTTTCTTATTGTGAGATATTAAAGTTTCATATGATACATTTTAAATGTTCATTTTCTAGGAGCATTTCACTTTGTCTTTTAAAAACACTTTTCAGAATGTTTATACTTGTGTTTGTTGCTTTGTAGTTTTATTTGGTTGCCAGGTTAGCTATTTATTTTCACCCAGTTTAACCTCTGAGGGACATATTTTGCATAGAGACAGATGTTTTTATCTGCCTTAATTTCCAGTTACCGTACTTCTAAGTTCTAGTAACATTCAGAATAGTTCATCATAGAAGTTGTGGAAACTTTTTCTAACATAGAAAAAATTCCCTTTGTGTATTAGATGACTTGAATAGTAACTTACAGATATCTAGACATTTGGGAATCAGAGAATTGATGAGACTTTCTTTTTGCCAAAGTTTTTTCATATAGTACAGTTTCACATGTATTTTAATATAGAATACATCCTGTCTCATTATTATTATTCAAATAGACTTTATTTTTTAGAGCAGTGTATGTTCACAAGAAAATTGAGTGGAAAATACAAAGAGTTCCCAGATACTCCCAGTTCCCTATCCATGCATAGTCACCCCCATTATCACCATCCTCCACCAGAGTGGTATGTTTGTTGCAATTAGTGGACCTACATTGACACACCACTATCACCCAAGGTCTGTAGTTGACATTAGGATTCACTCTTGGTGTTGTATTCTGTGGGCTCTGATAAATATATAATAATGTACATCTTTCATTATATTATCATAGAGTATTTTACTGCTCTAAAAATCCTCTGTGCTCTGCCTGTTTATCCTTCCCTCTCCCTTAACTGCAGGCAACTACTGATCTTTTTACTGTTTCCATATTATTTTAAAATGTAATAGCTTTAATTTTAAAATATTACACTAAAATGTGAAAGTTACTGAAAAATGGATTAAAGTGTATATATTTTTTGGCCTCAGAACTCAGTTTTTGCATTGAGAAGTTGTTATAAATGGTGCATCTCTAATTCCTTTTCCTTAAGTGAGAATTTATTGACCTAATAATAATATTTCAGAATGTTATTCTCAGTCAAGAGAATTGTATCTTTATAGGACTTCGGAATTTTTCAATAGTGGTTGAGTCAGGAGCTTCTCAAATAGAAGAAACATAAACAGCATAACATAGCATAAACACATTTAGTTGTTTTTATTTTTTTCTTTAAGGTCCCTTTATCCTGAATCACAGTGGTGTAACATCATTGTGATTTGGGCTATGTTTCTGGAGCACTTTATGCAGTTAGCTGTCTCTGTATCTCCTCTGCCTGCTGCAAGAAGAGTTTATATGAATACATTCATTACTTGCAGATGTACAAAAAGTTACCGAGGAAATTAGGACTAATAGGAAGCATTCATTCTGTTTGAAGTAGATGCCATGAAATGTAATAGGATGGTCTTCTAGATAAAGAAAAACCTGGGTGCCACTCTCAGGATACAGTATTGGCTGGATCGGGGGACCATCTCTCTCCTTGGTTGAATCCACATTAACCAATGTCTCCCAACTTATGTTTTAACTGTCACTGTACTTCCAAACTGGCCTCTCATCCCATAATCTATCCTCTATCATTTGCCAGTTAAATTCCTAAAAATGCAACTCTTTTTGTCTCAAGTCTCCACTTAAAATCTTTAAATGGCACCCCAAATTCCAAGCTTCCTCATCAACCCTTTTGTGGATCTCAGTGTCAGAAGGAGTTTAGGCTCTTTCCTGGAAACATGACTATGATAGGAGTCAGCCTGACTTCTTATTCTAAGGGGTGAGAGAGTGAACCAGGCCTCAGCAGTAGAATCAGTGTCCCCTCCTCAGAATCTGTACACTGTGATAAGAGAGGCTTGAAACTGACTTGCAAGAAGTAGGGCTGAAGCAGCTTTCACAGATTTAACGGGAGACTGGAATGAGCAGATTCTGTGATGATCAAAGATCAAACGGTGCTGAATTCGAGAAGGAGGTACAGACATTAATGGATAAAGATTGAGGGCCACTCTGGATCCTGGCACCCACTTCCTTGCTCATAGTAATTGTGCACTACATATTTGGTGACAAGATTAGCTGGCCCACAGCAGCAGTTCTCAGATTATATTTTTTCTTTTTGTTTTCTCAGACATTCTGGAGAGAGGATAAGGGGGATAGGGAATGTGTCAGCTCTGGCAGCCTTGGGTGAGGCCAGGATTTATACAGAAGTACCCCAGCCTTTTGTGGGCGCCAGGTGTAGCTTGGGCAGCATGCCTGACCTGCTGCCCACTTGTGCCCCTTAAGAACTCATTTTCTTAAATCTGTTCTTGCTGGACACTCATTGTGTGTCTTGTATTCAGCCTATCTTATTCACAGGCCAGTGACCTAGTCACTATTGCTAAGATATAATTTTGGCATTGAAACAGCTCAAAGGAGGAAAGGAAAATAGACCTCTTTACTTTCTTTTATTATAAAAAATTTATATGGGCCACACTGGGATTTTTAGAAGGGCTGTGTTTGTAGTTTTTTGTATATGGTTTCAGTATATACTTACCTCAGAACTCACAGAATAATGGTTCCTATACTCTTACTCTATGGCACATTCCATGAGGAAAATTGTTATATATAGATAACTATAATTCTAGAAAGATTACCAAAGGAAACAGCACATCAGTTGTACTTTGAGATTACATAATATCTTAACATTGGAGCAATTTTTATATTGGTAAATTATACTTCCATAAAGTTAACAAATACACCACTGTTTGAGGAAATGATTCAGAGTGCCAGAGTAGGGAGTTTTATCTCTCCTGTTGAATGTGTGAGTCATGTGCTGCACTTTTTTGAGCAAAGTATAGAGAACATTGGCAGCAGAATATTAAAACTACATGATGGTCAATGTTGACTGAAGGCTTAATACAAATGAGCCCGTGAATGTATTATAAATTGTCAGGGCCATTTTATAAAGCATTTTGGCAATATCTTTCAGGAGCTGTACTAATATCTGTGCCCTTTGACTCAATAATTTCACTTCTTGGAATCTCTCAGAGGAAAGAATCCAAAATAAAGTGATATGCATGAAAATAATCATAATCGCTGTAGGGTTAAATAATAGTAGCCCTTGAAATGATCCATGTGTTCAACAGGAACAGAATTAAATGAGTTTTACCTATGTAAAAATATGATTATGAAAAACCTGGAGCGTAGTACATCTGAATTACAATAGATGTGCTAAGATGGTATGTGTCGGTGTGTATTCTTTGGTTGCAAGCACCAGGCATGAGTTTTGGTGAATTTAATCAAGAGAGTAATTCGTTACAAGAACTTGGGGTTTCTGTGCAACCCAAGAAAAGTCTGAAAATAACCAAATTTAGAAAATGTAAGGAATCAGGGGGTTTCAAGACTCTAGATAGCAAGAAGTGGAAAATCCTGTCTCCAGGGAACCTCCTCAGGGGAGAATCAGCTCCAGCTGGTTTATATCCAAGTGCCATTCTCCCCAACCTCCAGGAGTGAGAGTTTCTTTAGTATGTCTTGGATCCTATGCCCACTTTGTGACCAGGGCAAGAGGGCACCTTGATTGACAGCCCCACCCAGACCACATGCAGAAGGAGGGGTGGCTCCCTTGGGAATTAGGGTGATACTGCACACAGAGAAGAATGGATGCTGAGTGAGCCAGAACAACAGATGAAAGTACATAACAGGATTTCTTGGTCTTCTCTTTATAATTTAAACTTTCTTATGCCTTTATAATCAATGAATTTTAATCAACAAAATTTGTGTCTTAGAAAGTCAGTATGGATAGAGATAGAAACATTCTTCTTTATATTACTGCCACAGACAACACTGATTATGTGATGGCATAGCATGAAAACAAATATGTGTCTTTAACACTAAATTAAGCAGAAATATTTTAATAATGAACAGAAATACCTGATAGAAATAATGATAATGAATGGAAAGAACTGATAGGGCTTTTGTAAGGATTGAATAGGGTGGCATGAGACTGTATTTTGCACAATGCCTAGCACACACACAAAAAGTGCTTATTAAGCCAAAATAAGAACTAAGAAATATAAGAGAATAAGGTCGCAATAGCTCTTCAATGTTAATCTTGTAGCCAAAATGCAACTGGTAAGTTCTACATATTGGCAGGTAATACTAATTATAAAACGTGTGAATTATGGTTCAATTTAGGCTTTCTTTGCCAGTACTATTAATTTGTATAAGTAAAAGTGTCAGCACTTGAATGGATTATCTGAGTGTGAGCCCAAGAAGCACAATTCATAAAGTGGCTGATTAATTTTCTCTCCTTTGGATTTATTAATATGCCTTCAACCATGGCATATATATTTTAAATTAATTTAGAACAGTTCCAAGATGTATCACATAAGATAGGAATCAGTATGTATAAACTCTAGTGAAGAGCCCTGAGATATATATTTGTGCATATCAATTAGTCATGGCCATCTACAGGGTAACAAGAGGGTCATTCTGCTTCTAACACATATCCATGTGGCATGACCAGGGTCTGTATGTGGGACGGCTCTGCTCTAGAATCTAACCATTGGCCTGGCCTACGCAGTGGAGAGGAGTTGGTGGTTACTGACAGGTGGGCTGGGACTAGGATGAGGCAAGCCAGGTACTTAGGGTGTAGCATGTAAGGAGGCCCTCATTCTCCAGTTGTACGCTCATTGAATATGAGCATCTTCTTAATTCTGTACCCCATGTGCCTCATTTGTCCCAGTCCTGGTGACAGAAAAACTGGGCTAAAATGCAGATTCAGAATTTTTACTTTCTAGGAAAAAGAAATCAACTTTTGACTGGTGTATTTCTCTGTGTATGTGGGTGTATGTGTATATGTATAATTTTTGCCCAACAGATGTAAGAATACATGGGTCCTAACAATACATGAGACCCTTGGGCGATTGTTAAAATCCTTTCTACCAACGGACTTATCCAAACCATAAGGCTAGTTATAATGAAAACTAATGAACAGTTATTGAGTGTTTATTGTGGGCCAAGAGTGGAGCTTAGCATTTTACATTTCATCCTCAAAATTGTCTGATGAGGTAACTATTTATTCTCATTGTACAGAAAAGGAAACTGAGGCATAGGATTTTAGATAATGTGACCAAGATTCCGGAGTCAATAGCCAATCCAGGACCTAATTCCAAAGTTTGTGCTTTTAATACAACTCTATGGTACCACCATCCTGGCCTTTACCTGGTTATCCTCAGCTCCGCTTCCTCTCCTGCTCATTGTCCGAAGCCTCTGGGTTCATGAATCCTCCCTGAGGATGTCATGCGATACAGGGATCCTCCCTTTCTTCCAATAGCTTATCTTCCTTTTGCTGATTTCTCTTCCAGTGCTTTCCATTGTGCACACTGAAAACTCTTTTCCATTGTAAATAAACTTCCCCACACTCTCTGACATCAGACAGTGTGCTGCCTTTACCTCCAGGCCTTCAGGAAATCTGCTTCTCCCCTAAGAACATTTCTCTCCTTTTACTCCTGTCAGGTAAAGATGGAGAAGTCTAGGGTACCTCAAAACAGAGTTAGGAAGAGGTATCAGCATTATCCTAGTTCCAAACTGCTTCTCCCAAGCTCTCCCTCCTCCTTTGCAATGGGCACCGATCAGTTTTATTGCCTTTAACATGTTTTGTCGTAGCTGTCTGCTATATTCAGGTCACTTCCAGGCTCTGACAGCTTGCCAAGGCTTCTCATCTTCCCAACTCCTGCCATCATCCTGGCAGATTTCAATATTCCTGAAAGAAAGACTTCAACACTCCGGCTATTTCTTTCATGACATCCCAGTTTCATTAGCATTCACATAAGCTCCACTGAGAACTAATTCCCATGGCCTTACCTTTGACCTTTTCATCAACTCCAACTGTCTACCTATGAGAGCTCAAACTCAAGTATCACACACCCTCTTATCCTCTTCCACCCTCCCAATTTCCTTACTCTCTCTGAGCCTCCTGTTCTTTTCTTATTAAAACCTCTATTATCTCCACTGTTTGTTATTCTCCCTACCTCCTCTTAACTTTGGTTCCTGCTTTCCCAAAACTAAACTTCATGGTTGGCAGTGAAATTAAACTTACCAACACTTTCAGTTCCTGGACTTCCTTATCCCTTTTCCCCATTGTTTTGGTTTTGATTCCCCAGAAGTGGACTTTGAGGATTTCAGTACGGGTAGTCAGCTCAGGAGGCGATTCTGGGAAGTACATATAAAGTCATGGGGAATTGAGACAGCAAAGGGGAGGAAGCTACTGCAGGGTGTGCTAAGCAGCAGGGCACTTCTGTGGGCAAGGGCTGGATCTGCCTCTGAGCGTTTGGACAACTGTAAGGAGGAGCACGTCTCAAAGTGGTCCTCCCTCCAGAGGCACCGGAGCTAGGGTGTTCATCCACCAACATTCATGGGTCACTGGCTGTGGGCTGCTCCCAGGGGAACTTCTTCCTTAAGAGCTTCTCACCTCCCTTTTGTCTGAGGGCGAGGCCTGCTCACACAGCTAGAGAAAAACCCTGAGGTGGAGAGTCTCAGCTGCTCCAGTGAAGAAACTGTCAGCATGCACAGGAAAGGTGAGTGTCTGGGAGGTCTGGGAGGGCACCGGCAGCCTCTGCGACTTCATCCACCAGGCAAACCTCTCAGTCCTGGATTAATCCTAAGAGCTGCCTTCTGCTTGCCAACTGTATTGTTGTGCTGTTATGAATATATGGTTTCCAATCTTGGCAGGACCCATAAATGACATTTTATGATGTTTTAACTTGTGCCTCTCTTTCATTTTCCTTAGTACTTATGATTAGTGTCAGACAGACTGAATTCACACTCAGCCTCTACCACTTTGTGAATTTGGGCAGATACTGAACCCCTCTCTAAACCACATTTCCCTCTTCTGTAAAAATCAGCACATTAATACCAACTTGGCTTTGTGTTACAAACTGTTTGGTGAAATTTTATATATATATATATATATATTTTTTTTTTTTTTTTTGAGATGGACTCTCGCTCTGTTGCCCAGGCTGGAGTGCAGTGGCACAATCTCAGCTCACTGCAAGCTCCACCTCCCGGGTTCACGCCATTCTCCTGCCTCAGCCTCCCGAGTAGCTGGGACTACAGGCGCCCGCCACCACGCTCAGCTAATTTTTTTTTGTATTTTTAGTAGAGACGGGGTTTCACTGTGTTAGCCAGGATGGTCTCGATCTCCTGACCTCGTGATCCACCCTCCTCAGCCTCCCAAAGTGCTAGGATTACAGGCCTGAGCCACTGCGCCCGGCCTAGAAATTTATATATATATATATAATATTATGTATTTAATATATATATATTTATACACACATACACACATATACATAGAAAAATGTATATAATACATATTGTGTATATAGTGTAGGTATAGATATGCAACCTAGCACAATGCCTAACGCAGAGCAGAACTCATTACCTCTTTGTTTGCTTGGTTATCTTCTCTTATATAACCCAGCACTCTTAGCAAATGGCCTTGTCTCATGTACCTCACAAAGAAAACTCCACAACTCAACTCCTACCAACAGAGAATACCTACACCTATGTTTACATTTCCTGAGTCTCAGAGGAAAGGATGTTCTTCTTCTGGTTCAAGGCTAACCTTCAACTTAGCTCATTTCTACTTCTCCAGGAATTCACATCACTGGTTACCAGCATCCTCCACCAAACCTCAGCCATTCCATCCTCACTGTTTCTCTGCAAAGAACTTTCTTGCATGATTATAATCACTTAGCACATATGCATTTCATTTTTACTTTAACCTAATCAGAACATAAGCATGCTGTTTGCAATAGAAGATATCCTTACCGTGGATAGCTGCAAAGATGGATGTCACTGTTGCAGAAAAGCTATGCTGCTTTCAATGTGGTCATGCAGACTTGGGAAGAAAAAACTAAAATATTTATATTTCCTAAGTATAGTGAATTTCTGGGAAATTGGGGGGAATGAAGTGGGAGATGATAGGATATAAATGATAGGTACAAGGTAAGGGTTAGCAAGGGGGGTAGGTGCAGAACTTATTTTGATCCTGATTTCAACTATTCAACTCTAATAAAACAATTTTTGAGGTGGCCTGGTAAATTTGAATTGGCTGTGTTTTACAGGATACCAAGGGATTATTAAATTTTTAAGTATAATAGTGACATTTTGGTTATATAAAGAAAATATTTTTAGAGATGCATACTAAGTAATTAGGAGTGAAATTATGGCCGGGATTTGCTTTAAAATACTTTGGCAGCAAGAACAATGTAGGGAATAAATCAAGTGTGACAAAATCTTGCCAATTTTTGAATCTAGTTGATGGGTATATGGGGGATTATTTTACCATTCTCTTTAATTTATGTATGTTTGAAATTCTTCATACTAATCTTTTTTGAAGAGAAATGGTCAGAAATATATCTCTACGTTTGCTGTTTTTTTGTTTTTGTTTTTGAGATGGAGTCTCGTTCTGTTGCCCAGGCTCCAGGCTATAGTGCAGTGGCGTGATCTCGGCTCACTATAACCTCCACCTCCTGGGATCAAGCTGTTCTCCTGCCTCAGCCTCCTGAGTGGCTGGGAATACAGGCATGCACCACCACACCCAGCTAATTTTTGTATTTTTAGTAGAGACGGGGTTTCACCATGTTGGCCAAGCTGGTCTCAAACTCCTGACCTCAAGTGATCCGCCTGCCTTGGTTTCCCAAAGTGCTGGGATTATAGGCATAAGCCACTATGTCTGGCCTTATGTTCTCTGTTTTAATTAAAGTCTCAAATATTTAAAACTTTAAATGGAAAACTTTTGAATTAATTAAATTTTAAATGCAAAATTGTAAATGAAGATGTCTTTGAAACCTCACTCCGGAATTTTCATTTCCTCTGTCTCCCCATCATCAGCTGGGGTCCCAGCCCAGCTGCAGCCTTTCCCAAGCTGAAGTGGTCATTGAGGTCAATGATGCTCTTAAGCCAAACATGGCTGACAGTACCTATGATGTGCACAGGTGGGTGGACAAGACTCATTACTTTTAGTTACAGAAGAGCCTGACAAAGTTGGCTGGGCACCACAGTAAGGATTCAATTCACATGATAATTCTACAGGAGACTAAATGACTGAGCAAACAGAGCATTTGTCCTCTTTTGCCTGTGTTTCTTCATCTGTGAAGTGGATATGACATTGTTTTTCCTTATCATTCAAGGTCCAATTCAGATATCTAGGATACTTTCTTGGCCCCCAACCCAAAGAACTCTTTTTCCCTTTGCCTGTTAAGATGCAATACAATTAGGAAGACTTCTAATGCAAATCCTGTGTTCTTTAAACATTACTTGGAATTTAACAGTAGAATTTTTCTCTCTGCTTCTTATTTATTTATTTATTTATTTAATTTTATTTTTTGGAGATGGAGTTTTGCTTTTGTTGCCCAGGCTGGAGTGCAGTGGCACAATCTCAGCTCACTGCGATCTCCACCTCCCAGGTTCAAGCAATTCTCCTGCCTCAGCCTCCCCAGTAGCTGGGATTACAGGCATGCACCACCACACCCAGCTAATTTTTTGTATTTTTAATAGAGACAGAGTTTCACCATGTTGGTCAGGCTGGTCTCGAACTCCTAGCCTCGGATCCGCTCGCCTCTGCCTCCCAAAGTGCTGGGATTATAGGTGTGAGCCACCGTGCTCGGCCTCCCTTCTTATTTTTATTCTTGTTTTATACTTCACTGTGAACTTTTCCTCTGGAATTTAGGCACTTTAGGGTAGTATTTTTTCAACTTGTATTCCATGACCCATTATTTGCTCACAAAATCAAATTTGTCAGTTGTACCTAACATTTTTTAAAAAAGAAATAAGCTGAGTATGATGGTGTGTGCCTGTAGTCCCTGCTACTTGGAGGCTGAAGCAGGTGGATTGCTTGAGCCCAGGAGTTCAAGGCCAGCCTGGGAAATGTAGCAAGGCCTCATCTCTAAAAAATTTAAAAAGAAAAGAAAATGTACTTTAAAAAATGAAATAGAATGAGAAAGAAAATGTACTGCATACAGTAGGAGTTTTATTTGCTGAAACATTAGTTTCGTGTGTGTGTGTGTGTGTGTGTGTGTGTGTGTGTGTGTGTGTTTACTGTTCTGATGTGAAATGGATTTCTTGTTGTGGGTTACAGGAAGAAAGTTTTACATCCACAGTTTTAGGGTGTATGAAGCCTATAAAAAGAAGGTTGTGGATGAATGATTATGAATTTACTTTAATATGAATATGGAAGCTACTTCTTTATTGTTTATTTTTAACACTACCATCAGGTACTACTATGGTACATGTATGTTCATATACATTTATGTTCATGCAAGTGTGTGTGTGTGTGTGTGTGTGTGTGTGTTACAGCAGCAGAGCAGTAGTAATTTGATTGAACCACAATGTAGTTTAATACTCAGTTGGGATTTTATCAAATAACATGGCTACATATTTAAATTACTATTGTGCCTCCAGGGTAAGTAATAACATAGCCTTCTGAGGGTCTTGGGATGAAACATTCCAGATGATAGGCATTTCGTCCTCATAGCTTACATTTGAAGAGAACTCTTAGGCCTTCAGCAGAGTACCTTAGCGTGCGTCAACTTCTGTTTATAGTTCATCTCATTTAGGCGTGTAAGAAGTGGTTTTAAATGCACTTGGTGTGAATCTGGGCTTACAAATTAATTTGAAAAATGCTAGTTCATTCCTATGTTTCTAAATATAGAAAAGCATTTTAATCCTGACTGTCTGTTTTTATTGAAAGTTTATTTGCCTGTGGTTTTTTTTAATTACTCTTCAAAGCTCCCTTAAGATACCAGTGTTTCCAGAAAAACTCTGACCATTGCAAAAGTGAATTAGTAATAGAAATTAAATGTGCATATTTCAGAGTTAATTTCAAACTAAATGAGACTTTCATTCACCTGGTGTTACCTCAGTGTTGATGTTGTCTGACTAAAGTTTAGCAGAGGCAAGATCATTTGAAAATGTGCTTCTATACCTGGGAGAAATTCCTAAATATGCCTTTATGTTGATGCTGTGGTCATTTTACCAAAGTCAATGTTACTGGCCAAAGAGAACAAAATTAATTTGTATTCAAATACCTTACTTCCTAGTAAATTTTCTTGATGGCTACATGCATGGAACCTTGGAATCAGACAGCCTGGGTCCCCCAATCCCATGCTGCCACTTAGCAGCTTGGTGACAGAGGGCAATTTTCTTAGCCTCCCTGAGCCTCATTTTACTCATTTGTAAAATGAGAATAATAATCATGCTTATTTTATAGTGTTGATAAATTGGGACAGTGTAGAGGATTAAGCATGGTCCCTAGCATAAGTGTTCAATAAATGTTACCTCTTTGTTTATTCCAAAGGTGATTCTGTTCTTATCAAAATTATATGGGAATTATAAGGGGTAAGAATTCGTTACATGTGAAATATTTGTTTACTATACCACTAACAGTGAGCCTCTTGAGAATAGTGATCTCTGCTGTCTCTTTCCTTTGGAACTTCCTGCAGTCCTTGTAACAATTCATACAGAAGCTGCTTGTAGCAAGATGTCAATCATTTAGCTACAACTGGTGAAAATGCGCAAATTTTCACAAAATGGTTATCTGTTTCTTTTTCTTCTACCCCAAGGTCACCATGTGGTCTTGGTTTTATGGGCGACTACATCTTTAGAACTAATTGATGATGTGCATTTTTTACAAAATCAGTAATTTTTTTTTTTTTTACAATGGGTTACCTTTGACATGAGAACATTCTTGTTTCTAAAGGAGAGAAAATTCACAATCCCAGCTGTTTGTAATGTGTTTCTGGAGCCAGCATTGTTTGCAAAAGGAAAATATTTAAGCTTGGCATTTGTCTAAGTTTCCTTTATGATGTACTTATTTTTTAGGGGACAGAACTGCTTTGGGGCAAAGATAATTAAGAACGAACATATCAGTCTTTTGAAGAACGGTTTAAAAATAAAACCTAACTAATGCTGAAAATAATACTTAAAATTCATTGGCCTCTCTCCAGAATAATTTCTGTACTTTGGGCATTCAGCATTTATTTTCCAACTGCAATTGAATAGTCAGCTCTGGCCTGAACAGCCAAGGTTAAATAAAGGGCTAAGAATTATTTAACCAATCACTAGACTATTAGACTCTGGATGTTTGGGCCATTTAGAATTCGCTGGCTCTTTCTAGAGTTTTCTTCCCTGCCTCTCTGCTACATGTATAAAATCTTCAGTCTTTCAGTCTTTATGTGAAACGTTGACCAATCTCTCCAGCCTCTGTGAGTCTGTTTCACTTTAACTTCCTCAGATTGGGCTACCACATGAAAATGGCATAGTATCAAAATGATTATTGTTCTGCATACTGTTTCCGTGGGCTGTTTGGCTGTGTCTCATTTTTTCAGCCTGACATTTTTGAGGGTCCCTACTGCTGGAGTCTTCAAGATTGATATTTTGCTGTTGTTACTGTTGCTATTTCCTTTTAGTTTGCTGTGCTTCAAACTTTCTCTTTTTAGTAAAGTATTTGGTATTTTTATAGTTATCTTAATATGCATCAAAAAAGTTGTATGATTTAACATGCTTCAGATGACCAAAAATGCAACCTTATGCCCTTACTCCCTTTTAGCATATGAAAGACCGAGGAAAATTATTCATTCTGCTGGATGATTTCAAAGATATAACATAATTTTGTAAGATCTGATTACAGTGAATTTTTTTTCATATCTTAGTCTGCCACAGGCTCACACTTATATTGAATAAGTGGATTAAAATGCTCCAAATCTTTACTGTCTCTAACATTCTCAGTGAACTTGGCAGAAACTTTGATTAAGGATGCTTTAATAGTAACAATGTAGATAGTTGGCACATTACAGGGGTAATATCATATCCATTTTCATTAGTGATTCTTTCGAAGAGACACATGGTTGTCCATGACTTTATAGCTGTTGTTTTAAAAATGTATGCATGTCTAAGATGTGGATAACCTTTTCAAGCATAGTCTATGTGATACATTTTTTACTTTCCATTTGAAAGACAGTATACTATTTGAAGACATCAAATGTCAAATAGAAAATCCATAAACAATGATCAACCCATACATCAGATCTTTTTTTTTTTTCTAACTTGAATTGACCTACATATGCCTCTTTTGTGGTCTAGGGCTGCCTTCTGTGAGACAGCTAGACTTTGCTCCCTATTTCTCTCCTTGTTTTTATATCCTACTCTCATAAACTCACACTGTGCTGTTAAAAGAACAGACTTATTCATGAATATGCCTACCATAATGATAGCCATATAGCAATGCCCTGAAAGGAATAAAGGATTAGAAAAAGATTCTATTGTTACTGTAAAGAATAAGCTAGTCTTACAGTATTGCTGTGAATGACTAACCCAGCTAAATGAGTTTTGGACAACAGATAAAAAAGGAACTTTCTACTTAGGAGAGACATGGTAGAGAAGAACAATGGAAAGAGTATGGCCTTTAGGGCCAGGGAGACCTAGGTTTACATAACTGCTTGACTTTAATAATTTTAAGGTTGGGCAAGATGAATTAACTTCTTGGCCTCAGTTTCATCATCTGTAAAATGGGATAATAGCATACACTCCATAGGATTGGTGTTACAATTAAATTAGGAAAAAGTATCTATAGCATTTAGTCTAGCAGCCAAATACATAGTGAGCATTCAATAGATAAAAATTCATTTCCTTCCCTTCACAGAACTCTTCTTTTTATGGAGTCTGCATATTCCTGCTATCCAAAGTGTTATTTTTAAGGCCTCATATAATGCTAAAATGTTATGATTCTGTGATAAAGCCAATTTTTTACTTTGGACCACTTCCATCATATGCTGCTGTATTCAATAGTAAATATGATTACTAGAAGAGGGAGGAACTAACTTAGCTGAGTTCTATCCAAGGATGACAGCAGTAGTTATGTGCTACAAGGTAAAATGGTGTATGACAATAACGTGCAGGAAATCATTTGTTATATGCATTTGCTAAGTTATGAGACAAATTTAGTACTCAGGTATTTCTAAAGATTCCTAAGAATAGCATGATTCCTAATATATGATTGTTCAAATGGAGACTCACATGCTGCATAAAGATATTCCTGTGGAACATGGATCTATGGCAGCAGACAGACAGCCACCCCAGAGTCCAGCCACTCACATTGCAGGGGCTCCTGGGCAAAGGTGATATACATCCAGGAGGCAAGTGATTGTTCTCTACAACCGCAGACATACTTATACCTTCCAAGGAGACCATGGTTGGCAGAGTATTCTATGAATAAAAAGATGATGTATGCATGTGTGTGCGTGCACACACATACTTACACGTGCCCCTTTGTGTGCATATACAATATCACACAAATACACAAAAGAGAAATAAGGCAAGTATAAATTATATCTCCTTCCAAAAAGGATCTGAAGAGGCTTCTGTAAAATAATACCAATACAAGAGAAAATAGAATCTCTAAAATGAGAAGAGAAGAATACACTAAAAGCAGAGTATTATGTCACATGAACTAAGATTTACCTCATCTGGACGTTACTTTTCCTAAAACTCCAACAATATAACTAAGACTATAACTAAGAAGCAGGGAGGAATAAACAAAGGCTTATGAAGGCCGGGCGCAGTGGCTCATGCCTGTAATCCCAGCACTTTGAGAGGCCAAGGTGGGGTGAATCACCTGAGGTCAGGGGTTTGAGACTAGCCTGGCCAACGTGGTGTAACCCTGTTTCTACTAAAAATACAAAAATTAGCCGGGTGAGGTGGTGGGTGCCTGTAGTCCCAGCTACTCAGGAGGCTGAGGCAGGAGAATTGCTTGAACCTGGGAGGCGGAGGTTACAGTGAACCGATATTGCGCCATTGCACTCCAGAGTGAGCAGCAACAGTGAAACTACATCTCAAAAAAAAAAAAAAAAAAAAAAAAAAAGGCTTGTGAAAAACTAACACAGATGTCACATGGCTCTAAGAAAATCCTTTAATTCTATTTTTCAAGTCTTTATTTACCAACTTTTTTTCAAGTTTTTTTGCCTTTAGAAGTTAGACAGATTCACCTCTAGAAAGTACACTGCTACATACAAAAAGTGACAAGCCTGATAAGATGAAGGAGTCAGAAACATTCTAAAATCAAAATAAAATGAAACAGAAAAACCCAACAGCCAAAGACTATGGCACATAGCATTATATACAGAGTGACCTTTGGGAGCCTCACCACTTTACAACACAGTGCCATAATTATTGTTAAGAATGGTAATTCTGAGTTATACAGACAGGAGTTGGATCATGATGAAGATAGTCTTTAAGAAAGTAGGCAGTGAATAATACCATTTCATGAAGGTTTTCATTCTAATTTTCGAAAGTAAGAAAAATTGGTACTTCAAAGGGGAATATCAAATATCTTAAAATTTACTTACATGAAACTGTATCTCATTAGGATTTGTAAGGATTTATAATGCATTTGTGGATTAAGGAGGTAGAATGTGGTTCTGGCAATGTGGATCATATGAGATCTTGAAATCTTGATTGTCTCACCAATCAGTTTGGCTACTCAATGCTTCTGGGCTAGCCTGTCAATTGACCTTCCATGGGAATGAACTATGCTAATTCTCAATCACATAGAAGAAGCAGAATAGAAGCAACACAGTTATTTTAGCAGCAATACTAACATTAGTAGTAGCAGCAGCATCAATTACTATTTAATGAGCCACATTCTCCCCATTGTCTCTTTCAAGCCACCAGGGTACCATTTTGTGCAGTAGAGTGGTAAATCAAGTGGTCTCTACTGGATTGAAAGAGTAACTGTATCTCTGTTAGAGTTCAGCTTATTACCTGGGAGTGAGAGAAGCTTTGGGGAGAATGAAGACCATTAAGTGCCCTCAAGGAGTAAGATATTGCCAAAAGTACCAACATTTCCACATGATTTTATAGGACAAAATAGGCACCAGCCATTAAGAAGAAATTGTCCAAAGATACTCAATGTTCATTCTCTGCCAACGGCTAACAAAGTAATAAAAATACACTGCTTATAAAAAGCAGTGAGAGAAAAGTGAGAGAGCTTAGAGGATCTCTAAGGCCCTTTCTAACTGATTTTCCCTGATTGTAATGATTAATTTAGTTGATATTTATTCCCAGTCCCTTCAAAACATCTTGAGTAGTTTTACATTAAAAAGTGGGCATTTGGTAATCAAAAGACTTTAAAATGATTTTTTTTTAAGAGAGAACATTCTGCCCCTTTGAATGTATGATGTGTATACCCAGTTCACTGAGAATGTTAGGCACACCAATAAATACATGATGCCAAATAAAATACATACTCTAAAAGTAAACGTAATCATACTACTCTATTCTACCTACACTTTGTATTGCACATATTCCCTTAAAACTGTCGCAGGTTAGCTAGGTTTATGAATTTTTATTAATTTAAATAAATACCCAGAGCAAGATGTTTAATGATTATAAACATATCATTTTCTTCTCTTAAATTAGGTGCCTCTAGACTTCTCACAGAATCAAGTTAGGAAAGTTACATTTATAGATGCATTAAAAATCTGGACTCTATTTCAAATCCATCAGCAGTTGCAGGTCACTCATTCATTCGTGAGTTATATGGGATTCTGCAAACATTTATGAAGTGCCTACGAAGATTCTAAGCAATGTTTAAGTATAAGGATCTGTTCCTTGACAATAAGAGTCTGCCTATTGTAGTTAAATTTGTAATCCGGATAATTATATAAAAGCACAGTTATCCTTGAAGACTATATAGACTGAAGAGTTAAATAAAAGTGGTATTACTTAGACTTTGCATAGAGTTCAAAGATTTAACTAAAAATCTGTGGTCTAAACACAATAGTCTTTTTCCCAGTCGTATTTTTAGAAAGCCAAGTTTCAGGTAGAACTAAATGCTTTGATGTCCCTCCAAGTCTTTTTCTATCATTCTGTCATTTCATGACTAAAGTACTAAAATTTAACATAGTTCTCAAAGATGTTTAGAAAATGAAACAGGCTTTACACATACCATGGTCACCTTTCCCCTTTCCCCATGACGGTTTTCTGTCTCTAAGTACACTGCGATAGCCATGTAATTGGAAAAATACAAAATTAATTATCAGAGCATACATATTAAAAATTCAACATGTGCTGGCTTGGCTTATTAGTAGAAAAATTATATTTTTGACTTTAAAGATGTGATTCTGTGTTTAGGTATCATCATTCCAGAATTACCTTAATTTAATGTATAGTAGAAAAACCTTTTGAGTTTCGCCGTGCTTCTGAAAATAATTAAAATTAATTTAAATGTATAATACACAAGTGTTTGAATGCCACATATTTACCAGCTTTATACCTTAATTTAAATTCACATTGGAGGCTAATGAAGAGTCAGAATTAATATTACGTGAATAATAATGGTATTACCATTTGTTGCTTGGCAGTTTGATTTTCATCCTACAGGTCATTTGGAAAATGTGCTTATCTGTTTTTGGTTGTTTTTTTTTTTTTTTTTTTGAGACAGAGTCTCGCTGTTGTCACCCGAGCTGGAGTGCAAGGGCACGATCTTGGCTCACTGCAACCTCCATCTCCCAGGTTCCAGCAATTCTCCTGCCTCGGCCTCCCGAGTAGCTGAGATTACAGGTGCCTGTCATCATGTCCAGCTAATTTTTGTATTTTTAGAAGAGACTGGGTTTCACCATGTTGGCCAGGCTGGTCTCAAACTCCTGACCTCAGGTGATCCACCCGCCTCGACCTCCCATTTATCTGTTTTATACCTTGTTCTAGATAGTAGCCAATTAACATAATCTGCAAAATCAGCAGATATCCAGCTTCAAGTAACAGTTACCCTGATCATGTTAAAAAATATTGTACATTTGCTCTGAGATCTAATTTTTTTCTACTTCTGTTTCTTTTTGCATCAACTATTTCCATATATTGAACAAGGATAGAATATTTCCTGTGGTTTTTCAGGTGGTTTCCAAGATTTGTCATTCAGATTTATAATACCCAACTTAATTATTTCAGTGACATGGTGAAAGTGTATCAGGATACCATTTCGCTTACTCTCAGAGTTTATGTAGGGCCCTTTTGGGATTCAGTGTCTCCGTTCCACTGCACAAAATTGCAAGCAACGTGTATTTAATGATTCAGCTGATAAGCCCTTCCTTTTATGAACTATGAGTTAGTATTAAAATGAAGGGTTGGGATTTCTTAACTTTTTAGCCATTTAATCTTTTAACATGGGATCAAGCAACAGAATGTAGCAGAAGAGTATTATGAAAATGAGAACATTGAAAGATAATGTTGATGCTTGATTCTTTCACTTAATAAGGTGTCTGAGTATTTAATGATTTTGTTTTGTAGTTCAATTACCGTAGAACAATCTACTTAACGCTAGATTGTCTGTCGGGACCATGATGATTCTCAAATAAATATTGTATTTACCAATTCTACTCTTAATTTTTTTAAAACTAAAGACAAGACAAAAAAGTAGATGTCTCTATAATACATTTATATGAAATTAAATTTTCTTAGTTTATTTTTGCTTTAGAATGCCAGTTGTAATCAAAGGACCATTGGCAAGACACTGGCCATTAGTAAGGCATCAAACTTTGAGCTTTGCTTTACTTTAAAAAAGTTATACCATGCAAGGATAGAAGTAGACATAGGCATTCACATAATCCCCTGTACATCCTCCAGAGGGGTTTTGTCAGATGAATTTCCCCCAAAGGGCCTCTTAGTTACCATCAGCTTCTCTTTGGGACATATATATTTCTGACTGTGGTCATTTGTTAAGGAGAAGTTTAGCAGACGTTATTAATCAAATACATTTAAGAGAGCTATTGCTTTTCACTTTCTCCCATGATGTAATGCTCTTATAATAACAGGTTTTGTGGGGTCCTCTTTATACAACTATCTGATGACAATATTCTTCATTCTTGTAAGCTCAGTTAACATCTTTTCACTTCCCATCTGATAAGTGCTAGCTGCTGATTTTTTTGCTCAGTATCTCCATTTATATCAATTTATTTTCATCTCTAGAGCAGCGCATCAGGCTGCTCTCTCGTGAATATATTGTTACTTTTTTCTGGCACTGGAATATACAACTATCCATGACAGCAAAATTTGAGGGCCATATTGAGATCACCGGCTGATATGGTGACCATGTAAATATAAGTTTAAATTGCTTAGTTCCACGTTAGAATAGTTTAATCAATTTCTGTCCCAGAAACTGGATATGAAACAGGTTAGATGAGGAAGCTTATATGGAAAAAAATTATCTTTCATCCTCTCCACATATACATTTTTCCTGAGACTAGGTCATATGTATATTCATTTTGTACACATTGGGGAATTGGCATAGTAATTTATTCAACAAACATTAATTAGCACCTTACTTTGTGACAAATCTGTAAAAAAAAAAAAAAAAGATAAAAAGAATGATAATAGCTAGAATTTATTGAAAACCCACTATATGCAAGATTCTAGGCCCTTCTTATATACTAATACTAACAGTTTAAGAACTTAAATCTCTTTTTCCCCTAGTGGGATTCTTATTCCTTTCTTTTTCTTCAATGTTTGAGTTCAGGGGTACATGTGCAGAATGTGCAAGTTTGTTACATAGGTAAACATGTGCCATGGTGGTTTGCTGCACAGATCAACCCACCACCTAGGTATTAAACCTGGCATCCATTAGTTATTCTTCCTGATGCTCTCCCTCCCCCTGCTCCCTCCGACAGGACTGACTCTGTGTTGTTCCCCGCAATGTGTTCATGTGTTCTCGTCATTCAGCTCCCACTTATAAGTGAGAAAATGCAGTGCTTGGTTTTCTGTTCCTGCGTTAGTTTGCTGAGGATAACAGCTTCCAGCTCCATCCATGTCCCGGCAAAGGAAATGATCTTATTCCTTTTTATGGCTGTATAGTATTCCATGGTGAATATGTACCACATTTTCTTTATCCAGTCTACCATTGATGGGCATTTGGGTTAATTCCATGTCTTTGCTATTGTGAATAGTGCTGCAATGAACATACGCATGCATGTATCTTTATAATAGAATGATCTATATTCCTTTGGGTATATACCCAGTAACGGGATTGCTGGGTCAAATGGTATTTCAGCTTCTAGAACTTTGAAGAATTGCCACACTCTCTTCCACAATGGTTGAACTAATTTACATTCTCACCAACAGCATAGAAGCATTCCTTTTTCTTTGCAACCTCACCAGCATCTGTTGTTTCTTGACTTTTTAATAATAGCCATTCTGACTGGCATGAGATGGTATCTCATTGTGGTTCTGATTTGCATTTCTCTAATGATCAGTGATGTTGAGCTTTTTTTCATATGTGTTTTGGCCCCCTGAATGTCTTCATCTGAGGAGTGTCTGTTCGTGTTGTTTGCCTACTTTTTAATGGGGTTGTTTGGGGTTTTTTTCTTGCAAATTTAAGTTCCTTGTAGACTCTGGATATTAGACCTTTGTCAGATGGATAGATTGCAAAAATTGTCTTCCATTCTGTAGGTTGTCTATTCACTCTGATGATAGTTTCTTTTGCTGCACGGAAGCTCTTTAGTTTAATTAGATCCCATTTGTCAATTTTTGCTTTTTTTGCAATTGCTTCCGGTGTTTTCCTATGAAATCTTTGCCTGCACCTATATCCTGAATGGTATTGCCTAGATTTTCTTCTAAGGTGTTTAAAGTTTGGGATTTTACATTTAAGTCTTTAATCCATCTTACTTTTTGTGTAAGTTTGAAGGAAGGGGTCCAGTTTCAATTTTCTGCACATGGCTAGCCAGTTCGTGGGATTCATATTCTAAGTAAGGGAACAAGCACAAAGGCAAATATTTACAATAGGTGCTACAGTAGAAATATGAGTAGACGTGGTTTCATATATCTGTTAAGAGAAGAGAGTCATGTCAAAATGTTGGTTTTCATGGTTTGAATACTCACTCAATCCTGACTTAGTAGCTGTGTGACTTTGGACAAGTTCCTTAACCTTTCTCTGTGGCTCAGTATCTTCAACTGTGAAATGGGTCTTATTGGGGCAAGAGATATGGTTGCATAGACTATGCACTGCACAACTCCATCCAGCCATATACGGCACAATTCAACAATCAATGATGAGTACTTCATAGGATAGTGAAGAGGATTACCATATAAAACATTTCTAAAGTGATTAGAATGTTCAGCACATTACAGGTTCTGAGTAAATATTATTATAGAGTGATGAGTTAGAGTAACTGAAGAGACTGATTCTTCATGGGAGAGGAATATTTATGGAGATTTTGTAAGAAAGATAAGACATTGATCCAAATTCATATTTTTCTTTCATCAATTCTAAACTGCGGTTGCTAATATTCCTGAAAAACTAATGGTGTTTTGCTAGCAGAGTTCTGGTCTTACACAGTAGGAGCTCAGAAACTATTTGTAAGCCAAACCAAATGGTGTCACAGTTACTTTAGCACCATCAGACTGATGTTGACACCTCAAAACCCAGTATTGCAATCATAAAGAAGAATTGCAGATTCACTGTTAGGTTTCCAAATCTCACCTGTGGAAAAGAGCTTATCAATTCAGTGTTGAGAACCAATGAGAAGAAACTATTGTTAACTTGGAAAGATGAAACCATTAAAAGAAGCAAAAGCAACAGAAGAAAAACAGGCTGAAGATGGTGATAAGTTTGATACGGACTATGTTGTTAGAGATATTAGGAGATAAAATATCCAAATGGAAGTGTTTATTGGGTGGTTGAAAATATGGACCTGCACCTCTGGAGAGGATTCATATTCAGGAACAGTGATTTTGAAATTACACATATGTCTTTGAGGAAGAAATTTGTGGGAGTGGAAGATCTTGCTAAACAGACAAATTGAAAGTGGTACACATCAAGAAATGGCTACATTTTGAGTGTATGAGTGGAGAAACGACTTTCCTTCAGCCAGTTGGCAAGGGAGAAAGGAGTTTTAAGAATGGAAGTGATATTATATAGTCTCAAATGCAGCAGAAAGATGTAAGAGGATGAGAACTGAAAGAAAAGTTTGATAGAAGGATATAGTTGATTATCTAGAGGGCAAAATGATAAGTACTTTCAGTAAAGTTTTGAAAAAGGAAGACAATTGTGGATTAAGTAGGAGATGAGGAAGTGGAAATAACTTATATATGGTATATAGAAGAAAGTCGTCCATTAGAAGAAAGTTAGAGACCAAAAAATCTCAAATTTTTGTTTTCTAGGTTAAAATAACCACTTTTATAAAGCAGAGGTAAATCAGCAAGTAGAGAGGAAGAGGTCGAAAATGTAAAAGAAAGCAGGAGTGAATCACTAGCATATAATAGCTCAATGAGGAATGATCAGCGACCCTTGTGAATCCAGCTGGACTTCAGAACGTAGAGGACAAATGTTGGTTGGTCTAGTGGGTTCATGACTTAATGTGTTCCTCTTCTCTTTAAATTGTAGGCCCCAGATACATTTCTCACATGTTTAAAGATTTCTCCAGTTAGATACTTCAACTAAGAAATTTTTAGTTCTTCAAGGCAAAAGGAATCATTCATTAGTGTTTATTTTCACTTTTGGAGAAAAAGATTGTAGCACACAAAGCCTGCATTTTGTTTTTGTTGGTATAATGGCATCTCATGGTTTCTTGATATTCTTCTATTTCCCATGTCAAGTGTTCTAATAAACGTTGTAGAAAACAGTATTAAACTCACACATCTACAAAAAAATGTGCTAAAGAGTGAGTGCCCTTACTTAATTTCTGGTTAATAAACTAATGTGAGATTAAAATAGACAAGGAGAACTGTAATTGCATTTTTGGTGTGGACAGCAAGGTCTGTAGAGAGCACAAAGTTTAACAGGTCTGCAGTGAATGAAAAAGAAAAACCCCCACACCTTGACAGTTAACATCACTTTAGTTTATGGCTTGTTTAGTTTTAAATTTTATAAGTGATCAAAAGTTAAAGTTTGTGGATTACACGATCTTTCATTCGCCCTTGTTGATGGATTGGTTCCTGCTTTCCTGAGTTTTTAATGGAAACAATTATATCATATAAGAAACTATCTCACTTGTTTCTATTCCCTGGCATCATATATGGAAAAATACAGCAGTTAGTTGAATTGTCTGCTAGAAAGTGGCCTTTAAAGGAAAATATAAGTGGAAGAAAATTTGCAAGTGTGTACATTAAGGTTGAAGTGAAAAGGGGAAGGGAGAAGGAGGAGGATGACTGAGGTCACATTCCAATTTTTGAAGATTATTTGCTAATGTTCATGAAGGAAGTTACAGTTGCCTCTGAAATGTAGTACAAATTTTTTGAGGTCATTTAAACTTGTATTATAAAATTCAACATGATTAGAGATTGTAGGGAAATCATATCTGACCTTGGCTATATTGTCAAAACAGAATTTTCTATCTAATTTGAATCAAGAAACCTCACTTTTTCCTGTGCAATTGAAGTGAGTATTTCTGGCAAAAAGTATGTCTTCTAATCTAACAGTAAGATGGAGAGATAATTTAAACAAACAGCTTCAAGATAAAACTAAAAAATTAGAAAAATTGCCGCAGATTTCAATTCTGCTTTGATTTTGAAGACCTGGAGAGTGGACATCAGCATACTTTGTTCTACTCAGTAGCTATATTCTTGAAAAGTTGTATCTGAAACCAAGTTCCTTACTGAAAAATAATTTAAATCCACTCAAATTGCTTGAGCTAAAAGAATTTCATTGTGACTCTTCTTGTACAGTGAAGAATGCCTTCATAATGATCATGCCAAGTACATACATGCAGTCATTATTATTATTATTATTATTATTTTTTTTTTGAGATGGAGTCTTGCTCTGTCGCCCAGGTTGGAGTGCAGTGACTTGATCTCCGCTCACTAAAAGCTCCGTCTCCCGGGTTCACGCCATTCTCCTGCCTCAGCCTCCCGAGTAGCTTGGACTACAGGGGCCCGCCACCACGCCCAGCTAATTTTTTGTATTTTTAGTAGAGATGGGGTTTCACCATGTTAGCCAGGATAGTCTCAATCTCCTGACCTCGTGATCCGCCTGCCTCGGCCTCCCAAAGTGCTGGGATTACAGGCATGAGCCACCGCGCCTGGCCTACAGTCATTATTTTTCAAGTTCTGATTTATTTGTGATGGTAGTTTGTTTGCTCAGTAGATCAGGTCTTTTTTGTTTTTGTTGTTTTTTGTTTTGTTTTGAGACAGGTCTTGCTCTGCCACCCACGCTGGAGTACAGTGGCACAATCAGAGCCCACTGTAGCTTTGACCTCCCTGGCTCCAGTGATCCTCCCACTTCTGCCTCCTGAGTAGCTGGGATTACAGGTGCATGCTGCCACATCCAGCAAATTTTTAATTTTTTTGTAGAGGTGGGATTTTGCCATGTTGCCCATACTGATCAGTAAGTCTTAAACTGGTGATCCCCTCTACTTCATTGCAAAACTCATTGATATCCCCAAAAATCAAAGGCATATTTTAATATTTCTCAAAACCAGGGCTGCTAACTCAGCTGACAAACAGGGAAAAAAACTATTATTCCTTTTCCCTCAACCAGTGCCTCCCACTACCCTGCCCAGACCCCAGGGATTCCTGGGCAGATACCACTGTGGGCTACCCTAGCCAGCCTTTTGCAGCCCCATTCCTGCTTGCTTCCCCACACCTCCCCAGCCAGAGCAGACCTGGACCCCAACAGAAATATTCACCCCTAGCGGCAACACTAGCACTCTCTTGGACAAATGTTTAGTGATCTATCCATCACCTGCCACCAGACCCCACTTCCCTTCCATCAGTGGCTATTCTCTGTTGACTGACTCTTCCCTGGAATCACCTTCACATGGTGATTTGTGGGAATTACAGCTCCCATGTTCTTCTGGGTTGTTAAATATTTTGAATATTACCCCCATACATACACTTTTTATGATAATCAGCTTGAATGTTCAGTCTTTTGATACATTTTAAAAGAAAATTCTTAAGTACACATGATTTGAAAACTTGCAAATAATGCATTAATTTGCATTTTAATATTAATGATGCTTAATGTACTCACTACATTGGAAAATACTGTTACAAGTTTTATTAGTTCATTCATCTGAGAGTTAAACTGATATACATATACATTGTTCTTACTTTGTATCAAAGATATGCAAAATACTTGAGTACAGAAGTAATGATGAAGTACCTACCCCTCTGGGAGCTTATAGCTTAAAATGGGATATATATGAGATAAATGAGAAAGGTTTATACCACAGAATAACATTATGTAAATCAATTTAACCAAATAACAACACCAGAGGGAAAGGACTTTTAGCTACCACTCATCATTATGTCCCAATATAATGTTCCAGTTCATGTTGCAAATAGGGCAGCACCCTGGCTATTGTGTGGTAGTCTGTAAGTAGTGAAATAGCTGTGGGGTAAGGCAGTGAGTCTTTCACCTTAGGGAGGGTGCGAGCCCAGACCCACTTGACCATCTATCACAAATCTTGCTGAAGTTCTAAGATCCCTTTCAACTACAAATTTTCATGCTTCCATAGAATCATCCCTGACCTCAGGAAAAAATACAAAAATGGAACAAACAAAACAGAATAGTAAAACCTGAAGTAAGAAAAAAAGAAATGAATTTGACATTGTACAGATCAGGAGAAAGAAAGTTCATTAACAGTTTCAAGATCCCTGCGTTTTCACCCAGCAGGAAACAAATTACCATGAGTTAAGGTGGGGAAATTACTGGCAATTCATTGCCTTCTTTTAAAGACTTTAAAAAAAAATGAGTAAATAATTTTAGACTATTACCCCCTTTCCATGAGAGATACACAGCTAGTTAAACTGCCATGCATATTAATTTTTTGTTTTCATTTTATTCCACCTACCAACTACACAGTGTCTGCTTTCCAAAATTAGTTTGAAAGCCAATGACCTGTGTTTGAACTGGGTGAAATAGCATAGCAGTTCACACCTGGAATAAAAGAATGATTGTGTGTGAGTCTGTTAATGGCTGTGTAGAGCTATATCTCTATATGGAGCTATATAAAAATATATTTTATACATGCCAGATTCATTTAGACTTGAATTGACCCTGTGGTAAAGCAGCAGGAATAAAATATTTTTTTGATAAAGCACTCACTCAAATAGAGAAATGAGCTCTTGCAGTTACCATTTAATCTGTGACTTCTTTTTGAGATGCAGAAAAACTCCATTATAAAGTGCTCAGTTCATCCAGGGACACAGACACACTGTGGGTTATAACACACCCTCATCTGCATGGTGAGGTACATGAGTCAGCTGCTCTTCTCTCAGGAGGGTGGCTTTAAAGCTCCACAGTCATGCATGCTGCCAATTCCAGATTGTCCAAACCTGTAGGTTAGCAAGGACACAGGTGAGCCATAGGTATGACATGTTCATAAAAAGAAAAATATATTTTAATACAAAACATGTCAGGGGAGTGGAGAGTGTCAAATTGAGGACAGGAGAGACCTAGATTCAATGCCATAGTTCTTGGCTAATCTCTGAGAAGCTTGTTAGTCACCCTCTTTCTCCTTCCCTTACTCTCCTGTATCTTCCCTTACATACTGCATAGTCCCTTGTAATTTACAAGACATAAAATACTTCCTTTGTTCATCTGTATACTGAATGTAAGAATGAACAAAAGGTCATCATAAGGACAGCCTGTGAGTTTATGCACTGCATACTGCAAATGACCCACTCCAGCAATGGGAAGACACCCCTAACATTGCTTCTCTCCTTATAACGAAAATATTATTCATCATCAGCTTTAAAATGGATCTTCTCACTCTGTGCAGTCTCCGTGGTAACGTCCCATAAGCCCAGGGTTTTAAGACCTTTCTCCTGTGCTCTAAGCCTACATATCTAACTGCCTAATGGCCTTTCCACTTGAATGACACATCATTCAGTTTCAGTGTCCTAAACTGAAGTTTCAACTCCAAGTCTGTTTTTTTCTCTTGTAGTCTTCATGTCAGTCAATCAGTCTTTTATCCTAACCAGAAATATGTGAGTTCTCATGGATTCCTCCCTCTCACTCACTTTTCAGTTCTATAATCACCCAGTTCCTACATTGTTTGCATCTTAAATATCTCTTCTAGTCCTCCCTTCTCCTTTATACCCACTGCCACTGCCACAATGTTAGCTCCTTCAGATCTCATATTTTCTCACTTTTATTGCTATAGACATACCCCCCGCAGTTATCCTACCTCTAGGCAAATCCCTTCCAAAATGCAGCTGCCAGTGTGATCTTTGTAAAATGCTTTTATGATAAAGTTCAAACTCATTAGCAAAGCACACAAAGACCTTTGTGATGTGGTATTGCTGAATTAAACTACTGGCAGCCCTAGAAAGGTAAAGTGTATTTGATGCTTCTGTGCTGTTCCCTTAGCCCAGAAAGCCCTTCCAGTTTCTGTTTAGTAAAGTCCTATTCATCTTTCACTACTCAATGAGTCATAAGTAATCCCATTAGGAAAGCCTGTGTGATCTACCTCCTCCCTAATTTGCCAGCTTGAGTTTGCTTCACCCCTTCATAATACTCAGTCAATCATAATGTCTTATAATCCATCATAGCACCTCACACAATGAACTCCAATGTCTGGTTTGTTGGGATGTCCGCCTTACTACATTGTAAGCTTCTTAAGGGTAGAAACCAGTTCTGATAGGCTTAGGGCAGTGACCACCAACAGAAAAAGTACTTGGTAAATGTCTAACACAATCTGTTTTACTTTTTCCAGAGCACGAGGCATGCATGAAAGAGATTAATTTACTCCACATGGGAAGTTACTACCCAGGCTTACCAAAAGGTCAGGTTTATATAAAGTGGCGTTCCTTTTTTTCCCCCTTAGTAAGACATTAAAAAAAGAAACCACAATTGAAAAGCCAAGAGCTATCTGTGATACGGAATATGAACACAGAATCAGATTCTCATAGCAGCTAAGCTGTTCCCCAGGCAGTGGTTCTCAAGGTGTGCTTCCAAGAACAGCAGCAGCAGCGGCATCACACATGCAAATTACTGGACTCTGCCCCAGATCCACAGAATTGGAGACTGGGGATGGGGCTTAGCATTCTGTTTTAACAAGTCCTCCAGATGATTCTGTTGTGTATCTAGCTTGAGAATCACTGCCCTGGAGAATGGAAAAAAAAAAAAAAAAGTTCCCACAGAAGGGTTTTAGCAGTTCTAGAGCACCTACTATGTGCCAGGCCATTTATTTTGTTTACCTTATTAACTTTTTCAGGATACTAAATTAGTACTTCAGGATTTAATTCTTCTAAGATATCTTTTATTCCATTTTAAATTATTTTAGAAAGTTCTAATTTTTTTTTTTTTTTTTTTTTGAGGCAGAGTGTCTGTTGCCCAGGCTGGAGTGCAGTGGCATGATCTCGGCTCACTGCAACCACAAGCGATTCTCCTGCCTCAGCCTCCCAGATAGCTGGGATTACAGGCGCTTGCTACCACGCCCTGCTAATTTTTGTATTTTTAGCAGAGACGGTGTTTCACCATGTTGGCCAGGCTGGTCTCAAACTCCTGATCTCAGGTGATCCACCTGCCTCGGCCCTCCCAAAGAGCTGGGATTACAGGCGTGAGCCACCGCGCCTGGACAGTAAGTTCTAATATTTGATAGTAGAATACAGTGATTGTACTTAGCAACAATATTTTGTATATTTCAAAGTAATGGAAGAGAAGACATGAAGTGATACCCACAGATACAAATGGTAAATACTCGAGGTGACAGATACCCCAAATACCCTGACTTGATCATCTCTCATTCTGTGCGTGTAACAAACACTCATGCATCTCATAAAGATGTAAAATATTATGTATCAATAAAAGAAAAAAAAATCGAGATACAGAAGTCCTAAGTTTGCTATAGTTCCTGGCCTGGTAAAAATGGTGTATCCTCTACATGCCTTTTCTCAACACATTCCGTGGGTGACTCCTCTCTTTTTTATACTGAGTATGGCACTGAACTGACACTTTAAATATATTGCCTTGTATCATAAATATCTGAGCTTATCTTTCATGCTGTGAGTTTTTACAGAGCATGAATCCTGCTCTGTGTACAGAGGCCTGCCGCACTCGGCTTTAGATAGTACCTTGCACGTATGAGCTAAACACTTGATAAATATCAGTGGGATGAGTGCATAAATCTTACAATATTTATCATAGTACTATCCAGATTTAGGTTTCCTTTAGGTTTCCACTATAACTGCACAGAGCAAGGATTAAAAGCTTTTTTTTTTTTTTTTTTTTTGGGTCTGAGAAGCTATGGAGAGGAGGAAATGGGAGAAATAATTATGAAAATGGGGAGCTAACCACATTTTTTTCCTCTTCTGTTTTTTAGTAGCCTTTTCGCAAGCCACTTCGACCTGATTGGTGTTTTAAAGGCACAGACATTGCCATTTCAATGTGTGGATCCATTTAACTACGTGGATCCAAAAAGCTAGTTCTTATGCTCTGCCTCAATTATAAAATCTTCTTTGGCCTAAACTTGGCCTTGGAACTATGGTTGTCGGTACAGGCTGGCATGACCCTAAGGTGTCACTCTCAGCTTTTGAGGGTGCTCTGTTCAAAGACAGACAAGGACTTTTCTTTCCTTAAATGCGGTCCTCTGTGACTTTGCTGTTTTAGATTTTAGGATTAAGTTTAAAATGTGTTGGGCACTGACAAGGATAAGAAATTGTTCTTCCTGTCCTCTCTATAGGCAGAAAACCATCTTTTCCAAGAGAGAGAGATGGCAAGGGTGTAACAGCACAGTTCAGAGTTATCAGTCAGCAAGAGTGAATGTGCATAGCCTTCCTCTCAGTAAAGTGGATCCATTTGAAGGAGAAAAAGGAAACAAAAGTCTCTGACATTATATTATTCTGTCAGTTACTGCTTTCTCTAGAAGTAGAGAATGGACCAGGAAACCGGTAGCTGCTTTGATATTATTTTACCTTTTTCCTTTCTTGAGAATTATAGATTCTGTACCTGTTTTCATGGACATGAGATAGCAAAATCCCCTCAGGCACAAGCATGTGAGGGAAAACTGATTTCCCTGCTATCTTCCTGGCTAGAACATTCTTACTTAGCCTACTCACCATGCTAGACATTTTCCAGTCGTTCTAAAACCCTCTTGATGAAGGAATGTAAGTTCCTGGAGCTTGGAAGTAGGACCTTCTATGGGTTAAAATATTTAGCTCTTACCCATAGTGAAGAGCTAACGACATTGATGATATGGCTAATTATAATAGATATAATTAGGTAGGTAAGTTAAAACAGACATAGAGACCAGCTGAAGAGTCTTTATTTTTATTGATTTGTAGGATAAGGAAATATTTTTATATGTGCTATTATTTCTATGGTAGGAATGTTTAACTTAGGGAAAATTAATGGAAAAACAAAGCTTTCTACACTTCTCAAGTGTCCTGCTTCAGGCAGTTTTACCTACAACAGCACTGATGTTGAATTTCACTTTAAGTTGTCACATGGTCTGAGTTGTACAAAAAGAAAGAAAAATTCTGGCCGGGTGTGGTGGCTCATGCCTGTAATCCCAGCACTTTGGGAGGTCAAGGCGGGTGGATCACGAGGTCAGGAGACCAAGACCATCCTGGCTAACACGGCCATCTCTACTAAAAATACAAAAATTAGCTAGGCGTAGTGGCGGGTGCCTATAGTCCCAGCTACTCGGGAGGCTGAGGCAGAAGAATGGTGTGAACTCAGGAGGCAGAGCTTGCAGTGAGCAGAGATCACGCCACTGCACTCCAGCCTGGGTGACAGAGCGAGACTCTGTCTCAAAAAAAAAAAAAAAAAAAAAAAAAATTCCTTAGTGTTTGGATAAAGAAGAAAATGCAAAAGTTAGGATATGTTTAAGAACTCATTCATTAATTATATTTTTAGCCATTATTCTAAAGGGATCTGGGCACAAAGGTTATTCTCTGCAGCATTTTTATTATAGCAGAAAGGGGCAAGTAACCTAAATGTCCACCCATAGGGAATTTATTAAATATATTATGATACATCTATACAATGGAATATTATGCAGCCATTAAAATTGAGATACAATACATATACATTAACATGGAATTAGTGCAACAATAAATTAAGTGAATAAGTAGACTTTAAAATATGTATAAATGAGCCCATTTATGTGAAATTATACATATCTAATATGCACATATATACATTGAGATTCATGACAAGTTCATCAAACTATTTACAGTAGTGATCTCTAGGGTATTAGATTCAGGTGATATTTATTTTCTTCTTAGACCTTTTAGCAATATTTGAATATTTACAAAAAGAATGCATTTTTTTCCAAATTAAACATCTAATCCAGATATAAAAGAGTTAGACATATGAGCTATATAGCTCATGAGCAGCATCTGTTTCAACTTATGTTTTATTTTTCCAATGCAATTCCACATTGCTAGCCTTTTCATTAGTAATAGTTTAATTAATTAATAGGTTTAACTAAACCTATAATTAAACATTAATTAATACCTAATTTAATATTTCTGGTTTTTAAAGTTTTCATAATAGAAATAACTACATAATTCATAAGGAATAAGGACAAATAAAAGAAATACTCTAAAACTTTATAGTTAACAGAGAAACAAAAATACAACAACAGGAAAGCTATAGTAGAGAGAAAGAGACGTGTAAAGATGTCTATAAAGAAAAAGATGAGAAATCCTTTATAAAAGTAGGGGCCAGGTGCGGTGGCTCACGCCTGTATTCCCAGTACTTTGGAAGGCCGAGGTGGGCCGATCACAAGGTCAGGAGATCGAGACCATCCTGGCTAACACGTGAAACCCCGTCTCTACTAAAAATACAAAAAAATTAGCAGGGCGTGGTAGCGGGCTCCTGTGGTCCCAGCTAGCAGAAAGGCTCACGCAGGAAAATGGCGTGAACCCGCGAGGCGGAGCTTGCAGTGAGCCAAGATGGCGCCGCTGCACTCCAGCCTGAGCTACAGAGCGAGACTCCTTCTAAAAAAAAAAAAAAAAAAAAAAAAGGAAAAGGAAAAAGAAAAAGAAACAAGAAAAAGAACTAGGAATAAATGAAAATACCAAGAGAGACTGCAACTAAGAAAGGAGACAGGATAACAGGATGATACTATCTTATAATGAATGGGAATTACATGTTGTAAAAATGTAAAAATAAGGATTTGACCCCTGCAACAATCCAAAGAGTTTAGTAAATGAAAAGTTTTAAATCTCCATTTGATATATGAAAAATGAAGGCCTGGGAAAGGCAAGCATCTTGCCTTATATCACAAATTTGATATGGAGGCTGGCTATCTCCTTACTTGTTATATACCAGGCATCCTACAAATTGTCTTATTTAAATCTCAATAATTTAGGGAGTATCACCCCCATTTTGCAGATGAGAAAACTGAGTCCCACAGTCATAAAATAGCTTGCCCTAAGTCACATAACTACTACATAGACTAAACTGGACTCTAACTTAGGTCCCTTATTCATATTTCCGATGATGTTTGCTTTCTTTTTTCTTTTTAGCACTATGGAGAATAACTTGCAATAGAAAGAAAAAATATGAATAAGATAAACAAGGATAAGGATGAAAGCTACAAAAGAAGAAAAAAAGTTCCAAAATTAACAACCATTTGTTTAAACATATGACAGTAAATTACTTCATTTGCATGAAATTACTATTTTGGGGTAGCCTAATTTTTCCCAGGTCAAATATTGGTGAAGCCCAGTAAATTGTGTTCCTTTTAATCTAATTTGAACTTTAAAAAAAAATACGTTTCAAGAGATAAACTTTTTTTCCAAAAGTCATTTACAACTTTTATGGGGAAATAAGAAAGGCTGTGCAAGACAGACAAGATTATTGCCTTGATTTATAAACAGTACAGAATTCAGATTGTTTTCAATTGCTGTCAGAAGCAGTACCTTACTTTCAATGCAACTTGATGCCAGTTCTGATTGTGACTGTCCTCTTGTTTCCATGGTAACAAACTTTAATGTGATCAGCATTACGTAGGAACTTTTTGCATTGAAACAGGCAAGAAAAAAAAATTCTGATTCTCTGTGCCTGAAACACATATAGTAGGGGCTGAATAAATGTTTATGGAATGAAAAAGTAAAATAGAAATAGTCTCAGCCTTACAACTGCGTGCTAAACAGATGTGGTGCTAAAATTTGCATATGTAAACCTCTTCATGGGACAGAATAACCTTAAGTAAAACAGAAAGGTGTAGGGTGGTTTTTGCTTCACTTTAGACCCAGATTGTAGCACAAAGAGCACTAAGTCGAAGGCTTAAATAGCTTAATTGTACAGCAAGTTAGAAGTTAAAGGGTCAGAGTAATGTTAAGTAAATGAAACTGTTTTGGAGAAAACCTGTAATGCTGCATTCCAGGTCTCCAAAGGCACAGTGCCATTTTTGTGTGTGTTAAATCATTTTAAGGCCAAATACTGGTGTTTGCTGACTTCCAGAACTTCCTTATGTTTCCAGCCTTTGCAAAACAACATAGCCAAGTATATAGTATCTAAATCTGGTGGGCTGCTTCTGAGATTTTCTTGGAAGGTATTTAAATATATGTTGGTTTTTGTTTGTTTGTTTCCCACTCATAATATGTCCTGTTTTCTAAAAACTTTTTAGGTTCAGGCAGTTGACCATTTATGTGAAAAATGTCTGAAAAATTTGACCCTGATAAGGTGGATGCCTCTTGTGAGATCACAGAAGCCCTTAACCTGGAAGAGGCGTGTAAACCAAGAGGTTTCAATATATGTAACAATTGAAATTTAAGCATATTTAAATGTTATCTACTCAAATATTTATTGAGTCCTACTATATGCCAGGCACTGTAGTAGGCACATGTTGAGCAAACAAAAATTCCTGTTCTCATGGGGCTTACATTCTAGCAGAGAAAACACAACACAACACAAGTACAATGCATAGGATGTTGGATGGTGGCACGTGTTGTGGTATAAAATAAGTCAGAGAAAGGAGTCAGTTTTAAATAGGAAGGTTATAGAAGCCTCACTGAGAAGGTGGCATTTGAGCAAGGACCTGAAGGAGGTGTAGGATAGTACCAAGCAGACATCAGGGGAAAGAGCATTCTTAGGCAGGCTGAAGAAAAAGTGCAAACATTCTGAGACAGGAGTATCCCTGGAATGCTCTAGGAATAACAAGGTGGCCCATATGGTCAGAGCAGTAAGCGAAGGAGAGAGAAATGGGAATTGATATCAAAGAAGTAATGCGGTCTTGGAGGCAGGTTGCATACGGCCTTGTAGACCACTGAAAAGATTTCAGCTTTTGTTCTGAATTAGATGGGAAGTGTATTAGTCTGTTTTCATGCTGCTAATAAAGACATACCTGAGGCTGGGTAATTTATAAAGAGGTTTATTTGACTCACAGTTGAGCAGGGCTGAGGAGGCCTCAGGGAACTTACAATCATGGTGGGAGGGGAAGCAAACACATCTTTCTTCACATGGTGGCAGCAAGGAGAAGTGCAGAGCAAAGTGGGGGAAAAGCCCCTTATAAAACCACCAGATCTCATGAGAACTTGCTCACTATCATGAGAACAGCATGGAGGTAACTGCTCCCATGATTCAATTACTTCCCACTGGGTCCCTCCTATGACAAGTGAGGATTATGGGAACTACAATTCAAGATGAGATTTGGGTGGGGCCAAGCCAAACTATATCATTCCAGTCCTGGCCCCTCCCAAATCTCATGTCCTCACACTTCAAAACACAATCACACCCTTCCAACAGTCACCCAAAGTCTTAACTGGTTCCCACTCCTGGTACCAAAATCTGTGTTAGTCAGGGTTCTCTAAAGGGACAGAACTAATAGGATATATGTATACCTGAAGGGGAGTTTATTAGGAGAATTGACTCACAGGATCACAAGATGAAGTCCCACAAATAGGTTGCCTACAAGCTGAGGAGCAAGGAAGCCAGTCCAAGTCCCGAACCTCAAAGGTAAGGAAGCCAACAGTGAAGACTTCAGTCTGTGGCCAAAGGTGTGAGAGCCTCTGGCAAACCACTGGTGTAAGTCCAAGAGTCGAGAAGCTAAAGAATTTGGAGTCTGATGTTCGAGGGCAGGAAGCATCCAGCACAGGAGAAAGATGGAGGCCAGAAGACTCAGCAAGTCTGCTCTTTCCAACGTCTTCTGCCTGCTTTACTCTAGCCACACTGGCAGCTGATTAGATGGTACCTACCCACATTGAGGGTGGGTCTGCCTTTCCCGATCCACTGACTCAAATGTTAATCTCCTTTGGCAACACCCTCACAGACACCCAGGAACAATACTTTTGCATCTTTCAATCCAGTCAAATTAACAGTTAATGTTAACCATTACAGGAAGGTACTGGAGGGTTTTAAGCAGAGAAGTGGCATAATCTGACTTAGGTATTCAATGGATCATTCTCGCTGTTGTGTTTTTAAAAAGACAGGAGGAGGGAAATTTTAAGGAGATTATATAGGAAGCTATTGTATTAATAAGAAATGGTGGCTGGACATGGTGGCTCATGCCTGTAATCCCAGCACTTTTGGAGGCCAAGACAGGCGGATCACGAGGTCAGGAGTTCGAGACCAGCCTGACCAACATGGTGAAACCCCATATCTACTAAAAATACAAAAAAATAACCAGGTGTGGTGGCACCCGTCTGTAATCCCAGCTATTCGGGAGGCTGAGTCAGGACAATTGCTTGAACCCGGGAGGCAAAGGTTGCAGTGAGCCAAGATCGCACCACTACACTCCAGCCTGGGTGACAGAGCAAGACTCCATCTCAAAGAAAAGAAATGGTGGTATCTCAGAACAGACTGCTAGTGTCAGAAGTGGTATTTGTTGGATACTGGATATCTGGTAGAGACTCCAGCAATTTTAGTGGATAGGATGTAAGGTTTAAAAAAAGAGTAATCAACCTAGATGCCAAGTCTTTTTACTGGAGCAGCTACAAGGATGGGGTTGCTCTTTACTAAGGATAAGAAAACTGGGGAGGATTGAGTTTTGAGGAAAAGATCAAGAGCTCAGTTTTGGATGTCAAGTCTTAGCCATCTAAGGAGATATCATTTGTGTATATGACTGGAGTTCAGGGGAGATGTCTGGGTTAAAGACATACATTTGTCAGTCATCAGTGCTATGCTAATTTAAATATTTAAAGCCATGAGGTTTAACGAGAGGTTTCTGAGCTCTGGGGCTCCCAACGTTTAGAGGTCAAGGGGATAGAAACTCCCAGAGGGTACTAGAAGGAGTGGTAAGTGAGGAAGGAGAACAACCTGGAAGCCAAATGAAGAATGCACCTCAAGGCTGGGCATGGAGGCTCACACCTGTAAACCCAACACTTTGGGAGGCCAAGGCATGTAGATCGCTTGACGTCAGGAGTTTGAGGTCAGCCTGGCCAACATGGTGAAACCCCATCTCTATAAAAAATACAAAACTTAGCTGAGTATAGTGGCATGGACCTGTAATCCCAGCTACTCAGGAGGCTGAGGCATAGAATCACTTGAACCCAGGAGGCAGAGGTTGCGGTGAGCTGAGATTGTGCCACTGCACTCTGGGCTGGGCAACAGAGCAAGACATTTCCCCCCAAAATAAAAAGAATGTACCTCAAAAAATAAAGCAAAAAGAGGTTTTTAATGGATTATATATATACTTACTAGGACATGCCAAAGTGAGTGGAAGGAAACAGAAGGAAATAGCCTTGGTCCCTTCAGTAACAACCATGTTAATACCTTCTCAGGAACATAACATACAATAGCTATTTAGGCTGAATGGAGAGCTGAAGCATAAACCTACAATGATGATTCATGTGACTTTCTACCATAGAAATCTCACCAGATTCACAGAACCATAGACACTTTGGAAAAGAGCTAAGAGGAAACCTAGTTCAATCCCTTACCTGATGCAGTATGCCCACCATGAAGTCATCCGTCTTAATCATCTTCAATAACAGGCAACTTGAAATTTCTCAAAAGTCTGTGCATATTTGATTCCCTCTAGCAGTTCCAATAAAAATAACCAAGTCATTTCCATGGTATATGAATGAAGTGGATTATGATGCCAACATTATATTGTTTCATAACTTTCTGAGTATGTTTCTCAGTTTTAGAGATTTATTCTAATCCAAATATGCATTTATTCGAGCAATTTAGTGTTTGCTTGATGTATATACTGTATTAATCTCTTCTCTTGCTGCCAATAAAGACATACTTAAGACTGGGTAATTTATAAAGGAAAGAGTTTTAATTGACTCACAGTTCTGCATAGTGAGGGAGGCCTTACAGTTATGGCAGAAGGCAAATGAGGAGCAAAGTCACATCTTACATGGCGGCAGACAACAGATCGTGTGCAGGGGAACTCCCCTTTATAAAACCATCAGATCTCGTGAGACTTATTAACTATCACGAGAACAGCATGGGAAAGACTCACCCCTATGATTCAATTACCTCCCACTGGGTCCCTCCCATGACAGATAGGAATTAGGGGAACTACAATTCAAGATGCAATTTGGGTGGGGACACAGCCAAACCATATCATATACCAATTTTCCTTGTAAGTAGGGTTTTTGATTTTTCAAATGTTTGTTCCTTGGAAGCCACATAGGTAGGAAAAATATTTACTTACTTTTTTGCTTTGAGACAGGGTCTCCCTCTCTCACCAGGCTGGAGTGGTGTGATCATAACTCACTGTAACCTCAAACTCCTGGGCTCAAGCCATCCTCTCACTTCAGCCTCTGGAGTAGCTAGGACTACAGGAGTACACCACCATACCTGGCTAATTTTGAAATTTTTATTTTATTTTTTGTCAAGACCAGGGTCTTGCTATGTTGCCCAGGCTGCTCTCGAACTCCTGGACTCAAGTGACTCTCCCTCCTCAGCCTTCCAAAGTGCTGGGATTACAGGTATGAGTCAGTGCACCCAGCCTACTTTTTAAGATGTATGCTTAAAGATGCTATGGTAGAAAGGGAAATACAAAGTTAAATAAAGATATCCAAATACCATTATAGCATCAAACTTCATAATAAAATGAAATCATAGAGAGCAGAGATGGCATCCTTCTGGTTCTGAATGTATGTACCTGTCAACAAAAGAAAGCCATCTCCATGTTTCCAGAGTCATGATGAAATCACATTTCAAATTGTTTCAACAGGTGCCTTATGTCAAATGCCTCTTCCTATAAAAGAAACTGCTGAGTTGTTCTAAACAGTGCATGAAAATAGCAAGTGGGCTGAGTGAGCAATCACAGTGAGGTCCTGAGAGGTGTAAAAAACCCCAGATTCAGATTCAGCTTCCTCCAGAGAGTGGGGTTACCTCCCACCATGCTTGAGGGACAGCCCTCCCATAATTAGACTCTACTCACAGTCTCAGCCTGAAGTGTGACTAGCTGAAACTAGTGACTGGAGGAATTGAGCCCCTGTAGGGAGGTCAGAACAGGTAGCACTTTCCTTCTCTTGCTCCCTGCCAATGGTTACCCCTACATAGAATTTTTATTCCTACCTCTGGGCAGCACCAGCCCGTTAATAATGAACCTAGAATGTGAAGTGAAAATCAGCACCATGTGCGGTAAGCATTAGGTAATTACATTTCACTTGTTTAATTAAGTTTCACTTTCTGGTTGCCTTGAGGGAACTGTAGGAAAGGATTTTGATTTTGTTTTTGTTTTTGTTTTTCCTGATGCTTTTTTTCTTTTTTCCCCTAGCTAGAAGCTGAATAATTCCACACAGTGTTGAAATGGATATGCTGTGTTTGTGTTGGCCGAATTAAGCATCTATAATCATGTATTTCCTCTCTTTTGTCTATTTGTGTCACAGTCTTAATATGTGGGATAGAAATTTTGTTTAGTGGAGACATAATTTTTTGATTGTCTTAGGGCTTATTTAAACCAGCTCATCTCCATTATAATGTGTTTCTGTACTTTACTCATCAGCTTGGCACTGACTCCACTATTGTTTTCTTCAAATACTGTGTATTTTCCCTGAAAGTCCAAGTAGCTGACAATTTTGCTACCTCTGCAAGGAAATCTGCTTTATTTTCTCCTAGGTTTTACACATATATAAAACTATACATTAGGGACATACTGTTCCTCAGCAGGCTACATGGCCTTTCATTCACTCTCTTAAAAATATCTGTGGACCTATTATGTGAAATAATGTATGATTTGCTCAATGGGAGATTTACTTCTCAATAACGTTATGTTTTATTAAGCCTCACGTATTTCTAAATTTATATACCTTGAATAATAATTCCATCACAGAAGGGGCTCATTATTAACCACATTTCCATGTGTGATATTCACCGAGGCATGTCCCTGGAAACATACCTAACCACATAAGAGTAAAAGCCTGTCATAGCACAGGAAGCCTAGAATAAGTACATCCTACCATTTAAGCACCTAGGTCTTAATATGTCAGTTCATAATTAGATTCTACCTTTGTGGTCAGTATTTGAAATTGAGATATAGTTAATCAGTTAGAGAGGTAGTCAATTTCACTTTGTCAGTGAAGCTCAGAATCGCACCAATATGTTGTTTTTCTTTTTTTTTTTTTGAGACGGAGTCTCACTCTGTTGCCCAGGGTGGAGTGCAGTGGTGCCATCTCGGCTCACTGCAAGCTCCGCCTCCTGGGTTCATGTCATTCTCCTGCCTCAGCCTCCCGAGTAGCTGGGACTACAGGTGCCCACCACCACGCCCAGCTAATTTTTTTGTATTTTTAGTAGAGATGGGGTTTTACCGTGTTAGCCAGGATGGTCTCAATCTCCTGACCTCGTGATCTGTCCACCTCGACCTCCCGAAGTGCTGGGATTACAGGTGTGAGCCACCACGCCTGGCCAATATGTTGTTTTTCAAAGACTGCCGTCCTCATACAGACCAGCTTGGTACTGACAGAGGAGGTGAAATGGGAAAAGTTCCTTTGTCCCCCTCGCAGGGTGTACGATGGGGAAGTGGCTCGTTTCTTCAGTGCCCTGCTGCTCAGGCCTCTAAGGGAGCATACATACGGGCAGGCTGTGGGGCTCCAACACCAGGGCAGTGTCTAGGGGTGAATGTTTACAGCTTTTGAAGCCCCAGTAGGCATGTGTTACAGGGTGCTCTTTTAGTGTAGCCATCCAAAGGCAGCTTGTGTTAACTAGCTTAATTACACCCTCTACCTTGTGGCAAAGACAGAGGGCTTTCTGTATCCTGGGGTGCTTGCTTTGGTGTAGTGGAAGAATCAGATCACACGTGGGCTTGGAGAATGAGTGCAAGGTTTTATTGAGTGGAAGAAGCTCTCAGCAGATGGGGGAGCCATAAGGGAGATGATTTTCCCCATAAGTTGGGCCGCTTGGGGGCCGAGCGCTCCTCCAACTGCCCCAGCCAAACTCTGTGTTGTTTTGCCCGTCAGTGGCCTGCTGGTGCCTGCTGGTGAGTTCCACTCAACGTCTAGCCGCTTGTGTGTTCCTCTGCCAATGTGCTCCTCTCCACGTCCAGCTGCTTCTGTCTCTGCCTTGCTAGGGTCTCGGGTTTTTATAGGCACAGGATGGGGGCCTGGGTGGTCTTGGGAAATGTAGCATTTGGGCAGGAAAACAAAAATGCCTGTCCTCACCTAGGTCCGTGGGGGTGGAGTCCTAACCTGGGACCATGCCTTCCTCTACCCAGCACTTCCCTTCCCCTCTTCCATATCATTTCTGCTGAGCTGTCTTTCACCAGTGGTTGTGTTCCTTCTCTTTTGAACAGGACTTTCTCTGTGCAGACTTCTGTACTGTTCAGTTACATCATAAGCCATATTCTAGTTATTCACTTGAAAGTTTACACAACCTGCAAGAGTAATTCATGGGGAAAATAACTCTGTTGTTTTTCCATCACATTTTCTGCCTCTGCCAACTCTCCCCTCGTCCTCCCCGCGCTAAAGCCAGCCACTTTTCTGTCCATTTTCACAGGCAGAAATGCTTTGCATCGTGCCTGCTTGTACTGGCAATTGCTTGGGCCTCTTCTGTAGCTTGTCCTCTAGCTGTCTCTACCACATTCCTAATGAAAGTCAGCTGACACTATGTATTTGTGTACAAAGAATAAATAACATGGTTTAGTTATGTAACAATTTGAAATGCCTTGATTTCTTTAGGTTAATGTTAACAGCCTCAGTATTGGTAATTCCTGACCGTCTGCTAACTTTTGAAAGCCAGAAGGTCTTGCTCTTCAAACTCTTCTCCTCACAGGATGTAGTGGGCTTATAGCTGAAGAAAGGCATATCTAGGGTATTAAATGTGTTCTTGCAAAACTAAATAAGTACCCTATGCCGAAATAAGATATGCTGTGTGGTAACTAGTTTTTAGAGTATTTGAAGCAATGATTTGTACTCCTTTCAACGTTTTCATTTCAGGAGCATTTTAAGAAGTGGTTTGGGGTCATGACTCCTACTTCAATACAGTAGTTAGTACAATTTGTAATGCTTAATTTGTGGACCCTCCGTTATTAGCTTAGAAGACATAACTTGAAACCAGTACGGTAGAGTGGATGAGGAGACATTCCAAGATGGTTAAGATAAAGCTAAGGAAAATGGAAATGCCTTGCCCAGCGTGACTAAGAGGGTCAGGAATAGAACCTGACTCCTAATAGAACACATTTTTGAGTGAGTGGCACAAAACAGGACATGTTAACAATCAGAACTCAAGTCCAGCCGTAAAACATATTTGTATACACTGTTGCATATTGTGTTCAAATGGGTTATTTTTGCCTCAATCTGTTCCAATGCACATTCCTGCCAGAGGTAGGTATTGGTTTGGAGATAATTTTTTCTCCAGCAGCATGCAAAAGTCAGGGTTTCCAGATACTAAACTGAATGGGGGTCTGGGCCTTATAAAAAACGAACACATGGATGGGTTCCATACTTTGTAACTAATTTGGCAGCAGCTGACATCTTAGTTTGTGAGGGGGCTTTACAAAAGTTACGGACCTGTAACCTCTGCATTGGGCTAGGCTCCCCCAGTTAGGTTACTTGGGGATGAATAGTTGCTGAGATAATTGTGGGTAAATGTAGAACAATAGCCCAAACAAGAGACACTCTGGCACTCTAGTCCATACTTGGCTTTTAGGCTCTAAAGAAGTGATCTGGGTCTTTTTTGAATTATAACTATAACCAACATTTATTTCAGAGTGATTTCTACATATTTCCTTAATTTTCCCTCACCAAATCCCCCTAAGGAGGTCTGTTAATACACTAATGCTATAGATCTTTTATAAGGGCACAGACAGGCCCAGGAAGATGGTGACATGCACAAGGCTACACAAATAATAAATAAGGATTGGGAAACATACATTTGGGTCTCTTGACTCCAATTTGGTTGCTCTTTTAATGATACCAACCACTTTGACCATTCAAAGGGGTCATTGTGGTCCCACCAGCCCCCCTCCATACCTGCTGAGCCCAAGTACAGACTCAAAAGGAATTTCCCTTGTGGCTAGAGGATGTACTGTATAAAAGATCAGGATCCCATTTCACCTTTCCTTTCTTTCAGAACTATCTTAGCTTTACCTTTGGATAAATGTATGTCATTAGTGGGAGATCATCTGCCTCTTAAATTCTTATCTTTCACAATGGACACCAGACTTCCTTTTAAGGTGCTATGTGTGACTCATCAGTAGTTTAAAATTTTGTAAGATACATGAACATTTTCTGATTGAGAAACACTTTAGAAATGCTGAACATATTATTGTGAAATAACAATGACTAATATTGTTGTTAAATTGTTGAATTGTAATAGCTTTAACCTTTTTTGATTCAGTCTGTTTATTCCAAGTTATCTTGCCTTTTAAATGGCTTTGAAACATTGGCAAACAATGCTGGTCTCTCTTACAGATCTCAGTCCTGCTTTTAACAATGACAGGCAGTGTATTCAAAACATACCTGAATTGGACATGACATTTTGGGGAATATTTTGACTAGTTTGTAATAAAAGAAAAGTTGAATAAATCAGAATTGATTAAAGAGGTGATAGTATACCAAATGCTATGGTGAGCAAATTACTCTTGAGAAATGCATTGTTTATATAGATATTACAATGTCATGCTGTTCTCAACCCAATCAACTATATAAACTGGAGTAGAAATTCCTGAACTTTTTTTTAACTCCCGGGGAAGCAGTTTACTATTAGCAATTAGTATAATGATTACTATCAAATCTTGCCAAAGAGAGATCAAGAAAAACATGGGTGCAAAGTAAACATGACTCCTTTGATTTTATTAATGGATGATAGGATTGAAAATAAGCCAGAAGGTGCAGAAAGCTGAGATTATAGTAAAGCAGGCAAATATGGCACTTGCCATGTTTATCTACAAGCTTGCCATTCTTTGGGCAGTAAATGAAACAGAGCATTAAAACAAGGATTTAAAAAATGGATTAAATTATCCCAGCACTTTGGAAGGCTGAGGTGGGCGGATCATGAGGTCAGGAGATCCAGACCATCCTGGCTAACATGGTAAAACCCCATCTCTACTACAAATACAAAAAACATTAGCCAGGCGTGGTGGCGGGTGCCTGTAGTCCCAGCTACTCGGGAGGCTGAGGCAGGAGAATGGCATCAACCTGGGAGGCGGAGGTTGCAGTGAGCTGAGATTGCGCCACTGCACTCCAGCCCGGGCAACAGAGCGAGACTCCATCTCAAAAAAGAAAAAAAAAAAGATTAAATTTTAAAAATAAGAACAAATGGTGACTGGAGGGAAAAACAAGAGGAAAGAAAACGAGCAGTAATCAAAATCTTGGGAGAATTATTTTCAGTTTGATTTTGTGAATTTTATTTATACAATAAATAATAATGCTAACTGAGGGTCAAATTAATCTATGAGAATGTTATAAATGACCTTAAATCAGCACATTTGGAGAAGTAAAAAACTGAATCTGTGACTGAACTCTGTCTTCATTTATCATAAAAACCGTACACAATTTTTAATCTTCCAATGTCTCAGTGACACCTATTTCCAGATTAGTGGTCCTCGAACTTTAGTACATGTCAGAATGTCCCAGAATGCTTGTGAAAAATACGGATTTCTGGGTTCCATCCTCAAATACTCAAGTTCAGTAGATGTTGGTTGGGACCCAGAAAGATGCAAGGACTTCAGGACATCTTTTAAAAACATTAATATGGAGAATAATGAGCCAGGAGGGAAATAACTCTTTGAGTCAGAGAATGCCACTGATTTTAGGAATTCTGACCGTATCAAATACAAATTTTAGAATTTAAATATTTGTTCATGGTGATATATTAGAAATCTAACATAACACATATTGGTGAAAAAATAATTATAAAATTGTCTGCAGTTAGGTAACTTGGTTGTTTATAATCAAACTGTTTAGACAATAACATTGAAATAGTTACTGAATTGAACACTTCCTTATTTTATAGACGAATAATATGGAGCTCAGGTAGTCAAAGTAATTTGCACAATATCATGTCACTAGCTAGGGACCAGGCAAGATATTTGCTCTTTCCATTCATTATGTTGTGTTCCTTTCAAAAGTCTCTATAAGTCTCCAATATTATCAGAAGGACTTGGGGTAAGCCAAGAACCCCATTAGACGATACCTTCGGCTCATGTAGGAAAATAAGGTTATAGGCTTGTATAAACATAAATATACTTAACAAAAGCAATTCTACGGTTATAGCTATAGAATACACCTTGTCTTTCCTCTCAATAAATGTCATGAACCACTGGATGGAGTGTCTTAGTTTGTTTTCTTTTGCTTATAACAAAACACCCAAAACTGGGTAATTTATAAAGAAAAGGAATTTATTTCTTACAGTTATGGAGGCTGAGAGGTCCAAGGTTGAGGGGCTGCATCTGTTGATAGCCTTCTTGGTGGTGGGGATTCTGTGGCACAGGGCATCACGTGGCGGAGGGGGCTGAGCGTGCTAATGTGCTAGCTCAGGTCTCTCTTCCTTTTATAAAGTCTCCAGTTCCCCTCCCATCATAACCCATTAATCCGTGAATGGATTAATCCATTTATGAGGACAGAGCCTTCATGATCCAATCACCTCTTAAAGTTACCACCTGTCAATACTGCCAGATTGGAGATTAAGTTCCAACATGCGTTTTGGAGGGGTCATTCAAACCATAGCATAGAGTAATGATGGTAAGTTGTTTCAGGCATAAAATTTGAAATAAATTATGAGGCTCCATGATATGCTATATTGGTTTTACCTTCAGAAGAATATTTAGTTTCACTCAGGTTTTTCAAAGCTACGCTGTCCCCCAAAAAACGAAACAAAACAAAAAAACAACCTTTTTAAGAGTTGATGGCTACTCATTTGATCTGCCTCCTCTGCTGAATCAATTAGGAATTTTTTTTTTTTTTGCCTGCAAATAACAGAAAACTGACTAACAGTGTAAGAAATAAAGTGATTACAAATAGGGATTTTTCCTCCCACACACACTACAATATTTCTGGATATAAGGTCATTATGGGTATTAGTTTAGTGACTCAAATAATATCACTGCTCAGGGTCAGTTTGTCTGTGATTCTCTATGCCTTTCTCTCATAGTCTTAAACTGCAGGTATCACATTGGCAGACTGGAGGGAGGAGTGAGGGCAGCCCTGGTGTTCCTCTTATCAGAAAAGCTGAAAGTGTCCCAAAAGCACACCCCTCTCCTATCAGATGTCCATCTTATTGGCCGGAACTATGCTGCACCTCCATTCCAAGAACAAGAGACACTGAAGAAAAAAATGTATTGCTTTAGCTTCTAAAAAGGAGACGGCCAAGGGATAAGACAGTTGAGAAGGGTGTGGCATGACAGAGTGTCTGCTGCTCTCTTGGTTTTAGAAGGAACTCCTGTTATTCCAGTGTCACCTGAGTACAGACTGGGTCTCATGGGGCCACTCCAGATTCAGACATTCTTCTTTTTTCTTCTGCTCTACCACCATCCTTCTAGAGTCTGCCAGTTTGCTTCCCCCCACCCCATCCCCCAACACCACACAGAGTGACTCCACTCCCACACACACAGGCATTCACACAGTCCAACCTTCATTTTTAGGAAGTCCTGGAACTGACTGGCCTTTAGGAAGGTGGCACAGGTGTTCCGAGGATTATAAAATGTTTTATTGAATAAGTTTTCTCTGTGGATGTCCAGGAACCTTTCCTCCCAGCCTGTTTGAAAGAATAATGATTAAATTAGAACAGGACATACTGATGTTTAAAAAAAAAAAAAAAATCACAAGTCAGTATCTTGAAAGTATATCCCAAGGCTTTTTTTAAGGTAACCTTTATACTGAACCATAAAAAGATTAAAGACACCTTCCTCTAGAATCAGGCCCTGTCATTCACATTGAGATTGTTCAGAAAAAGAAGAGTTGACACCTTTACTGAAAGGAGTCAAGGTCTTGCAAGCAGGAAACTGGTTTTATGACAATTCCCTGCCTTGCTAGGTAAGCTGGTCCACATCGAGATGACTCTCTCCTTGACTTCTGACTTACTTTGTGTTTGTTGGAGGAATCCTATGAGTCATATTTAGCCTTTCCAGCCTGATTGAGTTTGAAGGAGCCACTGGATTATTGCATACAATGGATTTTGCAAAGAGTTTTCTCCAGCATACCCACAGGAGAAAGGCAAGTCGGTTCATAAATGGAAATTCTAGACAAACAACTAAGCTAAAGACACCTCTCTGTATAAATGCTTCCAGATGGAGACAAGTTTTTCACTTCACTCTCCACAGTTTTCACTTTAAAGGGTTATTGAGATGGAAGCATTGGAGCGAAGCACATTAGAATCACTTGCCCCACCTTGCCTTCTGAGGAAGAATGACTTACGGTTGCAAGGGGAAAATGCTGGCTAAAAAATAAATCTTGGTCTGTTCCCCATAGTCTATCAACACATGCTTTTCAGAAGAAGAAAAAGAAAAAAAACATCTGGAAAGAATAGGACTGAGTTGGTAGAACATCTTGAAGGGGGCTGGCCTTCACTTAGAAAATTGAAAAGACATGCAGATAAGCCATTAGGAAGAAGAGTCTGTGGTTGTTAAGCAGAGTTACCTAAAGAAGGAACTTCAAGATACAAGTTTAAAGCAACACTCTGTAATTATTTGTATTATAGTATAAGGTTGTTAAGTTTGTCTTCACCCTTTGAAAGAGTTCTGAACAGAGTTAGTGTTTTCGTAAAAAATCTCAGGGCCTACAAAAAATGCCATTTGGCCTCCACAATAAGTTGCTCCCACCCAGAAAGTCCTCTCCCTTCTACAGCTTCCTGTATAAAAGGCTGGGATACCAACATCTGCCTGAAGCAAAAACACATGTATTTTAACCAAATAAATAAAAAGGAACAAAAGTCTGAGTACATCATGCTGCTCATAGTCTTACTGGCTGACTCCCATTGGCTCTCTCACTGTTGTTATAATTTCGTTTATGCCCTAGGCAGATGGGCCTCTCTGCTCATAGGTGATTTAGAATCTGCTGATAGTGGCTGGAATGAAGCATGGAGGATCTGGCAACTTCTAAGCACACTGGCTTAGACCACTGTATTCTTGGGCTTTGATGTTTACTCCATATATGATTCCCATCAATGGTGATACCTGGGCCATTGTCCAGTGGGTGAATGTGATTTTCTTCTTTGGAGAAGCCCATTGCAAATCACAGCTAATAGGGACCCTAATGAGGACGTTCACCTCCCAGCTCCTCTGTGCCAGGGCAGTGGATAACAACAGGATGTGGGTTTTAAACACATGTAAGCTTCTTCAAGCTGCCTCTTTCAGTTTCATTCTTTTTTTAAGGCACTAGAAAATATAATCCACATACTTGAAACAAACATTTTTTCTTGCTGCTAATGTTTTTTGTCGTAGTTTTCTCCCATGTCAGGAGTGGATTCCACTCTGATTAGTACCAAGATATATTAATTGGTACAATATGTAAATGAAAACATGGGATATTTACAAGGTAGGCAGAAGATGATATATGCTTATAAGTTTCACTTTCAGTAAATATGAAAATGTATTTTATTCATCCTCCATGGTTGTTGTTAAAGCCACTCTGCTATACCTTGGACTTAGCAAATGATTTTGATGAATAGGACCAAAAGATGTCAAGAGCCACAAACCTATCACGGTAAAAATTAAAGGCATTTAGTTCCAAATTAATTTATTTAAAAAGAAGTTGTAATATTTGAACAGGCCATAAAATTAGGATCAAGTAAGCAAATCTGTAGGCATTTTATCAGAGACAGGAGCAATGAGAGACTGCAGGAAATAGAAGGGAATCAGACTTTTATTCTTTATAAAGTTGTTATTCCAGTCCTCACCATCCCCTTTGCTCCTCTTCCCAATTCATTATTTTCCTTTCTGTTACTAGTAAGTCCTTCTCGTCTCTCCTCTTCTTCCCATCACCCCCAGGATACACAGTAAAGAGAGAATACCAGAAATGGGCAGCACTGGTGAGCAAAGAAATATTATAGAGGTTTTTTTTTCATTCCAAGTTTTAAGTTGTCCTTGTGCATGAAATATGCACATGATAAAAAGGGGGTTGCCATCAATGCATATTGTCTTGAAAAGCCAAGGGCTCTTTTTCGGTTTTTCTCTATAATGAAGACTGTTAGACTGTGGACTCTATAATTATGCTCACTGAACAAATACCTTGAAAGGGAAGTAATTCCAAGTCATGTATCAAAGATTCAATTTGACATGTATTTACTAAATGCCTAACATGCCTATGCATTTTGTTTATTCATTTATAGTAACAAGATATAGTGAGTTCATATTCTGTGCCAGCACTGTGCTCAGTATTGAAAAATTGGAGTCACAAGATTCCCACTTTCAAGAACTTACAGTCCAATGGAGGAGAAAGAAGTATGAAAGGATCAATTGCAGGGTGACAAGAGAGTGTTCCAATAGTGCAGATCCAGAGCTGTGATTTTAAAAAGATGATGCAAACCAGTTATCTCTTGCTTCATGGAGTGGATGGGCTACAGGAAATTTGACAATAAAACAAAGCTTAAATAAATTGCAACATTTGTCTACAACTCTACTGTAAAATTGGAAATGCTTTTCCACAGAAAAACCTCTCAAAATGCTGAATGCAAAAGTTGGGATCACAGAAACATTGTGCCTATTTTTGGTCTGCTGGAAACTGTATTTTTACAAGGTAATCCCTGTTTTCAATATAGTTCCTGTCTTGCCACTGGCGGTTTTCTTGTAGCATTTTTCTAGTTCTGAGATTGCTACTACCCAAAGTATTCATTTCTTTCTTACTGGGGTGTCCTCTGTCTTCACAGCCTGCTTCTGGATTGTAGGTTTTTTCCTTTCTTTCTGTTGAGATATTTATGGCATTTGATAGAGTCAAACCAGATGTATTGCAGCCGGACATACTTATGTGGCTTCAGATGTGTAAAATAAGTAACTTCCTATCTTTGTCTGTCTAGCTCAAGAGTTGACTGTGGACGAGGAATGCCTGTATTGATTCATTAATGTAATAACTATTTACTGACTGCCTACCATGTACAACCAGAAACACAGTTCCTAACCTCATGAACTTACCATGTAACATGGGAAGACAAGCACTAAGTTCTTATTTGTTTGTAATTGTGATAAGGCTCAGAGAACAAATACAGATTCCTATGAACCCATGTATAGGGGGAAATATTTAGGTTCCATTTAATACTGACATGGCTAAGTATCTCAGTATTTAAGCTGAGATCTGAAGGATAATTAGAAGATTCCTCAGGCAGAGGGAAGAGCAAAGGCTGTGTGTGGGGCAGGAAGAAATGTGGTCGTTTGAGGAACTTCGAGATCAGCGTGGCCACTGATGTGCTGCAGTGTAGCAAAGAGAGCAAAAGAAAGAGAGAAACAGGGAGGAATGGAATTCAGCTCACGGGCTCTGGAATCAGAGTTTCAAGTTGGAATCCTGACTTCCTAGCTGTATCGGTTAAGAATTTTTTTTTGTGGCATCCAAAGAACAGAAAGCCTACCTTACTGAGGTTCATATAAAAAGGGGAAATTGGCCAGGTGCGGTGGGTCACACCTGTAATCCCACTACTTTGGGAGGCCGAGGCGGGTGGATCACCTGAGGTCAGGAGTTCGAGACCAGCCTGGCCACAGTGGTGAAACCCCGTCTCTACTAAAAATACAGAAATTAGCTGGGTGTGGTGGCGGGCGCTTGTAATCCCAGCTACTCGGGAAGCTGAGGGAGGAGAATCGCTTGAACCCGGGAGGCAGAGGTTGCAGTAAGCCAAGATCGCGCCATTGCACTTCAGCCTGGGCAACAAGAGCAAAACTCTGTCTCAAAAAAAAAAAAAAAAAAAAAAAAAGGCGGTGGGGGGAAATTATCTCCACAAAACAAAAAGTCCGACAATAAGCAATAAGCTGTCCAGGGCTGATACAGGGCATGATGAGGTCATCACAGATCCAGGTTCTTTCTGTCTTCTGCTCTGCATTCGTAGCCTGTGGCTTTGTCATTCCCTCATCTGGAAATGGCGGCTGCAGCCCCAGGCACAATGGCCCGTTGAGGAAGAAGGGGGACGATGTGCAGTGTCAGGTTATTTTATCAGGAAAGTTCAAAGCTTCTCAGAAATCTTCTGTTGGAATTCTACCTGGGTGTCATAGGCCAGAACACAACCCAAATAACCAGGAAAAATGTGAAAGTGAGAAAATAGATCGTCCACCCCTAACAATGGAGGCAGCAAGTGAGAGGGGATTGGGAATGTGTGTTGATTTCCTCAACAGTGTTTGACATAACCACTTTCTAGCTTTATAATCTTAGGCAAGTAACTCAACTTCCCAGTTCCTCTTCTGTAAAATGGGGATAACACCTGAAAAGGTTGTTACAAGATTCACTGAAATAGTTTCTATGCTCAGTCAGTAATCAGCATTCAATCAATATGAGCTCTAACATGATGCTTGACAGTTATGCAACGAACAGTTCATGAAGAGCTTTGTAAGCCATATTGATAATTTTGTCTTTATCCTTAGCACAGTGAGAAGGTATTAAAGGATTTTATGCAGGGAAGTGACATGATCATATTTGTGTTTTCAAAAGAGCCCTCAGGCTGGGTGTGGTAACTTGCGCCTGTAATCCCAGCACTCTGGGAGGCCATGGCAGGCGGTGGGCGGATCGCTTGAGCCCAGGAGTTCCGGACCAGCATGGGCAACTTGGGGAAACCCCACCTCTAAAAAAAAAATGCCAAAAAAATTTTAGCTGGGTGTGGTGGCACTCGCCTGTAGTCCCAGCTGCTCGGGAGGCTGAGGTGAGAGAATCACCTGAGCCTGGGAGAGGCTGTAGTCAGCTGTGATTGCGCCATGCACTCCAGCCTGGGTGACACAGTGAGACCCTGTCTCAAAAAATAAATAAAAAATAAAAAAAGGAGCCCTCAATTTATCCTCTGCCTCTGACAAATATATTCCATTTTGTTACATTGCAAAAATTTCAGCACATTGCTTTGCTTACCCATCTTTGCTCTGGAACGACTTTTAATTCTTCTTTTGGCAATCTTGGTTGTTTTGAGATGTGTGAAATTAGAATCATATGCAGGTGTTTGAGTTCTTTTGATTTTGCTTTTTAAAAGAGTTTTTTTTTTGTTTTGTTTTGTTTTGTTTTTAGAATGGGGCAATGTAAAGCCAGAATATCAACGTCCTTTTGTCAAGATTTTCAAACCTATTTGGCTGATAGTACACTTACAAGAATAGGTAAAAAAGATCCCAAAGATTTTACTTCACTTACTTGAACTACTAGCCCTACTATTAAGAGCCACAGCAAGCTTACATGTTCAAAAAAAAAAAAAAAAAGAGCTGCAACATTCCTTTCGCACTCCCACTCGCCCCTGAGGTTCTTCCACTTCCTTCCTATGGCTTTTTTTAGAAGCGAGTGTGTTTTTCTCACGTCCGGCAACAAAGGATGTTTTGTGCTACTACTGAGGTTTGTGTGTGTGACTTACTTTAGAACTCTTTCTAGAAAATGCGATTACTATTTGCATAGGTCTGGTAGAACTTTGTATTGAGTGAAAGTCTCCGATGACTGTTTTTGTTTTTGTGTAGATTTGCCACTGCTTAACATCAAATCACTTTCCCCTGTGTGTTTTAAAATACCTCTAATAGGACCTGTCAAAATTCTCCCAGAAGTCTCACAAATTCTTACCTTTAAAGAAAGTGTAAGTGATACCTTCAGTGTATTGTATTTATTCTTATATACCTTTGCAAAGACTTCTCATCACTTCCTTAAATATGTCTGATAGTGCCATAATGAGAAGGGGACATGGTAATTAACCATCAACTTTGGTTTTCATGGAGAAAATCTATCTGGAGCAGTCACAGTATCCTATGCTGGAGCTATCAGATGCCTTGACATTAGATGTTTCCATCTAATTGTAATTCTCTGAGCAAGGAGACAAGGTGGGATAAACAGAATTCTCAGATGGCTGAGAATTATACCCTAAATCCTGGGAGAGAATTTACCTTTCCATTGTCAGATAATATGAATCATTTAAAACATGTGCTGGAACAGCTTTGCCTTTTCTTGAGGAAAATGGGGTTTCTCTCTCAAAGAGAAAGATAAATGCGCCTCAGAAGATTTTAGTGGTCGATCTCTGTCAGTGTACTACCAGCAAAAATCCCAGCAATCAATATTACAAAGAGGCAGCACTCACTTGAGTACAGAAGTAACAACATTAGCTGCTTCGTAAACAAGATGGCATGGGAGATATTCTGTTTTGAGTAAATGACAAGTCCTACAGTCTAGATAGGAAGATTTCTCCTCCATATGGATTTTGTGATTTCGTCTTGTGTTGAGTAAGGAAGGGGAGCTTGGATTCCAAGATCAATTTAATGTCTATATTCCTTGGCATTGTCATGTTAGAGCAGCACATCTCAGATGGCTTTCAATAGTTATTTTAGCATTGATTTTCCTCTACTAGAGTAAATCAAAAGATGATTTAGAAAATCAAAGTCAGTTTTCCTTGGAGTTTTCTCAGAATAAAGGGAAGCTGTGGTGTTGAAGGGTTTTTTTGGCTCCTATTTACATATGATGCAAAATCAATCTGTGTGAATCTCTTTCCTCTGTTGAGCTCTACTATAGGCTCTACTATATGCAGAGCCTTGGGTATTTCTGTGCGAGGGGGATTATGCAAAAGAATTTTAAGGCATGCCACTTGACTTTGTGAAACCAAGTATTTGTTTAAAGAGACACGATATTATAGTGGGAGGCTGTTTTGTGAGAACCCACACTTTCATGTCAGCACCCTGAGATGGGATCCCATTACGCCCTTTAACCAGGCAAGGGACTTTATGCAGTTCTTCGTCAGGAAAATGGAGACAATTAAACTGCTTTTCTCATAGGTTGTTGTGTAAAAGGCAGCAAGATGTGGCTGTGTAAGAACATGACTGAAGCCAGACTGCTTATGCTTAAAACCTAGGTGAGCTGTTTACACCTGATATGACCTTGGACAAGTCTCATCTAACTTCTCTTGCCTCAGGTGCCTCATCTGAAGATAGCAGTGATGTTAGTGTCTGCCTCCTGCCTCATAAGCCTGTCATGTTGAGACCATCCTGGCCAACATGGTGAAACCCCGTCTCTACTAAACATACAAAAATTAGCCAGGCATGGTGACACGCGCCTGTAGTCCCAGCTACTTGGGAGGCTGAGGCAGGAGAATTGTTTGAACCCGGGAGGCAGAAGTTGCAGTGAGCAGAGATCGCTCCACTGCACTCCAGCCTCGTGACAGAGCGAGACTCCAGGTCAAAAAAAAAAAAAAAAAAAGAGTTAGTCAAGGTAAAGCGCTGAGAACAATGCCTTGCACAAAACATCACATAAGGGTTTGCTTTCATTATTGTGAGGATTAGATATAATGCATGTGAAATACTTGACACATGTAGAAGGTAACTATTCACTGTTATTTATATAGAGAACTCAGCAAAATGTGTAGTACATTTTCAGAACTTAATGTTGGTTGACTTCATTTTCTATTGTACATGTCTGTGTGTGTGTGGGGTGTGTGTGTGTGTGTGTGTAGAGAGAGAGAAGCACATATTTCCCAACAGCATAACGAGTGTAATTTTATGGGAAAAAGTATTTAGACCCAATTGGAAATTAGCCAGGCCATACAACCAGGAGTGTCTTTGCTACTCCGTCTGGTGTTGAAAGGGTTTGTATTGACTGGGCGCGGTGGCTCATGCCTGTAATCCCAGCACTTTGGGAGGCTGAGGCGGGCAGATCATGAGGTCAGGAGATCAAGACCATCCTGGCTAACATGGTGAAACCCCGTCTCTACTAAAAATACAAAAAAATTAGCTGTGCGTGGTGGCCGGCGCCTGTAGTCCCAGCTACTCGGGAGGCTGAGGCAGGAGAATGGCGTGAACCTGGGAGGCGGAGGTTGCAGTGAGCCAAGATCGCGTCACTGCACTCCAGCCTGGGTGACAGAGTGAGACTCCGTCTCAAAAAAAAAAAAAAAAGGGTTTGTATTTGTGGGCCTCTTTTTTTCTGTTGATGCTTCTCCAACATTCCACCATGGATGGAACCTCTAACACCTCATAACATGTTTGGAAAATTAAAAGGGATAATCACTGCTTATTATTCCTACTACCATAGAAGGTTAAAACATACCTGTCTTTTGGGCTTAGCTAGAACTCTAAATTTAGTAATCCTACTTACTACTAATAACAATACAGGCAGTTTCCAGAGTTTCCAATTTACTTACATAAGTTCTGTCTTCCAAAATTCAGTTATAAAACAAGAATTTGAATCTCACAATACACTTTCCCATAAAAAATGTTATAAGACATAATTAAAACTCAGGCCTACCTATCTAATTATCCCAATACCTTAGAGAAAAAAAATGGTACCGTAGATCACCAATCATGTGTGATTCATAGCACATGCTGTGAATTCTAGCTACAGAGATATCTGAAACACAGCTACCTCCATGAAAATTCTAGGGATGAGAGGCCTCATGCCTGTACTCTACCATCTTTAGTAAAAGACAACATTTTGCGGGACATGATTTTCACTGGGTAACTTCAGCCTCAGTTTTTGGGCAACATCAATGGCAGAAGAGAATGAGGGATGGCGGGGTGGAAACAGTTATTGTTATGTGTATGTAATTGTAAAGACTACTTTATTGCTAGCGATATAAAATTGCTAAAAACTTTGGCATTTGTTTTATTGCTCCCTCTTCTCCCTCACCCCTTACCATCACTCCACAAATCAACCAAAGCCAATGTCCTAAGGGATACTTTCAGTTGTTTCAATTATAGTTCTTCCTGCAGGTCCTCCAAGTATGAAATTAAGAGGCTTTCAAGATGGAGAAATCCTCTTTTTGCAATATGAAGAAAAGAGTTTGTAATGTCATTATCACCAAATAAGTTACTATTAATCCTGAATCAAGTCGTATTTAATTGTTTTGCCAGTCCAAAAAGCCTCCCTATTTAGTCTGTATGCAAGGACAGCCTGGCAGAGAAATTGAACACTTGTCATTTTAAAATGTGTCTATCACTTAATGCTTTACACAGAAGAGAAGGTGATAGTAGCTTCCTTCATGCTCCAGAGCTGCTGGTGTGACATCAATATATTCATTCATTCAAAATTTACTGAGCTTTCACTATGGACCAAGCACTACTCTTCTAACTGCTAGATATAAAGGGATAGGGAGATATTTATTAAATGATACAAAATTACAGCTAGATAGGAGGAATAAATTCTAGTGTTCTTTAGCACTGTAGGATGACTATAGCAAACAATAATATATTGTTTCAACTAGCTAGAAGGCGGATAGTGTATGTTCCCAACACAAATAAATGATAAATGTTTGAAATGATGGATGTGCTAATTATCTTGATCAGAGCACTATGATTATATGTATTGAAACATCACTATGTACCTCATGAATATGTACATTTTTTTCAATTTAAAAAATAAAATTTTAAGAATAAAAAATTTTTAAATTTTAAACATTTTTTTAAATAAAAAAGAAAAGCAGATAATTTGTCTACCAAGCCTAGATGGATGTATACTCATAAACAGGTAATACTGTAGTGTGCCATAGGGTGATAAGTGCCATGGAGGGGATTAATTTCATGCAGAGCGGGCCTGCAGGAAGTAAAGGAGCGAGCCGTGAAACTGTCTGGATAACGAGTTCTCAGGTAGAGGGAATAGCAAGTGCAAAGTCTCTGAGCGAATTGCAGGGAGGCTCTAGCAGGACCAGAGTAAACTAGGTGGGAGTGATGGGAGATGAGTTCTGAGAGGTAGCAGGAACACCTTGTAGGGCTCTGTAGACCAATACGAAGATTTGGTCTTATTCTAAGTAAGACAGGCAGCAAAGTGTTTTAAGCAGAAGTATAAGAAGATCTAGCTCATTTTTATAGGCTTACTCTGGGTCTACATTGTATGGAGATATGTTGCATAGTTTATTGCATAGTTGCACAAGTTGGAAGTGATGGTTGCTTGGAGCTAGTTACTAGCTACTAGCAAGCTAGTAGCAGTAAAAGTGGGGAAAAGTGTGGATTTTAGATATATTTTAAAGTCAGAGCCAAGAGTAGTGCCAATACGTTGGATGTAGGGTGTCAAAGAAAGAACTGAACCAAGGATCACTCAAAATGTGTGACTCGTGCAGCTAGAACTGCCATTTATTGAGCTGGAGGGATATTGTTGGAGTGTCATTTTTGGTTACTGAGGAAAGAAGAGGCGAGAGAACTGAAGTTTCATTTTGGACATTTTAGTTTGACATGCCTATTAGACATCCAAGCGGAGAGGCCAAGTAGTCAGGGGAATAAGTAAGCTGGAATTCATGCGCAAGGGCTGGCTTAAAAGTGTACATTTATGTATTTAAGGCTAGAAGGCTGAAAGAAAACACCTGGAGCAGAAGTATAGCTAAAGAAAAGAAGAGGCGTTTGAACAGAGTGCTAACACTCCAATATCTAGAGGTCGGAAAGATGAAGTGGAAGCAGAAAGGAGACAGAGGAGAAGTGAGGGAGAGAACATAAGAGAAAATAGTGCCCCAAAAGGCTAGTGAAGAAAGAACTTAAGAAGGAGGAAGAGTTTATTTGTCAGATAAAGAGTTTGTTGTCAAATACTGCCAATAAATTAGTTAAGCTGAAGACTGTAATTGATCACTGAGTCAGGTGAAAGTCATTGGTGACTTTCAATCAGTGGTGTCCTGGTAAACTGGCTCTCTGAAAAGCAGTGACAACAGCAAAATCCTGATTTGTAGTGTTTACTAAATTTCCCTGTGGAAATATTCCCATCATAGTCAATTTCCAGCTACAAACAGTTTAACAACCAGCTTGCAAAGTTCTTGAATATTTAACAATTAGCTTCTGCTAGTTGCGCCACACACCACCTTAACAGGAGCCATTTTGTAGGAGTGGTGGAGATTGGAGTAGATCCATAAGAAATGAAATGAGAATTGGAGACAGTGAGTACAGACATTTTTAAGGAGTTCTAGTATAAAGAAATAAGGTGGGAACTGAACTATGACATGTAGTCAAGATTTTTTTTTGTATTTTTAAAATAAAAAATACAGTGGCATGTTTGTATGCAGATGAGAATGATCCAATTAGAGGGGGAAATCAATGAAAAAGGAGAAAGCAGGGAGAATTGCTGGGGTGAAGTCCCTGGGTGGGAAAGAGGAGGGGGTTCTAATGCATAGGGAGAGGGTAGTTTCATCTCCAGTAACAGTGTAGTAATAGCAGAGAATAAAAGTAGCCCTGTCCAATTAAGTGTAATGTGAGCCACAAAGACAATGTAAATTTTCTAGTAGCCACATTAAAAAGTAAAACACGCCAGGCATGGTGGCTCACACCTGTAATCTCAGCACTTTGGGAGGCCAAGGTGGATGGATCACTTGAGGTCAGGAGTTGGAGACTAGTCTGGCCAAAATGATGAAACCCCGCCTCTACTAAAAATACAAAATTAGCCAGGCATGGTGGCAGGTGCCTGTAGTCCCAGCTACCCGGGAGGCTGAGGTAGGAGAATCGCTTGAACCTAGGAGATGGAGGCTGCAGTGAGCGGAGATCATGCCACTGCACTCTGTTGCCTGGGCAACAGAGCCAGACTGTCTCAAAAAAAAAAAAAAAAAGTAAAAAAACAGGTGAAGTTAATTTTAATGATTTCATTTAACCCAATATGTACAAATTATTATTAAAATATGTAGTGAATATAAAACCATTAATGGGAAAATTTAATTTTCAAAATCCAGTACATTTTACACTAACAGCACATTTCAGTTTGAACTAGCCAGTTTTCAAGTATTCAACAGTAGGGACTATCATATTGGTGAAGGTGGGTATACATATCAGTTAAGTGGTCAGATGTGTTGGTGGAAGGTTGTTGGTGTGCTGATTGTTTCTATTTTCTCAGTGAAATAGGAATCAAGTTCATCCAGCAACTGGGAGTAAGAATTGGGAAGAAGGTGCTGGAGGTTTAGAAGAGAGAGGAAAAGGTGTGAAGTAGTCATGTAGGAGAATGAAAGAGTTAATGGAACCAGAAGAATGTGCTAGAATGGGTATAGCACCATTGGCCCATTTGAGGTTAGTGGTCCAGAATTTCCAGTGAGACTAACGATGCTGAGTTTGTTTTTCTTCACCATCTTCTGCCTAGCAGGGACAGGGGCAGGGGCAGTGGCAGTGGGCGTCTGCAAAGTGGACAAAGTTGTATTTAAACAGGGTAAAATTGATTGGAAAGCAGATGCCAATCTATCATTCTGGTAAAAAATGCTAAATTTTTCCCATAGGAAGTTTGACCTTTTTCTTTCTGATCTAGGCTTTATGCTTGTGGGTTGGGGTGGGGATATAAGATGTTAAGCAAGAGTGTGTGGGAACTTGAAAGCATAGTGACATTTTTTCGTCCACTGAACTGCTATCTCAGAATTCTTAGCAAATTCTCCAAACTGTTTCTCTAGAGTCACTTAACTGAGCTGTCTGTGCCCTCTTTCCTTAGAGGTGATCAAACTATTTCTGAAGGTTTACTTATTTTTTTTTTGCATGGTCTGAATCTGATATATACTTGTCAAGACTAAATGTGTGTGTTGAGCTGACTCCATATTTGAGGCTAGAAAGACATTAATGAGGGCTCTCTGTTCTCTGCTTGTAACCTGAAGCTGCCAGTCAACAGAATGAATCAGACAGTTTCCAGCAACACACTAAGGTCCTTATGTAAGGAGGATCACACGCAATTTTTGTCTGCAGAATTCCTCTCTGTATAATTATTCTTTTGATCATGCCACACATGAAAAGAAAGGCAACTGGAGTATGAATTATGTCCTTGTTTCACTTGGCATTAACAATAGAGACAGGGTGAGGAGACTGTGAGAACTACTGGTCTGAGGGAGGTGGTTCTCCATTCGTAATTGACAAATGCTGTGTGTGTCCACAACGGTTTCCTCAGAGCCAACCTCAAACTGTATATATTACATTGAACAGTCAACATGGGTAACTACAATCCTGGGTATGATACTGCAGTAAGTGCAGCCTGAACTGTCTCTACTGTGCATGTGGGAACAGTTCATTGTTTGTCACCAAATAATTCAGACATTTGACTCCATTCATACTTTGACTGAAACAATGCAGGAGTCTTCTCACTGGTTTTATACTAAAGAGATTGAGCACTTAATCTGTAGTGTACCTGAAATGGCTTTCAGAATTATCAGTTTACAAACAGAGTTTTTGGATATGTTGAGGAGGTAGATCGCATGCCATCTCCTCTCTGACGCCCTCCTTGACACCCCAGGCAGAAGCAATCACTGTGCTTGATGATGCCTTGTGCTTCCATAGCATTTTGTATGTAGTTCAACCATGTCCCCGAACATGAAATCCCTTTCAGAACTTCAGGGATTTGCATATGATGTTCTTTTGCCTTTTCTACTTATAAACACCTCCTTATACTTCAGAATCCAAAAAATGCCTGTTGAAGGGATGAATGATATGCTCTGTAGAGGAAATGACTTTCCCTGAGTTAATCACTCTTTCTTATGAGTCTCAACAAACTTTCTTATGAGTCCCTATGCTTCATTTTTGTCACTTATCCAGTTCTTAGGATGTATTTACCTGTTGGTCTCTTTCACAAGTCTGTAACTCTTTCCAGCATAGGGACCATGTTTCATGTTGCTTTGTGTCCCCAGTGCCTAGCATAGTACCTAGCACATGATAAGCCTCCACGTTTTTGTTGAATGTGAAATATAAAGAATTAAGCAGCTGGGCACAGTGGCTCACACCTGTAATCCCAGCACTTTGGGAGGTCGAGGGGGGCAGATCACGAGGTCAGGAGTTCGAAACCAGGCTGACCAACATGGTGAAACCCCGTCTCTACTAAAAATACAAAAATTAGCCAGATGTGGTGGCGCACACCTGTAATCCCAGCTACTCAGGAGGCTGAGGCAGGAGAATTGCTTGAACCCCGGAGGCAGAGGTTGCAGTGAGCCGAGATCGCACCGCTGCACTCCAGCCTGGGCAACAGAGTGAGACTCTGTCTAAAAAAAAAAAAAAAAAATTAGGTATGGGTGTGATTCAGGTGAACATAGAAATAGCTTGAGTTAGGGCACAATTTCATAGCCATACAAATTCATATTGAAGCAAGTCAGCAAACGTGGTGCATTTCAGATGAAACCTCAACGTGAAGATATATCAGTTTTAGACCAAAGCAGAAGTTTATATAAAGGATATAAGCTTTTGCCCTGTATACTCAGGAATTAAACTAAAAAGAAATCTACAAATTCATTTATAGATTATTTCAATTTGAGGCCTATAGATATGTGAGAAAGGTTTCTTTAAGGTTTAATGACCAAGTTCCATGTGAGCTCTTACTTGGGAAACAAAATTCTCACATGGCATTAATATACTATAAATTGTGATTTATCAAAACATTCTCATATCCTATCTAGGGTGAAATTTAATATTGCCAATAAACTTTCCACTCGAAAAAAGTGGTAAAAGTGTGCATGCTAAGCATGTTTTGTTTTGGAAAAAAAAAAAAAAAAAAAGAAGGATGACTGTTCGGAAGGCACTTTCCTGAAGGCTCCCTGAATTAATTTTTGCAAATTATTTGGAAAATTCAAAGAAAAATTGTCTTTTGAGAGATACACTGAGTATTATATTTTGTATGTCAGAGGAGTATTGAATTTCTTGTTGATATCAGTTGCATTGGCTTTTTTGGTTTTGCTTGTATTATTCATTGTTTCTACAGTTCAGTATGGATGTATAATCTCACATCTAACATCTGACATTTTAAGATACAGCATGTTCCTTTTGTTTCAGGTGGACAAAATAGATCCTTTTTTTAAGTATTTTGTGCACATCTTATGACTGTGTCTTTCCAAATAATACACATTTCATGTTGGATGGCATGGGTGTGTGGGTGATTGGATGCATGGATGGACAGACAGACGGATAGATGGATGAATGGGTGGATGGTTGAATAGTGTGTGATTGCTCTGAGAGTCCAGGTGCTGGGTTCAAGTCACAGCTTTGTTAACTCACTCCCTGGCCTATAGCAAATGAATGATACAAACCTCTGTTTCTTCAATGTAATCATAGTTCTGTAGAGTCGTAGGGGTGAAATGAAATAATGCATGTAAAGAACTTTGTGTTATAATTGGCACATAGTGCTCAGAAATGTTAGCTATTATTAATATAATAAAACAATAATCGATATATATGGCTATAACCATATAAACCATTTTTAATTTAAGGATGAATAATTACAACGTGTAGATATCATGAATGCATTGATTGTAATACACTTCAGAATACCAGTAATTTTCTAATCATTAGAGTTTAAGCTCTTCTATCCATATATTAGAAGTGTAACAACCACAAGCTTCCTTATCTACTTATAGAATTGCAAGCATAGCTTACATATGAAAACGTTCTTACACGTCATAATAGGGCAGCCAGTTGTATTAAGCACCTTGTCTTATTAAGATACCATTGTTGTGTGCAGTCAAATGTTTGTAGTTTCTTGGTAAGTGCCCTTAAGGCAGATGTCTTACCCTCCAGGGAGACACTGAGGCTCTCAAAAGGGGTAATAATATTTCAAAACATCTGGAACACGGTTTGAGCCATTAGGCCGCACAGCCCCAAGTTTTTATTAATTTGTACTCCAGACTTCACTAGAGGAAAAAGCAGCACGATTTTTAGGCGAAGGAATAAGCCACTTGAGGTCCGCCTCTGAATCAGTTTCACAAAGAAAAGTCCATCAGTGCAGAGGAAGGCCAGCGGACCTGAGTACCTATGTCGTGGTTAAAGAAGGATGACTGGGCCGGGCGCGGTGGCTCACGCCAGTAATCCCAGCACTTTGGGAGGCCAAGATGGGCGGATCACGACAAACCATCCTGACTAACACGGTGAAACCCTTTCTCTACTAAAAATACAAAAAATTAGCCAGGCGTGGTGGCGTGCGCCTGTAGTCCCAGCTACTCGGAAGGCTGAGGCAGGAGAATGGCATGAACCTGGGAGGCGGAGCTTGCAGTGAGACAACATCGCGCCACTGCACTCCAGCCTGGGCGACAAAGCGAGACTCCGTCTCAAAAAAAAAAAAAAAAGAAAAAGAAGGATGACTGTTCAGAAGGCACTTTCAGCTTTTCTCATAGTTTTAACATGTGGGTCTTCCTTCTTGGAGGTATGGGAAAAACAGTCTAAGCCTGATGAGAAAAGGCTGTGGATTTCTCAGGTGATGGCTCTCGCGAGGTCTGAGCCGCGCGGCTGGGGTCTGGCTCCGCGCGTGCCTGGACACGCACAGATTGTTTTGAACTTGAGCAACGCCTCCTGCTAGCTTTCCACCCGATTTCTGTCTGTTCAGAGCTGGCCTCCTCTAGCAGGAAGTGCCTGCCGTTTAAGGAGTGCAGGCAATTCCCGACAGCCAACCCCGCCTCCCCCGCCTCCTTGCTCTGCTTCCTTCTCATTGGTCTGGAGGCCGGCCGGGCCTTATCCTCGCATTTTTAAAATGTCTTCTTTTGTCAGCTTGAGGTTTTCCAGAATTTAAAAGCGGAAAGGAAGAGAGAAGGACAAGGAAGCTATAAAAGACACATTAAATAAACTCTACTGGGAACAAGTGTGTGTGTGTGTAAGAGAGAATGTAACTTTTGCAAGGGAAGTTGGTAGATTGCTTATTATTTTAACAAAGAGGGGGTGTGTGTGTATGTGTATGTGTGTGTGTGTGTGTCCCTGAACTGGAGAAGCAGATGTTTAAAGGAGGCAGCAGGAAGCAGTTCTGACAAATGAAAGGATTTTTGATTGAATTCATGAGCTAAAGTTTCCTGCCAGTAATGCATTCAACCCTAGGCTACATAAAAGAAAAACCTATATAATTGAGGTTTAATTGCTTAACTTTTAAACATGCAACCAGAACAGGCAAGTGTAGCTTCCACAGGTAAACCTAAGTGATGCTGTAAGCTGATTTGGGGTTATTATTTATTGGCACTTCATAAAATTATGATCCTTTCCCCTTTATCATGCTCCTGCTTTTTCAGTGCTTGAGTGCCAGAGTCTATCCCTTATTGTCTGTGTAAGTTAAAATCCTTGGTGCACACTTTTTTTTTCTCTTTAAGCTGTTTCGTGAGCAGGTGCAGATGGCTTTCATGAACTGAGCCAAATGAAATGCTCTGTTTCAGCCTGCAGAAACTAAAGTTTTTAAAAACGGAACAACTGTTTTGTGCTGTACCTATAATTCAACTGGAAAATGTTTTCCCCCTTTTATGATGAAAACTGCCATCTCTGTTTCTCTTACTGAATCTGGTTTATTTACAGCCTTAAGGAAATCTTGTCACTAAAATCCACCCTCACCACTCCTCCAGTATTTTTCAGTCTGATGATTTCACAACCAGAGCCATTGCAAAATAAGAGTACATGGGCATTTTTTTAAAATCCCTAGTGATTTTTATGAAGTTTTTTCCTGTCTTGTTTCTCATTGTATAATTAAGTAAACAGTTTCAGGAATACTCAAAACATTGAGAGTGCTCTACCTTTTCATAAATATAATATGAAATAAATCACTTTATTCATCAAGGGTTTTAATTTTAAACCAAGCAACAGAAAGAGGGGCATCCACTTGGTTTGGTGCTTGCATTGTTGAATCCTCTTGAGAAACAAAGTAAAAAAGTGAATTAACTTCCTTGGATCATAGAAAGCTCTAGTGGCCATGGTTGTGATGAACCTTAGCTTTCTGCTCCAATCACACTTGCATGGGCTCTCATGCAAAGATATATAACAAGTAACCATAACCCAAAGCTGTAATTTTGCTAATTTGCTGAACCCTGAACTGAATAAAACCCAAATATTAATGTTGTAACTGAAGCAAAATATGTTCAAAAATAGACCAAACAAACTAATTCAAACCAGAACGATACTTAGATATTTTCTAAAATGATTGAACAGAGCAAAACTAGAATTTCGAAAACTTCCACAAGTCTAACCTAAAACAAACCAAGGGCCCATTGGTTTGCATCGTTTTATGAGAGCCCAGCAGGAAGTGGAGGACTTAAATTCTCCTCCTCTGTTGACTTCCGCAATCAACACTGTCCCAGGGACACTCACTCTGGCAACAAATGTTCACAGGCAATACCTGTTATGTTGACAGAGAAGCCAATAGGGCAAGGTTTCTTACCCGTGGCACTATTTTCTTTCTGGACTAAGTCCTTTTTGTATGGGGCTGTCCTGTGCATTATAAGATATTTACCAGCATCTCTGGCCTCTACCCACTAGGTGCCAGTAGACCCCTCCCTCCAGTTACAAAAGTTAAAAATATCTCCAGACATTGCCAAATGTCTCCTGGGGGGCCAAATCACCCCCTGTCAAGGACCACTGCAATAGGGGAATAGTCGTCAGCCTCCCACATTGTTTCAAAAGGATTTTTTAGTAGATGTTGGAAAGAGAAGCTGTGCACTGATCTTCCCAGAAGGACCACCTAGTAGGAAATAAAAGCCAGTCTCAAAGTCCTCATTTCAGAGTTGGTTTCTCTGCTAAAGCACTAAATCTTTGATGCTGAGAAGACAATGTATGGTACTACTGTGTGGCAGAACTAGTGAAAATACTGTAAGTTGTTGAAGACATTTGTAAATATATACTATAATAAAAACTCTACCTCACAACAGCCGATGGTGTTGGTGATCAAAAAATAATTGCAGAATCTTCTGATGACACTTCAATTGCTGTTTATCTTCATATTCTGGAAAAATAGCAGAAGAAATAGTTCAACCTATTAGTCTAGTAGTGTTTCTAGTTCACAGCATAGGGAGATGCTGTTTGATCCAGACTGCCTACATACCCTACAGGGAATTATTATATATTTGAGTGCTATTTCAGGAGAATTAGACATCTTAATTATAACTTTTTTAAGTTTGTGTGTATATAGTATATGCTTCTGAAATGAAATTTATAGTTATTCCGTACTTCAATGAGACTTTTCATTTTTATATACTGTAATAGTACCTTTCTGCTGGCAGTTTTCATTTAGTAGGAAGACTAATTTGTACATCAGAGAATTATTTGGAACAGTGGGTCTTGCCAAGATTATAATGTGGTAATTGCATTTAAAATTGAGCTGTGCCAATGCATTGCAAAAATAATAATAAGCCCACTAAATATATAACACTGACACAGACAGTTCATCAGCTTTCTTTTTTTTTTTTTTTTTTTTTTTTTTGAGACGGAGTCTCGCTCTGTCGCCCAGGCCGGACTGCGGACTGCAGTGGCGCAATCTCGGCTCACTGCAAGCTCTGCCTCCCGGGGTTCACGCCATTCTCCTGCCTCAGCCTCCCGAGTAGCTGGGACTACAGGCGCCCGCCACCGCGCCCGGCTAATTTTTTGTATTTTTAGTAGAGACGGGGTTTCACCTTGTTAGCCAGGATGGTCTCGATCTCCTGACCTCGTGATCCACCCGCCTCGGCCTCCCAAAGTGCTGGGATTACAGGCGTGACATCAGCTTTCTTAATATGGAAAAAACAAACCAAATTTTCTATTTTTTGTATGTCAGGAAAAACCTGGAGAAAGAATAATCACAGTATAAAATTGAACAGCTAATTGAGTTTTTGAAATGGTTTATTTTAATGGTGATTTAGCATTCTAAGACACAGACCCTTAGCTTTTGTTTAGCTTTTGTCTTTGAATGTAGCTTCTAAATTGAAGTGCTGTAATAGCCACAAAGAAAAAAGTTATTAGTTAATATATTCTCATAGACTGTAACTGATGATGATGCCTATGAAGCCTATAAGAAAAATTCCCTTAATCTCAATGATCTCTACAGCCACCCTATTCAGAATCAATTGTTTCCCTAATTTGCCAATGGGAATAGTCCAGCTCAGAAATGTTAAGAAGACATGGACAGGTCACCACAACTGTGTCATAGTGGCTGGGAGAAAGGGGTCAGGGGGTGAAGAATACTAACAAATGTTTGAGAACTTACTAATATACCTACATTATTGACCAACATTCATTCTACTCTGGGACATGACCACCACTGCTGCTCTATGACATGGGTGCTATTATTCTATGTCCTAATGATACAATAGACTCCAAATGGAAACTCCAAGTGGACAGTTAGTAAATGGTAGCCCCCAAATTTGAAACCAAGGTTTCTTTCTACTTTTTTTTTTCTTGATTCGCCTGTACTTTGAATTCAAAAACATAAACTCAAGATACATCAATTCACAGTAATTTAGAAACTCTGAATCATGAAAAAAGCATAATCACATTCCAGCCTCAGTTTTTAGGACAACTCAAACTCTGAACATTCTTGATTTCGTCCTAGGAATCTGCCTTTACTCTGAAATTGACGAAAATAGCCATAGGCTTTCTATCAGTCTCTTCTAAGCTTCCTGAGAGAAGTGCTGGTATTGGCAGGTACAGCCTCCAATAGGGGTCAACAGCTATTCACTTCCGTCTCTTCTACTGCCATCACTCAAGGAAGGAAAGAAAAGCCACCTCAGTGGGCTGGAACCTAGAGCTTTTTCTGTCTCCTCCCAAGTATTAAATCATTCAAACCTAACACTATATAACAGCCATTTAGAGAACAGCACCACATTTACTTTATGGCAGCCAGAAGGATTGGGATCTGTTGTATCATCATGTTAAAGTTTAGGAAAGTGAGTATTTAATGGACCAATTCTGACTTTAAAATGTTAGTGTGATTCCCATCTTTGGTTGCAGCTGTAGTTGTTTCAACCTGTCTTTTCCCTAGCTGGCAAGCTTGTGCCTAATCTTAGGTTCAATCCTGGTGTCACAGCTTGCTTATTACTTGGACTTTGGCCAGAATACCTCTTCATTTTCTATTTTCTCCACAGACTTCTGAAACCCAAAGTGGCTACTTACTCCTTTGGACACTGATCCTTCAACAAATCCCTTTTTAAATTCTCTCTTGCTTAGTTCTGTTTCTCCAAGAAGCTTCCATCAACTATATTTCATCAGTGACTCAATAATGTTCTACCCCATTTTGTAAACACATTATTTATCTGACAAGCTCTGTTCATACCAGACACTTGAATAAGCTCACATGCCTCTACATAGCTCTTCTAGTAATTTCTGGCTCATTAAACCTTAGTAAACCCACTTCTACATATCATATCAATAAAGGAAGTTTTGTCTGCAGCGATAATAGCTACAATGGGATCAAACTTTGGAAAAAAGTTATCGATCCAGGAGCTAAACCTAAATGTCATTGTGAGGGAGTTTGCAAAGTGAAAACCATAGCAATCATGGGAATGCTGCAGTAGAGACAGCAAAGTTTGGACTCACAGCAGAAATTTCATTCAAAATTGGGTTCTTTTTCTCTGGTCTCACAAATTATTTCCAGAGGTTAGCCACTTAAGGAAAAATAAATCTTGTCTCACTTGCAAGTAAAGAATGTGTTATTTGACTTGAAACATAACACAGATACACCTTGGCTCAGTTTTGTTTTGTGTCTGATGAGCTTAATATTGCTCTCCTCCTTTATACAAGCCCTTCACTGATTTCATATGTGAGGTGTCCTAGCATGAAATGCTTAAATCAGACTCTGTAATAGTGTAAATGGCAGTTTTATTGTCTCTTCCATATTAATGAAACCCCCAACTAAACAACTAAAGCTCTGTACTAATTGCTTGTCCTGAGAGCTGGGTATTTCAGGTCTAATTCTCTTTAGAACACCAGCTGGCATAGAGTATACAAAAGCTCCTTTGGTTACTTTAACCACTTAAGTACTAATTTGGTGGCACGGAAAGCATTAGACTTTGTCCATACAGGCAGAACAAAGCAGAATATTGAGCAATTTTTCAAATTTTATCAATGTAGTAAGTCAGCTCAGTTGATGTTTCTAGTTAAAACAGATGCTTGAGTTGTCAGGATGCATTCAAACAAAGTGTTTGTTAAAATAAACATTAGCTTAGCAGATTCCTTTCATTGCATCACATTCTAAACAATGAGCAAGGTGTAAACTCTGGAAATCTGTGAGCCTTGAAGAAAGTAGGCGTGCATAAAAGATTATGTAGTTTTCCGAATGTGTTGTATCCACAGCCAGATTCAATACACGACAATTACATATTACATTAATGAATAAAAGTTTGGTCTGCAGTTGCCTGTGACACAACTATCAAATCTTTCAAGCAATGTGAAAGCTGCTATAGATTGAAAAATAAATATTTTTTGGATGTCCACTATGTGCCTAACAGTTTGTTTAGATATTATGGAAACACAGCTTCACTTATCGGGAGGTGACAATTTAATTGGAGTTAGAAAATCAACTCCTGTGAAACAATTATAAAGAAGAAATGAAATGTATTATGTGGTACAGGCTATTAGAGCCAAGGATAATAAGGTGTTAATTGTGCGATAGGCAGTAAGTCTCAAAGGAGTTAAGGAAGGTAGAGATCAACATGGGCTGAGGTCATCCAGGAAGACTTTCAAAACAAACCAACAATTTTTATAAGCCCCTTCTATGTTCAAAGCTTTGTGAGGGCGAGAGAGAAGTGTGATCACAGAGATGGGACTTAAGCAGGATCTGAGAGGATGAGAAGAATACTGACTGGCCAAGAAGAGAAGGTAAATTACTATAAAATACAGAACTCGGGGAGGGGACCGGACAAGGGAGAACCATAGCTACAATAATCAGCTTAACATTGCAGTTCTTCCTTTGAAACTGCTTAGACTGATGCAGATATGCCAGCTTAGATTTTTTAATCCATTTTGGCTCATGCTTGGTCTGCAAAATATTAGCATCCAGTTCAGAGGTTTCTCTGTCAGAAAGAGAAAAGCAGACAGTGCTGTTCTTTGGGATTTTGGAAGATGATCTAGCAGAAATGATAGATGGCACTCACTAGCATCTTTTTCTTGCAAAGAAAAGCACTTATTGAAAACAAAGCTGCCAGCCAAACTATATAATATGTGGTAAAGGCAGAGAGCTCAGTATACCATAGATATTTACTAAGAAGACAGTAACCAAGCTCTGAATGTTATCTGTAGGGTTGATAACATCCAGATATCAATGTTATTATCAACCCTCCAGATTGATGACATATAACAATGTTATATGTTAATATATATTCTCTTTGGGTTTTATAAAAACTCTCAAGCGGCTTCATTTGATAGACTCTCCTTTCTGTTTTAAAATCTAACATTTTAAAGTGAGTACGCATTCATGGTGCTTTCTAAATTCCACGTATGCATATTTCTATTCAAAGTCTCCTACTATGGAGACTAAGAACGAATGATTTCTGGCTCAGAGACTCAAAGATACCCCAAAATACCTTTATTTTCCAGGCAGAAAGAATGTGGGAAAAAAATGTTTATTTGAAAGATACAGACTTTCGGGTTTTAAAATAATAGTTATTAGAACTGAGGTCTAGTGCATTTTCTGATCTCTATTTAAAGCTCCGTAGGTGATTTTGTTTTTAAGATAACATAATATCTCAAATCTTTTATTCTGTCAAGTAGCAATTGCAAAAGATTCTTTGCTGTTGTGAAGATTTTGGAAGAGAGGAGACAATTCTTGCTATACTATCATTTCTTTAATTTGGCAGCTTTATGTCATATGTCTAGAAAGAAGTTGTGTAATGCTGCATATGCCAGTGGCACAGAAGTTTTTGACAGTGAGCAGCCCCATTTCTATTGAAAAAAGAAAGTTTCGCCTTTGTCATGAATTCAAAGTGCTCCTTCAGTGGGATGACTCCTGTCATTTCCCTCAGGGTCCCAGAGCGACAGAGGAGGTAGAGCACTCACTTACCAAAACATGACAGAAAAGAGCATTCATCTCTGGCACAAGTGATGCAATGCATTTCTTGGGAAGGGGGTGCAGTGGGCAGATGTGCTGCCTTGTCTAAAACAGATTTTACTGCTGTTTATAGTTCTCTCTCCAGCTCTAACCCGCAGCTTTCTGGTATGACTGTGATACAGCAGCAAGGGGTTTTACTCGGTACTGAATGCTTGAAATAATGTGAAGTGTTTCAGTGTAAAACCCTGGTTTACATTGAAAAAGAAAGTGTACATCTTACAAAAAGAAAGATGCCTTTTTTAATTGATTTGGATTCCTTTTAAAAATAAACTCCTTTTAAAAATTGAGAGGTCTCAATCCCCTTAGAACACAGACATTTAAAGAGAATTAATAAGGAATAGATGATCACCAGGGCCAGCCCTCCTTACTTTACAAATAAGAAACCAAACCTGAGGAAAGTAATTACTGGCCCAAAGTCACATAGAAGTTTACTGGCAGGATGGAGTGAGTCTAAAATCAAGGTCTCCTGACTTTCAGTTCAAAAGAATAATAGAAGAGGGAAATCATTCCTCTAGATCAGGGGTCAGCAAACTTGTTCTATTAAGAGCCAGAGGGTACATATTTTAGGCTTTGTGGACCATATGACTATTGGCAGCTACTCAACTACTCAGCTCTGTCCTTGGAGCCCAAAAGCAGCCATAGACAATACATAAACAAAAGAGTGTGTCTATGTTCCAATAAAACTTTATTTACAAAAACAGCCTGCAGGCCAGATTTGGCCCTTGAGTCATAGTTTGCTGATGTTTGCTCTGGATCTAAAGGAGAAAATAAGCATGGAAGTCTCGTTGGGAGCTTCTTTATGAGCCACATCCCAAACTTGGTCTGTTATGGAGAATGTCAATTTTTCATAGGTCCAGAGGGTGCTATTAATTAGCTAAAATTGCTCTGACTCAGGCAAAACTGACTCTTTTTATAGCCTTCTTGAGAAAAGGTTGTTTATGAGAATTTCAAAGTATTGAAGAGTCATTTTTCAGGATTGTCTTTGTGTCACCATTGTTCCACTTAAATGTGAAAGATTTATGTTTCTATATTCCTTTTAGAAGTTGAATGCATTCACAACAGGGTGTTCCATTATCAGTGTTAGATATTGTTCACTTATCTCTTAAAAAATTTAAGTACGTATCTTTTTTTCAGAAACACAATTCCAGAGTTGTGGCTTAACAGAAGTTAAAAAATGGAAATGAAGTTAAGTTTTCCTGAAAGGCAACCATATTTGTACAGCAAAATTCCTCTTGGACCATAAAGAAAGCTTGAAGGTGTTTTTTAATTTTGCAAGTATGTGCATGCATATGTGTGCTTGTGTGTGTGTGAGAAAGATAGAGATACAGATAGAAAAAGAGACAGACAGAAAGAGAGGGAGAGACATCTCTGGGAGTGAGTCAAATGGAATACCTACATTGGTGACTGAGTGTCCTGGAATTAAAATCTGCTATCCCATTTTTAAAATGTATGTATGTGTTTATTTATTTATTTATTTTTTGAGATGGAGTTTTGCTATTGTTTCCCAGGCTGGAGTGCAATGGCGTGATCTCGGCTCACTGCAACCTCCGCCTCCCGGGTTCAAGTGATTCTCCTGCCTCCTCCTCCCAAGTAGCTGGGATTACAGGCATGTGCCACCACACCTGGCTAATTTTGTATTTTTAGTAGAGACATGGTTCCTCCACGTTGGTCAGGCTGGTCTCGAACTCCTGACCTTAGGTGACCCGCCCGCCTTGGCTTCCCAAAGTGCTGGGATTACAGGTGTGAGCCACCATGCCTGGCTCTGTTATCCCATTTTAACTGCTTGGTGTGTTCAATGTCTCAAGGTATATTGGAGTTAGATCAGCGTACCCTCACTTGGGCACACATACAGGGTTCTGCTATTCCATATGCATAAATGTTTGAAAAGTGATCCTTTAGGAAGTATATTGTTTTTGCCAGTCTTAATCCAGAAGCAAGACTTAAATATAGGATGGAAAGACATAGGATGGAGACAGTGCTGACTGAGGCAAGAAATGGAGAGAGGGCTGGATTTCTAATTTTGGAGGCCCACCTGGCCACCACTTCTTCTGAGCAGGTGCAGACTACTTCTTCGCTTCTTCTGTTTCATCTCTTCCTCTTGTTCTTCTTCATTCACTTCACTCCTTTTTCTAACACTGAATACCAACTACACGGCAGGTGAAAGAGGTGATGTATCACAACTGGCCTAGGAGAAAATCATTTTGTTTTCTATTTCCTTCATCTCCCATATGCCAAGGTATTATAAAGAATGGGGGTCAGGCATGGTAGCTTATGCCTGTAATCCCAGCACTTTAGGAGGCAGAGGCAGGAAGATAGCTTGAAACTAGGAGTTTGAGACCAGCCTGGGCAGCACAGCAAGACCCCTGTCTCTACAAAAAATTTAAAAATTAGCTGGATGTGGTGGTGTACACCTATTGTCCTAGCTACTAAGGTGGCTGAGGCAGGAGGATCGATTGAGCCTAGGAGGTTAAGCCTGCAGTAAGCTATGATTGCACCACTACACTCCAGCCTGGGTAACAAGAGTAAGACACTGTATCTTAAATTAAGAAAAAAAAAAAAAGAATTTAAGAGTAGGGAAAACACATGAATGTCTGTTTTTTTTCCTGACATAAATGTTGCATTTTTAAAGATAATACTTTTATCTATCTGTGAAGATTGTTTTTTAGAGTGAATGAAAGAAAAATTATTTAAAAGTTTCTTTTACTAGGAATTATTTAGTAAAGCCTCCTTTCCTGTGGTCATGTTAGTCTCTAGAACAAATCCAGTATCAGTATAATAAATAATTTATTGTACTCTAGCACTCAAACTTGCTTTTCTATTGGTGACAGATATTGTTTTTTCTTTGTTTGCTTTAGAAGTTTGTGTAAATGTTTTCATTGCATTAGTGACAGCTTTAAAAAATTGGTCTTAAGAGCAAATAATTAGAGTGTTAATATCCTTCTCTCAAACTAGACACATGATAGGATATTGGGATTCATTTTATTTTATTTTGTTTTACTCATGCTCACAGATCAGGGCTTAAATAAGAAGGCTGATTTCTTACTTTTCTCATCAATTTTCAGGTTTCATTTTGAAGGAAGTAAGAGAGTATGTTGGCCCAATTTGTGGTTCTAATACTTCAGCAATGCGGTCCAGCATTCTGGCCTCCATATCTGTGAACCCACATTCTCCTCTTAGAAATGCCCTCCTTGGCCGGGCGCGGTGGCTCACGCCTCTAATCCTAAGCACTTTGGGAGGCTGAGATAGGCGGATCGCGAGGTCAGGAGATCGAGACCGTCCTGGCTAACACGGTGAAACCCCGTCTCTACTAAAAATACAAACAAAATTAGCCGGGCGTGGTGGCGGGCGCCTGTAGTCCCAGCTACTCGGGAGGCTGAGGCAGGAGAATGGCATGAACCGGGGAGGCGGAGCTTGCAGTGAGCCGAGATCGCACCATTGCACTCCAGCCTGGGCGACTGAGTGAGATTCCATCTCAAAGAAAAAAAAAAAATGCCTTCCTTTTCTTTCCACCCACCCACATCCTACCCAGACATCAAGTTCCCTCTTAACACCATAGGCCTTTAGGAAGCTCTCCTTGGATAATTGCCCACCACAGTGATCCTTATTCTCTCGGAATTTCTGTAGCACTTTTAGTTTATGCCAAACAATTTCTCACTTAATTATATGTTCTCTTGGATCACTCTCTAGTGGTTTAAAGCATAGTGTTACGCACATAATCTGTGCAGCCGTTTGAAGAAAAGGCACGTGGCTCATGGAGGAGCCAAAGACGTGATGCTTAGGGAAGACCACAAGTACCCATAGGGAGGAATCATCTTGGGGGGATCTAAATTTGCCCCTCAGACTCACAAGCACAGTGATGTGAATGGCAGGATACCACATGTTACTACATCAGCCAGAGGCAAACTCATCTTCCTCGGATTCATCAGATTGATTCTAATTTATTAGTTTTCAAAATAAAATATCCCTATCTAGCATAACTAGACACCTACGTCCTCAGGTACCTTCAGGTGAGCTCTTTGAGTTTAGTTAGAGGCATCAGAACTCTTGGTGAGCATGGAATCAAGGCAAAAGCGACTAGTCAGGTGAATCACAGGTTTAAGGATTAGAACAAGAAGATTGGTGACATATTTTTTAACCTAAGGAGATTCCTGCCCACAAGACTGGGTAGGTAGTGTCCTTCTGTACGATGAGCTTGGATAGTGGACAGTGCTTCCTTGACTGCTTACTGTCCTGGCAAAGTGCTTACTTGGAGGATTACTCTGCAGCTCTCTCATTGTTCCCATGAGTGACCAACTCTCTTTCCAACTCATACATTTGTTTTTCATAAGGTCTTAAATATAGTCGGCAGTTTCCAGTCAAGTCCTATTCTCTTTCAGTTGAGTTTTACAAAAATCCCTCTCTTGTATGTAGAACAATCTCATTTCTGCCATTCCCAAGTCCTCAGGGTGCATCTCATTGTCGTCTTCCTTTACATCCTACAGTAGGTACCACTAAATATTACGTGATTGATTATCTCCCAGCTCCAGTATAAAATCCTTAATGGCGTAGGCTACAGAAACATTTATTTTATCCCACATTTATGAAACAAGCATATTTAGCATCTACTGTATTTCAGTATTATTCAAGTTAATAGGAATACAGAAATCAATACAACGCATTTCCTTTCTGTAGAGACTTTACATTTAAAAGACAGGTGTGTAAAACTAGTACAATAAAGTGTTTTCGGAGTTGTGAGGGCTACAGATGGTGATACACGAAAGAGGAAATAATTTTACCTGTGGGAATCAGGAGAGTTTTTATATAGAGAGAAATATATTTATTAAAACCCCCTATATATGATTTTTTCTTATAAATTATTTTAGATACCAATCCAGATTATTCAAATCTTGACCTCTTTCTCATTCACATCTATTCGCTTGTCATTAAATACTCATGCCTAGTCTAAGTTTGGAATGAAAATGTCACAAGACATATCTTTCACTATTTCCTGATTTACTAAACATGGAAATGTAGCTCAGGACCTGAGCATTTAGTCATCTCATGTGACCATGAGGACATTAAATAAGGAAGGAAATGCAGAAGTGAGTGTGATGATCTCTTACAACACCGCTATTTGGGTAGAGAAGTAGAGTTTTAATTAGCGAGACAAGTGTCAAATATATTCTACACACATCACAGCACATTAGGCTTCGTATTGTTCCCTCATTTCCTGAGGACTATTTCCAAAGATAGGTATGGATGAAATCAGAGAACGTTGGGACTCTATAGGTCTCAGACTGGCCAGAAAAGAATCAACATAATCTGATGTGGGCTGTCCTGGAAATCAGGAAACTCAAGAGGCAGTCATCCCTACATACATTTTAGTAAATTATTTAACATTTCTGTGTATTCGTTTACCCATTTGAAGAAAGGGAGCTAGTATGTCTAGTCTTCAACTCTGCATATAGGATGCTATAAAGTAGTTAAGTTACAACCTTGTTCTTCTAACATTTCAGCTGCTTCATTTGCCTACATCAAAAAGCACTGTGTATAAATCATTGAAAAAAGAATATGTATAAATCCTTAAAAGAGCAGTAAGTGAAGTAATGCATTTAAATTGAGAATCAAGATGTACAAATATATATAGATATATACAAATATTTGAATGAGCAAAACATATAAATCTTTGAAAGAGGTATTAATGAATTTTGATGTATTTTTATAAACTGAAAATTTTTGCACAAATGTTGTCATCATCATACTCATATTCTATCCTAGACTATTCTAGACTAGCCAGGTCTATCCATATTCATCATTCCATATTCTAAATAGCTCAGGATTTTCTTTCTAAAAATGGGACCAGGGACAGTCATATTGTGGGAAATTTTTCATTAAACATCCCACGTTTCGTTAAATGTTTTTTCTTAAAGCTGTTTCAATTTTCAGCTTATCCTATTGAGGATAACAATTCTGAAAACTTAACAACTGGTGTTAAGTTTAATAATAATATTTGCATACCAAACATAGTACTTTTCTGTGTAAGAAAAAGTTTCACTGGTTCTAGGATACCAAAATACTGCAAATTGATTTCTGTTTTCCATATCCACACCCACCTTCCTGCTTTTGATATCTGTCTGGTATTTTGCAAGACAGAATGTTATGTGAGAGTGAGCACCAAGCAATGATATTTCTCTGCAGCCCAAAGAGTCTACAATTTCCTCAAAATGTGAGTAATTTCAAATTTATGGTATTGCCAGTTCTGCTTTTATACTGGTATAATGCAATGAAGTACTCATTCAGATTTTTATTCTCTGTTGGTTTGAAGAAAACATTTAGAAATTCTTAAATGAATCAATCGATATGTAGTCAAGGCACCATGGTAGCTTCTGGGGAGATCATGTGATTATATTTCTGTATCTAGGATGCTTGCAGTCTGGTTAGAAAGACTAGCCACATTGTGAGAAATGCTTTACAACATGACACACGAGGTAGTATCTGGTAAGGGATCCTCTAGGTAGGTAGAGAGTGGAGATTCAGAGGGCTTCCTGGGGCTCCAGGGGTGTGAAAGGCCTTGGGGGAAGAGAGGGAATCTCTGCAGGATCTCACCAATTGTTTTCAGAAGAAAATTAATTAGAAAACACTCTTACGTATAATTGCTGTTCTAGAAAATGGTTACAATTTACTTCTTTAAATGTTTAACAACATTTTAAATTATGTATTGTTTTCTTTTTGCCATTCATTCATCTCTTGGTGGTTTGGGGTGTGATTTGTGTTTTTCCCCTCTCTTGACTTATCTGAGAAATTCTGGCACTAGCCAGGTTTGGGATGTTTTTGTTCAGACATTCTTAAGTTATTTGGTAAGAAGAAAGGCTTTGTTGCATTTTTCTGCTGAGAAACAACTTTCTTTTTCTTTGTTTCAACCCTGAACTTCCTAAAAGCTCTTTATTTCTATAGATTGTTCTACAAAGCTATGCCTCAGGAGGTGAGAGACTAGGGAGCATTTTTTTTTTGTTCAACTAGAAGTAGCCACATTTTCAGAAAACAACTAATAAGTTTAAAATATGTCAAAGATAACTTTACAAGAGACCGCGTGAACATAGATATGTAAAGGAGAGCCTAGTGCTCTCAATGCCCATATCTGCAGGCCTCAAAATTGCTTATGAAGTCTAGAAACCATGGCCATCTGCCAGCCGGAGGCAGCATCACCACAATGGAATTCACAGTCACTCTGTTAAGACTTTATAAATACAGTGAGGGTCCAGGAGCCAGGACCTTCAGGCGCATGAGGCTTGTCTGGTCTGGTCTGGCCGACTGAGCAAGGAAACCCTGTCCTTGAATGAGGACTTCCTCAGCTTCAGTGACTAAATGTTTGTTCTCAAAAGTAAAATGTCCCAATGGAAGGTGGACAGCGGCCATCTTCTTATTTTATTTGTTTATTTTTAGCCAGGCACTCCATTAGTTGTGGCAGGAAGTCATCCTGAGAGGAAAGTCAAGGTGTATGTACATGGTTGACTTGGGGAAAGTGTTTGGAAGTTGGAAAAGTGGAACCATTTTTGAGTGTGACTTCATTTCTCTTCTGACCTAGCTCTACACAGTGTCATATCCTAGGAACTGGGTGCTAGCATGAAGGAGAAAAGCAAGATAAATTAAAGAGCTTTACCTCTAGATAGTAATAGGAAACCAAGAATCCAGCCTGGTGATGGCTGGAGGGAGTGATTGAAGTTAGCTGATGCCATGGGGAGTTAGCCAGGCAGCAAAAATGTCTGGAAACCCGATGTGGCCAAGACTGGGCTGTCCAGAAGCTCATCAGAGATAGACTCAATCAGTACTTTCTCTCCCACCTTCCTGAACAAGAAGAAAAAAATATGAGAGAATTGAGTTTGTAGTGTTCCCTTTTTCTCCCCCCAGGCTGGAGTGCAGTGGCACTGTTTCAGCTCACTCCAGGCTCAGCCTCCCAGGTTCAAGTGATCCTTCCACCTCAGCCCCCCGAGTGGCTGGGACTACAGGTGTGCACCACCACGCTCCACTATTTTTGTAGTTTTTGTAGAGACAGGGGTCTCACTTTGTTGGCCAGGCCGGTCTCAAACTTCTGGGCTGAAGCGATCTGCTTGCCTTGGCCTCCCAAAATGCTGGGATTACGGGCATGAGCCACTGCACCTGGCCGAGTTTGTAATGATTTCATTCGATGGCGACAGAGACATAAATAATAACAGCAGCAACAACAATAAACACTTGTTCTCTGCCAGGTGTTAAGCAAAACACATTGTATGCCTTTTCTCATTTAAACTTACAACAACCATATAAGGAAACTACTATTATTATTATTTCCATTTTACCCATGAGAAAACTGAATGAATCTCAGAGAGGAGCAAACTATGTCAAAAGTCACATAATTGGATAGTGAGATTATGGTGTTTGTACTGAAATATGTTTAACTTCAGAGCTCATGCTCTGAACACATACTATACTGCTCATTTATTCATTTATTCACATATATATTGTGCAACCACAGTGTGCCAGGCACTGGGCTGAAACAGGAGGATGAGAGAACCACTCCCTGCATTCTTGGCATGAAACTTACAGTATAGCTGTGAATGAGACTTATTTATGAAATAATCACATAAATGTATAACTGTGAACTATGAAAAGCAATATTAAGGAATGGATCACTACAGGATTATGCGTAGGTACTAGGGTAAGTATATACCTATTAGAAGGAAACTATGAACTATAATAAGTGATATTAAGGAAAGTTTAGAGAGTCAGAAAACTTGATATAATTTTAGGGAGTCAAGGAGAACTTCCCGAAGAAAGGGGCACATGCTTTCAGATCTGAAGGATTAACATGATAGCTAAGCAGAGAGAACTTGCTGGGTAGGGAAAGGCTAGCAGGTACAAGGGCCCCGAGGTAGGAGACAGCTTGACATGTTGCTGATTCTGTGAATACTTATTGAGGCATAGTGTAGCTACTGGTTTGTCACTTTTGTTGTGTTTCATATTCCTCCATTGAACGTAACATTTTTTACTGTTTCACTAATGAATTGATGTGAAGATATTCTATTTTATGCAGTTTTGATTTGTTTGTTTTCTGCTAATTTTATCTGACAAATTTAAAGTTTTTAGGGGAATAAGGGCTACATCTGTCATTGCTGTATCACAGTTTCTAAGATGGCATGCAGTTTAGGTACTTAAGTGCATTTTTATAGTAAAGAATAAGAATAATAATAAATGTCAATTCAGAGACTAATAGAATTTAGTTGCTTTTAGCTGATATGCTCAATTAAGAATTGACACTGTCTGTAAAAATCTTATCTTTATATATAATATGAGCTAGGAAATAGATTCATTTCTAATTTTTGCTAAGTGAAACATTTTAATATTCCTTGAAACTAAATGGAAAATTTTCCAAAGTAATGCTTGGCAGTTTGGCATGTGGAGAAAAAAAATCTTTCCTCTAGAGCAGCTTTTCCAGGGAACAGATTAGAATTAATTAGGGGATGTTTTACTAATGGAATATTTTTCTTCCCATTAATGTCACTGTCCTTCATGCCTGAGGATGGCATTATTGGCAATGATTGCTCTTATGTGTGAGAGACTATATAGACAGACAGGCCATTGCATAGAATTCTATTTGTCACACAACCTGAGACCACTGTCTTTAGTTTCAAAGCCTGAAGCTGTTTGTCTGGTCTGGCATTGTTTGGGACCTTACCTGCTAAAACTGTAATTGGCCCAGAGTCTTTTCTTGAATTCCACCCAAATTCTTTCCCTGTGACATAAAATCATTCTTAAATAACTTTTTAGGCAATAAAGCCTCCTCAGATTCAATCCCCATGCTATCTGTGGTGGGGAACACTAGGATATTGAGCCTTTAAAAACATGCACCATATCTTATTTGTCTTTGTATTTCTAAGATGTAGCATAGTGATTGGCTGATAGGAGACAATAAGTATTTGCTAAATATGTAATTAATTGAATGAATGGTGATCAACTAAAGGTGGGTTCCAGATTACAATTTTTGATAACCAGCTCAAATTTCCTTGCTACCTTGGACATTAATGATCATAGATTTAAAACTATGAATAACTACAATGAGAATGCTCGTACGATCTCTGTACAATCTGTATTGGTTATCTAATTTTTTTTTTTTGAGATAGTGTCTCGCTCTGTCACCCAGGGTGGGGTACAGTGGCCCATTTTTGGCTCACTGCAACCTTCGCCTCCCAGATTCAAGTGAGTCTCCTGCCTCGGCCTCCCAAGTAGCTGGGACTACAGGTATCCGCCACCACGCCCAGCTAATTTTTGTATTTTTTAGTAGAGACCGGGTTTCACCATGTTGCTCAGGCTGGTCTTGAACTTGTGACCTCAAATGATCCACCCACCTCAGCCTCCCAAAGTGCTGGGATTACAGGTGTGAACCACCATGCCTGGCCATGGTTATTATTCTGAATAATGAATTACCTCAAAATTAATTAACATTTATTACCACATATGCTTTCTAAGAGTCAGGAATCAGAGAGCAACTTAGCTGGGTGGTTCTGGTACAGGTCTCTCCTGAGGTAGCAGTCAAGCTGTATGCTGGGGCTATCATCTGAAGCATGAATAGAGATGGAAGATCTGCTTCCAAAGGCTGTTGACAGGTGACACCATCATGTGAGCCTCTCTGTAGGGCAGTTTAATTGTCCTCCTGACATGGTGGCTGGCTTCCCTATAGCAAGTGATCAAAGAGAGAAAGCAAAAATTAAGCTGCATGGTCTTTTATGACCTAGTTCCAAAGTTGCACACCATACTTCCTTCCCCTCTATTTTGTTCCTTAGAAGCTGGTCACTGAGTCAAACCTGCACTCAGGAAGAAGGTAGTTTTCACCTTTTCTGAAAAGAGGAATAGCAAAGAATTTGTAGAGATTTGAAAACACTAAAATACCTAAACATTGAAACTCCCCCAGAGTATTTACATGAATTGCATGTTTTCTAAAGTAGTGCAATGTATCACAATGTTCAATTTGTCAATAAGAAGTGCTTTTAGACAAAGTGCTTTTCCTGGAAATTAGCTAACTGTCTTAAAGTATAAATAATGTCATTTTGAAAAAAAACAAAAATCCTTGTAACCATGAAAACAAGAATCACCAGTACTTGAAGAATCCAAATAATGACCTAATTTTGTTTTTATTTTCTTTTTATTCCTCTGAAGTAGATTCAACAAATTCAAGTAAAGAACATTATGTGCATCTACTTTGTGCCAATTACTATGTCATGTGCTCTGGGAAGGGGATACACTTATGCAGAGGTGACAAAGATATAATCTGTCCCAGAGAAGCTGAGAGTATAACAGAGATGATGGACACATACACAAAACTTAATATGATATGAAGCTCACTGTATTGAGTTTTGTGAGAGAGCTACAGAGGAGGTGTTATGGGGGCACAAGGAGAAGAAAGTTAATTAACATTGAAAGATGAGAAGACATCTTGGAAGAACTTGAATTGGGCCTTGGAAGAAGAACAGCCATTCAAATAGATAGAATTGTGGTAGCAAAGGCATAGAGGTAGGAAAGTATAGATCTCCAGGGACAGTAGTCATGGGGTTGGGGCACTGTTGGAATTTAAGGTTGGAAGGATATATTGGAGCCCCTTGAATACGGTAACAAGGCACACCTTGGGCAGTGGAGAGTTATCAGAGTGTTTGAAAAGGAGGGTTATTGAGTAAATAAATAGACTGGTACTTTAGGAATTTTAAAATGTGGATCATTGTACTACTAATAACTATTTATTTTATATTTACTATCTACTAAGTAATTTACATGTATTTTCTTGTACTGACTGTAAACCTTCTGGGTGTGGGTGTTTTAAGTGCCATTTTACTGATAAAGAAACTGAGGCTTAAATAGTTGAAATAAGTCACCCTGTTAGTGAGTGGCAGAATGACAAGTCAGATCTAGGGTTGTCTAACTCCAAAGATAATATAAAATAATGTATCTCTCTTTTCCCTTATGCATAAAATATGGGAGCATATTAAATCATACACATAGATTGTCAAAAAATACTTTGGGAAACTGATTATAATATCAAATAATTCAGTGCTGCTGTCTCTTACACTTTTATCCCTATCTGTAAAACAAACTACAAATTGAGAGAGTACATTCCATAGCTTGGGAAAAAACCCAATTGTGTTGTACCTAAACTAATCATCTTAAGGCAGTAGTTCAGAAGAACAGTACTACTATAAGCCTCAGAAAGAGGAAACTACCTGGGTATGGCGGGTGGGAGCGGAGAGAGGATCCGAAAAAAATACCTATCGAGTTCTATGCTTATTACTGGGGTGATGAAATTATCTGTACAACAAATCTCTGTGACATGCACTTTATATATAATACAAACCTGCACAAAAACCTAAAATAAAAGTTAAAAAAAATGACAATCAAAGAAAAAAAGAAAAAAAAAGAAAATACCTGGCTGGATCTACCCTCTAACATTTTTAGGACTCAGGGCAAGACAAATGAAAGCCTACATACTATGTGTCTAAATATTAAACATTATAAATAGGCTAACAAATGGTTAAGTAAAATATGCTTTGTCTTTCTACCTTGACAAATAAATGTTGATAATGACAAAATTGAAAAATATATGGAAAGCTGTCATTCTTGAAGTCAACAAAATGTCCATGATGACTGTAATCATTATTGTGTACATCTGAATATTCTGTTGTGGGGTTGGTGATGTTTCCATGAGTAATAAAATTAGGTCATACATAATTAATATATTATTACTTAATCTGTAAAATTTATTTTTGCTTTCATTTCTGCAATTCCCTAATTATGTTGTTATAATGACAGTTTTCATATAACGTGTCTTCTATTGACAGTAATGATCTAAATATTAGATTCTAAAGTATTAAAAATGAAGTGTAATATTAAAGTACACACAATTTGAATTTATTTTCATCAAAAATGTAAAGTAAAAATAAAAATCCAAAACTAAAGGTTAGCTTTTGTGCTACTAAAAGTTTTCTTCTAAAATCTTCAGTTTTCTGGGAAAAAAGGCAAAATTCAAAGTATAACTAATGAATATAACATTCAAATAATTATTTAAATGAAACAAATTATATTTTTTGAAAATTTAAATCACATTAAATATTTTTATAAAAATAAAACTGGTAGTAATTCTAGTGTTCAATGGTGATCCAATTACCAAAGAATCCCTAGCACACTAGTCACTACTAGACCTGCATATATTTAACTTTAAGGGCCATAGGAATTGTTTAATATTACAAGATGTTCTTTGGCCACGATATGCAACTTTTGGGGTTATCAAGGTAATAGGTGAGTACTTCTGGAGCATCGAATTAGAACATGAAAAGAAGTAGCAAAATGGAAGCTTGGCACTCCTGGGAAATGATATCTCATTATCCCTTGCATTCGTGCTGAGAGGAAAGACTTGACAAGTTAATTAATTTGTCTTTTTCTTAACTGAGTGCTTCTGCTGCTCAACTCCTCCCTGCTCTCTAAAGAAGTGTCCTTCTCTGATATGGGCAGCATCACAATCCAGCCTCAAAAGAAGCCACCTTGGGCTTCCAAGACACAAAGCAGGGGATATGGAGAGGTGTCTGCACTAGAGTCTGGATGGTGCTACTGACAACAGTGAGTGTTCAGGGTGACTGCTAGTGCTGTGCAGTGCTGAGCGCCACATTCCATGGGACCACGTGTCCTTTAATAAACATATTCAGCGTGCGCTTATGGAACTCATGGCTTCTAAAGCACAAGGCGTATGTTTCAAGCATAGTGCTATCCCTGAGCAGCATTTGTAAGCCTCCAGTCTGCAACAGTGGGATTACCTACCAGGCTCAGCTGATGGACCGGGATGATATTGGAAGAGAGGCTGCCAGCCTGAAGACTTACCTGGAAACATTTTCTCGTTGGTCTGGTTTTAATAAAATCACCAGATTCCACTAGAAGGAAACCAAAGATTACAAAGGTCCAAATTAATATATGACAAAGTAGAAACGGAAACTGGGAGGAAATGAGGTGAAACACAGGGGATGATGTATTGGAAATAGGGAATGAAAACCGTACAGAGTAGAAACACCTGAAAGCAGTTCTGGAAACTCCACATGCTCCTGCTGTACCAAGACCTGGTCCTATGTGTGCTGACCTTGTTCTTCTGCTCACATCTGCCACATCTGCAAATGTGGCAACATTTTAGCTGTTTTCTATTAACACTGAAGTACTCTGAGAGCTTGGAAATTTTCAAGTGCAAAATCAGGTCCAGAGAACAGTAAAAAAAAAAAAAAAAAAAAAAGCTTGACTGAACTGCCACTCACATCTTCCCTATACTGTGCAGAAGCAAAGAGCTCAATACTGATTTTGGTTTTGTGGTTGAAGGCAACTGCTATGAAACTTCTTAAGTGGTTCATAGTTGTCCATATTTTATCCTTATGATTGAAACAATATTTCCTGCTTTCCCCAGAGTAATAATTTTAAAGGTGGGGTCTCTAACCTCGGGTATAGCCTGGCCTCCACAGTGTTACACTGTTCCCAAAATGACAGGGGATACAAAACAGATGGGTCACACTGCAGGCTGCAGAAGTGGGATTTTGTTCCTGAAGACAAACCCCACACTACAGGAAAGGCCCAGCGCTATCTCTGAGTCTTGATAGGTTTGGAATGACTTTAAAGTTATTAATCAAGAAGTGAATAGGTGGAAACTTGGGAACATGTCCTTCTCTGTGGTTAACAGTGGGAACAGCAAGGCTAATTGCTTTAAGTCTAAATAATCAGAAGCTGTAAACTCTGTCACCCAAACTTCCAGTTTATGTCACTGGCTTTCTGGAGGCTGCATTACAGTGTTGTGGTGGTGAAATTATTATTAATTAATGACCATAGTATTAATAACACTATATACTGTGAACTTATTTTATAGTAATACATCTCCTCAGTGCTCAATAAATACTTGTTGAATAAATACTTTCTCATTAGTTGGTTCAACAAATGCCCATTGAATACCTGTTATGAAAAAGGCACTGGGTACTGATCCAAAAATGAATTTGTTTTAGCCAGAGTCTTCCAAGAGATTAGAGTTTTACAGATATTATCCTGATGAATGAACAACCCAGAAAGGCATCCTCCTTTCAGTTTGATGATGCTTTTTTTTTCACTTTTTATATAAAAGATTTTGAATTTGCTATTTTGAAAAATCCAGTAGAGGTTTCAGAGGATGTATTTGAAACTTGTATTTTTTTAAATCTATGTCTGACTGTTAAGGAAATTGTACTTTTTTCCAAGTTACTCTATTACCTATAATACAACCAGAAATAAAATGTTAAAAACTCAAGCTCATGCATACCCAAGGATGACAAAAAAAATTCTGCATGTATAAGAACACTTTACATTGCATTTTGTAACAACTTGCAAAGAAGATAAATAATATGTATGACTCCAGATTGCAGTAAACAGACTCCCACTTAGCTTAGCTTTTAAGTTATGCAACTTCCTCACTGATGACTTAGAAAAAAATAAAGAGGCAGCAAATAGTCAATAAAGAGTAAGGCAGGAAGCATGTGCTGACTCTGAGTCCCAGGAGGGCTCACCATGTCCGGTGCCACTAGGGAAACAAATCTCTAAGGCAGTTGAAATTTTCCTGCTTCTCACATAATCCCAAGCAGAGCACAAGGCAGTGGCTTAAATCTGCAGGTTTAAAGGAGCACAGAGAAAGAGAAATAAGAGAATGAAATCTGTACCCTAAGAGAGTGAAGGAGGGTCACTCATTTGTTTACAGGCAGTGTTCCCCCACCCCCTTCTCTAGACAGCAAGGAATTTGGAGCCTCTGTCAACTCTCAGGCAAAGATCCTTTGATCAATTCACGTAGGGCCTGATAACGCATGGACACTGTGGGAGATTAAAAGAAGATAGTAATATTAATATAAAGATCATGGCAATGATAACAACATGCCACCATTTAGTGTCTTTGTGTTTCCCAAGAGTTAACACTATACATGCATCAACTCATTTAATACAACATGATGAAATAGTCTCATTTTACTGAGGGATTAAAAATAATAAACTGATGGCTGAGTATGTTGGCTCACACCTGTAATCTCAGCACTTTGGGAGGCCGAGGTGGGCAGATCACAAGGTCAGGAGTTCGAGACCAGCCTGACCAACATGATGAAACCCCATCTCTACTAAACATACAAAAATTAGCTGGGTATCGTGGCAGGTATCTGTAATCCCAAATGCTCAGGAGGCTGAGGCATGAGAACCACTTGAACCCAGGAGGGTGGAGTTGCAGTGAGCCGAGCTTGTGCCACTGCACTCCAGCCTACATGACAGAGTGAGACCCTGTCTCAAAATAATAATAATAATGAACTGAGACTCAGAAAAGATGTTTGTTCAGGGTTACAAAGCTCAGACAGGACAGGGCAGCATTGGAAACCAAAATTGGTCTGACTCCTAGGCTCATGCTGTAAATCACGGTGCAAGGCTTCTACTATCTATGTTTTTCCTAAAAGAATGTATAAATGAAAAGATGGTTAACATATTAAGCAAAATATGTTAAACGTCAAATGAACTGTATAAACGATAAATGCTGGAGAGTTGAGGTGGCAAAGAACTCATGCCCGAGGTGATCTGGGAAGGCCTCTTGAACAAGGTGGAATTATAGCTGGTTTTTGAAGAATCCGAAAGTGCTTAGATTGAAAGGTGAGACATGTACAGGAATGGTTTCTAAGATGTCATATTTTATCTCTGTCCTCATCTTGACTGGCACTAATGAACATCAAAGATTTCAACCTAAATACATTGAGTGCCCAGTATGTGAAGGGCCTTATTTATGTTGTTTTAAAGCTTTTTAACATACTTTAAAGAAGGGACTGGTTAATCTCCACTGTCTAGATCCATTAGACCCGGAGCCGGATGGCCCCAGGGGCCTTTGGGAATGGCGTGGTGGGACAGTCTCCACTTTTGCACATACCCAAGAAAAGAATGGTCCTTTGGGAATTTTGCAGACCTACAATCTGGAGATAATGTACTTCTGATCATAATTCAAGTGCCCCCAGATATAGGGTTGCCAGATTTAGCAAATAAAAATATAAAATGCTCAGTTAAATTTGAATTTCAGATAAACAATGAATTATCTTTCAGTACAAGTATGTTTCAAATATTCCATGGGACATACTTATAACTTTTAAAAACTTATTTGTTATTTATCTGAAATTCAAATTTGACTGGGCTTTTACATTTTATTTGGCAACCTACCCAGTCAGGAATTGGAGGGAAAATTTTGAGATTTGAATTTTTTGGCATACATAAATACTCTTCTATGTGAAGACCTCAAATAAACTAAAAAACAAAAAGAAAAAGTGTCAGTATTATACATTCCCATAAAATATGCTCCATTTTAAAATGAGACCAATGGGGCAGGAAGTTACCTCACAAAAGTAATTTTGTGGAAATAATATAAAAATCTCTGAGTTTTTATACTTTATTTATTCAAGAAATTCTGGCCTTAAAATAGTAGTCAGTTGACCCAAGTAAGTCACTTGCTCTGCATCAAGATAAAAATGCATTTCATGCTGTGTACGCTGAGGATAAAAAAAGACATGCTGAAAACTGGATTTCCAAGTAGTGCCCCTATTAAAGATGACAATTAAGTGGGGTTCACCGAGGATGCATGGTGCCTTAGGATTGAATTATAAGAATGATGATTGTTTTTGGAGTTGGAGTCAAATATCAGCCTTTAAACCAAGTCAAAGCCAGGGTTACAGCTGCGTTACAGCTGCCTTCTGTCACTGACACTGCTGTGGAAAAATTCAAAAGGCACACCAAACGTTTTTTCTAGTGCATTTTTCAAAGCAACTTGGAATTAGTACAAGTACCTCGACGCAGAAAGCAAATGTATTTACCTATGTAATATCAAGCTTGCCTGGAATCATTTAGTAGGAAAAAGTATTCTGCAGAGAAATGTACTTTGAGAGAATGCAAAGCATGAAAGGTAAATTGGAGTCTTGAAGGGGGGATTTTAAATCACATTTAGACATAAATCCTTTCAGGTCATGATTCCCATAGATTACCAGCATCTGCTAAGCCTAGATAGTTCATAATCACTAAAATTGTCGTAATCTTCCTATGGAAGGTTTACCAAAGAAGTACTGAATTACACTGGGTTAATACTTTTAAGGATGAATGGTCAAGACGATGATGCTAAATTAATGCAGTGGCTACATAGTAAAATCTAATACTAATAACATATCTGAACGAAGCTGTGGTTTCAAAAGGCGTTCACTCCATCAGGGTAATGTATTCTCAGGTATATGATCAACTAGAAAGTTGCCAACCATTATTCACCTTCACCTACTCCTACAAGCTTCTCTGTCCTGTCTTATTCTTTTCTACTGTCAAAAAGAGAGAAGGACTTAAAGGTTGGGTCTGTAAAATAGGAAACCATAGAGCAAAAACACAGATAACACAGTCAAGGAAGATGCTCGAATAAATTATCGGTGGACAGTGTTCTCTGGATTGAAGCATGGAATCTAAATATGGTGTCTCATAGAGTCTACTGACATACCACGCTATAAGTGGAAACAGTGCAGGGCAGCATCTAGTGCTGTGTGAACTGTATCAACAGCACCGTGGAGTGACAGTCACCATGTCCTATTATATTTTTGGTTATTTAGATGGACAGTGCATTTGCGCTTGTGCAGTTACTTTTAGTAAATGCACAGGAGTGGCATTCTCACTTTCCTTCACTGCATTTGCAAGGATCAAGGGAAATATTTCCAGTGACATGGAGCTAGTAAAAATTGATCAATTGTGAAATAGCTAAGCAAATACTTGTTATACTTTAATAGGAACAGCAGTGTAACATGTAATGAGCACTGAGCAAAGTATGTTGGATGCGCTTATGCATCCACTGAATTCGAACATATTGGTCTGCTTCTTCATTCCACATCCCCACCATCCTGCTCTCACACTCCCTGGTCTCCAGTCATATTCCTAATTCTCTGAATACTTTGCTTCATGGCCTCTTACATACCTATTTGCTTGTGCACCTCCTCCTGCCCCTGGTGGAATTACCCCTGCCCTTTGTCTCCTGGTGAACCTTTGCTTTTTCAAGTCTCAATTCAAAAGTCACCCTGACTTCTACTCCCCAGTGTCCTACCCAGAGTTGGATGCCCCTGCACCGTGTTGCTCCAGCCCTGAATTCACACCCTCTGTGAGAAAACACATTACGTTGGCTTCTAATCAGTTGCTTCCCTGCTTTCTTCTCTCAATGGGCTGCACGCTTCCTGAGAACAGGGACTGAGTCTCTTTCTGCTTTTCATTTTCAGAACAGAGTGTCTGTAATACACAGCATACCTAAATGATCCATAAGCATTTTATTACAAGTAATCTGGAGTGCACCATGGCCTGGACACTCTGGGGCAGTATGGATAAATAGAATACCAGGACCAGACATACCCATGTAAAACTTCCAAAATGTCTACATGTAAAGCTACAAATTTAATGGTACCAACAATAAAAATTGGTGCAATCAAGAGAAGTGAAGTAAAATTCTCTGGGAAGAATTGAGGAAAGCCTTATGAGAAAGGTGAAATTTGAGGTGGGACTTAAGAGAGGCATTAAAATGGAAGAAAGCAGTGGCTTCCTCTTCCTGGGAGTTCATCAGGGCCATAGACTTTAGGGCAGAAAAGTCAAACTACAGACTGAAAAGAAAAGGCCAAGTATGAATGGAGGGTTTAGGTTGAGGAGTAGGCTAAGATCTTCCTGGTTCTTCCCTCTGTGCAACACTGAGAATCTTTTTCCTGTGTCCAATTTTACATCTTCTTCTTCTGGTTTAAGCATGCCTAAAAGAGATTACCAACTACCAACTTCTGAAGACACAGTTTGTGTAGTTCCTGTGGACTGGGACATGTGACTCTGCAAATATGATACTAAATACTCTATTTTTTTTTTAAGCAAATTGAGTATGTAACTCTGTCTCAAAATATGCAGTACATGTCTCAGCCTTAAACTTGTTCCCCTGTGCTTTTAGATAATAATTTTTTGAAATGTGTTTGGAAGTCTTTGGGGGCCTAAGTTTAGAAAGCTAGAAAGACATTCTCATTGCCTTTGTTGTTCCAATCTGTTGTTCTGTAATTTCTGGACTTGGATCTATCATTTGACTGAAAAGGATAAAAGGTCCAAGAGTGAAAAGAAATGGGTTAAAGAGAGGGAACAACCAGCCAAAGCAGTGGCAGCCAGCACCCGAGGGGGGTGGCTGCAGCTGGGCTCTGCCCAGCTGCAGGTGTGGAGGAGGAAGTGCAGGAACGAGCCCAGGACCCATTTCCAGGTGGCAGCAGGGTTCAGTGGGCTTAATTAACCGGTGAACTGCTCATGAGGTCGGTCTGTCTCTACCTTTCTACACCACACTGAACAAGCCACTGACCATTTCCTGCCTCGGATTTCCTCAGCCCCAAAGAGGGGACAACAATGTGTATTCGTCAGAGAAATTACTGGCCACTGTCTCATTCAGAAGCTGCCCCTAGAAGTGTTAGTAAAGACTTTTAAAAACATGAAACAAAGCAGAGAATTAAAAATAACAGGAAGTGGAAGAGAGAGCACACTATGATCTGAAATCTTCTGTGTTATATGCTGGTGTTAAAGAGGTCGTGAGGCCTTGATGAAGATTTGTTACTTGGAAGGATGTCAGTGCTGGGGACCTGCTCTCTGTGAACCCAGCAACCTGCCCCAGCATTTCAAGGGGCATACAGTCCACTCAGATGATTTATTTCTGAGTTGGAATTACCCCATTCCCCAGCCCACCCTCTTTTCAACTTTGTACAAATGTAAGTGGCCAATTCACTTTACTACACAAATGACTCATGATTTCATGAGCTGCAAGCAGCAGTTTCTTAAGCAGCTTTCCCATATTCCTAGTGCAAGAAATGGACACACAGACATCTCTTATGGGCTAGATCTTTTTAATTTGTGAAGCAAAGAAAGTGAGGGAACCACTGGACCCAATCTCAAGTATCCAAGGTCAACTAGACGAGGCACATGGCCAATTTCCAAAGACACATGGTTCTTTCCTAATCCTCAGCCTCTACTTCCTCACTGGATCTGAGTTCAAATCTCAGAAAGGTCAGAGCATGTGCATTTTTGGCATTTTTAAACAAATGGATGCAATTAAGAACTTGAGGAAAGGGTGACTTTCTATAGTTTTCAGCATACATCAGCTACTTGACAACTTCTACTAAAATAGAGCTGCTTTCAGAGGGTAATGTGAGTAGCCAATCACTGCCACTCAGGACAAAAATGTTGGCCAATGACCTAGAAGTAAGTGTGTGGTGTATTTCGCATGACTATAAGTGCTTCTCATTAGGAAAATAATGGCATCAGTTCCTGGAGTTTTCTTGGTTATTTAAACCTCCTGCTTTGGAGTTGAGTTCATGGTTTACCAACATCAGCAAGTGTTTCCTATTTTGTTGTACATGATCACCAAAGGAATAGGAGGCAATAAAGGAAATGAGAACTAAAGGTTCTAGAGAGATTACATTCTTTATCACATTTAATCTTTATAAGAACCCCCAAAAGTTGGTGTTCTTTCCTCCATCTTACAGATGTTTTGAAAACTGAAGCTCTGAAAAGTTACGTAACTTGGATCTACAGAGCTCTAAGAGGACGTGCTAAGATTTGAATCCAGAATTTCGTGACTCAAAAACGTTTTCTCCACAATATCAGTTTACCAGAATAACCTAGGCATGGCCTCAAAAGACCTATATTAGAAATTAGCTATATCCTAGTTCTAAGGAAGTATTCATTTTTTATTATTCAACTGTTAAAACTGCACATATATTATATTCCATAGAAATTCTGAGCATCAATAATAGGAGATACTTTCACTATTTGTATATATGTATATGTATATTTGTGTATATATACATACAAAATATATTTTACAATTGTCTCTTTGTTCCAAGAGTGGGAAGGAAAATAATTAGAATTTGTAGTTGGGCATTTGTGTCCACTTTAACCTGATCCATTCTGTCTAACTTTTCTTTGCAAGCTCTCAAATTCATTGTTAGCCTATCTGATCCTGTCGTCTGGAGACTGCCAAGTATTTCACATCTTACCCAGGGAACCGACCACTTTTAAGGGAGGGAGGGCACTCTTTACTGACTTTTCCTAATTTAAATTCATTGAAAATTGTTAATTTTAAGGGCAAAGACAAGGCAATGCATCTGTAAAGAGCTCTGTCACTTTTCTCCAAGTGATGACTAATGGTGGGGAACTTAAAACCTTATCCTTGGTATCTTTTGGAGTCCAGACAATTCAGTGGTCTCCTGGGATGAGTAAATATCAGCCCGTTCCCAGGAAGATTAACTAGTAAGATGATGTAGGAAAAGCTGCTACTTTTTAGAGGGCTATACTTAAACTGCCATCTACACTTCTTAAGGCAGAATCTCAGATAGTTTACTTCCATATGGGATGCTATGATTTCTAGAAAGAAAGGATATTTTATACAGTTATAAGAGTAACAGTGGTTTCTTTCCAAGATGTTAAATTTGGTCTCAAGGTTAGTGTTTGTTAATGTAATGTAATTACTGGTCTTTAAAAGATCATAAAGTAGAGTAGAATTAGGAGACCTGAATTAGGGCTCTCCATTACTGGGCGTATAGTTGTAGGTAAATTCCCAGTTTCTTTACCTGTTGTGCAGGTAGCAATACCTATCCATATTCCCTCATAGCCTCACATTTTTAAAATAGGAAGAATGCTGAAGTACTTTGAAAGTTCTAAGAGCTCCAATGGGGTCCTGTAGCACATGGGCTTTGTAGTCAGAAAGCCCCAAATTCAAAACTTAGCTTTTCTACTCTTTTCCTGTGTGGGTCAGTTTTCTAAACTCTCTGTATCTTGGTCACCTCACCTGTAAAATAGGCTAAAAATAGTTCCTACCACATATGATACTTGTGAGGACCAGATGGGCTCTTGGTATGCTTGAGTTGAAAAGGCTCATAGAGTTTATGTTACCCATTCCTCCTAATTGTAAGATGAGGAAACCGAGGCCCTGGCTGGTAGAGTGTCTTACCCAAGTTCATTCATCAATAATTTTTGAGTTATACCAAGCAATTTGCCTGCAGAGATTCAATGTTGCTTAAATTACCATGTTGCCTCAATTCTTAGGAAGACTTCTTTTTAATTGAGAGGTCTTCTTGCTCCTTTATGTCAGAAGGAATGGTCACATTGCTGACTTTTTCTTGTTTATGGACTGATGACTCATTTATGAGTTATCTAAACGTCTTGTTCCTTCTTTCTCTCTTCTGCCGTCTCTATCATGGGACTATTTTCTTTCTGCTAGCACTTCTACTAGAGATTGTGAAAGGGTGGTGACAGTGAATTAACTCCTTGTTAGCAGCCTTGTCTCTTGAGAGGAGGCTCACCCACTGCTGCTGACTGATAAGATGATGACAATCTCTGCTTCCTAAAAAATCTTCTCTACTATTAAGTTGGTGCATAAGTCATTGCAGTTTTTGCCATTACTTTGCCTTCCAGATTGCCTCTTGCTTCTCTCTGCTCTACTTGCTCCTTCTTTGCTGGATCCTCTTCCTGGGTAAACCCTTAAATGTGTTACATTCTTTAGGATCTGTCCTTGTCTGTCTTTGATTCTGCCTGCTCTTCTCGGTGATCGCAGACACTCTTGTGTCCTCAGTTACCATCTATCTGACACTGGCTCCTAAATCCATTATCTTTAACTTAACTTTCTCACTTAACTGCCAGATCTCATTGCCTCTTGAATATCTCTGCCTGTTTCCCACAGGTACTTCAAAAATTGTATCCACAAATGAGATTACGAGTCCCCCTTCCACACACACACACACACACACACACACACACACACACACACACTTTGTCTTCCTTTTATAGCCTAAATTAATCAAGCATTCTCAGCTCCTTGCCCAAGTTCCATATCTATCCAGTTTTCAAATCATTTTTATTTTATCTTGAAATATCTCTTGAACCCAGCACATCGCTTTCCTATTTTACTGATACAGTTGCGTCAGTTCAGCACTCATCTTTTTTCACCATAGCTTCCTAACTTTTCTCTGTGGCCTAGTTCTCTCCATTCTATCTAATCTTCCCTCTGTATTCTGCCACAGATAACTTTCAAAACTGAATTTTATCTTTGTTGATCTTCTATTAGGAAAAATGTTAGATCCTCAACTAGTGCTTAAAGACGAATCCAAACTATTGTAATATATTAGCAATTTCCAGGATTAGAGCTCCAACCCCTTTCCATCTGCTCCACTAGGTACCCTGTGGGCCCCTGTGATTCATTTACAATAAACTTGTCACATTTCCTCAAGTACTTGCCTGACATCAGATGTGTGACATCCTCAAAGACGCCCCCATACCTCTGATCTTCCCTTCTCTTACAACTACCCCTTGGGCCCCTGCAAGTCAGTATTTCATTCTTATTTTTATATTATGATATCTTTTTACATCTGTCTCACCCAACAGACTTTGAGCTCATCAAATTGGATAACAGGCTTTTCTTTTTTTTTTTTTTTAATTTCAAAGACCCTATCACATTGGACAATGTCTTCCACTCAAAAGGAATTCAGTAAATAGTTGTTGAAGTAATGTACTTACGACAATTATTAAGATCAGAGGAATATTGTTTATCATTCAATGTTTATAGTTAAATATTTGATTTTTGATAACCATTTACTGAATAATTCACCTAACACCCCATAAACTAATTAACAAAGAGTGTCTTCATAAATGGTGTTGATATCACATCAAGATGCTAACAGTGTAAAATTAGGATTTTAAAAATATGTATGTACCTTTAAGGCTTCTGTGACTTTTAGGTTTCTCTAAAGTTTATTTAACTTTAATCCACTTAAATTTCTTTAAAAGTTAACCATTATACATAAGGTAATCTGACTCCAAATTTCTGATTATTATATAAAATCCAAAGATAGGTAAGGATATAAATCTAAATGTAGTCCAATAAATGGACAGAAAAATGTCAGCTTCACATGTAGTTTATGGAAGTAGTGCATATATGAAGCCACAGAAAAGGAAGAGACAAAGGAATTTCAAATTTTGGAATTTATAATTAACAATTATATTCACATATGCTATAGAGTAAAATAGTGTGAAAAGTTGAACAATATATCTATATATTGGTTTTATAAAAGTATCATGGTATGCAGTTAATTGTTGAACACTATGCTTAGAGATAAGAAAATATTAATAATATTTATAGTAACATTTATTGGGCACTTACTCTATGCTCTATGCTAGGTGCTGTGCTAAGTACATCATATGCATAATTTAATCCCCCCAATATCTCTTTGACACAGTTCCTCTTGTTACTCCTGTTTTCCAGATGAGTAAATAATTCTTAGAAAGAGTGATTGACTTGTCAGAGGACTTAACAAGTTTTAGAGCTGTTTGAACATAGATCTGATGTGTTGTTCTATATTAAATGAATGAATACCTTTTAGGTATCTCAATTCTATACTAATTAGTAAGTAACTGATAAATCATTTGGTAAATTTCTATAAACTGTGTTTTGGACATATCTAAAATGATAAGGCAGGTGGGCACAGTGGCTCATGCCTGTAATCCCAGCACTTTGGGAGGCCGAGGTGGGCAGATCACCTGAGGTCAGGAGTTCCAGACCAGCCTGGCCAACATGGTGAAACCCCATCTCTACAAAAATACAAAAATTAGCCAGGCGTGGTGTCGGGTGCCTGTAATCCCAGCTATTTGAGAGGCTGAGGCAGGAGAATCGCTTGAACTCAGGAGGTGGAGATTGCAGTGAGCCAAAATTGTGCCACTGCACTCACTCCAAACTGGGCGACAGAGTGAGACTCCGTCTTAAAAAATAATAAAAATAAAATAAAATAAAATGGTAAGGCACATTTTGTAGTCATTATTGAGAACAAAAGAAAAGCAAAATTAACTGAGAATCTTTGAAGTTAGGTATTGTTAACTACTGATTGTCTAAATCCACCACTTCAGTTTGTTTTAAAGTCTGCTTTTCTATCAAAATTTTGAACATTCACCGTAAAGTATGCCTCCAGAAATGACCACTAATATATTATTAAACTATTCTTAACTATTCCATGCATAGTGGGAGATATTGAGGTCTATTGCTTGATATAAGAAATTAAACTGTATTTCTTCTTTCTTTTCCTGCTGGAGGGTAATTTACAAAATAATCGATAGTTTCGTGGCACTGTTAAAGTGGAAATGCACTCAAAATAATTACAATTAAAGGAGCCTACAGATTTTATAATGCCCAGGTTAATTATCTTCAGAATATCTGCCCAATACAGTATGTTACAGGATACCAATAAAGAATACAATTATTTTTTTCTTGATACTTTGCTTTTTTGTTTGTTTGTTTGTTTGTTTGTTTGTTTTAGAGATGGAATTTCACTCTGTCACCCAGGCTGGAGTGCAGTGGCGCCAATCTCCGCTCACTGCAACCTCCGTCTCCCAGGTTCAAGCGATTCTTCTGCCTCAGTAGAGACAGGTTTTTACCAGGTTGGCCAGTCTGGTCTCGAACTCCTGACCTCAAGTGATCCACCTACCTCGGCCTCCTAAAGTGCTGAGATTACAGGCGTGAGCCACTGCACCCAGCCTTTCTTGATATTTGATCCCTAGAGTCCAATGCATAAGTAGATGAAGATGGAGCTGCTTTTATTATAAAATTTGAGGGATGTGAAGAAGGTACCCTTGTCCCAAAAGACTGCCCCCCCACCCCCCACCCAAAAAAAGTTACAGGTTTTCAAAGTTTTCAAGTCTTTGGTTGCTCTCTGTGAACAAGTAAATATCCCTGGGAGCACTAACCCCTTATGTCTTTTGTCACACACTTAAGTAATCAAACTGGGAAGATGACAAAAATGCAAATTCTTAGGGGTACTTCATAGATTCTGATTTGATCATTCTGGAAGGAGACTGAGAAACTGCATTTTAACAAGCACTTTGATGATTCTGATGCAGGAGGTCTTCTGGACCACATTTTGAAAACTCTTAACAGATAACTGACACATCGAGTTGTTAACAAACTGGTAAGTTACATTTCTCTAAATGTGTCCTTCATTTCCAGAAGTTGTTATTGGTTTTTATTTATGCTGTCTATTTCACTGAAGATTTTTCCATTCATATCCTGTATGATTTTTTTTTAATTTCTTTAAGTTGGACTTCACCTTTCCCTGGTGCCTCCTTGATTAGCTTAATAATTGACCTTCTGAGTTCTTTTTCTGGCAATTCAGAGATTTTGTCTTGGTTTGGATCCATTGCTGGTGAACTAGTGTTATCTTTGGGGGGTGTTAAAGAACTTTATTTTGTCATATTACCAGAATTAATAAACTAGTAAGTTAACAAACTCAAAATTCATCTCATTTAATATATCATCCAGGGTTAGCCCTGCCTTAATTCTCAGGTTTACCTGAACTTTATTACTTCAAGTATCTCTACATGAAATAAATGAAACAAGAGTTCCTCAAGTGACTGTAACAACTAAAGAAAAATACTTCTGTTTGTTTCCAAATGGTTCTTTTTTAATAGTCCCAGAAATCAATGCTGAAATGCTAAAACATTAGAGCAGAATGTACAAAACGTTCTTGAATTATATTTCATTCTTGGGTGCCAGGCACACTGGGTTTGTATCTCACAACACTGAAATAATAAAAAGCAGGTGCCCTGTCAAGTTGCTTTTGTAATTGGGAAGCTAGGAGGTGATGTATTTTGCTAAGAATTTTGACAGAATAACCCCATTGGAGGAGTCTAATGCCCTTATTATAGGCTGAATAAGATAGAGTTTGGGAGGGGACATAGTACTTGAGAATACAGTAGATGAAAAATTAGACTAATAATACTTTTTATGACTTACAGAAAATAAATCTTTTTTAAAATCACTGCAGCAAAAAATGTGGCCTGTTGCTAAGAAGAGTTTGTTCCATATGATGGAGACTCTGAGTTTGGGAGCTTAGAAAAAAACCCAGCAAGTGTGTTAGTATGGAGAAAACAGGAAGACAGCTTCCTCTCTGAATATACACCATTTCCTGGAGAGGAAGTGAGGGCTTAAAAAAAAGTTCTTTGTTGGCTCTGTAACAGAGAGGCATCTATTTAGTGATGACCGTATATGTTTACACAAGCCAGGATATAGATCTTAAAAACAGTAAAGCCTTGAAAGTGCCTTCTTTATTCGATAATGGCAAGATGCAGAGCCCTTGGATTAGTTGGTGTGATATCTGTTGTATTTTGTAATCATCACTGGTTTACTCACAGCCATGCATATACTGCCTGGACAATTTTTAAGGGACAGCAGTTATACTCCATACGGTAAAGTGGATTTCACCTCTGTTTTTCTTTTGACTGTGTTGGCATATCCTGAGGCAACCACACTATCTCACAGGCAGAGCAGCAGAGGGCCTGGGTTTTATTGCCCTGCATGCCAGAACACAGTCTCACCTAAGATGTGCATAGGTAAAAGAGGCCGCCCCAGGCAGGCAGTTATGTAGTTGCACATAATCTGTGTTGAGTTTGGCTGCTGGCTGCAATTTGTTTATAATCAACTTCATTGAAGGATGAAGCAATATCATTAAAGAGACCACAATTTACCAACTAATTTGGGGAATTGGATCTAAGATGGTACCTTACCTTGACTTTTACTGAGTGTTTAGACAGAATTTGCCCTATAACCTTTAAGAGGCTTAAAAGATGGGCCAGTGAATAATTAAAATGACATCCTTTGCAGCACAGTGTTGCCCAGCAGAAAGAGCACACAACAAAAAGCTATGCTTGGAGGACCCCAAAGCCATAGATTTCCAGATTACAATAGAGAAGTCTAACTGGTGCAGTTACAAGAAAACAAGTCCTTTTATAGAGGGCAGACTAAATCTCTTGTATGAAAACAAAAAGGGAAGCAGACTTAACATCTTTCCTTAAGTTACCTTGAAAGAATGTTATGGTTTAAATTTACTGCGTTTTTGCAGGAGGTTGGGCGATGATATTTCCCTGCCCCTTTTTTATGCTGGTAACACTTCATCGTGGTCTATATAACTTTTGTTTTTTATTTACCAAACATGATATTTTTAAAAGATTCTTCTAAAACCATTTGTTTTCCCGGTGCTCCTTTTCATACCTCTATTTTTCCAGAAATTTCCAAAGTATTTGATAAATAATAATATGGAGTTGCAGGGCTGCTCCAAAATCCATAACCAAAGCAGCTTTTATTTTCTCACATAGTTGACTTTATGTGTGGACTTTGCAGACAAGAATAAAAGAAGAAAACATCTGTACTCTTTTACTTTAGGTCTGAAAAGCACAAAATGAAATGGGTTTCCTGATGAACCTTTACTCACTGGCAGCCATTCTGGCAATTTCTATTTTTTTGAGATGGAGTCTCGCTCTTTCACCCAGGCTGCAGTGCAGTCGTACAATCTCGGCTCACTGCAACCTCCGCCTCCTGGGTTCAAGCGATTCTCCTGCCTCAGGCTCCTGAGTGGCTAGGATTACAGGTACACAACCATGCCTGGCTAATTTTGTTTTATATTTTTAGTAGAGATAGGGTTTTACCATGTTGGTCAGGCTGGTCTCAAACTCCTGACTTCGTGATCTGCCCGCCTCGGCCTCCCAAAGTGCTGGGATTACAGGCATGAGCCACCGCACCCGCCTATCCGGCAATTTCAATATCTCTGCAATTATAAACACTTTTCAGCAGAATTGTTTACTTTCTCTTGTATTACTGATACTCACCCCAAATATTCATGTTGCATAAAGAAACTCATTTTTGATAACATATAAGCTATACTTATTTTCCATGTTCACAAAGCATTTTGAAAAGATCAAGGAATTATTTCTAGATAACACATAAAAACTTCTATTGCTTAACCTTCTCAATAATTAAAAAAAAAAAAGAGTCAATCAAAACTGAAATTAAGAAAGCTTTTAGAACCAGAAAGTTCATATAAGGCATCATTTTTACCAAAGACATCAGTTTTTCCTTAGGCACAAAAGTAAACTTTGTTTCTTCTTAAACGTGTAAAAATTTGCATGGACAACATGAGCAAAACACCTGAAAGTTTGAAAACAAAGTGCAGAAACAAACCTCAATGCTCAACTGTATTAGCTGTAAGCCAGACGGGAATCTTTCCAAAGGAGCAACAAAGAAGGTAGGGATGGATGAAGGAAGACACATCTTTGACCTTTGAGAGGAAAGAAAAGAAAAGGGTTCCGATGGCCAGGCAACCTCCAGCCATCAGTCCCATCAGTTAGAAGAGCAGAAGGCAGCTCATCAGAAGCAGCGACATTTGGGCTACTGCAAGAGCAATTATTTTGCTTGCCAAGTCAATTCAGCCTGTGAGCTACATAGGCTCTAGTTTAAGCAACATGAATCATACAACTGCTCTCATTATCATGTTTGAAGGTGTCCCTTCACAAGCCTGCTGTTTTACCACACAGTACTGGTCTGCCTAAAAAACAGTAAAATTGAATTAAACTTAGCCCGAGCCTCTTGAAGGCAGTGACTATGTCATATTTATATTTGTACCCCAAGTGCAGTGCCTGAAATGTGTTAGACATTAGATGCTAAATGCATGATGCTAAATGCATGTTGGATGATTAAACAAGTATAGAGCATCTGCAATATACCAGGCATCATGTTAAGGCCCGGGGATGGTCCCTGGGAGTTCACTCACAGTCTTGTAGAAATGAGTAAATGAATATATTGGTAAGTTTGCTGCATTCAAGTAGACTGAATAATTGTTACTAACAAAACAAGGAATGGCAACAATTAGGTCACTACAGTAATTGCTCAAAGCACAATTAACAGACTGGAGCATTCAATTATGTGGCAACCATATGGTTATGCATTTCACCATGTTGACATCATACTGTAAAATTCACACATTATATGAAAAGAAATTACGCCAGGAAAGTACAGGCTACCACAAAGTAAAGTGAAAAACACATTACTGAAATTTACTGCTAAGCAACAGATATAGGACTCTGAGCTTTCGATTCTTAAGAAGTTCACTGATGCCAATTTCAAGAGGCCCTCCGATCAATGTAATAAGAATGAAGGATAAAGAGAAATGAAATGTAGTAGAGCAATGATGAGAGGAGAAAGGCAACTAATTTAATTTAGGTGCACCTAAAATTACATCGAAAACATGTTACACCTTCAAGATTCACCTTGGCAGAAAGCCAGGAAACCTGAGTCCTTGTCCTCTCTCTCTGCTACTAAGTGGCTGTATGAACTTAAGCAGATTCCTTCAACATAATGTGACTGCAATGCGCTATTTCTGATATAAATTGTGGTTTAAAAAAACAAAAACAAAAACTCTTGGAGTCTTTGGTGAGACCTCTTAATGCATATGCTTTTATCTATGTAAATATATCAGAATTATAGGCCCATAAATCAGTGACCTCTTTATTATCTTGAATACAATTAACCTGATCTTACTGGTAAAGGCTGTGTGTCAGCAATTCCCTAGTAATGTCCCTTTCCAAAGGATAGCTCTTTCTCAACCCTCTTTGTTTTCACAACACTTTTGCAAATTTCTGTTACAGAACTTGCCTGAATCAATGCACATTACTTAGTCTGTTTGTAAGTCTGTCATCTACGCTAGGCTCTGAATTATTGAGGGCAGACACAATGACCTACTCTTCTTTTAGCGTCCTTCCATAGTACAGGGGTTGGCGCGTAGTAGGTGCTCAATAAATATTGAATGACTATTTAATTAACTTGGGTGGGCAATAGTATATGTGGTGCATGTCACATGTCTTCCATTTGCCCCTCCAAGTGCACCTACACCCTTTTGTCCCTGCTGGTCAGAAGGCCCATGCTTCCTTTCAAGGCAGCCTGCCCCACAGGACTCTCTCTCCTCAGTTCCAGAAACCTCTCCCTCCCTCAGTCCTTCAGGCCTAGGGATGCTGACAGCATCTCTGTAGTTAGCCCTGGGTTCCCGCTGTATCCCTGGAGATTCCCCCACACCCTATTTACACCTGGATAATTAGTCCTTAACCCCTTCATGAATTATCCTAAGTCAAGTGCACCATCTATTTCCTGTGAGAGCACTCACTAATACAGTAGATTAGAAAGGAGAAAGATTTCTGTTTAAAATGTGTTTTTGCACTCATATTATTGAGAATAACCGCACTGAATTTTTTGAAAACATTTAACAAATAGATCCTTGGGTAGGCTAAATATTTTCATGCATGGCTGACCTGCACTGATTCACTCATTCCAAAGTATGTTACAGATTCATTTCCGTTTCTACACCATATATGTATTTTGCATTTGAATTAGTAAGTATGTTCATGTTTGGTCATTTGTGTTTAAGTGTATTTCTCTGTGACTTGCGACTTCTTGCATTAGAATATAAGTGCCTCAAGAGAAAGGATACTATGTTTTTCTTTTACTTTTTTTTGTAAAGGCTTGCTCCTAGCAGCTTGCCGGCTGACTTATATCTAAAAAAACTAAATAAAATTTGTTAATTATGAATACAGCTTAATAAATGTACAGCCAGATCTGACAACAAACATTTTGCACATTTTTAAGGCATAATCTGATAGGACTTGTTGCATTCTTTTCCAGAGCCAGCAATTCTTAAGGAAGTGAAATACCTAGTCAATTGGTGTATTCATGGTGCAATTATTTGAAAAATCATTAAAATATCTGTTCTTTAGAGAATGTTAAACATATTAATTCAGGTAATTGTCCAGATATGCTGTGCCTTTGTCACTGATGTGTAAACACCATGAAGTCAGCAACTTTTTCTGTTTTGCATATGTCTGAATGCCCAGTGCCTAAAACACAGCCTGGCATCTATAAGGTATTCAATAGGTATTTGTTGATTAAATGAATATATGGAGGCTTGGTTATATTATTGTAGCCTGATATGTTACATTTGCAATTGCTGTGCTGTCATTCATAAATGATTTTAAAAGGCAATTTAGATTCCTTTTTTTCAACATATTTATTGCCTTGTTACTGTGTTCAAAACTTTACTAGGTGTTTCCTTTGGGAGCTCACATTCTATAGGTAAAAAATATCATCTGAGGCTAGACGTGATGGCTCATACCTGTAATCTGAGCACTTTGGGAGGCCGAGGCGGATAGATCACCTGAGGTCAGCAATTCGAGACCAGCCTGGCCAACGTGGTGAAACCCTGTCTCTACCAAAAATACAAAATTAGCCAGGCGTGGTGGCATGTGCCTGTAATCCCAGCTACTCGGGAGGCTAAGGACAGGAGAATCGCTTGAACCCGGGAGGTGGAGGTTGCAGTGAGCCAAGATCGTGCCATTGCACTCCAGCCTGGGTGACAAGAGCGAAAATCCGTTTCAAAAAAAAAAAAAAATTTCATCTGGAACACAGCATAGTTACTTAATGGATCCTATCTCTATGGCTTTTCTTTCACATCACATCTTTACCCAAAGCAAGCTTTACTAACCTTCATTCTCCTAATCCCTGATTTTTGCAGGCTTTGAAGAATTATATTGAAGCAATTAGCACTTTCCTAACGCATTCCTGATCCTACCTGGGATTCCATAACTGGTGACCATGCTTTGCCTTTCATGTAGACTTGGTTACTCCAATAAAACTGCTGAAACATAATCAATTTTTTTTTTTTTTTTTTGAGATGGAGTCTTGCTCTGTCACCCAGGCTGGAGTGCAGTGGTGAGATCTCGGCTCGCTGCAATCTCCACCTCCCGGGTTCACACCATTCTCCTGCCTCAGCCTCCTGAGTAGCTGGGACTACAGGCGCCCGCCACCACCCCCGGCTAATTTTTTTTTTTTTTTTTTTTTTTTGTATTTTTAGTAGAGACAGGGTTTCACCGTGTTAGCCAGGATAGTCTTGATCTCCTGACCTCATGATGCGCCTGCCTCGGCCTCCCAAAGTGCTGGGATTACAGGCGCGAGCCACCATGCCCGGCCGAAACATAATCAATTCTTACATGATTTTTTCTACTTCATCCACAATGGTAGAAAATAGACTCTTTTTCCTCCTGTGTGTGATTAACATGAGGCCTTCATGGTACTATACTTCCATTAGAGACTTTTTTTTTTTGAGATGGAGTCTCTCTCTGTCGCTCAGGCTGGAGTGTGGTGGCATGATATTGGCTCACTGCAACCTCCACCTCCCAGGTTCACGCCACTCTCCTGCCTCAGCCTCACAAGTAGCTGGGACTACAGGTGCCCGCCACCACGCTGGGCTAATTTTTTGTATTTTTAGTAGAGACGGGGTTTCACCGTGTTAGCCAGGATGGTCTCGATCTCCTGACCTCGTGATCCGCCTGCCTTGGCCTCCCAAAGTGCTGGGATTACAGGCATGAGCCACCACACCCCGCCCCATTTGAGACTTTTAAAATCCTTTTCTTAGGTCTTCATATGACTCCACTTGGTCTAAGCTTTTATACTCATAGACATTTTGATATATTCACAAATCCTTTTACTTTTTTGTCTACAAATAGGTCCTTGATATAAGCCATTCATGTGGAATAGTCCTAGTGGTCTCAGAATTTGAAACATATTGAACAAAACTCCAAACTAAGCGTAATTGTTTCTTAATCTAAATAGACTTCTAAAGCACCCAGAGCCTATGATGGAATTGTACATGGCAAAATGCTGTTATAATTGGGGAGGGAACGGTCCTTTTAGGCAATTAAACATCCTTCTCTTCTTCCCTTTCCTCCTCCCCTTACTCTCTCCTACTCTTTCTCCTTTTCTTCTTGAATACCCAGAGATTCACTTCCCTTTGTAAATATTTGAGTCTACATAGTAGAAATGTTTTATAGATCTATCCATCAAGTAGGTTCAAGTAATTATGGTAAGTAGTTATATGGAACTACCTAAATATCTATTGCTCTGATCTGTCCATGAAGATCCCTTACAATGTATTTCAGATTTCGTGGCCTAAGTAAATGAGACTTTTTTTTCTTTTTTATTAAAAAACAGAAGCTTTTTTTTCCCCCAAGAGTTAAATGTCATTGTAATCTTATGAAATATTGCTTTCAAAACATAAAACCAAAGAAATTCAGAAATAAAGCTTATCATCCTGGTTGTTTTTGTTATATAGAATTGTCTTTACTATTTTTCCCCTCTCATTGTCACCTCTTGGTTCATGGTATGTGATTAAGAGATGGTACCATTGCCCTCTGATTGCCTTGCTTCTGGTGCTCCCTCTCCTGAAGTGGCCCTTTTTAGTCAGATCCTTAAAGCTATTTCAACATTTCTCCACCCGTATCCCCCCACCACCCTCCACCAAATACACATGCTTTGCACTATTACAGATGTTAACTTGTCAAAGTCCAGAAGCTCCTGAGAAGTCAGCAGGAAGACATGGTGGATTGAGGCATAGCCATGACCTGAAGGAAATAATTAAAATGCAGGAGGGTTGCTGTGAGGGACACACTAACTTAGTACATCTTTCTCTGATGAAATCTGTCAGGCTCTTAGTTTACCAAATGTGGGAACTTTTGTGCTTGTTTTGCTCTTAGGCACAGGATAGGTCCCAGGAGAGATTCCATTCATTCCTCAAAGAGAAACAGAAGAAAAAGAATGAAGTCTCACTAATAGCTTGTTAGAAGAATTGTGTTTACTCTGAGATCTGACTCAAGAAATGGACATGGAATCTCAGCAAATCCAAGCTACAGATGATATCTGTTTTGCAGCTGGGCCATGCAGAGCTCAGCCATGGCTTCTCCTGACCAAGGGATGTTAAAGTTATCTAGAACATTAAGAGTGTTAATGAGTATATACAGAGAGACTAATTGTGAGCAAAATCATTAATTAGGGTCATGTTTACATTTTTATTGTGGCTAATCTTTCATCTGTTCGGACTAAGGTTCTTACTGTGTTCCAAAGGTGATAATAATATAACTAAATTCCTCTGATACTAAAGTAGTCACACTTTTATTTCTTAATTTACCTGAGTTGATTCCTGGCCACCCTCCCCCTCCTTATCACACTAGAGATAATTTTCAGTAATGTTTTCTTTATGCTGTTAAGTGATTCCCTTCCCAGTGGAGCGAGAAGGTGAATGTACTTAATGAAATGATTGATCTGCATTTTGGCATTCGTCCAAATTGATAAAATATAGAGGGACTTTTCCATTCATTATTTTGTTCATCATTTATAGAAAATGCGGAAACTTTTGGGTAGGTTTGGCTTTCTGCCAATTAATGTTGTCACTGTTTTCCTCTGATGCATATTCACATGAGTCAACAGAAACCTTTTCGACTAAGCAGAGTTAGATTTAGCGAGACTGCGTACATCACGGTATTTATTGGATGTGGAAACCTAAAATAGGAGGGGCGTGGTAAAACCTCAGACAGAAGTACTGACAAAGAGTTTCCCCAAACAATAGAACCGCCATAGCCCGCACACATTCCCAGGACACATTCTACAGAATGGACAAAGAAATACTCATCTGTGTCATCACTTGCTCAAAAAAAAAAAAAAAATTATCTGAAACATGGAAGGTATATCAATCAGATTTGCATTTGGCTGTGAGTGATAGAAAATGCAAAATAATAGTAGGTTAAAATACATAAATTTTTTTTCTGTCTCTTGTAAAAGAAGTCCCAGAGTAGGTAAACCAGGAGGGAGACACTTAACAGTATCAGGGATCCACGTTCCGTCTCTTCTGCGGTTCTGCCCACCTTATCATGGGGCTTCCCTGTCACGGACAAGATGGCTGCTAGTGGTCCAGCTGGGAAGAAGGAGAAAATACCTGCAGCAACAGCAACAAGGACTACCCCTCTCTTTTTTTTTTTTTTTTTTTTTTTTTTGAGACGGAGGCTTGCTCTGTTGCCCAGGCTGGAGTGCAGTGGCGCCATTTTGGCCCACTGCAAACTCTGCCTCCCAAGTTCAAGCAATTCTCCATCTCAGCCTCCTAAGTAGCTGGGATTACAGGCGCCCGCCAGCATGCCCGGCTAATTTTTTTGTATTTTTATTAGAGATGGGGTTTCAGCATCTTGGCCAGGCTGGTCTTGAACTCCTGACCTTGTGATCCGCCTGCCTCGGCCTCCCAAAGTGCTGGGATTACAGACGTGAGCCACCGCACCCAGCCAGGACTACCCCTCTCTTTAAGGACCCTTCCCAGAAGTCACACACGATACTTCCAGGTAAATCTTAGTCACTCTGTCACCCCTAGCTGCTAGAGTGGCTGGAAAATGTAGCCCTTATTTTGGGTGGTTATGTGACCAGCCAAAAGTAAGGGATGGTACGACTCATGAAGAAGGGAAGAAGGGATATTGTTCCTCCTTCCGGAACTTTGCCAGTGTTCTCACCTTTTCCCGGAAGCCTAATCATCTCTCCGTGGGCAGTGACAGACTCTCTACTCTGTCTGTTCACAGAATACCTGGGGTAGGTTTTTCAGTTTCAGGAGCCACACTACAAAATAGATACATGTGAACCAGTAAATTCAAGAGTAAATTACCAGAATGGTTGTGAGGACTGGGACCCTCCATCTACCCCCATGATGATTACAAAACTTGAATGGACCATATCATCTGAGGAACAAATGAGGGAACTGGTGATGTTTAGCTGGGAATTTCTGTATGCCTTTCTCAGAAAAGACATAGGGAGGACATATCTGACTCAGAATGTTTGACAAGCGATTCTGTGTGTTCCTAGCTGGTAGAATTAGAACATGCCCCAAATCAGTGAGCCTAACTTCAGGCAACACGTAAAGGAGCATTTTCTGTTTCTCACAGCAGTCCTGAGGTCCAATAAGCTATCTCTGGGGAAAGCAAACTCACTGTCATCAAAGGGATTGAAGCAGTGTCTTTAGGGTCAATTGATAGCCTTCTAACATGTCTTCCTGGCTCTAGTCTTAAGACCTATCCAGACCATTCTCCATATCCCCATTGGTGATCTTTTTAAATGCAAAAGAGAACATATCACTTCCCAGTTTAATCCTTTTCAATGGTTTTCCATTGTCTGCCAATCTCTCAGTTCCTCTTGACCTGGTGTTTACTTACTCATTGCAAGTTTCTAGATAAAATTTTCACTTCCTCAAATATGTCAAATCTCTCTCCTGTCCAGAACTTTGATTATGTTGTTCCCTCTTTTAGAACACTCTCCTCCATCCTTACTTTTACACTTCACCTGGCTGAGTCCTACACATCCAGAATCATTACTTCCCCTCTGAAGTCTTCACTTCTATCCCCTCAGAGGAGGGATTCTTATGACTTCTGGTACCTCCCTTGGCCCAGCACTTAATATAATTGCTGCAATTGCTTATTTAATGATGTGCCTGTTGAGCTAGACTGTAAGCTCCCAGTAGGTAGGGTCTGGTATCCTCACACACTGCACACTTCCTGGCACATAGTAGGTGACTGATCATAATGTTGAACATGGTAGAAGGTAATCAGGCATCAGCTGAAGGGAGATACAGGTTAAGGATGAGAGAGAAGCAATAAAGATACGAGAAATGAGAAATGGAAAACAAATAAGAGATTTTCTTTTGCCCTAGTCCCCCTTATATTTTTTCTGGAGTGGCAGGATTGAAGCATGTGAAACAATTGCTTCTCTGGCTACTTGGATTGCCTCCCAGCCCCCAAAGAGTCAGAGCAACTGTTACAGTGGAATTTGAAATACTAGCTATGTTAATGGAGGTCAGTATTACTAAGGCTGGATTTACAGCTACAAAAAAGTGACCCAGATTTATTTTCTATTACTCAAAATTAGTTATGTCGAAGGAGGAGCAAGGGGCTTCTTGGTCTATAGACTATTGCTAATGTGTCTCTGGACATAAATCTTCTTTGGTTTTCATTATCTATTCTGGAGAAAGCAATGGTGACTCTGAGTAAGTGGGGCAGCAATTCAGGTCTTTACCACACCACATGCAGCATTTGTACAGGAGTAGCTTTGGCCTCCCAGACCTTAGTGACCTGGGCAGGCCACCCATCTCTGCCTTTTCTTGGAGTGATTTTTACAGGCACAGAGTAAACTCCTGCCCTCAAATACCTACTGCCATTTGCTTCCTGATGCTTAACATTCCACATTTATAGAAAAGGCCTCAAATATAAGGACCACAATAATAACACGTGATTTAAATTCACATAGAGATGTACTGGCTCCTATTGAAAAAAAAAAAAAAAAGCCGAGGGTGGTTGGGGGAGAACCATTGGACTATAGAAGGTATAGGTGGGGAGAACAAAAAAAGAATGGTTTGAAACAGAAAAGACTATGAATTCTAAGCAGGCTGAAAAGATAGAGAATAAAATACATTTAATTTATAATTTTGCTTAGCCTTATTTACCCTAGACATTACAGACAGAAGTGATTTCTTGTTTAGGGTTTAAGGGGCAGCCGAGAAGTAATACAGACCTAAGGAGTGAACCTCCTGCTACCAGCATGGGGAGGGGGCATCCCCTGTTATTCACTAGAGCTACTGTGGTATTCTCCAGCCTGGTATTGCCCGTAAATGGGCAAGACACACAGCTTTGCATTTGCATTATTTCTGATTGACTTCAATGGTCAATCCCTGCATGTGATTTTTTTACACGTCTCCTTTTCTGTATCCACGGATCATCAGAAAGTCGATATCCAGGAAAACAAGATAGCATTTCCCCAAGAGGAGGGGTTTTATGTTCATGCAGCCCAAAACAGTGGTCACTTTGAAAAAGGTTTTTTAAGCCGAGTCCTTGTCTGAAGCTGACTGAAAATGACAAACCTTTCCTAAAATGAAAATCACCGAAGCAACTGGGATGAACTATTTATCTTCCTGATCACTGCAAGGAAACACACGAACAATGATCTCATTGTATCCTCCATTTTGATTTTTAAAGGCATGCATTCACTAATAATGTGTGTAGAAAACATTAATTAACAATAGTCACTTTTACTTACATTTACTCTCTAACAATGTAATTGTTAGTTTACTTTTTTAAATGTTCAGTTTCTTCATCTTTGTTGCAGATATGTATCTATGCAAGGAAATGATACATTTTAAAATGTATAGATAATCAGAGAGGTTTAATTCTCTTGACATATACAATAACAGTGTTTCAATTCTATAAACACAACCCACTGGTACTATTAACCTACTTGCTTTAGGGATTAAGGGAGAGAGAGAACATTAACTCTTTTGTGACTTACTGTAAATCAGCACGAGAGGAAAAAATGGTGGAACATGTCGTTTTTGCTACATGGATAGTAGTTTGGTAGTCACAGTATAATTTTCTCATAAACTGCTAATAGCCCATTTGCAAGTAAACAGATCTGGCCCTTGCCTTTTGACCAAGTCTAAAAGACTTTACAATTATATGCACACAGGTCGTCCATTCTATGGAGGTATAAGTCCTAGTTGGTTACCTGGTGCAAGTTTCACCTTGCTTCTTTTGGATCATAGTATATCATGCCTCACTCTTTTTCTGCTTTCTGCCTGTATGTTTCGTAGCAGAGATTGAGTCAATATTTTCTTGGTGAAACAGACACCCAGAAGGCACAGAGAATTTATATTTAGTTTTCTGAGTTTTTGAACTGATGAAAGAATCACATTTGTCTTCCTCTGTATTTTTCTGGATGGATGAAGAACTCTGCAATCCCTGGGTTCTTGATGGAAGTTCTTCCTCTGAGCTTTCCTCCTTCAGCCACTTATCCCCTTTGGGTGCTCTTGGGAAAATATTCTTACCCCACACTGAAGCTCCCCAGTACTATCAAGCAGTGAATTTAGGTGTTCCTGTAAACATGGGTAAAATCTAGGAGAGCACTGTGGCTTAATGTGTAGATTCATAGGGCTTTGCAGAGAGTGACACTGTTTTTCTTTTCTTTTCTTTTCTTTTTAATTTGAATGCATGAATATTCAGTAGGATGACTTGTGGTTCTATCAGAGGTCAAGTCAATAGGAGAAAGAAAGCCTATGACTGAGGTAAAATGTGAAGTAGAAAGACTTGGTTTATATAACTTAGATGTCTATACTGTTCAAAATGCTTAGCTCTTCTAATTTCATTTGCCCTCATAGACACAGTCAGAAAAACAAGTTCAAGATGTGAATATTTTTAATCTGTTTTCCAAGCATATGTATCAAAGAATGGTATCTATTGTCATTAAGAATTTTTAAGCCTTTCATTCTAAATATAAAGCCTCACCTATTTGACAGTGTTCCTTTAAATGTCAGAGAAGCTGGAGAGGTTGAGGGGCAGGGAGGGATCATGAATTGAACCTCAGAAGGATTTTAATGCTTTCCCTTCGGTGGTGCCTTTTCTTCCTGAGAATAAAGAAAGGGAAAGGAGCCAGTGGACTCAGCCCTATAGCAACATTTTTCCCCAAGGAATTTTGTATTTAGTTCTTGTGCCTTTGGCTAATAAAGAAGAGGCACATTTAGCTCCTGTGAACAAAAGAAGGCAACATTTCAAAATGTGGTTATTTTGCTTGTAGATTTTCTAGATTTTATCTCATCCAACTCAGGTTGTAAACTAAAGAGAATAAATTATTTAATCCAACAAATTTATTCTTTCCCTGCAGTAAACTGTTTTGCATAAAGGAGGCTTGTTTTTTGCTCAGACAAAATGAAACAGGAAATTATCTAGCAGATTCAAACAGAGGAGAGAGTCACTCTACAAAATTTGAGCCCCTAGCTACTTCCTTTTCCAAATTATCTGGAGAGTTCTCTAAACACTCACCTTTACTTTATTCATATGTAAGCTTCAACTATGTATACACAGTATTGCCAGTTCAGACACTGGGACTGAAGTGACCCATTAATTGAATAGCCCGACCTGTCTAGTTAATCACCACTTCCCACTCCCCAGACTGCCCACCCCAGCCTCCAGTTCAATTGACCATTTGTTTGCATGAATGTATTGAACTGACCACCTGGCCAGCTATTAGAGTCTCGGCCTTTCTTTTATTTCTGCAACTATAATTTTTTGTTTCTTATTTTGAGGCCAGTTCTAGATCGTTTACCATTTGACGGATAGGCCTATGCTTTGTCTCATTGAGTTCCACTTAGACAAACAGTAAGAAGGACATAAAAAGGATGCTTGGATCTTGATAGTAGGAGATTGGGATCCTCTCCACTCTGGGCACTCTCCCCTCTGCAGACACTGCTACAGTGAGAAGTAAAAAGGAACAAAGAAAAGAGAAATGAACCATATGGTGGTAGAATTTGTCAGCTACTTTTGATATGTTTCTTAAGATGCAGGTCAAAGTAGTATACACAGACATTTAAAAATAAGGAGACTGTTTGGCTAAAGTAAATGGATAAGTCAAATATGTGTTTCTTGCATTTCATAAGAAAAAGGATAAAAACTAAAGAAAAATAAAGCATCTTGCTCTTCAAAGAAAAAATTCCTTTTTTTTTGTTACACGGGAGAGCACTTCATTTGAAATTGGTAAATATATTGCTGATTTGCATATGTTCCAGAAAATACAATTTGTCTTTTTGAATCACACAGAATTCACTGTTTTATTACTGTGTCTTCTTATTTCTGGAGCTAAAGATGTTATACAGATAGGATAGCTCACTAAAATCTATCAGCATATCTTTAACGTAGTGTTCTGCCAAGTAGAGATTGCAAACTGATCAAACTGATAGTGTCTTTCTAGCTGTGGAAACACAATGCCACACAATTTCTATTCCCCAGACACATTTTTTTTTGTTGTTGTTGAAATGGAGTCTCGCCCTGTCGCCCAGGCTGGAGTGCAATGGCATGACCTCAACTCACTGCAACCTCCGCCTCCCGGGTTCAAATGATTCTCCTGTCTCAGCCTCCTGAGTAGCTGGGATTACAGGGGCACCCACCACTATGCCCAGCTAATTTTTGTATTTTTAGTAGAGATGGGGTTTCACCATATTGGTCAGGCTTGTCTCAAACTCCTGACCTTGTGATCCGCCCACCTCAGCCTCCCAAAGTGCTGGGATTATAGGCCTGAGCCACCGCACCCGGCCCCAACACCATACTTTAATCAGTGGAAGATGGCAAGAGCCAGAGAATGAATAAAATGTTTCCTGAACCACTTATTTGGGTATTAATCGTACACCCACAATGTGATTCCTAGAGTTCACAGTCTAATAAATTATTTTAAGGCATACGCTCCACCAGAATTTTGATTTTAAAATAGTTCAATTCTGCTGCACACAAAGGCAGTGTCAGATAGCTTGCACGAAGCAAACCAGGTAAATCTCCATGATTCACGGTCACTAGGCAATGTCTAGTTGCAGTTGATCATTCATGCTGGCATATGTCCCAAAGATAGGGCATCCTAAGTATAGATAACCGGCCTGCCCTTAATAAGACTGGAAGGCAGTCTTATTCTGCCTCCAGATAATTTGAAGACTGAGAGTAGTTAGAAGGCGTCATTCCAAGGAATGCTAGCATATAGACAAATTTCTTCCTGATCTTTTGAAAACAATTATCTTCAAACAGTTTGACTGTGCTAGCAAGACTTAAGATGGAAGACAGGGACATGATTATAAAATATCAAAATTCCTCATCATAGATCACCTCCATTTTTCTTAGAATCATAGATTCTTATGATTGGAAGCATCCTTGGAAGTCTTTGTACATTTAAGAAATCTGTGTCCCAGTGATATTAACTCCTGACCTAGCATTCTGCACCTGATGGGCTCCTTCTTCCTGGGACACAATTTAGGGAAACAGACCTGTCACAGTGACGTTCCTTGTTATGAAGGATCACAGCTGGGAATTCTAAGAACTTGGTCTTGGAGAGCTAGCAAGTGTTGCATGCACCTTTTCTCAAAAGTGAGAGCAAATCGCATTCTTCCCAGAAACCACATGATTCCCTAACTGCCCATCCAACCCACCATGTTTTAGTGCCCCAGGTTCCCAGCCCTGTTTTCCAGCCAGCCTCGACCCTCGGCTTTGCAGAAAGCTCACCCTCACTTGACTTCAAAGCCTCTACTTTCCTCCTTTAGACTCTGCTTATCCATGAGATGGGAAACTGCAGACGTGTAACCTTCACATAGTTAGGATTTGTGGGAAAATACCTTGTATACTACCCAGTTGGAAAGCGTTCATTGCGGGAATTCCTGCCAGAACAGCCCAATCCAGTGGCCTTCCAGCTGGATTTCAACACTGTCACTGACAGAACTCACATGATGATCCATTTCCTGAGTCTCTTCTCTTACAACTCCATGTGTTGGTCCTAGACAAGAACTTGGGTCTACATCCAGTTAGCTGAACCTCCTTTCACATAGTAGAATTTCAACTAATTCCATTCTTTTGTGGTTTTTTTTTTTTTTTTGAGACAGAGTTTCGCTCTGTTGCCAGGCTGGAGTGTAGTGGTGTGATCTCGGCTCACTGCAAGCTCCGCCTCCTGGGATCACGCCTTTCTCCTGCCTCAGCTTCCCGAGTAGCTGAGACTACCGGCGCCCGCCACCATGCCCGGCTAATTTTTTATATTTTTAGTAGACGAGGTTTCACCGTGTTAGCAAGGATGGTCTCCATCTCTTGACCTCGTGATCCAGCCACCTCAGCCTCCCAAAGTGCTGGGATTACGGGCTGAGCCACCGCTCCCGGCCCTTTTTTTTTTTATTATTGTTATTTTTTTGAGACGGATTCTCGCTCTGTCGCCCAGGCTGGAGTGCAGTGGTGTGGTCTCGGCTCACTTGCAAGCTCTGTCTCCCGAGTTCAAGCGATTCTTCTGCCTCAGCCTCCTGAGTAGCTGGGACTACAGGCATGCGCCACCACACCCAGCTAATTTTTGTATTTTTAGTAGAGATGGGGTTTCACCGTGTTGGTCAGGATTGTCTCAATCTCTTGACCTTGTGATCCACCCGCTTCAGCCTCCCAAAGTGCTGGGATTACAGTCGTGAGCCACTGCGCCCGGCCTAGTTCCATTCTTATGCTTCCCCTTTGATGACTCCTCTACTACCTAAAAATCCTCACTTCTTTGCATCTTTCTTACATAATAGTAGTTTAGACTCTTTCTGCATCTATAGCCTGGTATTTCCTCTGAACAGGTATCAGTTTGGCAATCCTCCTTCTAAAAGGGGGTACACAAAACTGAATGCTATGTTGCCAATATGGTGTGACAAGAAGAGATTAGAGAAAGACTAACCTTATAAATGCAACCTCAGATTACATTAATTGTTTTGGCAGCTACATTGATTGACTAGTATTGAAATTACTGTCAGCTAAAACTCCCTGTACCCCATTGTCTCTTTCACAATAGGCCCTCAGTAAAAATTTGATAACTTGAGTTACATTAAATGTTTTTACACATGAGACCCCCTGCTAGATCACTTCTCTCCAATTCTGCTCATTTTGTACAACTGATATTTTATGTCCATGAAGAGGGATTTACATTTATCCCCGTTAAATGTCATCTCTTTAGGGCTGGCTCATAGTTTCAGTTTGTTGAGATCATTTCTATCCTGATTGTTACCCCAAATATTTTTATTGGCCCCAGTTCCAGGTAATTGATAAATTTATTCTGCATGCGTTCATAAATTTCACTAAGTCATCAACACAAAGTCTTCTGTAAGACTGGGAGACATCAGCTCCCTGCCTTACCATAAGTGACCTGTGGTTTGTCATTCTTTCATGGATTGGCTGTAGATATGGATGTATAACTCATTACAAATCCATCTAAAAGAGGTGGCTAGTAACATCATGGATTCTGTGGGCCAGTAAACCTTGATTTCAAAATTTCATTCTTCCCCTCATTAACCTTCCCTGGGACAAGTTCATTAAACTTTCTCATGAACAGATCCCCTCATCTGCAACAGTACTTCCTTTCTAGGGCTGTTGGGTGGATTAAATGAGGTAATGCCTAAGAAGTCTGGATCAGTGCCTAACACATGTATATCCACCATCAATCTCTCCCCAAAAACCTCACCTCACATCAAATGTCCACATTTTGTATACTAGGATATTGCAGACTCCATGTTCATCACTAAAACTAAAAATTCAGTGCTCTATTAACATGTCTTCATCCATGTTGGCTTTTAAAGTTTCCTCTTAACAAATTTTCAGTGTGAAATCATTCCTTGAAAAAGGGAGTAAAAAAATAGGAATTAAGATTTTTTTTATCTTTGTGTCATCTAGTGACACCTACTTTTAACTTCAGCCATATACAATCCTAGATTCTTTGGCTCTGAACTTTAGAAGAAAAATTCTTTTAGTCCTCTTCAATATTTTAGAATAATAAATTAAGCCAACTGAATAAAAATATAAGTATCCCAGTTCCAGTTTTTAAAGCTATTTCCTCTTGTGATGGATTCTTTTCTGAATGAAGAATTAGCTTCCCACAGATGTTCCTGAATATTTCAGCAAGGACACCTACAATCAGATCTAAACAACCAAAACAAAATGCCCAACAAACAAAGTAGCAAGTAGATTTCACATTCTAATAGCTTATGTTGTATGTCCACAGAATGAATATAATGAAACATGACATGAATGAGTAAATCTGTCAGAAGAAAAACAGATTTGCTGTTGCAAATTAACTAGTAGTGCTGCAGTTTCAAAGCTGTAGATTTTCAGTTACCTGAAATTAGTCATAGTGGTAAGAGACTACTTTTCTTTCTAGTCTATCCCGCAATAGTGTTTAAGCTTATTTCAGGTATTTCAAATGGAGAATTCAAAGCATCCACTTTAAATGAGTCTTAAAAGTCTATTCTCTTCTAGGAGTAACTATTGGTATGTAAAAACACTACATTAATACATAAAGATTTCCTAGGAAGTAAATTATAAGCACGAAACTTGTGCCATACAAAATGGCTACTTGTTTAAAAAATTGTTCAGAGAAGTCAGATTAGGTCCTATTGGCTATAATTGGATAATGGAAATCCATTTTATATGCATTACCAAACTCTCATCAAATCATACCTCAAGGCACCAAGAGGCAAATCACCTCTTGTATTAAACTAGATATGGCCGGTGAATAATGGGTGCAGAGGTGGTCATTTCCATGAGTGGAACCAGATATAGAAAAAAAAAAACAAAACAGTTTCTAGCATTGAGCTAGAAGCTTCTCTTTACTAATAAGATGTGACTGAATTCCAGGAATATTTGTTCAGTTAAAAGAGTAATGGTTTCTCCTCAGTGGCTCTTTGGACATTTGAAATCTTTTGCTTATTTGTTTAGCAGAATTTTTTTTTTAATGTTGAACAAATGCACAGCAGCTTTGGTGGTGCTCTGACCAGCCCCATAGAATGCTGCCTCAAAAGTTTTTCCTGTGACACTTCCTTTCAGAGATGTTTCACATGTGCTTTTTTCCTTCTGCCCACACTCTGTGTTCACCACCAACTTTCCATTGTCAGTCCCCTCCCACACACAATTTCACTCTCTCATACACTCCCTGAATCTTACAGCAGCTCAAACTACCACTCACGTTTTCATTACATTATGGGAAAGGAAAAAAAAAAACTGACTTCCTCAAAAAGGACATAAAGTTCATTTTTTAAAGGACTTAACGTTTTCAAAAAGATTTTCTTTTGTAAGATCTCCTCATTCCTGCCTGTTGTACTTGCCATAATAGGGACATACAGGCTTTCTCTTTGCTTGTGGGACCCCCAAGCCATTTTTCTCTGTTGACTGGTTTTCTCATCAGAAGTTCTTAATTATGAGTCAATAAAATAATACTCTACAGTCACAGCCCCAGGGAAGGGAAGGATTGCTTAAGTATCTAGGTTATTCAGGGAAGGATGGGGGTAGAGAGAGATGTGTTGGCTTTCCATTTTCTATTCAAGCAAAAGCAGTTTTAAAATCTGAAATTAGAAAGGTTATAGGAACTGCTTAAATCAGACTTTCATGTCTGTGTTATAAGCTTCCAACTTGGGAAAGCTTAAGAAAAAGAAACCTAAGGTTTCAAACATGTGCTTGTTTCAAAGCACAAACTTGGCGACTTCTCACATTGCTTTCACTAAACCTAAGAGTTCTCATACAAGTGAGGTCTGTTTTCATCACTTTCCAGCAAAGATTAAATAGCAGGGTGCTGTAGTGATGATTCTGGTTACTGAGATTTCATTGCCAAGTCAGAAACATCAGAGGGACAACTCCATTTAACCATAGGCCAAAGATACCTCTGCCACATGAAGGCCAGGCCAAATGCCAGCCGAATGAATCAGTATGCACAGTGCTGGAGTCAGAAGCAGACACCTCTTCTGGAGTGCTTAGTCCATAGACTGGAGTGAAAAATATCAGAGCAGAGGAGAAGAACAGTAATAGGTGGACATTCCTAAACACGACAGTTATTTAAAACTTTTTTTTTTTTTTTGAGACAGAGTTTCACTCTGTCGCCAGGCTGGAGTGCAGTGGCACGATCTCGGCTCACTGCAACCTCTGCCTCCCTGGTTCAAGCGATTCTCCTGCCTCAGCCTCCCGAGTAGCTGGGGTTCCAGTCACATGCCACCATGCCCAGCTAATTTTTGTATTTTTACTAGAGATGTTGGCCAAGATGGTCTCCATCTTCTGACCTTGTGATCCACCACCCTCGGCCTCCCAAAGTGCTGGCATTACAGGCGTGAGCCACCGCACCCGGCCTGTTTAAAACTTCTTACTCACTTTGGATAAATGATGCTGGGAGTTCAAGCATTTACTTCCAAGACAACCTGGGATAGGATCAGCAGTGATTCCTTAAGTGAAGCTACGTTTATACCTCAATTCTTTTGTTTATTCATTCATCTGTTTAAAATAAAATATTTCTAGAATACCTACTAAGTGTCAAGAAAATACCAAATATATTTCTTTTGGCATCTAGGTAATGAGTTAATTTGAAAGTCTGAGAAAACCAGCAATCTGGAATAACAGTGGCTTTTATTAATCATCTGCTATGTGCCACATTTTATATGTTATCTCATTTAGCTATCACACTTAGCTTCTAAAAAAGATGGGGAGAAAGTATCCAAATGAATGTGCAGAGACAACTTGATTCACAGAGGTAAGAAAGACCCCTCAGACACCCACTGAAGATACTGGGAATTTCAAATAAGGTTAAAGGTACATTACTCAGGGCACCAGGAATGTTCAAAAAATGGACCACAGTTCAGTAGCAAGGAAGCCTCTAGGCACTATTCACATTTGTTTGAGTCACAATTTTAAAATGAGTGAAACTTGTGTCTTTGAATTCAGTATCATTTACCAAATCATACTGTGCTTGTGATATTTGTGCATATGGTAGCCTCTGTGTAAAAAGCTTCTCTCTATGAGATACACTGGCTAATAGTTGTTAAGGGGCCCGGCTCTAAAGCCAGGGGCTATTGGGTTCAAACTGCCACTCTAACACTCACCTACTATGTAGCCTTGAGAAAGTGATTTCAAGCTCTCTCTATCGGTTTCTCATCTGTAAAATGAGGATAATGCTACTTCCTACATAGTGGAGTTGTGAAAATAAAATGCATGTGAGTTACTTAACATAGTAGCCAACATTCACAAAATAATTATCATTGCATCTGCCCCTCTTTTCATCACATTTTTTTTTGAGACGGATTCTCACTCTTGTTGCCCAGGCTGGAGTGCAATGGCACAATCTCAGCTCACCGCAACCTCCACCTCCCGGGTTCAAGAGATTCTCCTGTCTCAGCCTCCTGAGTAGCTGGGATTATAGGCATGCACCACCACGCTTGGCTAATTTTGTATTTTTAGTAGAGACAAGGTTTCTCCATGTTGGTCAGGCTGATCTCAAACTCCCGACCTCAGGTGATCCGCCCACCGTGGCCTCCCAAAGTGCTGGGATTACAGGCGTGAGCCACTGCACCCGGCCTTCATCCCACTTTTATAGTACACTTTTGTGTATCTGTTCTTTCTAGGGACTCAAAAAAGTACTTTGATTCTCCTGTGATTTGATAGGCAATTTGTAAAAGCTAATATTTAATTCATTTAGGAGCAAAACCTAATTATGCTTTATTGCTGTATAATTTCCTCTAGTGTGCAGGTATGTGATGCAGCTTATTAAAGTAAGAAAGTAAACTATGCTGTCTATCAGAATGGGAGAATTTGTGGGTTCTATACACTTGGGGTCCTCAAACTGTAAGGTGTAAATAAATCCTAGGTCTCGTTAAAATGCAGATTCTGACCCAGTAGGTCTGGGGAGGGGCTGGGAGTCTGTATTTGAAAGGTGCTTTCTGTTGGTACCTATGCTGTGGATCTGTGCACCACGCATTGATGCTATACATATTACATTAAACTGTGCCTCATCTGGATTGTGGCACAAGGTAAAATAGATGCAGGCTATCAAGGCTGAGAAAAATGTATAAAAACAAAGACCAGAAGACTGGAGGGCCCAAAAGAGGTGATGCATACACAAGGTTCTAAAGCCCAAGTCTGGACTCCATATGCACATTCAAATTTGAGGAACACTGAGCAGTAACATGCAAATCACCTGAGAATCTTGCTTAATCAGCTTCTCATTCAGCAGGTCTGGGGGAGAGGCTGAGAGTCAGCATTTCTTGCAAGTTCCCAGGTGATGCCAGTCTGCGGCCCACATGTTCATCTAGACCCCAAACTAGTAGCAATGTGTGTGGACAAGGCTGGGTAACAGGCATGAACAATCCTCCAGTCATGAGTAATTTCCTTGAGAGCAGTTGTTTTCTGTGGAAGACCCAGCGCTCAGCCTCCATGAACATGGTCGAGCCTCCCTGGAAAACACTGCCCTCCTATGCTAGCACCTGTGAAAACATATTGGAAACAGGCTATAAAGAGAGAAAAACCTACAGTGTGACACCTGGTCAGCCCACAGCTGTGCAACTGAGAGAAAGCAGACTGGTTTTAACACTTCACTGCTCCTTTTCTAGAAAGGCAGTTCCACCAAAGTCCTGTTATTTCTGACAACTGCGTGTAACCAAAAGTCCCTGAGGTGGTTGTAACACAGATGGAGTTTTGTCCTGAGTTTTGTCACTACGATAAGGAGCTCCACTGAGAGCAGCTCAGCCTCGGTGGACCATTTCTCACTCATACATCTCATAGATTTCTTTAAATCAGAGCACTCAAAGTCTTTATGTAGTGGATTTTGGGTGCCAATTGGATGAATAAAATCTAAACAGTATGAGGAAGGAACTCTTAAGTTTCTTCATTTCTTCCTATGATAGTTCTTCTGAGAGGGAGAAAAATCACAAACCCTCCCCAAATGACTTAGTGCCCAAGAGCGAATCCTAGACAAATTTAAAAAACATTTTTTGGGCTGGGCGCAGTGGCTCACGCCTGTAATCCCAGCACTTTGGGAGGCCGAGGTCTCACTTTTGGATCACGAGGTCAGGAGGTCGAGAACATCCTGGCTAACACGGTGAAACCCCGTCTCTACTAAGAATACAAAAAATTAGACAGGTGTGGCGGTGGGCGCCTGTAGTCCCAGCTCCTCGAGAGGCTGAGGCAGGAGAATGGCGTGAACCTGGGAGGCGGAGCTAGCAGTGAGCCCAGACAGCGCCACCGCACTCCAGCCTGGGAAACAGAGTGAGACTCATCTCAAAAAAAAAAAAAAAAAGTAAAATGACTATATTCAGAGTTGCTTGCATTCCATTTGGAATTTGAATAATCCATAGGCTCTGAATTATAAAGGGTTGAAATCGCCACCTTTACCATTGTTCATGCATTATTTTTATTTATTTATTTATTTATTTATTTATTTATTTATTTGAGATGGAGTCTCGCTCTGTCACCCAGGCTGGAGTGCAGTGGCATGATCTCGGCTCACTGAAACTTCTGCCTCCTGGGTTCAAGTGATTCTCCTGCCTCAGCCTCCTGAGTAGCTGGGATTACAGGTATGTGCCACCACGCCCACTAATTTTTACGTTTTTAGTAGAGACAGGGTTTCACCATGATGGTCAGGCTGGTCTCGAACTCCTGACCTCGTGATCTGCCCACCTCAGCATCCCAAAGTGCTGGGATTACAGGCGTGAGCCGCCGTGCCCAGCTTTATGCGTTTTTTTCTAATGTTGCTTTTTAGGGCTTTGCTTGGCCTGACCCAGTGACAAGAGATGTAGTGCTGCCCGGGAGTACCATCCTCAAAGGACAGAACTGAGTGCATAATCTCTCCCTGTTCAGTAGAGTGCAAATGCAAACTTTTGGCCTCCACATATTTGAGGTAGCTTTTCCATAGTTGGTCCAAAACAAACCTGCAGATTTATTTCTGAGTCCCACATCTAATTCTAGTAAATGTACTGGGTATGCTCATTTCAATTAGATAATATATTAGTAAAAAGTTCAGTAGGAAGGTAGGAAAAGCATGCTTATTAGGTTATAGAAATAGAGAAAAACAGTCATGTAAAAATGCAAAGTTGGGAGTATGTGGAACTCTGTAATTTCTTCACAATTTTGCAGTAAACCTAAGACTGCTCTGAAACATAAAGTAATAATAAAAGAAATGGGCTGGGTGTGGTGGCTTATGCTTATAATCCTAGCACTTTGGGAGGCTGAGGCGGGAGGATCATTTGAGCTCAGGAGTTTGAGACCAGTCTGGGCAACACAGGGAGATCCCCCTGTTGCTACAAAGATTTGAAAAAAAAAAAAATCTAGCTGGGTGTGGTGGCATGTGCCTGTGGTCCCAGTTATCAGGAGGCTGAGGTGAGAGGGATTACTTGTGCCCAGGAGGTCAAGGCTGCAGTGAGCTGTGATTGTGCCACTGTACTCCAGCCCTGGCAACAGAGAGAGAACCCTTGTCTCAAAAGAAAGGGGGGGGGGGGAGGAACGGAGGAAGGGAAGGAGGAAGGAAGAGAGAAAGAGAGGAAGAAAAAAGAAATAAAAAATCTAAAATTCATGACTTTGGAAAATATAAGCAAATATGCTGAATATAGAACATGTATAGACATGATGTTCAAGGCCAGGTGCAGTGACTCGTGCCTGTAATCCCAGCGCGTTGGGAGGCCGAGGCGGGTGGATCACTTGAGGTGAGGAGTTCAAAACCAGCCTGGCCAACATGATGTAACCCTGTCTCTACTAAAAATACAAAAAATTAGCCAGGCGTCGTGGTACACGCCTGTAGTCCCAGCTACTTGGGAGGCTGAGGCAGGAGAATCACTTGAACCTGGGAGGCAGAGGTTGCAGTGAGCTGAGATCATGCCACTGCACTCCAGCCTGGTGACAGAGCAAGACTCTGTCTCAAAAAAAAAAAAAAAAAAAGAAAAGAAAGGATGTCCAAGAAGAAGAGCTTCCAAAAGTTTTCTATTGCTACATCATAATTAACGGGTATGATAGCGACAACAAAAAAAAACTCTGTTCCTCTAGTGGATGGTAAGGAGATCTCCATCCCATTCCTTCTCCAGCGAGAGCAAACATCTTGACAAGGAGCATGTTGAAATGAAAAGAACAATTTGCTTAGAGTGAGACCTGAGTTTGAATCTCAGGTATGCCCTCTTACTAGCTGTGTGGACTTGTGCAAGCTACTTAACTACTTTGATCTTAAACTTTCTCATCTATAAAACAGTAATAAGGACATACACATGATGGCATTATTATGGGGATTAAATAAAATATTGTTAATGAAAACACTAGCCAGTCTGTGCTTAGCTAATGTTTGTTGAATTTAACCTGCTTCTAGTAGCAATACCCTGCCTTTGTGCTTTAATTCTACATCTAGTAGCAATACCCTGCTTTTGTAGTTTAATTCTATGATGAGGGAAATCATGTCAATCAGATGAGAGGTCAATTTGTGGGGAAGGAAACCAGGGAAGACATGAAACCTGTTGGTACATAGGCAAGTGCCTAGCGATCTGCCTGATACACAGTAAGCCCTAAATAGATATTTGTTGAATGCGTAAGGCTCTGGACTAGGAGTACCTAAAATTTCATATAGTTGGTTGTTTTTATCCTCAGACCCATTGTTTCGATATTTGTAGAACATTACATTTTCCAAAGTGCTTTTATACCTATTTAACAAAGCAAACAAACCAAAACCTGGGAGGCAGGTAAGGCAGACCTTATATTCAATTTTATAGAAATTAAAACGGAGGCACGCAGAGAATCACACAAGAAACTTCAGCAAAGGAGTAGGACTAAAGCTCAGGTCTTTGAATTTACAATCCATTTTCCACCACGTCTTTTGAAAATTAGTTTGTCTTTTTTCCTCATACCTACTGCAAATGAAAAAGTAATTCTAACATTTAAGGGAGCCAAGATGAGACATAAAACTGAGTTTAGGAAATTTACAATAAAAGGGAAGATTTTCGCTGAATTAGATAGTGGTTGTGATATTATATAAAGAAAAAAATGGCTGAGGACAAATGTAGAAAAGAATTGATCAGTGATCGTGCATTTCACTAAAGCGTTCTATTGCTTTAGTGAAGCATACTCAGTATCTTCAGTATCAGTAGAAAAGATACTCAGTATCTTTTCAGTTTGGGATATGATGGTCACTGATGGCCATCAGCATTCATTGCCCAGTGTGTGAGGCCACTATGGATGAGTGTTGACTATTAATGACCATTCTTCTATATGATGTCAGCTCTCCTTGACACTTGGCCAAAAGCTGTAATTTTTTTGCATCTTAGGAGCTTATTCTCAACGTTGTAAAGACTTGAAGGGGGTGGGAGGGCAAGGAGAAAAGAAAGTAAAGGAAGATTTTCCTATTAATAGAAAGTTTTTTGGTTATTAATATAGTTGCACAAAGTATACTGCTGATGTTTGCATAGGTTCAAAAGAAAGGCAGAGATTTTAAGTTATTGTGAAGGAGAAAAAAATAGTCTCGATCTGGAGAGCCAACTCCCAATTATCCTCTCATGAAGCATTGCAGAGATAAGACAAGTAGTAGCTAAGCAGCTCCTGCCTTATAGGGTCACCAGTATTTAACCACTAGACTTGTACTTTTTCTGGAGGTGTGTCTGCCTTCTTCTTAGGTGAAATTTGTAACATAGTGGAGGTACTGTCAGGCCTCTGAGCCCAAACCAAGCCATCACATCCCCTGTGACTTGCACGTATACGCCCAGTGGCCTGAAGTAACTGAAGAATCACAAAAGAAGTGAATATGCCCTGCCCCACCTTAACTGATGATATTACACCACAAAAGAAGTGTAAATGGCCGGTCCTTGCCTTAACTGATGACATTACCTTGTGAAAGTCCTTTTCCTGGCTCATCCTGGCTCAGAAAGCACCCCCACTGAGCACCTTGCGACCCCCACTCCTGCCCACTGAGCACCTTGTGACCCCCACTCCTACCCGCCAGAGAACAAACCCCCTTTGACTGTAATTTTCCTTTACCTATACAAATCCTATAAAACGGCCCCACCCTTATCTCCCTTCGCTGACTCTTTTCGGACTCAGCCCGCCTGTACCCAGGTGAAATAAACAGCTTTATTGCTCACACAAAGCCTGTTTGGTGGTCTCTTCACACGGACACACATGAAGGTACCAGTTCCTATAACTGCATAACAAATTGCCCCAAAACCTACTGGTTTCAAGCAATGACAACATCTGTTTTGCCCTTGAGCCTATAATTTGAGCAGGAGTCAGTCCAGATTGGCTCCCTTTGGCTTCTGATGGAGCAGCTTACAGACCAAGGGACTGGAGTCATATGAAGGTTCTCTCACTCACATGTTTAGTGGTTGCTGCTGGCTGTTGGCTGAGATCTTAACTTGAGCAGTCAGCCAGAACACCTACATGTAGTCTCTCTCTGTGACCCAGGCTTCTTCACAACATAGTGGCTGGATTCCCAGCATAAGCATCCTGAAAAAGAGAGCCAAGTGGAAACTGTATCCTTTTTATAACCTAGCCTTGGAAGTCACAGAGCATTACTGCCACTCTATTTTGTTGGTCAGAGAAGTCACACATTCTGGCTCTGATTCGAGAGGAGGGAACGTAGACCCACCTCTCAGGGGGAGGAGTGTCAAAATCACATCGCCAGAAGAGCCTATGAAATGGAGGTATTGCTGTGGTCCTTTAGAAAAACACCATCCATCACAAACTTACAGCAGCCTTTTTTTTGGCTTCTTTGGTATCACTACTGCCCACACTAGGTCTTCAGCTATGACCTTCTTAGGCAATTCTGCATTCTTCAGTATTACTCCAGAAGGGGATCCAAAACCTTATTTCTCAAAGTCATGGTTTCTTAGTTTCGAATGGACCTTGAGAATAGATTTTGAAACCACTATGGTTATAGTACCTGCTTTTCCCTACTATCCTTTTCTGATTGATGGTCCTGTCTGGAGCCCTTGTGGCTAGAAAGCAATGTCAGCTCCTAGTTGGCCAAGGTGGCCACTGGCTGAACCATGGATTGGTACCTGAACCAAGGTGGCTCTTCTCTGAGAAACTGACAAGTTGGCAGTGAAAGGAGAATGGAGCATCAAGGGAAACACAGATGTCCTGAGAGTGGCATGAAAGAGTGAAAGAGAGTTGGAGGGGAAAGCAGCATCTTGGACCTTGGTGGCTTCCCAGGTCCCTCCTAGACCACATATACTAAAATGGCTTGAAGTAGGAGTGATGGTTGCTGGCTTTTTGTTTTTTATTTTTGTTTTGTGGCCAGAAGAGTCTGAAATATCATCTAACCTTCAGAGACCTGGAGCAGGATCCTGACTTTTGCAGAGTCCCAAGCTGATTAGGGAAGCAGCCTGGACTTAAGTCTCGGCCATCTGATCCCATTTTTCATCTTACATTCTTTCCTATATGTAGGTTTGAGAGGGAAGAAACAGAAATCTTGACATCATTAAGAGTTTGGGAGGAGGGGGTTAAAGAAATAAGGAAGGACTGGAAGGTAAAGAACAAAAAAGAGAAGGCTGTGGACCTCGAAGTCATATTTTTCTCTTTGATATTGTTACTTGATCCTGTGTATTTTCTCCATTCTCTGGCTTCTGTAACATCTATTCATATCCTTCCTTTTGGACATCTGAACTATTTCTCTCTTTTCAGATTGAAGGATAACAGTTGGCATATCTAGTTATAATGAGCCGGGGTGAACCAGACATTTTGTTTGAAAGGTGTTTGGAAGGTAAGGTCATTGTCACAACATGCAGCACTATGTTGCTGGGCAGAAATATAATGTGAGGCAGAATAATTCAGACTTGACAGACACTTGCACAGACGTAATCACCCAGAGACAAAAGCAGATGAACCCTTTCTCGGGATGCCGTCTAATCAAATTCAGGCACGTGTACAGCCTGCAGCACTGCAAGGGTGACCATTTCATCGGGCAATGATTATTAAAATTGGATTCCTTTTTCAGAAGAGGGTCAAAATTAGAATTCTGCAAAGCATTATCTTCTTCCCCCAATAGCCATGCCATTTTATAAGAGATTGTGTTGCCTAGAAATCCTCCTGATCCTTTTGTTCTTCCTCACATCTAATCCGTGTTCAAGTTAACAGCAAAACCGGCTACCAGACATACCCAGAGAAGCACAAGAGACAATTAACACCTACCTCTTGGAACACTGGTGACGATTAATAAGATATTGTGCTGCAGCTGCGTATGTTTTTATGTTTTCCACAATCAAGCTTGATTAAAGCTGGCTTTTGTGACATCCCCTGATTCCATGTGGTGTTGGTAGTTTTAGGCGATTGGTTGTACAGCTCCCTTTTCCCCCTCAGAGGCAATCACTCCTGCAGCCATTTCCTGACATATGCCAGGGAGGAACTGATGTTTCTCTGTGGCTGGTGACCTAGTGCACAGTAAGGTCATTCCTAAAAAGCTGGCTGAGGGAGAATTTAACTCTTCAGATCAAATATATTTGTTCCACCCCTGGCTCTGCCTCCTGATCAAAGTCAGGGGTGATTTCAGAGAGGTGGCCCTTCACTCAGTCAGATGCTGTGCGCCTGCTCTCTCTCCACGGGCATTAAAAACAAGGCACTCATGTGAAACCATGTCCTCATCATGGCAGCCGACCTCGGTTTATCACAGAGTCGAGGCCCACATCTTTGATCCTCCTCATAAAACTGTCTGAGAGAGTTGCACAAACCCACGGATGTCTTTTATTGTTTTTCTAATCACTTTTAATGTGTTTTCCCACAGTTTTTGTAGGTGTTGATGTCTCAGCCTGGCTGTGTCAGCAAAAAAAAAAGAAAAAAAAGAAAGAAAAATTCCCAGAAAGAAACGCTTATATGAATTGTGATATTTATTTTTTTTTTAAGTTAAAGAGTACAAAATTGTAGATCTCATCAGGATTTAAATTGTATCCCAGGTAGAGGATCTTATTTAAACACACACACACACACACACACACACACACACACACACACAACTAAGGTCTCCAGATATTCAATTTTTTCTACTTCCCTCAAAAATTCCCTCAAAAACGCCACTGTCTGTGAATTCCAACATGAAGAAATTAATTATTCCCAAACTATATTTCCACTCTCAAATGCTCACTTCTCTCCCACACCCCATGCCTTATCCTATCTTTCATGGAAATCCTTTTGACAAAATGTAGGCTTGGAGTTGCTAATAATTTCAGGACAAATGTTTAGGTCAGACACAAAGGTATTTGAAAATAATAGAAAGAGACTGAATGTGATTGCAGCTTTTCTATGAAAAAGAGTATATTTCTAGGTGTATTTTATGGCCTGGGGAAGACTCAGCCCCAAATAAAAACCCATCCCCCACCACATTGTCAGATTTTTAGTATTAAACATTGACATACCTTGTAACTTTGGCAGTGGCCTGTCACTTGGACGGTTGTCTGCAAGTACTCCTATGCTATTTTGGATAAAACCTACCTCATTACCACGTATGTTGTGAAAAGGAATGATTGTACATATCACATGCATGCCTGCTTCTTTCCCGGTGACATGCCTGTCCTCTTGTGATGCAGTTCAGTTCCCAGGGGACTGTAATGCCCCTGAAAATTGACAGTCACATTCTATTAGAACATATTTTTCCCATTTAATAACATGATACAGGTAATGATTCATAATCCTCAAAGGGCCTCCTGCCAGTGACAGCTGAACTCAAGTAATTGAGAACACCATGCAGTTTGGGGGTGACTTCACTTTTATGGTTCAATCAAGAGTTAAACCAGCAGTATATCTGGAGAGACTTTCAGTAAAATTACATTCTCCTGATACATTTTCATGTCTGTTTTACATATGTGACTCTGGCCTCTCCAGGCATGGTGACCTGAAAAAGGACCATGAATGGTATATTTATTCCTTATTAGACCCTAAGTCCTACAAAGGTAAAAATATGTTCTCCTTTTTATCTCCGTATTTTTAGTGCCTAGGATGGTGCTTGGCATATAGCGTGCTCAGTCATTCTTTTCCCTGCCTGGTGGTATGCCGATCAGGAAAATTCTTTGATTTTGATCTCACACCTATCGGTATCACTACATTGAAGCTCCTCCAAGCCCCTTTAAACCCTGGAAAGATTAAAGTGCCTGACATTCATCCAGCCCTCAACAACCAGAGCTACTTCCTTCCCACTACCTGGTGGCCTTAATTAGGAGCCCTTGATGCCATTTCCATAACTGCCAACACCTATCCTCCTCATCAGACATGGTTCAGTTACAACAAGACTAGGCTTCGAAAAGGTGGTCTCACCTTTTCCATTTTCTCATAGGCCCCTCACAGGACCAGAGCTGTGTTGAAGGGTTTCATAGAGTGGCAAGAAGACTCTGTGCCCCATCCAAAAGCGGTCCTTCCTACTGACCATCAGCAGCACCGCAGAATAGATCCAGGGTACCTTAGCTCTCTCCTACCTCAAGATGAGTCCCCTGCTTTACTCCCTAAAACACTTAATTATTTTCTCAGAATCATTTTAGGATTAAGTGTAATAATGTATATAAATCGCATAATATAGTATCTAGCATATTACAGTAAGCATTCAGTGATTGACAGCTTATTCAGTTTTCTGAGTTAAACATTGAAATCTATCTTTCCATAAAGATGGATTGTAACAAATATTAAGTTTTTATATGGAGACAACTTTGTGGGGTTAAATAAGTGTGGATTTCCCAGGAGATTTAACCTTGCTTTAAGTACTGGCTTTGACAATGACTTCTTCAAGGATTTTGGGCTAATGACCCAGCATCTCTGAACCGCATCTTCTTGAGTAAAATTTGGGTCCTCATACTTACCTCAAAAGGTAGATATAGGGATTAAAGGAGATAATTCCAGTGATTGCATATTCTAAACAATAAAGCACTATACACATTGAGGAGTCTTTTTTTCCCTATGCTCCTATTCTCCAATGTGTTATGTGAATTAGAGGCAACCTATATTTTGCATTCACAATAGGTAAGTTATAGAACTGAGGTTTAAGGCCAGGCGCTGTGGCTCATGCCTGTAATCCCAGCACTTTGGGAGGCAGAGGTGGGTGGATCATTTGAGGTCAGGAGTTTAAGACCAGCCTGACCAACATGGTGAAACCCCGTCTGTACTAAAAATACAATAAATAAATAAATAATAGCCAGGCATGGTGGCGGGTGCCTGTAGTTCCAGCTACTTGGGAGGCTGAGGCAGGAGAAAAGCTTGAACCCAGGAGGTGGAGGTTGCAGTGAGCCGAGATCACGCCACTGCACTCCATCCTGAGTGATGACAGGGTGACACTCCATCTAAAAAAAAACAAAACAAAACAAAAGAACTGAGATTTCAGAAAGTATTGCTACATGCATTAAGACACTGACTTTCCATGTCCTTGTTATGCTAAGGACAAATATTGCTAAAGTGGAGAAAGATGGTGGTAAACCCACGTCTTCTGATTTTTTAGACTGTATGACAAGGTCTGTGGTACCTCTATGGGTTTTTGCAGCCAGGGGCTACTACAGTGGTTTGCTTTGCACATCATACAAAAATTAATGCAACTAGACCCAGGGAGATTTTTGTTGGCTTGCATTTGAGATATGTTTTTAAAATTGCAGAACAAAGTTTAATTTGGTTTCCATTTCCCTTGATGAGGAATAGCATCTCTACTGCAAGAAAACCTGACACTCCTTTATTCTTGCAAGGATGGTAAAATTTTCTGGGTCACAAAATAAGCAGTAGAGGAAGAAATGAAGTTGCATGCAAGACTCCTAAAATAAATATTCCTTTGTGGTAATTATTAGAAGGCTTAGATTAAGAAGTCAGCCCCAGGAGTTTGGGCCATCCTTCCCTCTAGTTTTCCCCTTCCTGCTTTGCTTAACGTTGCTTGTGTAACATGCTAAGAAGGAGCTGCTTCGCACCATGTTTTCCAAAGTGCTCGGAAATGCTGAATGGCGATTATAAAACAATGCCTTAGGGTTTCTGCGCTCCAAGAATATTACTCTAGCCAAAGGCCAAGACAAGAAGATGTCCCTTAAAACAGATCCACTGTCAGAGGGAAATAGTGGCAAGAGATTTGAATGATCATAGGTGCCACAAGAGGCATTTATTGCAGGTTAACAATTGCACATGCTTCAGGCTTTGTGGGTATCCCACAAGTGTATGTCACAGTTGCTCTTCTCAAGGAGATTGTTTCACTTGGGCTTGTGGGTACTTAAGTAATAAAGTGAAATAAGTAGGCTGGGTGTGGGGTTCACACCTGTAATCCTAGCACTTTGGGAGGCCAAGGCGGGTGGATCACCTGAGGTCAGGAGTTCTAGACCAGCCTGACCAACATGGTGAAACCCCGTCTCTACTAAAAATACAAAAATTAGCTGGGCATGGCGGCGGGTGCCTGTAATCCAAGCTACTCAGGAGGCTGAGGCAGGAGAATTGCTTGAACCCAGGAGGCAGAGGTTGCAGTGACCCGAGACTGTGCCATTGCACTCGAGCCCGGGAGACAGAGCAATACTCCATCTCAAAATAAAATAAAATAAAGTGAAATAGGTAATGTCTAAATGTTGGCTGGAGAATTTCAGATGAGGGAAATCACCATAGATGGCAGTGTCCTGGGGGAGTGTTCACAGAGGATATGCGATTGGTAAGAACCTTCCAGGACAGAAAAGCAAGGCATCCCCTTAACAGGACTTCCTATTCATGCAGCCTTTAGATCTTATGTGACCTCATGACAACTGGCTGAGCCAGGAAGGGTTTTCCTTCTAGGGTATGAAGGAAAGGAGAGGCGAATTTGACCTGCCCCTCATGCCATGTGGAAGGACTGGGATGGGAGGACAGGCCATCTGCTCCCAAGATCAACTCCTCTGCCTTGACGATTCTGTTGCCGCCTTTTGTGAAGTCATTGCTGCTTAAATGTTTTCATCACCGTTTTACTCCACTCAGTGGTTAGCACATGGGGGATATGCCACAAGTGTTTCCTGCTGTCCCCTTGTCCTGAAGAGAAACAGGTGACAAAATGGCCATACTTCTGAAAAATAAAAGAGCAAAAACAATAGTACATATCTTTTGCCTCCTTCAGGAGAAGCAGTTCTAATCAGAATGTTATTGGAGTGAGGCAGGAGCTGGAGAAAGTGAGGAGTACATAATGATGTTGGGGGACAAGAGAGAAGAAACGAAGACAAAGAAGTCCCTGTCCTTACCTTCTCGACGCCCCTGTGGCCTCTGCCATCGCTGAGGGTCCACTTCCTTGCTTCCTGAAATTCTGTCTCCTGTGGCTTGCATGGCATTCAATGAGCTTGTGTACTTCCTCTTCCTCTTACGAGTTATTCTGCCCCTTTCATACTTCTTCCTGTACCCTCCTAGAGGTGGATGACCCATAAAGCTCAGTCTCAGCTCTTAGTGTCCTACCCGTTTCTTCCCCCAGAATTGCCATTTCTGTGTGGATGGTTCTGAAAATCTTAGTCTTTCCAGGATGGACCCGATTTCTGCCCTGAGCTCCAGGCCTTTATCTCCAGGACTTCCCAGGCCCCTCAAACTGAACCTGTTAAAGATGGAACTCTGTCCCACTGAAAATCAGCTCCTCCCTCTGGTTTCTTATTTACAAAACCATTTTGTTTAGAATGCTTTTTCTTCTTTCTTGCTTCCTGTCATGGTAGAAAGAGAAAAAATATACTCTACATTTGAGGCTCTTCCTTTGGTGGTGAAACATTTCCTCCAAGATATTTGTGGTTGATAGCTGTAGTCTTGTGTCCAAGTGCTCTGGGACACATCTCCCCGACAGCCCCTGGGTCCCAGAGCCCCTCTGTAAAAGGGAAAGAGGAGTAGTATGTTTGCATAGGCAAGAACCTGGCAAGAGATGGCTTGTAAATGCCAAAAACGATCATGATGGGGTGCAAGGAGGAGAACGATATTAGGAAGGAAGTAGAATCTTATCATCCATGGCAACTGGCAAAAAGGGTGCATGCCCATTTGAAAGGCACTTTGGCTCTGATTCAGTGTGTGGTGTTCTACATATCGAGAGGCTGGAAAACATATGAAAGAGAACTACTCATGTTTTTCCATCTGTACACATGTGTTCTGCTGGTGTTAAATTCTTGTTGGAAGAGTCTCTCATTCCATAATATACACACAGAAAAATATTCCCACCACTTAAAAAATTATTATTAAAACCAGCTGAGTAAATTCATAGAGCATTGTAGCAGGACAAGTGAAATGTAAACTCACATTCTCTGGGATTGTAAATGCCTTTAACACATATGCTACTTCATATGAAATTTATTCCACTACTCATATTGTGTTTTCATGTCATTGATTTCAAGGGCAACATTTCAGGACAAAAATGCATGGCTGCAGACACTGAATCTTACTCTAAATTCTGAAATGTAGCATTAGGCACAGAGCCCTCCTTCTCGCGTAAGAGGACGTGAACAGAAACCAATTTGAGAAAAGAAGCTGTTCTCTTGCTGCTATAACTTACCCAAATCTTGTAAAAGGAGCAGGCTTAGATTGCTTCAGAAATGAGCAAAGAAGCTACCTGAGAAGGAGACTCTCTGAACACCACCAGTCTGGCTCTGATGCACTTCATCAAGTGATGAATCCATATGCATTAAGATTTAGTATCCACTTTTGCTTTGCTGATGAGCCATAAGCTACCTTGTTGAGGGTTAATTAGAAATACTACTCAATTCTGACCACAGGGAGAATGGCCTGCAATGAGGTTTTAAGCATTCATGTATTCATTCAAAAAATATTTATTGAGCACCAACTATGTGATAAGCAGAGGTCTAAACTTTTTGGATACATAAGTGTACAAAAGAACCAAAAATTCCAGCCATATTTATCAGAATATACTGTGCTTTGTGTTTTAGTTGAATCAGGGCTTTGCCCAAGTGTCGCTCTCTACAAGGCACTGTGGGACAATATTGTTGGAATACCCAAGACATGGAAGGCATGGTCTCTGATATCAAAGTAGCAATTTCACCAAAGTTGTCAGATTTAGGGGTTAGCATCCCAGCCCTTGTGACACCAGCAGTGCTTCTTCTGAGGGACACTGCTGAGAATGGAGAAGGTGGCAGGCAAGGGCCTTCCACAGACGCCTCCCTCCCCTAAAGAATGCACAACCTCCTTTGCCCTTGCTTGCTTCCTGGGTTGCCTTTAACTGGACCCATATCCCTTGGCATCTGCCATTCATTATTTGGTTTCTACTATCACCCTGTCTCCAGCTCTGATTTGGCTCTTCATTACTGAACTTTGGCGTGTTGTTTATTCTCTCACTGGAGTTTAACTTTGGGTGGTACCTGTTTTCTGTTTCATTAGTCCCATGACTGCATTGACAACCAGAAGGAACACTGTCCTTTATCTGACATGTATTTACACATATTTTCACTAATATATTAAAAATGTATTTATTGAACACGAATCACATGCAAGCATTTTACTGGGGCCCTGGGAATAGAGATGCCCTCATTGGATTGCAGAGTGGAGTGGGAAGGTCGGAAAAATGAACCAATAATTAAATATAATATCTTGAACACAGAAGAGGAGCACCTACCCATACTGGATGGAGTCTTGAAACACGAGGGGAATAAGACAGAGAAGAACGCGCCCGGTCTTGGGGAGGTATAACACATATGCAATAAGGTGATGACATATCACCGTTAGATAATAATCGCAGACAATGAAGAGTGTGTATTCTTCTCAGCTCACATACAATCTGATAGCCCAGTTCACTCTTCCCTCCAATGGTTTTTACTCCATCCTCTTTCTGGTCCCACCATCAATTACCTTGGAGACAGTAGGAAATGAAAAAGAAAAGAGGTGGAGGTAAGAGAGAGGAAAGACAAGTGGGAACCCAGGGCTCAACTAGTCTGCACCTCCTCAACCAGTAGTTTAAAAAAAAAAAAAGTAGAGGCCAGGCACGTTGGCTCACGCCTGTAATCCCAGCACTTTGGGAGGCCGAGGCGGGCGGATCATTTGAGGTCAGGAGATCGAGACCATCCTGGCTAACATGGTGAAACCCAATCTCTGCTAAAAATACAAAAAATTAGACAGGTGTGGTGGCGGTCACCTGTAGTCCCAGCTACTCGGGAGGCTGAGGCAGGAGAATGGCGTGAACCCGGGAGGCGGAGCTTGCAGTGAGCCAAGATCACGCCACTGCACTCCAGCCTGGGCGACAGAGCAAGACTCCATCTCAAAACAAAAAAGTAGAATCTACACACAGAAGCCACCCTTCTCCCTCATCCTTTCTCTCCACAGCTTCCAGCCCCATGCATTAGCCAAGGCATTCTTCTGTCCTTTGCTGCCTGATAATCCACGCATCAAACATCTACCCCTTCTTTGTGAAGGAATAGAATCTACACTCTTCTTGCTTAGCTTCCTGTCAAAATGTAGTGTTCAAGGAATAATCGAGGTTCTTTGAGCTACCTTCAATTTTCTAAAAAGCTTATCAGAAAGCAAACTGTATCTGTGATAAGACTGAATAAACTCACTGAGAGGCCAATTTTCTGTGCTTTTCGCTGGTATGATAAAAATAATTACACTGGTACTCTGGTGAAGATGAGAAGCATGGATTAGCCATTATCTGTGTCTGATTAATTTTTAAATTCCATTAATTACTTATTAATGCAATTTGGAAGAAAAATCTTTCATCCCATGATATGGGCAGAGGAGGGAGAAATAATAAAAGGCTGGGATTCCCTTGTTTGTGAAAAGGTTGGAAAATACCACCCAAGTGGACATTGGAATGTAGAATGTGAGCACGATGCTGGGCAGGTGCACTGTAGCACATGATGTGCCCTGAACCAGTGGAAAGGGACCGTGTGATGCTGTGCATTCTCTGAACCTGTATCCTCTTGAAACCAACAAACAGAAGGCATTTTTGTTGTGGAGCCCTCTGTACAATGTACAGCAAAATAACTCAGAACCAGAGATGTTGCTCCATGTTAGGTAATACTAGAAGAATAAAGTTTTACTGGTCGGGCACGGTGGCCCACGCCTGCAATCCCAATACTTTGGGAGGCCGAGACGGGCAGATCACGAGGTCAAAAGATTGAGACCAACCTGGGCAACACGGGGAAACCCCGTCTCTACTAAAAATACAAAAATTATCTGGGCATGGTGGCACGCACCTGTAGTCCCAGCTACTCAGGAGGCTGAGGCAGGAGAATCGCTTGAACCTGGGAGGTAGAGGTTGCAGTGAGCTGAGATCACGCCACTGCATTCCAGCCTAGTGACAGAGCTAGACTCCATCTCAAAAAAAAAAAAAAGTTTACTTTCTTTTCTGTTTGTCTTTTCTTACCCCATTCTGCTGGCATAACAGAAATAGAGGTTAAGAATGGGAATTGGCTTTACAGAAAACCAGCCATGAACTCACTATTGCTAGTGCCTTTCAATTTGCGTCCCAGGACGTGACCAGGTTACTTCCTACAGATGACCTCAGCAGGACTTTTTTAGAAGGAGGAGCTCGAGCACCCACCTCCTGGGTTGCCCATCCCCAGGGCCTGGGAGCAGGAAAATGCAGCATTTGGAGAAAGTGCTAGATGGAACAGGTTTGCTGCAGGCAGAGCAGGAGGAAAGAGAATGGGTCTTTGTTTCAGGTGTGCTTTTTCATTCCTGTTACAGCTGAGTGCTGGATAAGGATGCACAGTGGAGCTGGCACTCTCTCTTCACTTTAAAAAATCCAGTTGTGTTGCTATTGATTGACATTTGGAAACTGAAGCTGAGGTTAATACAGAGTAAACTATTCTCTCTTATGAAGGGTTATTAACTCGTTCAGGCCTTCTGTCAGTGGTATGTAATTCCCTGCATGGGAGTCAGAACAACAAAGTTGGAAGGTTAAGAGAAACTTAACCCACCCATCGTAGAAAGAAGAGGCCAGAAAAGCAAAGTGGCCTGCTAAAAGTCACATCAGCAATTTATGGCAGATTAATAATAATAAATTAAGCCTACATGAAACTTATGGTGTAGTTCAAATCTGAATAGCACCACTAGGCACCCTAAATACCATTGCTGCGTTGCCAATTCTTGTGAAATAACCCAAGTGGATTACACAGAAACGTTTCTCAAATCCCCACACCAGCCAGCACAACTTTATGACTCATGTGTTTGTAGCTGATCTCAGCATAGTGAATTTTATGTACTTCATTTCCTCCCTGATGTTCTTCCATGGAAGGACCCTGAGGTTCACAGGGCACTATGCCATCTTGAACAGCAGGATTTCTCCAGTCCCTGTGCAGGGGACAGTGTGTCATTCTGGGACCCTCAATGAGGAAAGGCATCTAAGAGATCTCTCAAGGACTAGTATTTTTCAAAATGTGATCCAACAACCCTCCATCCACAGGGGGCTCATTAGAAATGCAGGTTCTGAGATCTATTCCAAAATTACCAAATCAGAAATGGAGCAGAAATATGAAAATTTAATGGGTTTCCTAGGAGATTTTAAAGCACACTAAAGCCTGAGAGCCACTGCCCTGGGCTGCCTGGACTTCATCTCTCCTCACCATTTTCATTCCTGGGAATGAGATGATATGGTCTTTGACTAGAGTTAGATAGGTAGATAGATAGATCTTACATTTAAATAATATCTATCTACTAATTCAGTCAGCTTTTATTGAAGGCTTTCTATTACTAGGCACCATAATGGAATTAATAAAGGTAGAACACCTACCATATTCTATACTGATTGCTTTCATAAATTAACTCCTTTGATCCTTACAACTTTATAGTTACTACTGTTATATTCATTCAACGGAGGAGCAAACCAAAGCACAGAGAGATTAAGAAAAATTTTCAAGATTAGAGAGCCTGTAAATGGCACAGAGTTTGAACCCAGGTAGTCAGCTCCAGAACCCATGAGCTTAACTACTATATGATATACTCTTCTCAAAGCTGGAGAGGAATAAGACTTGGTTATTGCAGCAACCCTCCCAGCCCCAACCGCAGGAGCTCACAGTCTCAGCAGGAATCCAGACTTCAGACATATACATAGGTCATTACATATGCTTGTTAATTGCTATGATAATGTATGAACAGAATGCTATGAGAATTAGGAGGAAATTATTAACTGCCAACGGTGTCAAGAAAGGCTTCCAGAAAAATATATGGCTCAGTGAGAACAGGATTTCTGTCTCTTTAGCTTCTTCTAGCACAGTATTTTACAAATATTAGGTGCTCAAAATAAATATGTTGAATGAGTGAATTAATGAATGAGATGATTCATTGCAGCTGGTATTGAAGAATCGGGAGGAGATTTTGTGACAAGTAAGAGGGAGAAGCATGCACACAGCCTGGAGGAGTAAATGGCTACAAATAATTTGTTTTGGCAAAAGACATTAAATGTGACAGGAGCAAAGGTGCCTGGGAGAGGGGTGATGGGACTGATGTGAGGAGCAGGGACAAAGAGGAGGCTGAGAGTGAAAGATCTTCTGCTCTGTGCGAAAGAATTTAGATTAGTTCTCTGGGCAGCCTCCTCAGGCAGGGGAGTGACATTATCAGATTTCTCTGATGGGAAGACACCTCTGGGGGCCAGTGTGGAAGGCATAAAGTGGATTAGTGTGAAGGAAGTCTGGCAGGAGGAAGGCCAGCTAGGAAGATTGAAGGAGTAAGAGCAAGAGATTTGGAAGGTCTGAGCTACCGCACAGGCCAACAGGAATAGAAAAGGAGGACCCATTAGAGACACTTGTTTGAGGCAGGAGAGGCAGGATTCAAGTGAGCAGCGAGTGTCCAGATTAGACTTTATTTTCTAACACAAATGGCAATGGCATTAACTGAAATAAGGACTCCAAGAAAGGGAAGTATGAGGTGGAGAGAGTTAAAGAGCTCAGTTTTAAACAGGTTAGGTTGCAGTCACCTGTCAGTCCTTCCAGGGAAGAGAAATTCCCAGCAGGCATTTATTAAGATGAATGAACAGCAAGTTTTCAAATGGGGACATGGTGTTTGGTATCATCAGCATCAGGGAGGGAGGTGAAGCCATGGGAGCAGAGAACATCCCTCAGGAAAAGTGCATAAAGGGAGAAGAGAGAGGACTAAGAATGTATTCATGAAAAGTAGCCTTTAGCGGGTGAGCAGTCAGTAGGGCAGAACAAGATGCTGTTATTTCAAATCAGGGTGGTCTAATAGAGGAGTCACCTTGTTTTTATTCAGAAGAATTTTAGGAAAATGAAACTCCTCTAAAAAGTTCTAGATAGGCTGAAACCTAAAACAGACAGTACCTTTGTATTGGATGCTTTGGGCACCAGCCCTCCTTCACCTGTGACAGACACATAACATCCCCTTCCCCATCTGGGTGAATGCCAGCGAACCTCAGAATGCAGAATTCTTCACCAATGCTTTAGCTATTGACATTCGACCTTAAGCCTTCGGTGGCAGCAAGTTAGGAAACTTCAAACATCAGCAATTACAGCTGTCTGGTTGGGTCCTCTTTCTTCTAACTTCCACTGTGCAAGGGGAACGTCTATCAGTCTGCACACCCTCAGAGCAGAAACAATAAGAAAACAAGAAAATAAGGAAACAATAAGAAAACTATTTAACTTAACGAAAATAACCACTTTCTTTTAAAATTAGCTAAACAAACATGATCACACTTATCCTTTAAATTCAGTTGGCTATTTGCAGAAAACTGACTCACTCAATTCAGTTGGGAGTTTTTAGTCTAGCATGTTTTTGCAATCCCTGGGGCTTCCCACAGCCTGAAAGTCCTTCATAATGTGGGGTGTGTGTGTGTGTGTGTGTGTGTGTGTGTGTGTGTGTGAGAGAGAGAGAGAGAGAGAGAGACAGACAGAGAGAGAGAGACAGAGAAAGAGAGACAGAGAGGAAGAGACAGGCAGAGAGAGAAACAGAGAGAGAGAGCGAGAGAAATGCTGGCATTCAATGAGAATTGTAGGGAAATGATATTGTACAAAGGATATTCTCTGTGTCCATTAGTCTGTCCATAAGATGACTGTGTCCTCATGGTCTTGTGCTGTGCATGATACCTGCACAAATATCCTGCCTAAGGCAGAGCAATTTACAAAATCATAGATACTAATGTCAAATAAATATATGGGGGAAATGTTCAACCTCAATTGATGTCAAAGAAATACAAATAAAAGCGACAATGTGATACTGTTTTTCTCTTTTAAAATTGGTAATGCTGTTTTTAAAATTGTAATACCCTGGGTTGCCCCCAGGAAATCAGAAAATGAGACTCTGGTACTCTGCTGTGAGAGCGTAATTATGTATAACCTCAGAGGACAATTTGTCGATATGTATCAAAAACCTTAAAAATATTCGTAATCTTTGACCCACCCAGCAATTCTTCTTTTTAGAATTTATGTGCAAGAAACAACGAATTGGATTTTTATGGTATGTGAAATATACCTCAATAAAGCCATTTTTTTAAAAAAACAGAGATATGTAAAATGTAAATATTTATTACAGTATTATTTATAACTGAAAAATTGGAAAAGCCCTAATGTCTGTTGTATGCCACATCTGCTCAAAAGAATATAGCCATTAAAAAAATTACGTTAAGGTACAACTTTGGTTCTTAAAGTGTGTTTGCCAGACCAACACCATCAATGATATCTCCTGAAAACTTGTTAGAAATGCAAATTATGGATCTCTGCCCTAAAGCCACCACATCGGAAACTGGGATTAAGATTCAGCACTCTGTGTTTTAACAAGCCTTTCAAGGTGATTCTGATGCTCACTAAAGTTTAAGAACCACTTGCAAAAAAAAATATTCTTAATAAATTGCAACGTGTAGGGAAAAAAACACACTACAAAGCAATGTATAATGATGTGAGGTCAATTTATCTGAAAAATATTGTGCATATGCATGCCTAGAAGAAACAGTGGTGAGATATATTTGAAAAATTAACAGAATTTATCTACAGATGGTAGATAGATCTCTTTCGTTTTCTTCTGTATAATATTCTGTATTTTCCAAGTTTTCTATAATTGTTGTCTATTATTTATATAATGGAAAGTTCTTGCCCTTGAAAGTTCTGGCCACTAAGACATTTATGGAAATATATTGCACAAGTTCAATGAAGAGGAAAATAGAAAGGATGGGTGGGTTTCTCCCCTAATCAGTCCTGTTGGGAGGCTCATTGCCCTTGAAGCAGAATTTGACATTTTTTGTGCTTGCTTTACTTATGAAAGTGACACACTATCTGTCTTAAGCATTGTACATCAAAGGGTACATGGTCCGCGGTGCCCATCAGATCTTTGACCCTACTTTCTTTGAGATCACGATAGGGTGGTTTTTCTTCTTTTTTCTGTGTTGTGTTCAGGGATTTGTTGTATGTTGGCTTGTGCCTCCTGCTATGGAATAGGTGAGTTTGGGGCTTTGGCACAATCTGTATCACTCTAAAAAGAAGATCAAGAGCATGTTCTTCTTTCTTGGGAATTTCTTATAGAATCCTAAATAGCAACAGTATTATTGGTAAAATACTGGGATGGAAAAAACACTGGGTATATCAGGTGCCATAGGACTCTGTTACTACACTGTGTGATAGGGAAAAAAGGACAGGCCCAGGTTCCTTGTAACTAGTTCTGTAGCCTTGGGCAAATCTTTAGTATTCTCTGGGTCTTGCTTTCTTCACCTTTAAACTGAAAGAGTTGACAAGATGATCTCTGAAGTCCCTTTCAGCTCTGATTTCTATGCTTTTATGACTAGATTCACAGAGATAGACTGACCCATAACCAGAAGGCAATATAATGCTCTTTCATCTGTTTCCTGCAGCTTGGATTTGTGAAAGCGCAGTATTGGCTGGGCACGGTGGCTCATGCCTATAATCACAGCACTTTTGGAAGCTGAGGCAGGTGGATAACTTGAGGTCAGGAGTTCGAGACCAGCTTGGCCAACATGGTGAAATCCCCATCTTTACTAAAAATACCAAAAAAAAACAAAAAAAAATAGCCAGGCGTGGATGGGTACCTGTAGTCCCAGCTACTCAGGAGGCTGAGGTAGGAGAATCGCTTGAACCCGGGAGGCAGAGGTTGCAGTGAGCCGAGATCACACCATTGCACTCCCGCATGGGCAACAAGAGCAAAACTCCATCTCAAAAAAAAAAAAAAAAAGAAAGAGAGAAAGAAAGCTCAGTATTTCTTCAGAAGATAGAATATCCTTTAATGGGCTTCTGCCTGCTCTGGCAATGAAAATCTATTTTGAGATATTACCTCAGCAATATTATCAATACGAAGTGGTATTTGGTATTCAGGACCCTTCCAGAACAGTACCAAAGGTTTGGACAACCTACAGATAAAAATGATCATTGCTGAAAATGTAGAGAGAGACTAGATAGATGTCACAGGTCACTGGAGTAGGAACTATTTAGTGGAGAAGATGGAGTAGCTGTATAGGTCAGTTAGGAGACTTGGGTTCTAATCCTAGCCGTGACCTTGTCTAAGTACCTTGTCTTTCTCAGCTTCAGTTTTCTCATTTGAAATATTTCTGGTTGATCTCCAGGGTTATTTTGTTTGTGAAGATAATAAGAGCTTATGATTGGAAGAATGATATTGTGGGTATAAGATAGTTGACATACCTAAGGGAGTCTCCCAGGAAATAGCCACTGTAGACAAATAGAAAAGCTGGAAGAGTTGATAGAACTGGAAGGAGCCTCATCAACTCTACTGAAGGCCTGAATCATTTCTACAGCATCCAGCTTTTTTTTGACAGGGAATGAGAGATGAACACATACCTTGTCTGGGGCTGGCAACTGCCAACTTTTTCTTGAAGGGAGGGAAGTGTATACTTAAACTGCCGAGACAGTCTCGGGTTTGGGAAAGAGATTTCTGTTCATCTCTTTAAACTACGGAACGTTTATAGTGTGCACTCCACTGTAAAGGAAGCCCGTGAAGTTTGCTTGGCATAGGAGTAATGTGAGTAATGAAGTCTTGGCTCCAGCCAACATTCTAAAGCTGGGTTTTGCAAAAGTTGCAAATCCCCAGAGGAAATGCTGGAGCACAGAAGGCCTGCATATCATGGATTACACTAATCCAAGCAGGAAATGATAATGACATAGCTACACAAGCAGTGTTTTTCATGGCTAATTGGGAAGGATGGTCATTTAATCAAACTATGCCAGACTCCAGGCTTTTCGCATCTAGGGCAGCCTAGGAAAGAGCCCTCCTCAGACCCCCTTGTTCAGGGTAGTTAAGCTCAACTGTAAGTTCCATGAGGACAGGGACTTTATCTTTTTATTAACTTCCTTTTTTTTTTTTCTTTTTTTGAGACGGAGTTTTACTCTTTTGGCCCAGGCTGGAGTGCAAGGGCGCAATCTCGGCTCACCGAAACCTCCACCTCTCGGGTTCAAGCGATTCTCCTGCCTCAGCCTCCCGAGTAGCTGGGATTACCGGCATGCACCACCATGCCCGGCTAATTTCGTATTTTTAGTAGACAGGGTTTCTCCACGTGGGTCAGGCTGGTCTCCAACTCCCAACCTCAGGTGATCCGCCCGCCTCAGCCTCCCAAAGTGCTAGGATTACAGGTGTGAGCCACCGTGCCCAGCCTATCTTTTTATTAACCTCTAATACCTAAAACCTACTACAATTCCGGGAGCATAGCAATCGCTAGATCTGGTCTGGAAGATCTCTGAGTATCTAACTAGCTTTTTAATAAAATGCTTTGTTTTGTACCATGTCGAGGTACCAGGACTTGACTTTATGAGCCTCTTATGAATTAAAAAAAAAAAAAAAGTCAGACCTGATTCTGCATGTAAAGAACTGGATATGTTCATTGCAGAAAAAAAAAAAAAAAAAAAAAAAGTTAGATTGATAAAGTAAAATTAAGAGAATGCTTCCATGTGTGAGGTTATGTACATGCCCTTTAACTTTATTTTTCTTCTGTCTCTAACCAGACAGAGGCTGGGGTCTGGGATGTCTTCTCAGCATTTAAATGCTTCTTAATTTAAAACATGTTTTCAAGAGCTGAAAATGAATATGATGGCTGCATGGTATAGTAGAAGGGAGTAATGTGCTGAGGGCCTGAAGAGCTAGCTTTCAGCCCACAGGTACTGGCACCAACCTGTTGTAAGATCCAGCTTTCCTCCGCTGCAAAATGAAGGGCATCTATTGCCATGATTATATTTCCTAAACCAAAACTCATCGTCCAGTTCCTTATGATTTGGGAGACAGGAGGCAAACTGGGAGATATATCTGGAAGGTAAAATGTGGAAAGTTCCTGGACATGTTGATGCTGTGCAAACGGTGGAGTCGCATACGAACTCTATAGTTGTGGAGTAAACTCAGGACATAGGAATGCTGAACGTGAAACAAAACAATCTTAAATAAGATATAGAATAGACCCTGAGATCATGTTTTTATTGCCTCACATTCTTCTTTTGGCATGGAAGTAAATAATTCCAGTATCTGGAAGACAGTTGGAGGGTCAGCTGCACATCCCCCATTCTCAATCTCAAGTGACCTCCCTGCCAGTCTCTTAACATGCGACTTCCCCATCTGCTGGATCCCGAGATTCCTCTGTCCGTTTTACAGGGTAAAAAATGAACCTATTAAGAGACTGAAAAAGATCCGGGCTGTTCTGCTCAAGTAGTCATACTAGCAGGGAATGAGATTTATGAGATGAGGTAATAGACATACAAATAGAAAAATACATTCTAAAGGAACTTTTCCCTCAAATGCCTATTTCCTTTGTGATTGATTTGTGTGGGGGAGGCTGAGGAAATTTAATTCCCTTGCCTTCCCCACCACATTCCTCCCGTTTCAGGGTCTAAATGTTCCTAATTGCAGTACAGAGGCATCTTCTCAGAGAGCGGTCCTCAGGGACACTTCCCACTCTCCTCAGCTCTGCAGTTTCTAGTGGCTTCCTTCAGTGACATTCCTACTTTTCATTGACTCTTGAGATATTATATTAAAATGGAAGATTTATTCCCCTGGCAGAAATTGAGGTCACTGATATTCAGGGAAAGGTGCAGTGCCTCTCCAGTTATCCTGCAACTCTTTGTCAAACCCTGCAGAGTGATTAATAGGAAAGTGTTCGACAAGGGTCACTCGCAGAGGGCGGGGACTCTGGTTCAAACCACACTGTGTGCTCTCACCCAAGTGCGCACTTATAATCAATAATAGATACTGCAAGAGGACATACTGTGTAGCAAGCACAGGGCTACATAGATTCTATTCCTTATTTTATTGAATCCTCAAAACGAATCTTTAAATTGGGGAGTGTTAGTCCCTACTTTAAAAATCAGAAAACTGGGTTGGGCTCAGTGGCTCACGCTTGTAATTCCAGCACTTTGGGAAGCAGAGGCAGGCGGATCACCTGAGGTCAGGAGTTCGAGACCAGCCTGGCCAATATGGCAAAACCCCATATGTACTAAAAATAGAAAAATTAGCTGGACATAGTGGCAGGCGCCTGTAATCCCAGCTACTCAGGAGGCTGAGGCAGGAGAATCACTTGAACCCTGGAAGGGGAGGTTACAGGGAGCCGAGATCATGCCATTGCACTCCAGCCTGGGTGACAGAGTAAGACTCTGTCTCCAAAAAAAAAAAAAAAAATTGGAAAACTGAGACTTCGGTCAACCTATTTGCTAAAGGCCATAAAATTTGTAAGTATCACAGTTGGGTTCAAATCCAGCTTTCTGATTCGGAAGCCCATTCTGTCGGCCAGGTTCGAATGAGAATTCAGAATACCTTCCAAGGGAAGAGACGAAATAGGAGGCAACCTGAAGAGTGCATTGAAGAATAAAGGATCAGGGGCTCTTCCCCCGTGCCTTGATGTAAATAACTCTGTGAGATCATCTAAACATAAGCACCCCAGGGCTTTTTGTAGGCTCACAAGACACATCTCTTCTGCCTGGTTTCCTGCTGATTTAACATACAAGTGCTTATTAATCTCTTTCTATAGGGGAAAAGCACTGTGGCAGGCAAGAGAGATACAAAACTTATTAAAACATATACTCTTTCCTGATTCAAGGCAATAAACACTACAGAGCACGCAGCTATTAATAACTATAATAAATTCGGAATATGATATTACTCTAAATAAAGTAGAACTAGTATATAGAGTAGAGGCAGTGGGTTAGGAGTTTTTAAATTGTAGTTTTTTCCCAGACCAGCAGCATCAGTATCACCTCACCTAGGAACTTAATAGCAATGCAAATTTCCAGGCCCTACTGGAGAAACGGGGCTGGCAGCGTAAGCTGTACTTTAGCCCTACAGGTGATTCAGATTCTCCGTGAAGTTTAAGAATCAGTGGTTTAGGCCGGGCGCGGTCGCTCACACCTGTAATCCCAGCACTTTGGGAGGCCGAGGTGGGCGGATCACGAGGTCAGGAGATCGAGACCATCCTGGCTAACACGGTGAAACGCCGTCTCTACTAAAAATACAAAAATTAGCTGGGCATGGTGGCGGGCGCCTGTAGTCCCAGCAACTCGGGAGGCTGAGGCGGGAGAGTGGCGTGAACCCGGGAGGCCGGAGCTCGCAGTGATCTCGGCTCGCAGCCGAGATCGCACCACTGCACTCCAGCCTGGGTGACAGAGCGAGACTCCGTCTCAAAAAAAAAAAAAAAAAAAAAAAGAATCAGTGGTTTAGAGGCACGGTTAGTAACTGAATTGGCTTCACAGGAGATGGGGTAAGGGACTGACAACAAATCCGCCTGGAAAGGTAATTTAGGGCTGATGATTTAAAGGCATTGAACTTACTGCTGTGGAGACTTCATCCAACAGTGGATGGCAAGCCATTTGGTAAGCTTTACATTTTAGAAAGATTACTGCTTGGCAGTAAGTTTCAAAAGGGACTGTGCCATCTAAGTAAAAACTGACCACTGATTTCTCCTCTTTTTCATATTTCTGCTGTTCTTTCCACTCAAGTTTCTATGACAAAAGTTCTGATACAACTTGTCTTTATGAAAATCATATTAACTTCACTAACCCTTCAGGGATTCCTTGCAAATCTATATTTTCCAAATCTGTATCATAAGAAACAGAAGCAGCCCTTTCCCCACTAGTTAATAGGAAACAGAAGGCTCTACTCCGGTGTTAGAGGGGCCCAAAGGCACACCTTTTGGGATTTTCACACTTTCTCCTCTACCATTTACCATTTCTCCCAAAGATTTTATTCTCTTAACACAGTAGATTTTATGTCCTTTCCTGAAAGGTAAGTCTGGGACGATGAAGCCTTATCCACATCCTCTTACCAAACTCTATCTTTACCCAGGCATTTGGGTAATACTTGTTGTAAATAATAATTTTAATAAGAGCTAGGGGGCCTTCAGGCAGCAAATGCCCAGACTAGTAGTTCTCCACATGGTAGTCTCAGTCTTGACCATTCTTTCTAGAACCTGGTGACAGCTCCTCTGTGAAATTAAACAATAGACTTCATATATAAATTAGGACTTGTCAGTTCTAGCCTCCACCCAGGCAAAAGAAATCTGCTGTGATTTCAGGAAAAGCTTTTCTATCTCTTGAAGTTCTCAGAGGCTTTAGGAGTAGAGATCCATGCCAGTTCCAGACTCTCCCTTGCAGCTCCTCATGAGCTGCCCTTTGAAGGCCACTCTGGACTTCCCCTGTGCCACACAGGGAAACTGGGGCAGATGGTCAACCTGGGCAGCATATTGCTTGCAGAGCCTATCTCTATGTGTGGGCCTGGTCACCCCAGGACCAACAAAACAAAGCTAGAGAAGGACAACTGGGTGGTCCACTGTGTTAGGGAAACCAACACGTGTCAACAGACTATGAGAATTAGGACTCTTTCATCTGTAAATAAACTATGATTTTTCACCAAATCTTGGAGTGTATAGGACTCTTGTAGCACCTATTATCCATGTAATTCATTTTAGCAAGAATTATACTCTCTCAAACACTTTTTCTGTTTAGCCTTGCCTTCCCCACAGGACTTGGAATACCTTGAGAACAGGAAATATGATTTATATTTCTTTTGAATACTAAAACCACAGCCCTGGAAACACAATAGATAATTCTCCTTGAACTGAATTAAAATGGAAAGGGATATAAGAATTAGAGACCACCCCTTGAAGCTTGGAAAAGGTAATTTGAGGGTAAAAATAATGAAAGGAAAAGAAAACAAAATGTAATCTTAAATTATCAGGTAGCAAGTTTACAGAAGTTCTTACCCACAAAGGCAATATAAACAGCAAATACATAGTTCCCAACCTTTTTATTTGGATTCTTTCTGGCCATGGAAATCTTTTGGAACCCACATGTACAAGCTTTATCTATATCTATATCTAGCTATCAATCATCTGAATATTCTGTGTAGGGATTAGATATATCTAATATTGATGTAGAGATAAATGGGTAGATCATAGATACATACAGATAAGTAAAATACCCTTTTACTTGCAAAAGTCAAATTTTGTATAAGAGATACTTATCAGTTATTTCTAATGATTTTCATGCATACTCCATGAGCATGTTATTCTTGCCAGTGAACTGACAAGAATGGTGGTGGGGAGAGGTAACATTTAAGTGGGTCAGAAGGCTGATGGCATTTTGCCAAAGTCCCATGACGTTCCATAATGAAAATTATTCTCCTACTGTAGCACTCGCTGTTCCTCCACAGACCACCAGTGGTGAGACACAGGATGATAAACATTGCCTTATATGCTTTATGTGATTTCACAGGCAAAGCTCCAAGATGCTATATCAGGATGTTTGAGGAAGCTCTTAACTTTGGACATGAGAACATCAAGTAGGACAGCCCCTTTCTCCTACCAGGTGTCACTTCCTATTAGAAAGGAAGCTTGTGCATCATAGGTCTGACCCATTCTGACATGCATCTTTACTACTGGAGTTTTGAAACTTCACTGCATTCTCCGAATGTCAGCATTGAGAAACCTACAAAACACAGAATGTTTATCAATCTCTTCTTGTAGTGTCTGCCTTTCTGGCACTTCCTTCCTCTGCTGAATCATCTCAGCACTGCCAGGGAAACAATTTGAACCCTTTTGCCTTCTGAGTCTGCCTTGACTGCCTGAATGAGACATGGCTGGGGACTTTAAAACCACTGCAGTTACTGAGTCCACCACCCCTGCAAGTGAGACACAAGGCCAAAAGAACATCGAGTTTAGGATTCTGCTGTGTTTTGTTTTTATTGCTTCATAATACTAAAGTTCCATCTCAGAGATGAAACATTGTATAAAGAGACCTAGGTTTGCTTTCACTGGTAATTTGCTTTTCCTCCCCAACAAAACAGATGGAATTGTTGTTGTTGTTATTTAATCTTAGTACTTCTGGATGAACCATGACCATTCTTTACTTCCTCTGGTCAAACTTAAGGTGGCTTTCAGAAATTGGTTAATATGTCCTCAGATTACCTCTGTGATCTGAAAAGTATCCTTGTTTTTCTAGTTGGAAAAAATGAAGCATGAAAGGCTTAGGCAATCGCCTTATCCTGTCAAGGATGGAAGCATGAGTGGTCACTGGGGAACTGACTTCCTCCTCAGTGTCTTGGAGGGAGCTCTTGCCTTCTAGTTGGAGGGCAGTAAACGGGTGCTATCCAGGGGCAGCCATCCCAACAATGAGAGTTAGCCTCCCTCTCAAGGAGGGAGACCACAGCCCTGCAACTCCCCGCAGAGATGCCTCTTCCCTGGCTGACAGTTAAAGCAAGTGACCTTCAGCGAAACCATGGAAAGTCCAAGTGACTAATTTCATGAACCTCTGGTGTGTGAGGGGCGGAGGAGGAGGAGGAGGCTGCCTGGGCACAGGGCCAGCATGAGCCATCTCCAGTCCTTGCAGGGGGTTGAGGAGAAGATGAGAGCAGAAGGGGTCAGAAGAAAACAGGCTCCTCTGTGTGGTTGGGGGAGAGAGTCTGACCATGTGGACAGATGGAAGCCCTGGGTTACGGAGGCGAAGCATGTTAGCAAACCAGGAGCATTTCCTGTCTGCAGACAGGCAGAGGGCCAATTCTTCCATGAGCTGGAAATAGGAACCAGTGGGGGGCGGTCAGCACAACACTTTTCCTCTGTGGGTTTTACGTAGTGAAGTAAAGAAGCTTGTTATGTCAGTGATCCTGGGAGCTTGTTTATGTGCTGTGTTTTCTTTTATGTTTCCTCTTGTAATACTTGATGGTTCCCAATCCACAGAGGCCACATTGCAGTTACGTCCCAGACACACATCAGGCGACAGCCATTATTCAGGCTGTAATCATTTTGCCCAGCAGCATAGCTAGAAATGTTTAGACCATGAGTTAGCTTGTTGGGCCTTTGCTTCTGGAATGTACACATTCAAGGAGAGCAGGAGGGGCGGGGCAGGGACAGTTCTTTCTCTTTCCCTTGCTCTGAAGAAGTGACTAGGCTTCCAGTAAGCATTCATCACTGAGCAACTTAGTAGAAACAAAGCACTGTCCTTTGCAACCTGGAGAATAACAGCTAAACATTGGACCAGGGTGTTCTAGGTAGCCAGAGACTTTCCTCATATATATATATATATATATATATATATATATATATATATATTTGAATTGTTACAGCGCCCATGAGGTGGGTAGTATTGTTTAGAGGAAAATAGGGCTCAGAGAAATGTACAAGGTCTCATCATAGAAAACCTGACCCTGCTTTAAAGGACCATTTCAAGGAATGTGATCAGCAAGAAGGCAGGGTGGAACTAAATATTTCTCAGCCCTGTCAGCATTCCCAGGACCACTTCCTTTATGGGAATCTCATCATCATCTGATGCATTCTCTTCACCCTTTCTGGCCCAGCTTGGATACTATCCTTTCTTGAAGTTTGGAAGGGAGCCCAATGTAGAGCATTTCTTTTTCCCACCTGAATTCCAAATGAATTAAGAAACTTCGCTGTTCTTCATTTTAAAAAAGGACTAAGGTGGAAGATGGAGCTTGGCAAGTGAAGTCCCCAATTAGGCAGACTTATTTACCCAGTCATAGGCATCTAGGAGGGCCTGCTTGATGAGACTTACCGCGTGGAATAGCAGAGCACTGCTCCCTGCCAGCAGGCACTCCCTGGGAGAACGGGGAGGATCAGGACCCAGCACACGTCTGGCACAGTGAATCAGGAGCCAAGAGGCCGGAGTGTTACAGCTACTGGGGCTTCACAGGCTGCTGGCAGTAACCCTCAGATGTGGAGAAGAGTCACTTCACCTAATGCTTCCTCCAGGACATCTTACCTGGCACCTTTAGGATAGGTTAAGGTGCCCTTTCTGCTCCTCCATGGCACTCTCTGCACGTTACTATCTTGTCACATCCTGAATCGTAAGTTAATGTTCATGTGTCCCTCTCCCTCAAAGGACTGTGCACTCTGGGTGAATATCCTGGGTCCTTCCATCTTTTTATTCACAGTGCCTGCTACCTCTGAGAGTTTGTTGAACTGAACTGAACTGAGATACTGGGCCTCTTTACCAACCAATACTGAAAATACTTTGTTGTTGGGTGGTCTTATTCACTTCTGCAATGTTATTCTAAGTATTCATTTACAAAGTCAGGATAAGCACTGATAAGACAGCCTACAAGTTCTAAAGGGAAGACTATGATATGCAGATAAAAGCTGCAGAGGCAACTGGCAACTGATTCTATTTCTCAAATTGAACCTGGATAATGTCTGAGAGGAGGTTGGTAGGAGCAGCTATTATTTGGAGTAAGTGTATGTGCTGGTAGCAAATCAATCCAAGATTTGATAGGGAGCCCTCCAGTTGCATTTTCTGTGTTGCAGACTGCTCAAAAGTTTTGTCCCCAGAGTAGCTACCGCACCTGGGAGCTTGTTAGAAATGCAAATTCTCAGGCCCCACCCGAGACCTACTGAATCAGGATTTCTGGGAGCAGGGTCCAGGAATCTATTTTTAACAAGCTCTCTAGGTAATTCTTTGTTAAAGTTCAGTTTGAGAAGCTTTGTTAAAGTAGTCCTCCTTCTCTAATGTAGGAAGAACAGATTTGCAGAGTCAAAGAAAATCATAGTGAGAGCTCACATATTTTGCAAAGTGTTGTTTTAAACACTGTAAGTATATTACCATCTTTATTCCTTGTGACAATCCAGTGACATCGTTACTATTTTTGTTTTATCATATTTATTTATTTATTTATTTATTTATTTATTTATTTATTGAGACGGAGTCTTGCTCTGTTGTCCAGAGCTGGAGTGCAGTGATGCGATCTTGGCTCACTACAACCTCTGCCTCCCAGGTTCAAGTGATTCTCCTGCCTCAGCCTCCTGATTAGCTAGGATTGCAGGTGTGTGCCACCACACACAGCAAATTTTTTGTATTTTTAGTAGAGATGGGGTTTCACCTTGTTGGTCAGGCTGGTCTTGAACTCCTGACCTCATGATCTACCCACCTTGGCCTCCCAAAGTGCTGGGATTACAGGTGTGAGCCACCACACCCAGCCACTATTTTTAACTTTCCCTTATAGATGAGACAACTGAAACACAGGCCACTACCTCACTTGCTTTGGGTAAAAAATTTGAGAGAATGTCAAAAACCTCAGTAATCAAGATTAATAATATTTTAATGTAATCCTTTAAAAAACCAAAATTAATCCTAATAAATTCATGATGATCAAAATACCAAAATATAAAAGAAAGGCAAGATTCAATAGGCAGAATGTTACAATAACTTGCCAGGATGATACAGTTAGGAAGAGGCAGGGTAAGGACTTGAACCCAAGTGGGTTGACCCCAGGGACCACATGCTTAACTGCCATCGTGTGGTCCTCCTAACAAATAATACCACTACAAGTCTTGATGTTTTGATAGGACAAGGAAAGGTACAGGCGTAGGAGCAAGCGTCATTTGGGATTAAGGGATGCCTCATTGTTTTGGACTAATTGGGACCTCATGCAAAAAAAAAAAAAAAATTCTAAAAACAGAAGCAGAAAATCCAGATGGGGCCTAAATTTTATACCTTGACCATCTATGAATTTAAGTATGAAAAAAGAAGATTTCCAAAGCATCCTCTTAATTTTTCTTCTGGCTGGCTCCTGCTGGGAGAATCAGTGGGTAAAACTACCCTGCATTCTGGCTGTAGAAATGTGATAATTAGAATCACTTAATATAACTGCAGTGTCCTCCTTGGTTCCTCCACCTTGAGAGAGATAGATGGAGCATTTCCCTTGCTTGCATCCAATCTGTGAGATTCTGGCAGGCAGGCTGCTTGTCTTGAGGGCTTGTCATTGAGAGCTGGTCACCTAGAATGCCCCGACATGTTTGAGCTGCATTGTTAAACTACATTGGTATTCTCCCAGCAAAACTCCTCTCCTTCTTTTACCAAATCAGCATTCTGTGAACACAGTATTTCCTTGCCTGGAAACATTGCAAGTTTCTGCTACACCCACCATGACTCTTCCTTGCTTTATACAAATTGGCTCTAAGGAATATTTCTGGTAAATGTGTTCATGTGTCAGGAGACTGAAACAAATTTCACATGATACACTGAAGAAAATGATCAAAGGGTTTATGGCTAGCCCCCACGGTCCCTCGCTTTAGTTGGAAGAAAAGAGAGAATGAGTTTTATACACCTAGAATTCTTGCTGGCCATGTGCTATATGATATTTAAGGTAAGTGAGAACTGCAGAGTTTTAACACTTAAACATTTGGACAGAACTTCAACTGGTGTTCTATCTTCTCTGTCGATTATATTTTTAATAGCTGTAGTAGTTGGGAATAAGTTGTTTCTCGATTTGTCATTTAAATCCAGTAGAGGTCATTTGTTGGATGTTACCAAGTGAGTGCTGAATGAGTCTACATTTCTTTTGCTGTTGATAACAATATGCAGTTACTCTTTTTCACCTATTCTTTTAGACAGAATCTCACTCTGTTGCCCAGCCTGGAGTGCAGTGGTGCAATCATAGCTCATTGCAGCCTCAAACCCCTGGGCTTAGTGAACTTGCCACCTCAGCCTCCCAAGTAGCTGGGACTATAGGTGCACACCACCATATCTGGCTAATATTTTTATTAATAGTAGAGATGAGATCTCAATATGTTGCCCAGGCTGGTCTTAAACTCCTAGCCTCAAGTGCAAGCAGCCCTCTTGCCTTGGCCTCCCAAAGTGCCAAGATTACAGGCATAAGTCACTATGCCTAGCTATAAACATTTTTTCAACAATTTATCTTAAAAATATGTATTGATCACCTATGAACTAAAATCCTAAGGGCTGTATTAGTCTCTCACTGCTATAAAAAATACCTGAGACTGAGTAATTTATAAACAAAAGAGGTTTCATTGGCTCATAGTTCTGCAGGCTTTACAGGAAGCATGGCAGCATCTGCTCTGGGGAGGCCTCAGGGGAGTTTTATTCATGGTGAAAGGCAAAGTAGGAGCGGGTGTCTTACATGCCAGGAACAGGACAAAGGAAGAGGGGGAAGGTGCTACATACTTTTAGACAACCAGATGTGAGAACTCACTCACCATCATGAGAACAGCACTGAGGAGTTCGTGCTAAACCATTCATGAAGGAGCATCCCCACGATCCAATCACCTCCCACCAGGCCTCACCTCCAATACTGAGAATTACAACTGAACATGAGATTTGGGTGGGAACACAGATCCAAACCATATCAAGGGCCGGTTATATGAGTTAGATATAGTTTCTGCCCTTCAGGAGCTTTCGGATTACTTGCTGTCAAGAAATATAACTCATAACTGTAATGCAAGATATGACAGACTAAGAAGAAATAATGGAAATATTTTGGATGCCCAATGATGGGAGAGGCACCCCTTGGAGAAATCAAGAAAGACGCTGCATTTTAGCTCAGCCCTATGGATCAGAAGGATAAAGAGAGGTGAAAGAGTGTCCCAGGCAAGGGCAAAGGCAGGAGCTGAGGAAGGATGGATGGAGCATGTTCTGAAAAAGGAAAGTGTCCCGGTAGGCTAGAAGAAAGTGAAAATTAGACGAGGGAGTTTGAAGTGTATTCAGCAGGCACCAGTGAGCAACAGAAGGTTTTGTGTTTCAGCAATGATGGGAGATAAGTAGAGCTATGCTTGAAAGCAATGCTTTTCAGACTTTAATGTGCATTCAGATCACCAAAAGAGTTTGTTAAAGTATACATTTAGATTCGGTAGGTCTAGGGAGGGGCTTAAGATGCTGCATTGCCAAGAAGTTCCCAGGTGATGCTGATGCTGCTAGACTGTAGAACACGCTTTAAGCAGGGAGACTTCAGAAAAATGCTGTAATGGGAGGCAAAATAAACTAGAGTTGGGGAGGCCTGGAAACTGTCAAGCAGGGGTTAGTATGGTGGCCCTACAAGGGTAAAGCAGGTCTGAACTAGAGTAGTGACCACAGGGATGGAGACGAGGACTATCTGGTGGCAGTCAAATTTTCAGGGCTTAATACTATCTTATGTAGGGTGAGGGGGAATGGGTCGCTCATTAATGACTCTAAGACCCCAAAGCTGTGGGTGTGGGTGCTTTGAGCATGTCCCTGCCCTAACTCTCTGCTCTCATCATCCTGAACTACTTGCAATTTCCTCAGAGTTGCCAGGCTGTCTGTCTGGGCTTGTGTACTGTTGCCAATGCTTCAAGAAATGCTGACGTCTCTCTCCATCCCCTTACTAGATTAACTCCTACACAACCCATAGGATTCAAGGTAAGTGTCACTACTTCCCAGAAGTCTTCCCGGGCACCCTAACCCACTCCCTGCTCCCAGTCTGGGTTAGGTATCCTTCCTATGTGCTCTCACTTTATCTTGCAAGGTCTCATATCCAAGCACTGTGTATTCTGATTACACACTTGTCATTGAAGCTGAGCTTCGTGAGAGCAGGGATTATCTTTTTCAGCTTTGTGACTTCATCACTCCCACATAGTAGAGACTCAGTAAATGTTTGATGTATGAATCAGGAGGAAGAGCAAAGCTTTTCTTGCTGTGATGGCAATAACTTTTGTATTTGTCAAAAATTGTTAACGAAATTTCAAGTCAATTATTTAGATATTGAATTTAATTTAGATTGGTACATGATAATTTGAGGGGTAGAATATTCAGGCGAAGATATCCAACAAGTAGTTAGAAGTTTTGGAGTACAAATTAGAAGACAATTTAGTACTGGCCATGATGACTCAGGAGTCATATGCATTGAGGTGACAGTTAAGAACATGGCGGTGGATCAAATAAAGACAGAGAGACAGGCAGAGCCAGGCAGAGACAAAGGAAGAAGGAGAGATCAGCAGAGAAATTTAGAAGAGAGAAGGAGAAGGAGACCGAGAGAAGACAGAAGGAGACAAAGAGAAGGAGACAGAGAGCAGACAGAGGCAAACAGAGACAGACTGAGGACAACTTTACTTTTCTTTTTTTGAGACAGAGTCTCACTCTGTCGCCTGGGCTGGAGTGCAGTGGCGTGATCTCAGCTTACTGCAACCTCCGCCTACTGGGTTCAAAAGCAATTCTCCTGCTTCAGCCTCCTGAGTAGCTGGGACTACAGGCACATGCCACCATGCCCGGCTAATTCTTGTATTTTTAGTAGAGATGGGGATTCACCATGTGGGCCAGGCTGGTCTTGAACTCCTGACCTCAAATGATCCATCTGCCTCGGCCTCCCAAAGTGCTGGGATTACAGGCATGAGCCACTGCGCCTGGCTGAAAACTTAACTTCTCATTTTTTTTTTTTTTTTGTGACGGAGTCTCACTCTGTCACCCAGGCTGGAGTGCAGTGACGTGATCTCAGCTCACCGCAGCCTCCACCTCCTGAGTTCAAGCAATTCTCCTGCCTTAGCCTCCTGAGTAGCTGAGATTACAGGCGTATGCTACCATGCCCAGCTAACTTTCTTTTTGTATTTTTAGTAGAGACAGGGTTTCACCATGTTGGCCAGGCTGGTCTCAAACTCCTGACCTTGTGATCTGCCCACCTCGGCCTCCCAAAGTTCTGAGATTACAGGTGTGAGCCACCACACCTGGCCTACTTTTCAATTTTGAAGAGCTTCTGTGATACCGTGGATGAGGCACATGACTGGGTTGCATGTCACAGTGGAAGGCAATGTTCGTCACAGAGGGCTACTGGAACCTTTAAGAGGGAGATCCTAAAGTGACGAGGTTTAAGATGCCGCCTTAAGCAATAGGGCTATATGTGAGGTCAGGATTCAGAAATCAATTTCACATCCATGCTAACTGGGCCTGTTTTACGCCTTTCTAGCTTCCTGCCTGGGCAGAATCCATTCGTCAAAATGTAGATGGACTTAAAGCTTTGTCTCAACTCCTCTGTCCTTTGGTTTCCAAACCACTTTATGAGATCATCTAATCAGCTCACACATGTGCTGTCTGTCTTTCTCATACACACACACTACTTCTTCCTGCCTTCTCCTATCAGGTAGTGTGCGTGCTTATGTGTGTGTGTGTGTGTGTGTGTGTGTGTGTGTGTGTGTGTGTGTGTGTATTTTTCAGAATTTTCAGACTTTTCAGGCCAGAAGGACATTTCCCCACTTCATATTGATCCCCAACATTTCAGGGAAAGCAATGCATTAAATAAAATAATGTTCAGCTTCAGGCGGGTAGGCACCCTGCAAATCATAGTGTAGACAGGCACCTACCAGGCCTCCAGAAAGAATGACCACACCTAGGCTTTTTTTTTTTTCATGTTACCCAAAGCAGCATTTTAACAGACTTCTATTGTGTTTTCTCCATTCAGTTCACTTAGAGGGTGACATTTTGCCCTCAAATTCATATGTATAGTTGCTCTAAGAGACTTTCAGAGCTGCATGCCTGACAAAATCAGACCTTCTGTTTTATCTGAAACAACCCCCCAAAGAAAATCATTGAATCTGAATGAACAGAACAATTCTTTATGTCCACGGGAGACAGGCAGACAAAACCCAATAAAAATGAAGAAAGAAAGAGACATGGCAATGATTTGTTTTTCATAATTACTTATTCAGAGTAGAAAGGAGCAGGGGAAGAGGGTTCCTTTTAACATGTCCCGACGTGACAGATGAGGTGTGCTCGTCGTGTATACGCAGGAGAGATGAATGCACCACAGTCTTGTTAAAGGAGATGCTTCTCATTGGACAGAGATATATTTCTATCTGGAATGCTGGAGATAAACACCCAGCATTTTACTCCTCATTTTCATTATGCCTAAAGCCCCTGACTGTTCTTTCAGAGTGGCAGGTGATGTGACTAGCATGCATCAGACCATTCTTTTCTATGTCCTGTGGCAAAAACAATCCCCCTTTTAAGACACAACACAGGGGTACCCCAAGTGCATACTTTGCTCCGAACAATACCCCTACAATGTGCATGTGATAGATTCGGAAATCATACTGGAGTGTAAAAAACTACATCATCTCTAAATTCATTTTCCTTTCCTTATAACCAGTTTACTTTGGTGCAAAATTTGCCCAAGAAGGGTTTTAGCCAGAAATCAATGGAGAGAAAGAAAAAAGGAAAGTTTTAGTTAAATTGTCTTTGTTTCTTCACCTACGTGGAAAAGGTAAAGAAACTTTTTCTACTTAAAGCACATAGCCTTTGCTCATGGAAGAGTCGAATCCAAAAGTTTCTGACTTGAACTATAAAAGCCATAAATCAGATCTACGATTTAAAAAAATATAAACTAACACTATAATTTTTCATGTATCTGATTAAGGGAGGGTTTAATGCATTCATGAATCATTTCCTAAGACTGTTATGAATTCAAGGATAAAGGATGAAAAAAATGATAAGTGCAGGAAGTATAAAAATAAGGGTTATGCTATAAACTTTTATGTATCCATATTACAGTCATGTAGGGACCTAGATTGTATCTAAAGCCATGTAAATATATAAGTTAAAACTTGGGGATTTGTGGGTAGCTGGGAGATTATAGTCCACATCACTCATCTTATAGAAAAGGAAGTATTGAGGAAAAAAGTTTAGCTGTATAGCATATATAGTATTATTTCTTCAGTCATGCATATAATTACTTATTACAAATTTTCTTGCACCTACAATGAGCCAGATACTAAGTACACTACAATGAGTTTGACACTAACTCATAAGTGGGTATTCTATAAATGGTTTCTTAATAAATGAAGGATAGAACATGATCTCACTCTGGGGTAGCTGAAAGGTTGAACTCAAGTCTCATGATCCCCAGGAGATCACATGGCCTTTCATTTTCAGCAAAGAGTGTGCCAAAACAGGTTGGTCTGGCACCATTTTTCTCAGAGCTTCTGCATTAAAAAAGGCTGTCAACTGCCTCTTTTCACTTTTAAAGAATCTCAACAAAAATAAGTAACCAACAGCATTTTCAACATCAAACTACTTCTCTCTTACAAACCCAAATGAACAACTGTCAATAGATGAGGAATCCTCAAGTTTGGATGACACAATCCTGCCTCACTGCTGTATTCAGAGTCCATGTTGTAGGATGAGGAGTGTAGAAAACCCTGATGCTGCCATTTACTGAGTACCTATCTCATGGCAAGTATTTGAGGTCCTTTACACAGAGATTTCATCTAATCCTCAAAGTAAACTATGATATGGTGTGATCAGCTCACACAGTTGAAGATGCTGAAGGTCAAAAATGTTAGACAACAGACTCATAACAGCTGGCAGGTGATATATCTTAGATTTGGACTCAGCCCTTTCTGACTCTGAGTCCCATGGTTTGTCCCCTGTCCTGCCTCCCCGATTCACTGCTAATAGCAATATTGTATACAATTCTTAAAAATCATTTCAACTATGAGCAAGTAGTGAGTACATATAGCCAGACTGGCCCTGAGCATGGTTTCTCATTTTCTCTTGTCAAAACCTACCAGATCTCATGGCCTGCTCAAGGATCCCAAGAGATGGAATTCCTTATAAGAAACCTATCTGGTTTCCTTCAAATAGTTAAGCTCCTGCTACCAATAATATTATAAAAATTATATCCTGAGGGTGCTCTTATGTAAGATACCATGCTACCACAATGATATGGATATATAAACCTTTTCCCTCACTTTGTGGTTATAGGAGTAGATTGAAAATCATCCATATTTTATGTGATCATACTGCATGTCACAATGTTTGTGTGTGGCACACACACGTGTAAGTATACAATTTTTTTTTTTGAGACGGAGTCTTGCTCTGTCACCCAGGCTGGAGTGAGGTGGCATGATCTTGGTTCACTGCAACCTCCGCCTCCCAGGTTCAAGCAATTCTCCTGCCTCAGCCTCCCTAGTAGCTGGGATTACAGGCACCCACCACCATGCCCGGCTAATTTTTTGTATTTTTAGTAGAGACGGGGTTTCGCCATGTTGGCCAGGCTGGTCTCGAACTCCTGACCTCAGGTGATCCGCCTGCCTTGGCCTCCCAAAGTACTGGGATTACAAGCATGAGCCACCACGCCCGAACAAGTATACAATTTTTAAAAGCCCTCACACATCATGATTTTATCAGGACAGTCCCTTTAATAACTTAGGAAACTGTTAGAGGATTTATTTTAACACAACAAGTAACAGGTTACACAGCTAATAAGTGAAAGAGACAGGACCAGAACCCACACGTCTTAACACCTAGACAAATATTTCTTCCACTGTGCCAGGCAGTTGAAAATTCCCAGCCTTATCATGTGCTCTTCATCTTTTCCCTAAAAATTCACAAGGCAGCATGATGTTATCTGACTTATCACTCACTGTAAATATTTTAGCATTTAAATGAGGAGGCAGAGTAAAGAGAAAAATGTTTCTGTAGAGATTTTTGCAGAGATAGAGAGTTCTTGGTCTCCATCCAAGGATCTTGAGCGTTTAATGAGACTACTGTCCACGAGTTGGTACAGGGTTTAGCAATATCATGGTAGCTATTTGGCGGCTCATGGTCTTCCTCAAGGTCTCCAAAGGGAAAACAGGAAGCAAGGCTTAGTTCTAACAGAAGCTGGACTCTGGTCTTAGCCCTAAATAAAGCATGCCACCTCTCTGAGCTTCAGTTTCACTATTTTTAAAATGAAGGTAATAATTCCTGTTTGCCCAACCCACAGACTTGTTTTTGAGAGTCCAGTGAGGTAATGCATGTGAAACTTCCTTGAAAACCATTAGTATTAAATGCCATACAAATGTAGGGATTATTATTAATATTATTAATGGATCACAAAGATTCCATAGCACTGAGAAAATGATGAAATGAAAATAATCCAATGCATTGGAAGTTGATCAGGGCAGCCTTCACTCCAAATTACCTTTGACTTGTCCCCTGTCACTCCCTAGAATCTAAAATGAGGAAAGTCATTTCTCTTCCACGGGATTTGTATAAGAGTGAAACAAAATGTCTGTGAAATACCTAGAGTAGTACTTGGTATATATCTGGCCTCTTTTCTAAAACTTCCCGAGATGAAACCCTATCTCTCATCAGATAGCCTGCCAGATGATCTAACACAGGATAGCAAGTATTCTTATTATTTGTTACTGTTTCTATTATTCTCAATTTAAACCACTTCCTATAATTTCACAGTAAAAACAGAGCCATTCATCAGATAATAAGCCCAGTGGTCTCTCTCTTCTAATCTTCTAAGGTCAGCTACATGGAGGGGAAGGGGGCAGGTAGCACAAATATCTGAGGAATTATATAGGGATTGAGGGCCCTAAATCCATGAAAAAGAGCTGATTAATTCCTCTACATATGGTTGAACAGAACCCACTTCTACCACTTACTCTATTCGTCCCAACCTGCCTCCCTCTTCTCCCCTCATTCTTGGCTTACTGGAAGATTTAACCATAGCTAAGCATGCTAGTCAGCAATGGATTATAGACACTGAGTTTCTTTCTCAATAAGCATTCTTAACTACATTATAAAAATTCTTCTCTAGATGTACGTATTTGTTTAAAGTCCTTTGAGACTCTAATTAATGTTACTCAGCATCTTCCCAGCAATGTGATCCCAGTTGCTAATTGTTTTACCTGGTTAGTAAAAGGTCTTATCAGTTAGGCTGCAGAATTGAGACGAGAACTCCCAGCTCTGAATAAAAAGCCCAAGCTCATTTCTTTATGTCATACTTCCAGCCATGAAATTATTAGACTCCTATAAACTCATCATTTCAATTGCTGTCCTGTTCCTTCATTCTCTACCAGACCTCCCAAGCAAGAACTCCAGGATGATACTTAGTGCAATTGTGCTAACATCTTCAAACACTGCAGTGAGGTGTTTGAAATAAAATGTGTAATTATGGTAGTGGAAAGCTACATCTGATTCCAAACAAACCTCACGTTCCCCCAGCTATAATTAGAGAGCAAGGTTCGCGGCACAGATTTTCCCATGAAATCCAGTTCAAGTAAGGCTTCTGTTCTTTCAGAGGGGCTCCTGGAGGTGGAGATTGTGATTAAATGGTTTGACATTGGTCCCCCTTCCACATTCTAAAGAGATTGTCTATTATCATTCTTGGAGTCTAAAAGCACAAAATATGTGCAAGGAATTAATGTTGTTTGGAGTTTTGGATAATAATCTTCCAATTTATTTGTCTCTGAACAGGGACAAATTAGAACAGGGAAGGAAAGTTACAGACACACACCCACAGAAACCCACGGACCAAAGTGTGCAGAAGTAAAAAACCGCCTCTTAAATGTCTCCAGAGAAATTTATGGAAATCGGAAATCCCTGCAGCTTCGGATAAAACTAGACATTGTTTTGAATAATCTCACAGGCCCCTGCAACTTAAAATCCATAATAATAGGAGCAAGAGCGACATGACCGAGGGCTCAAAGATTTTCCTGTTTCCTATTAATATTTGAGGACTGTCCATCTGAATCTTCTCAAAAGCATAGATTTCTTGACTGCCCTTGGAGGACTTTTGTAATTAGGCATATTTAAGCTGTACCATGTTATACTGCTACAGGAAGAATCCCATTTGTCAGCAGTTTTAAACTTTGCCAAATAAAGGCTTATTGGCAAACGGCAGTGAACACTCTGATAATGACCCAACTTTAGAAAACACACACCCTGCTGTGTTGTATTCAAGCCACAGTTCTGTTGAAATAAAAAAGAGAGACAATGCCTGCTTTCAGACACTAGAGATCCTTTGTATTCCAATAAAAGTCTAAATTAATGTTTTAAAAGGTTATTGCTATTTTTTCCCATTTAGCTGGCATCAGTTGTAAGTCTTATTTAGACAAGGTCCTACGTTATTTTACTATTTCTTTTTGCACAAAAGCTAGTATTTGATTGTGTTAGATCATCAGCTTCTGGTTTTCATTAGACAAACCTGAAATACCCTATTATTAAGATTAAACAAAAAAATAGTTGTTTTCTTATTCTGAAACCTATTATTTTGAGGCTGCTCTGACCAGAGGAAGAGAAATCAGTTTTGCAAAACCTGATGGAGAGATACGTCAAGAGGAGAAGCAATAACCTCATCAATGCTGCATTTAGGTTGCTTTTGTAAATGAGATCCCTTCCTGGATCTGACAATGGGAAGGAAGGATAATTTCGTTCTTTGGCATTGGCAATACTTTCTTTAGTATAAAAGGACTTTCAAAGTGCAAAATATAGGGCAAAGAATACTGTTTGCCTATGTAATGTCAGCAAACTGGTGAGGTGCTGCAGAGAATCTGCAATAACATCGTACTGGAACCTGAGGGTTATGAGATCTTAGATCTCCATGTCATTTACGCTTACCATGGTATTTTCTCAATGTTAACTCTCAGAATAAGCCCTTAGCAAGTGGTGGGTATTTTTCCAGTCATACCAGTTTAACAGGGAAAAAGAGAGTCAGAGTAACATTCACAAATCAAGATTTCCCTAATTCTTCCATCATTCAGATGGGAACTCTAGCCCCTTCAGATTTCTCCCAAATAGATGAGAAATTTTCTAGGGGCACCTCATATGGACTCTTCCTCCTGAATTATTCTTACTGGTCCTTTGGGTTTCAACATAGAAGTCATTTCTTCAGAAAACCTACTCTACCAAACTGAAGAGGGGTTAGGTGCCCCTCATATGTGCTTGCAAATTATTATAGCTCTATCCATACAATATTGTGATTGTCTCTGGTCTTGTTGCTTTCCTGCACTAGATTGTGAGCACCATGACATTAGGGATCATATCTTTTCATTGTACTGTTAGCTACACATAACAGACTGCATGCTATACGTTGGTAAATGTTAATTAAATGAATATCTTCTCAGGCTAGCTTTTTTGATCGCCCCAACGCCTTGGCTAGTTTTCTCTCATCCTGCCTCAGATTGCTGTGGTGATGCGTCCCGCTAGCACCTGCAGAGACAGCCCTGTTGGTAATGTTGGCCACAGTGCCAGCTCTGCTGCCAGTGCCCATCGATGTGGACATGGAGGCGGTCCTAGCTTCAAGCTGACGGTGCTCCCCTGCTGATACAGAAACTCCTGATTCCAAAGCTACATTATTTTGTTTGTTTTATGCCCTGTGTCTTTGTATCACCACCCCCATTGCTAAGGCCTGGTCCTTATGTGTGGAGAAGGAAGGCAATCGGAGGGAGGAGGTCTTCTGTGCTCAGAATCACCCCTTTTTCTATGATAGTGCCTCAAACTCATTTACCTTGGCTCTCATCCCTGAGGATGAGTTTTTTCTTGCGATACTCTTTGGTTCCTCATTTAAATGGACCCTGGTGGGATTTCTCTTCTCCATCTGACAGACCTAAATATGCCCTGTTCTCAGGGTAAGCACAACTGGGGCTCTAGCTGGGGCCTCTTACGTAGTATAAAGATAAAGAACTATCTGTGCATAGGGAATCTTTTGCTCCTTTGTATTTCAGGGGAGATGTCAAGGGTCCTGGTAGGGTTTCCAGGTAAAATACAAGATATTTAATTAAATTTAAATATTAAAATACAAGATACTTAATTAAAATTAAATATCTGGTAAACAGCAAATAATGTTTTGTTTTGTTTTCCAGTATGTCTCAAATGTTGCATGGGACATATTTGTACTAAAAATGTGCTGCACTCCAGCCTAAAAGTAAGCACCTCACCAGAAGGATGTCATGTCATCCTTCTTCCCCCATATACCTAGGCTTATCTTAAGCCTTTGAGTATTGGATAACTAACAATAAAGATATGGTCAACAGTATGGTAAAGACAGGCCAAATATTACATGAGACATACTTATGCTAAGAAATGACTTGTTTGTCTGAAATTCAAATTTAACTAGGCATCCTATATGTTTACTTATTACATCTGGCCAACCTAGTCCTGAGTCAAAAGCAGCAAATAAAGCCATTTGAAAGACAGAGACAGTGATGTTCCTGTGTGTCCCTAAAATGACAGCTCCTAGCATGGCCCGTGATGGAATAAATGGAGCCAGTCAAGTGTATTTGACCTCCTTAGCCCATAGGCTTACCCTAATCCAGACTGGTGGGCTCTAGAGGGAGGAAGAGCCGCCTGACCCTCAAGTTCTAGACTCTGGAGGTATCTGTCATGTAGATCTGGAGTGGTGGAAGGTCCTTTGGGAACTACTGAACGATGGAGAGAGTGACGTCTAGGGGCAACACTGCTACCTCTGGCAGCACTGCTCCAGGCTATATCAACTGGAGCTGAGAAGTGCCTCTGCATGTAAGAGCTCTGGTATAAAGTCAGCAAAATTTAGAGAGTAGCTTCTTATGGTTTGCTCAAAGAAACTCCAAGATCTTGTCTTCTGCTGGCCATTCATCAAAATTGGCTTAGATTCATCTCAGCCTGTTCATGTTGGGCAGAAGGGCTGTGCCTTAGCCCAAAACTACATACCTCACCAGAGGCAATAACAGTGGTTTTAATGCTGTCTTTTCTTTCTCATCTATCTGGGCTGATTTTTAGCTTTTGAGGATCAAAGAACTAACAAGAAAAATATAACTTGTCAACAGTATGGTGAAGTCAGGCCAAAGCAAGAAGGTGAAAATGAATTGATATTAGCAGGGTAAGCAATTAATTTTCTTCCTTTAGTCCTGGCTTTTGTGCTTGCCACAAGTCTAATGGAGTACCAGATGAACCATGCCAATGCCTGGGCACTAATAACAAAACAAAAGCTGATAAAGATGGATAAAATCATCTATGGAGGCAGGAAGCAATTAACCACATAAAGAAAGTGAAACATCATCAATGATAAGCCTCAGCAGCAATTTACTTGGGTTTGAGAACTTTTCGTTCTGATGGTTTTCAATAAGTTTTCCTCATTTTCTGCAGCTTCCTTAATTCAATAGATTTTTTTAAAGATAGAATTATGCAGTCATTACTACCCACATACCCAGGCCTTCATTGCATCACGGAGAGTAGATGTGGGTGGAAAGAGTGGGAATAGGCAACAGAGACGGAAATTTCAAAGGCCCTTAATGTTTGCCTTTGCTTGAGTATTTTGTATTATTTTGGTCTTTGCCATCATCTGGTATTGCCCTGAGCTTCTGCACTGTCTTTATGAAAAACACTGAAAAACAACAGTTGTTGCTGACCAAAATGATTATGAGTAGGTAAAGGGGAGAGGTAGCCCCAGAGGTCAGATTTCCTGCTGTCAAATCACCTTTCTCTAGGGATCAAAAAATTATTGTGATTCTTGGTAAAGAATTTAACATGGTTGGGGATTTCTTATTCTCTCTTAAATATATCAAAAAAAAAAAAGGAACTGTTATATATCAAGTATTTGATATGATAATTGTTGGATACCACTGTCTTTTTTTTTTTTTTAAGACAGAGTCTCGCTCTGTCGCCCAGGCTGGAGTGCAGTGGTGGGATCTCAGCTCAGTGCAAGCTCTGCCTCCCAGGTTCACGCCATTCTCCTGCCTCAGCCTCCCCAGTAGCTGGGGCTACAGGCGCCCGCCACCACGCCCGGCTAATTTTTTGTATTTTTAGTAGAGACAGGGTTACACTGTGTTAGCCAGGATGGTCTCGATCTCCTGACCTCGTGATCTGCCCGCCTCGGCCTCCCACAGTGCTGGGATTACAGGTGTGAGCCACCACTGTCTTTTTTCAGTGGTGAGTGATAGGCCTAATGTATCTGATCGCTGTACAAAGTTGTATTAGGAAAGCTGATTTGGTTTGTGGAACATTACCAATATATATATGGAAAAAGGTTTTATTACCACATGGTTCTGGCATATCTTCCTTGTAAGGTATTGTAAGTATCAAATGACAAGGGAGTTCTGGAATTTACTACATGAGAAAGTATAACTAGTGACTTTTCATATTTTTGGAAGACTAAAGAAAAATTAAATTTTAGAATGGGTTGTGAAATCTCTTTCTTACCAGCATTTTATGGTAGAAGACAAGCATCTGCCCTCAAGTTTTAGAAAACTGGTCTATATAAAAGTAAGGGACTCAGCCAGATAAATCAAGCACCCTAGGACAATACAAAGTTGTCAGGAGGATTCCCAGGTTCTGGGGATCATAGAAACTCACCGATCTCTACCTGGAAAGCTTTTTGGGGCCTTCCTGGACTATGTCTCGGAGGTGCTTCCTGCTCAGGCATTTCCAAGTGAGGATGCATTATCAAACCCAGTCCCTGGTGGTTTACCCGGCAATCATTATTCACCAACCCCCCCATCTTTCTTACCCTCTCTGAATGCTGGCTGACCACTTGGGGGTAAGGAAAACAGGAAGAGTGCAATAAGATCGCCCATTAGCAGCCATTAGGAGTTCAACATTCATATCTCAGCAGTCACTGGAATAGATTTTTCATAAATTTCCTGAGCACCCTTGTGGAACACAATATAAGAGGCAGCCATTTTGCTCCCTCTTTTACAGATGGCATAAATAACTTCCTTTGGCCACAAAGCTTCAGAGTTAGGAGCTATACAAAGATCTCCTAGGCAAGGGGCAGTAATATGAGCTCAGGTGGCGGTCAGGTGGCTGTCTGGAAATCAGTACTTGAAGAGGGAGACAAAGGAATAGCTTTCAGGGATTCAGCCAACAAACACAGGTATCAGCATGGACGACAGGAAAGTATATTTTTCTTCATTTTTTGGCATTCCACCTTGCTTCATGTCACCATTTTTGGGTGTTCAAATCTTTGATTACAAAAGGAGGATCTTGAGGTATACAAAAAACCGGAATCCTGTGTTCTTATTAGCCTAAATATGTGAAGGACTTCTTTTGGCCCTAATAACGCCAAGTTAGCTAACATTTACCACAGTCATTTTTTAATCATTTGGTTCAAAATAGGAATGACAGAGGCCAAAAAGCCTACCAGTTATAAAGACATTGTTCTTGATGGATACAGGAATATTGTGGGGAAAAGGATGGAAAGGGGGAATTATTTCACTGAAAGAGACTACCCTTTCATATAATTAGCACATAAAAAAGATTGTTAAAAAATAACAGTCTTAGGAACCAAGTATTAAAGATCAATATATTTAATAATTTTCAGGTTTAATGCAATTATAAAATTCTAATTTTCTAATAATAATATTCATTATCCAAGTGATTAATATTAACCATAAACACCCACAGTTTCTTCTGTCTCCCCTGCCCACCGTCTTTCAGACACACTCACACAGTGTATGTGTAGTATATTAAAATGGAGACTGAATGGTCAATGAGTTTGTGGACAATACCATACTTGTTATTCTTTTTCCATCTGAAAGGCAAGAAACAAAGGAATTCCAAAGCTTAGATCATGTGAGGAAACTCTTTCTGGCTCCCAGTACATGTGTTGTCCAGTTCTTAAAATGCACAGGCTAAAGCAAACTTAAACTCTTATTCAAAGTCTTTGTTGAAGAGACAAAGGAATTGGGTTTTCCCTAAAGATTTTTCTAAACTAGTCAGATTTGCTTCTTTTGATCCAGGCGTGTAAGAGACAGTAAGAGAAATTTAGTCTTGGGAATCACTATTTTAAACAAAGGCCAAAAACAGTGGTGTCTATTTTTAAAGCCTCCTCATTTCTCCCCAGAACCAAGTGCAAGGTAATTTGAATTCGGTTTCCAGTCAATATGGTTAACCTGATTTCACTCTACAATTTAGCAGTCTGTTCTTTATACTTGATTTCTATGATATTAAGTGCATGCAACATTTCCTTCCCTTTTAACCCGGTTTCCACTTACAGTTTTCTGTGTATTTGAGATCTGTTTGGTGGCCTGCCTGAACTCATGGAAAATTGACGACACTGAAAGAGAATTGTTGTAGTTAAGCTTCCCTGATGGCATTTTTTAAAAAACAACAGTGGAAAAAAATAACAAGGCACTAGTCAGATGTGATTTTTGGCAGATACTTCACTCAAAGTGCTCAGGGCATCCCCAGAAATTATAACCCCTCAAAGATGTTCAGGGTACAGTAAATAAAGCAAGATACAATTATTTTAATGTTCATCCTATTGATTCAGTTCTCTTCTCTGCAAGGTCTTAGTAACAGGGATTTTGATCTAAGTGAAAGGTCAGCTTTGAAGTAAGTGTAAAGTTATTTACAGGAAATGAAGCAAAAAGTGGGCTTTCATGCATTTTGAAATTTCTTTATTATTGAGGAGAAAATGAACTGTGTCATCAGCTGAAAGAAAAACAGATGCCTAACTTCTCATATTAAAGTTAAATAAATACCTACCATACTAGAAGTATGCTATTAGCTCTGAAATTTGAAATTCACCATGGTCTGTTTTCCCCAACTTTGGATGTGAAAGCAGGAAATAAACAACTGTGAATTAAGGCTCTAAGTAACTATGTAGCAGTTGTAGTTTGGGGGGTGGGGGAAGACTGCCAACATGAGATAATCATGGTGGGGTTTTCTTTCCAATATGGGATGCTAAATAGACATTTGTGATAACTACATAATCAACAACATCTTTAAATATTTAATTTCTTGTCAGTTGTTATCTTAATTGACTTCAACTCATATGTATGTATGTGTGTATGTATTACATATATACATATAACTACATCTGTCAGAGGGAAGTGGCAAATTGAAGCAATTATGCGGCTCATTCTGCAAAGAAAAAAAAGGAAGAGGAGAAAACTGATGGTAAGTGGGAAAAGTTTAGATAATTGTGACTTACTGTATAGATTTATATTTAGATATAACCTGGACTTCTTCAAATAATTTATGTCTACCTATAGTCTTGGATTTCTTCATACTCTAGATCAAAACGTTGATTCCTAGATGTGTTTACATATCACGTATAATTGAGTTCACTGGCACCTCAGTGCAGGTCGGCTTGGTGCCATGCTGGTTTTCACTTAATGGGATTAGTTACTAAAGTTTAGTTCAAAATTAATTCATTTCAACAAAAATCTATTAAGTATCTACTGTGTCCCAAGCTCTTAGCTGGGTGCAAGGAGTCCACAGTTAATTTCAATATAATTTTTTTTTTTTTTTTTGAGATGGTGTCTCACTCTGTTGCCCAGGCTGGAGTGTAGTGGCATGATCTTGGCTCACTGCAACCTCCACCTCCCAGGTTCAGAGATGTATGTCACTATTAGGAATTAAGAATGCAGCCTTGAGCAGCGAGCCAGAAGAATCACTCCTCTAAAGATAGGAAAAAAATGCCAATTTTTAGGAAATAAAGCTACACAAATTGTAAGAAAAAGCTGACCTTTACTGTAAGTAATTATTCAGTTTTGTTTCATTCAGTTATCTATTTCCAGCACAAAAATACTATAAAATCATTACCACGGTTTAAAAAAAAAAAAAAAAAGCCTTGGATTGGGACCTCTCTTCTGCCACCTACTAGCTGAGTGAACTTTAAAAACTTAACATCTCTAAGTATCAGCTTCTTCCTCTGTAAAAGTGTAATAATAAGAAGAAATATCAGGCCTAACTGATAGGCCTGGTGTGAGGATGAAATGAGATAATGTATTGTCTTAGTCCGTTTTGTGTTGCTATAACAGAATACCTGAGACTGGGTAATTTATTAAGAATGAAGATTTATTTCTCACAGTTTTGGAGACTGGGAAGTCCAAGGGGCTGGCATCTTGTAAGGTGCCATCTTGCTGTGTCATACCGTGGTAGAAGATGGAAAGGCAAGAGATAAAGGGGGAACAGAGACAAAGTTATTATTTTATTAGGAACCCACGCCCATGATAACTAACTCACTCTCACAATAACAGCATTAACTCATTCATGAGGACTGTGCCTAATCACCTCTTAATGGTTTCACCTCTCAACACTTGCTTTGGGGATTAAGTTTCCAACACATGAACTTTGTGGGGCACATTCAAACCATAGCATGTTGCTAGTGCAATACCAGGCATTGGGTAAATGCTCAATATGTGTCCACTGTTATTATCATCCCTACTTCTGCTATAGCTGGGCAATCTAATGAACTGCAGAAGCTCTGGATGTAATGCCCTACACATGCCTGCAACTCGACTTTTAGAAGGAGAGTTTGGTTTATTCTCCTAATACATGATAGAGTAGCAAATGAGGAAATAGCAGTCAGTGGTATTTATGACTTTCCATGGTAACCATTTCTGTTTACCCCTCTTAGCTTGAGGAAATAAAAGCAATACTGGCTGGATTAGTTGAAACATGCCACTTACTTTTTACCACAATGTGGTAAGTAAAAGTAGAGAATATTATTATAAAATTTCTATGTATCAAGTAGCTGGACATGTTGAATAGAATTTGAAGGAAAGAAGTATAGACTAATTTACATACAGCAAAACTTCTTTGACTCTTTTTATTTCAGTATAGTATTTGAACAAGAGTTTGACTGCCTTCAAATATATGGGAAGCATGATCTTCTAAACAAATAAATAATCCCAGAATCCTGAAGTACTCACTAATGTTGTATAAGGAGGAAAGCACTAGAATCAGAGACATTTGATATCTTGCCTTAATTCATTAAAAATGCATCAAAAATGTATTATGTGCAAGGACTATTCCAGGCATTGGGGTACAATGAGGAATAAAGCAGGTGTGGTGCCTGCTTACCTGGAACTTTAGTAGTGGTGAGTAACACAATAGGTGAGAAACACAGTAAACAAGTAAACAAAGTAGTTTGTATTTATTTTGTAATAAGGACTTTAAAGGAAAAAATAGAGTCCTGTGTCCTGCCACTTAGCTGTATAATCTTCAGTAAGTCATATTCAGAGACTAATAGAATGTAAAGAAGTCTTAGAGAACCATTACAAAGACCTTATGAGCTATAAAGCACTAAACAACTACAAAGAATAATTGTCAGCAATGTCTAATTATAAACTGTTCTTTCTTTCTTTTTTCTGTTTTCTTTTTTTTTTCTTTTCAATGAGGCAGGGTCTTGCTCCGTTGCTCAGGCTGGAGTGCAGTGGCATGATCTCAGCTTACTGCAACCTCTGCCTCCTGGGCTCAAGTGATACTCCCACCTCAGCCTCTTGAGTAGCTGGGACTAGAGGCACATGCCATCACGCCCAGCTAATTTTTGTATTTTTTGTAGAGACAGGGTTTCACCATGTTGCCCAGGTTGGTCTCAAACTCCTGGGCTCAAGCAATCTGCCTGCCTCAGCCTCCCAAAGTGCTGGGATTATAGGCATGAGCCCCCATGCCTGGCCTATAAACCATTCTTATCTGGTAATATACACAGCCTTTAAAGGTTTCTATTGTATTCTCATACTCCTCATCTGAAGTACAAATATGTTTCTTAAAAACATAAAATATATTTCAATTAATATTCCATATTTTAATATTTTTATTTTCTTAAACTGTTTTTCTGCCAAGTCGATTGACCAAGAGAAGGCTGAATGTTCACACAGGTCTTTCATAGGGAAAATAATCCAGGTGTGTAATGACTGTATACGGGCTACCACTCCCATGCATGAAGACATGTAAATGGCTGAAAAATAGCAGATCTGGGTGCTTGCGAAATTTTAAAATCGATAAGAAAATGATAATAATGACTAATAAAAAATGATAAGAAAATGTAATATATTTTACTTTGCTTACCGATCTACATTCTCCCAAATGGCATTCAACAAAAATTGAAATCAGAATATAGGTTGCAGAACACTGACACAGGAATATATTTATTTTATATTAATAGAATGATTTCTTTTAATGGTTCCTTTTCAATGTGTTCATTATGTTTGAAATTTAAGTACCTTGGATAAAAGTTATCAAGAAATATCTTTATCCAGGAAAGCCTACTTGAGGGCGATGTTTTCTCTTACACATTCTGTATCCACATATCTCCTTGTAGATATCATGCAATGAAGAAGGCACTCACTATATATTATTGAATGAGATGTAACACTTAAGTAGACATATTTTAATTTTTACTCTAATATTGTATCCATAAGCATCAGAAAGTAGCAGTATGTTGGGCATGGTCATCATGTTACAGAATTTAATATAAATGTTATCAAACTTTCAGAAATAGCTCACATTGCCAAACTCAGAAGAGACTAATATATAAGCCCAAATACCACTTGGACTTTTACAATGAGAACTGTAACATACAGCAGTCCAGAACACCCAAATACACTGATGAATTAATCCTTTCCTACAGGTAGAGAGGACAAATTACAAGGTAAGTTACTTGTTAGATATGGAATCAGAGCTACAGTATTTGGTAGAAATATTGTCATGGCTGTTGTCAGAACGCTAAGAACACGCTATATCCATCTCCACTATAGGTTTATGTTTGCAGAATGACTCATATCTGTCTGTGAACAAGGCAAACACACATGAACAGATTCCTATTTTTGAGTTCTACTTTCTTGTTACTGTCATGCTGACCTTTCTGTTGTCATTCACATATTGTTTCTTCAGAGTATGTAAATCAAAGAATTACTCTATAACTTTATAAATGCAAAAATAACTATCTTTGCCAGTTTGTACTTGATATCTAAAATCTAAATGTGGTTAGTTCTGAGGTAATTAGACTTACTAGGGCATGCACTCTGGCAAACTATTGTCTGTCTTGTTCACTGCTGAATCCTTACTACCTTGCAGGCCTGGCACACAATAGGTCCTTAATAACTTATTTGTTGAATAAATGAATTAAAGGGTAAAAGGTACTGCAACAAATGCCTCACCTCATTTTGCATATTCATTTTTTCCTAATTTCCTGCTCATAGGCTAACTTTTTGGAGATCTTTTTCTGCACGTGACATGGGTGAGAACAAAATATGTACGTGCACACACCATGAGCTATGTATTCTATTTCTGTGCAAGACAGATGTGATCCTTGCCCACTAGGAAATTTTTACCTTAAAATGTACAATTCATTGGCTTTTTAGTATATTTTTATTTTTTGAGACAGAGTCTCACTCTGTTGCCCAGGCTGGAGTGCAATAGCACAGTCTCGGCTCACTGCAACCTCTACCTCCTGGGTTCAAGAGATTCTCCTACCTCAGCCTCCCAAGTAGCTGGGATTACAGGAGTGTGCCACCATGCCTGGCTAATTTTTGTATTTTTAGTAGAGACGGTGTTTCACCATGTTGGCCAGGCTGGTCTCGAATGCCTGACCTCAAGTTATCCACTTGCCTTAGCCTCTCAAAGTGCTGGGATTACAGGCATGAGCCACCACACCCAGGCAATTTTTAAAGTTGTGCAACCATCACCACTATCTAATTCTAGAACACTTCTATCACCCTATAAAGAAACTCCACGTCCCTTAGCAGTCACTCCTCATATTCCTGTTTTCATGGATTCCTGTAACTACTAATATACTTTCTGAATCTATCAGTTTGCCTATTCTTGGTATTTCATATAAACGCAATTGTAAGTATGTAGTTTATCCTGGAGAATGTTTCATGTACACTTGAGAAAAGCATATATTATTTTCTCAAGTGTACAACAAGTTGTTGTTAAGTATATGTTCTATATATGTCAGCTCTACTTGGTTTATAGTGTTGTAGAAGCTTTGTTTTCCCTTGTTTATCTTATGTCTAGTTGTTCTGTGCATTATTGAAAGTAGGGTTTTGAAATCTCAAACTATTTTTATTTTTATTATTTCTCCCTTCAATTCTGTGATTTTTTCACATGTTTTTAAGCTCTGTTTTCAGGTGCATATATATTTATAATTGTTATGTCTTCTAGGTGGATTAAGCCTTTTGTCATTCTTTGCCTTTATGTATGCTGTTCTCTTTCCCAGGAATGTCTGGAGTATCTTTTTATTTCTACCCTGGACCCTGCTGATATTTTACCCATTCTCCCAACATACATCTTAAATAGTGTTTATTTTGAGGTAGTTCTCAGACTTTCTGGTAGTTGTGATTACTCTCGCTACAGATTTTGTATAGCTCTGTTATGAAATTTATGCTTTTGTCTTTCTACCCCTAATTAAAGGGATTGTTTCATCTTTGTACCTCATTCCATGCCTAGTATGGTAGGCATTTAATAAATATTTCTAACATAGAAAAAGAATTAGGTTTTTTTGGATGGTCCTAGACAATTGGTGTAGGACAAAGGGTAGAAGTTAATAGGAAGCGTATTTTAGTTCCATTTTTTAAAGAAAAGAAAATAACGTTTTAATTACTAAAAAAAAAAAAATCAGAATAAACAATTTGGTCAAGTAAAATATTTCCCTCCAAGTAGTTAAGGCAAAGACTGAAGGACCATTTGTAGGAAATGGAGAATCTTTCTATTTAGAATTTTAAAATCTTAAATTTTTTTCCTTGTAAAGAAATCTCAAGCCTTGAGTGTAAGAATGGCAGATGTTCTAACTATAGCAAATAATTCTTAAACGCAACTAAAATCCAACTTATAGATTTTACTTCATCTTTCGTGTCCCTAGATTGGATCCTTTCTTCAAGATTAAAACAGCAAGCCATGGTACATATTATGGCTTGGCAAGCTTAGAGCATTTTGGAATCTTCTTACTTATCCCTCTCTAACTTCTTGCCAACTGGAAGATTGTGATGAGACAGGAGGTAGAGAAAGCTGTTGAGTGAGGAAGCAGAAAGAAGTATCACATATCCTTCTTGAGTTTCTGAACCATGTTATGATTTCACTAGAAAAATGACACCCTTTTGGAAGTCCCCTTGAGAGGAGTGGACTTAGTGAAGCAGGTGGATCCTCTGGTTTATCTTCTGCACAAGAAGCCCTGCCTGGGAGAACTGACAGCCTTTTTGGAGTCCAAGTGCCAAACACCCACACACACAGCAAATGCCAGGAAGATAATCTTCACATTAGGTGATAGAGCTGAAATATTCCACAGGCTTATATCTCCATAGCTGTGGAACATTTTATCTGCCCATTATTTTGTTCAGTTATGGTCTCAGAATCATTATAATATACCTGGGCTAGTATAATCTTGAGGTAATGTCCTTGTACTCAGCTGCAAGATGGTAACTTTCCATTATACCTAGTAGTTCTTAGCCTTGGCTGAAGGTTAGATCCAAATGGGGAGCTTTAAAAATTACTGATAGTTGGGAAGCAGTAAACCAAATATTGCATGTTCTCACTTATAAGTGGGAGCTAACCATGGGTACACATGGACATAAAGATGGGAACACACCAGGGACTCCAAAAGTAGGGACAGAGGAGGAGGAGTAAGGGCTGAAAAACTTCCTGTTGAGTACTGTGTTCACTATCTGGATGTTGGGATCAAGAGAAGCTGAACCTCAGCATAACACAATATACCCTTGGAACAAATCTGCACATGTACCACCTGAATCTAAAATAAAAATTTAAATAAAAACAAAACAAAACAAAACAAAAAATTACCCATAGTTGTGTCCCACTACCCACCCCTCCCCCTATTTGGATTTAGTTTGTGTGGATTTCAGCACAGGTGTTGGTATTTTCAAAAGTGCTCCCAGATGATTCTAGCATGCAGCCAAGGGTATAAAGTAATGATCTAGAACAGTGGTTTGCAAATTGTGGTTCCTGGATGAGCAGCATCAGCATCACATGGAAACTTGTTAGAAATCCGGATTCTTAGGCCCACCTCAGACCTGAAACTCTAGAGGTAGAGCCCAGCAATCTGTGTTTTAAAAAGTCCTCCAGGTGAACCACTGGTCTATAATGAAGAGACCTCTTCTTTACTTATTTTTAGAACATCTTTTTTGAAGGAAAAGAAAAAGTGAGAATCTGACCAATTCAGTGTATGTATGTTCAAGGTGGGGTGCCATTTTTCAGACTGGTATAGAATAATGCAAATCTCTAAGTTGAACATAACGGCTGCCCTGAGCACCTTTTTTCCATGTATGATTATTGGTAAATCTTGAGTTAGATACTGTCCAGTAGATTTGTGCCATGTAGATGGCTAATCTGGCTAATGTATAGATTACCCCCATCCCCCAGATACATGCACGCAAAATGCCTAACAATGGATTGTCCTCAAAAATAGACTATACTGTAAAATTTCAGCCTGAGCCATACTGAGACTCCATGTTTTATATAAATAACAATTTTGGACTTCACTCATACTCTATACTTTTTTCGTCAATGCCACCTGCCAGTAGAATTCTGGTTTGCCTTGAGTTGACAGATTTACATTTGATTTATGCTTCATTCATTGCTAAAGAGTAAAGATCACTTAAATGCCATTTTGCCCTGTGATGAAACATGTCACTAACTCTACATTTGAGCTGTTTCCATGTTTACTTGTTTATTGAGTTATTTACGTGTTTATGAAGAGTGGTAATTGTAAATTGAGAGCACAATCCCACAAAAGGTATTGGAGAGCCCTAGGTGCACCATGCCATGTAAACCTGATAAATAGGAAGCTGTGTAATATCTTAGTGTCAGCAAACTCTAACACCAGTGTCAGTGGGACAGATCATGTGTGTGTCAAGCAAGAAGATGGTGTGGCATATAAGGTTGATATGTATATGATGATACCAATAAGCAAATGATGAAACAAACAAAGGCCTTCCTTCTCAAGATTTGGTGTGTGAACTAGGAGTATTTTTTTTTCCCGAGACTGAGCCTCCCACTGTCTGTTGCCCAGGCTAGAGTGCAGTGGCATGATCTTGGCTCACTGCAACCTCCGCCTTCCAGGTTCAAGCAATTTTCCTGTCTCAGCCTCCCAAGTAGTTGGGACTACAGGCATGAGCCACCACACCCGGCTAATTTTTGTATTTTTAGTAGAGATGGGGTCTCACCATATTCGTCAGGCTGATCTCAAACTCCTGACCTCAGGTGATCCACCCGCCTCGGCCTCCCAAAGTGCTGGGATTACAGACGTGAGCCACTGCACACGGCTGGATTAGGAGTATTGATAGCACCTGGGAGCTTTTTAGACCCAGACACCCAGTCCGCATCCTGTACCTGCTGAATCAGAATCTACATGGTAACAAGATATCCAGGTGACTTGTATACACACTAAGGTTTGAGAAGCACTAAGCTAGTGATTGTTTCATAAACAGTGTCTATTTTCTTCTTGCATTACTGGATTTGAACATGCCACTTCTAAAGCAAGCAGTCTGTGGTTCTCTCCATTCTGACGTTTCCAATGGAAACAGTAGGGCCACTAGGATGGGAAGTCAGCAGGAACAGCTGACCAAGAAAGGAAGTTTAGGTTGAACAAAGGTTTGCTTCATTTTTATTGCCCCTGGAGGAAGAACAATACTGTACAGAAGCTGTTAATGATGGGCTGGATTCGAAGGCAGTAATCTGTGCCAAAATCCAAATGTGTTTTTACTCTAAACTTCTCTCCAGATGTCTAGTTATACTCCAAAATTTCCAGCTGGTTAGAACCCCATAGAAATGGCTGGTCACTAAAACATATTTAAATATAAAATATATCCCTATTAACTTCATTTGCAATTTCTTCTACTCTTTTAATAATTTCATTAACTTCCATTAGCCAGCAAATTATTTGGCGCTGATGGAAAATGTCTAGTTGACCTTGATGGAGAGATTTTAGTGGAGACTCTGCTCTGTTTAACAGCTCACTCAGGTAACTATGGCAACTCTCCATTTCAGTTATGAACATGTCATACAAATCCTAAGTGAAAACAGCCTCAGCCTATCAATCCTTTTTAATAAGTAATCTAACAATAGTGGACCATTCAATCCAGAGAAAAGACTTTCTTTTAACTGAGCAATAATTGAAATGGCACTATGCAGGGAGAGCTATGATCTTAACATATTGGCCAACCTGTTAGCATGATTTCCTTGTGCACACTTCAACAAATCACCCATCCAGTTGAAACAGATAAAGAGAAACCACATGTAACTGCTTAGGTAATTTTGCCCATCAACACTCTGCACCTTTCAAGCTGAACTTTACGAATGGTTTCAAGAAACAGTGGGTGTGGTTTCCCTAATTTGCAGATGGAAACACCAACACCGGGTCAACAAGTGATGAGACTGTGTTCTATGGCAGCCTGTAGGAACCGCACCTGAGATGACTGCACTGGCCATACTGCTCAAGCCTTTTTCTCATACCTACCATTTGACCCCCCCCATGTCCATACCACATGCACTGTCATCACGCTTAGTTCTCCATGTTTTTTTGTGTTGTTCACCACTATATCCTAAGGGCCTAGCAAGGTGTCCAGCGCATGAGAACTGCTCAATGACATTTGTTGAATGAATCAATGAATATATAATTGGATTTATATTGTTTTTCAGCCAATTTGCAATAGTTGTCCTCCTCTGTGCTTTCAAAGCGCTTCCCAGTCTCTAAGATCCAATTCAAGCACAATGTGCTGCCTGAAGCCTCTTTAATTTTCAGTCTAAACTAACACCTCGTCATCAGAATCCGGATACAGTACTTGCTTTCTCTACTATTCTATTTTTTTGTTTTGTGAGATGGAGTCTCGCTCTGTTGCCCAAGCTGGAGTGCAGTGGTGTGATCTGGGCTCACTGCAAGCTCCGCCTCCTGGGTTCAAGTGATTCTCTTGTCTCAGCCTCCCAAGTAGCTAGCTGGGACTACAAGTGTATGCTACTACACCTGGCTAATTTTTGTATTTTCAGTAGAGACAGGGTTTCACCATATTGGTCAGGCTTGTCTGGAACTCCTGACCTCAGGTGATCCACCCGCCTCAGCCTTCCAAAGTGCTGGAATTACAGGAGTGAGCCACCAAACCGGGCCTCTCTGCTATTGTTTTTACTGCTGTCATTTTCTCTCAGAAAATCTTACATTCTTGTTTCTATACTTTATCTTCTCAACACTCTGAGTTCCAGAAGACCAGTGACAATGTCCTATATCCCTCAGATCTCCCAGCATAACACCTTGCACATCCAGATGCTGACTACATAGTTAGGGCTTATAAGTCAGCATGTCACGAAAGTATTACGACCGTATCAGAAGGAAAGCTTTTTCCTGGTGTACCAGGAAAGGCTCCACTTGAAGTCTGAGTTCTTGTTCTGAATGTGAATTTGGGGTTTCTGTAGGCCAGGGACCATAATGGGCCTCTTTGCCACTCTTGTTCTGCCCACTAGCACAATTACAACCAGAATCTACGCCCTTTGCTTCTCAGCAGGTAAATGTCCCATAAAGAACGCTTTGATCCCTAACTTTCTACATCAGCCTCATGGCCAAATTCATATTATTGCTGGGTCTAATGCTGTACAAAAAAAGCCTTTCTGGATTATGACAAGGAAAGGGAAGAGGAGATGATTAAGAGCCTTATTTTAGGCTTCTCTCACTGGAGGACCTTTACTCATTGCCTTTCACTTCACCATTAGTAACATGTCAAGAGCTGCTTGGATCATAAATAACACGAACCGTTCATGGCACGGAGAGCAGAGAACAGGCAGATAGTACTGACACACGTAGGATTTCGTAATATGTGTGCCAACCCAGCACACACACTGCAGAACCTGCTTCTCCCCTGTCCACTTGCCCAGACCCTGGAGAGACTGGGTACACAGATGTCAGGATTCTCTTTTGTAAAACTGACGTTTGTCTGGTGGGGGTCAGAGCCTTCCAGCGGTAGCCACCCACTTGTGTTACAGATGTCACCTCATGCCTCTCCTGCACCTTCCCCTAACAAGTCTCAGATGCTGAGACTTGGAGATGGGAAGAGTATTTTTGCACCATCTCTGCACAGTGTGGCTCAGGGACCTCACAGCCTAAAGGTCACCCTGTGCAAGGCAAAGTGCTCCTGCTTGAATAACCACAGTCTTTGTCCAGTGTCTATCTCTTCCCTCTCAGTTTATTTGCTTCTCTGCCTCTACCCCTAAGAATCTGTATAAATAATGAGCTTCTCAGGTCATTCAAGGGCAACTCATTAACTCCCTTAGGAAAAGCCAGCAATGTCTTTTCTTCCAAAGTGGTGGCTTAATGGCCACAAGCAGATAATGCTTTATAAAAAGGTAATAATAAAATAATAAAATGACTCTCATGTGATATGTAACAAAAGGCCCAATTTAGGAGACAGGTGTCAATTAATGCGGCCATCACTCATTCTTACCAGTGGATGACACAGGAGGAAACAGAAGCCAAAGAACCTAGGATTGAGAATATCTTGAGAAAGCTGCATCTGAGCATAATACATAAGCAGCTTCTTTTTGCAAATCATGGCAGGTTTTGCATTTGATTCCTCGTTCTACATGGACCCTTTTAAGTATTTTCCTGATCGGTGGTCCTTCTTCCCTCCTCTCATGCCCTTTCACGAGGTGTATGCACATCCGTTCATGTGCAGTCTCTCTCTCTCTCTGTCTCACACACACGCACACACACGCGTGTGTTTAAATAGACAAAATCATAATGATGGTAGTGATGATGATGATGATAAGGAGAAGGAGGCCTGGTGTCTACAGAACTTTATCCTTTGAGTGTGCATTTTCATGGATTAACTCAATAAATGTTTAAAACAACTCAATCATCTTTGTTAGGTAAAGTAAGTGTTATGGTTTACATTTAACAGATGAGGAAATTGGGGCTGACTTGTTAAAAAAATAGTAGTAAAGCCAGGATCAGACTATCTTTCTATTCTTCTTCTTAGGTGGTTCTCTTACCATAGCACACTGGAATCAAACCAGAGAACATCCTGTGTCGTAATTACTGGCTAACACACCACTCCTCCCCACCTAGCTGTGAGTGTTCAAAGGCAGAGACAGGTCTTATTCATGCCTATCTCCCACTTCCAACACAGAGGAACGCTGTGTATGGAAGAGAGGGAGAGAAGATAAATGCCTTCTGGAACATTGGTAGAAACAGAACCTAGAGGAAATAGTGTAGGAATCAGTGGGCCACAGAACTGTGACAGCCATTTCTAAATCACGACACCTGCTGGGTTTACTCCTTTTTTTTTTTTTTTTTTTTTGAGACAGAGTTTTGCTCGTTGCTCGTTGCTGGTTGCTCGTTGCTCGTTGCCCAGGCTGGAGTATAGTGGCCCGATCTCGGCTCACTGCAACCTCCGCCTCCCGGGGTCAAGCGACTCTCCTACTACAGCCTCCCGAGTAGCTAGGATTACAGGTGCGTGCCACCATGCCCGGCTAATTTTTGTATTATTAGTAGAGACGGGTTTTCACCATGTTAGGCTAGTCTCAAACTCCTGACCTCAGGTGATCCACCTACCTCGGCCTCCCAAAGTGCTGGGATTACAGGCGTGAGCCACCATGCCGGCCGGGTTACTCTTAATTTCTGTCTGTGAAGCCGATGTCCTCCTCCCTCCCTTCCCCATCTGTGCACACTGTTCCTCAGCTTACAGAAGTCTCTTATTTATAAAGGCTGCAGTGGCTGCTAATTCCCTTGTTTCCTACCTCACCACTTGGTGATTCCAGAGGAAACTCTGAATAACTGGTGCAACCTTACTATAAAGCAGGCTCTAAAAATGTCATCATATCTGAATTCAGACTTCTCTGTACAGGACGGAAGCACCGTAGCCTAGTTGGGGGCACTGCATGTGACCACAAAGCTAGACACGTGTGGGCTATTAACCACATCAAAGGCAAATGGTAAATTGCCAGCCCCTTTATTCAACAAGCATTACTGGGCTCTTACTAGGTGCAAGTCTCTGGATGAGTTGCGGAGGACTCCATGAACACCCAGGTGAGCTCCCTGACCTGGAGGAGCTGTCACCTGTAGAAGCAGGCAGATACGTGAAAAAAAAAAAAGACTGTAAATGTCTCTCAAGCACACCTTGCTCAGGTATATTGTGATGGCATTTTTTTGGAGATCTAGTGGTTCCTGCCTTTACGGGGCTGCTTAGGAGCTGGCTATGACTGCAGTCAATGGTGTGGAAGGATGGGGATTGAAAGAAGAATGCTTCCAGCAGTGGGGGCAGTAAGACAGTGTGAGAGAAACAGACATGGGCATCTCATCATCTTAGATCTCCTTCCTTGATTGTCCTGTGCACAAAAGTATCCAGGAGTAGAAGGCTGGACTCTCAGCATTGAATGGTTTTGAATAGATGGATTCAGCCAGCCCATGAGTCAACTACAGTCCCTGAAAGGGAATGACATCACTCAGAAATCCTTGCTCATCATGCCCATCAGGCAAGTGGGTATTAGACCTGCTGTTCCAGCACCAACACCTTAAAGGATATTCACTATGCATAATGCAGGGGCTTGCAGCTTGTATTTCCTCTGCCCTGGCCATGATCGTGGATCACATTTCACTTACATGGGGCTTTCTGAGAACGAGACTGGGCATGTAAAGAATGGTATAATTGAGCTTTTCCCTCTTGGCTGGAATCTGTGGTTGCATTCCCTCTAAACCACACAGAATTCTGATTTGCTGCCTTGGATTTTACAGGGTCCTCTGTGAAAAATAAAAGCCTACAGGTGTGATAGTTTACTGCAGCCTTGGAGATAGAATTTCTTATGACTGAATTGCTTATATTTTCTATGGGGAAAAAATCTCATACACAAACATGCACGTGCACGTGCACACACACACACACACACACACACACACACACCCAGCCTAAAAGATTTGTATTTGTCCTACATCCATTTCTTATGCAACTCCCTTCTTTGACTTTCTTTCCCGTTCTTTATGACTGCTCCACAGAACCCATATACAGTAGGGCACTTAAGTAGGCTGAAGGATTTTCTGCAGCTCCAGGGGAGAGCAGAAGAGTTTGGAGAATCACCCTAGAGGAAAAAAAAAAAATCTGCAGGTTTTCCACCCCTTTAGTAGAGAATTAGGTTTTAGAAATTCAGAGAGATTATCTGCAAGTCAGGAGGCCAAAGCATAGCTGTATCTACATGGCTGGAGAATTGTGAGCTTTTCTGTGCTGTCGCCCCAGGGCAGTAGTTAACATACACAGGTCAGTTCTCAGGCCAGTTAAAATCATAGCAGACAGGGGCCGGGCGGGGTGGCTCACGCCTGTAATCCGAGCACTTTGGGAGGCCGAGGCAGGCGGATCACGAGGTCAAGAGATCGAGACCATTCTGGCTAACACAGTGAAACCCCGTCTCTACTAAAAAATACAAAAAAAAAAAAAAAAAAAAAAAAAAAAAAAAGCCGGGCGTGGTGGCGGGTGCCTGTAGTCCCAGCTGCTAGGGAGGCTGGAGCAGCAGAATCGCGTGAACCCGGGAGGCGGAGCTTGCAGAGAGCCGAGATCGCGCCACTGCACCCCAGCCTGGGTGACAGAGCAAGACTCCGTCTCAAAAAAAAAAAAAAAAAAAAAAAATCACGCAGTTGGGAATATGGAATGGACACAAAATTAAGGGCATTGCTTTCCCATTTCTGCCTTTCTAGTCTTCTCTCTTTTTTTTCTTTATGTTGCGAAAAAGAATGCCTCACTGTGGTGACCTGAAAGATGCCAGAGCACTAGCCCATTAATCAGAACAATTTTATATTAATACTGGATGAGTTCATTATGATTAATAAGGAATACTTTGATAAGCTGAAATTTAAATTTGAAGCAAGGCAAAAATAATATGGTGCTTCTCTGAAGCATGTTTATTGAGGGTTTATTGACACTTCACCAAAGTACATGTCTGTTAAATGTTTTTTGCCATGTGCTAATAATATCCACTGGACAAATCCAATTCTTTCCTTCCTGTTACTGGGGAATCATGTCTCCTTGTGTTAATGGCTTCCCCCATAGCAGGCAGTTCAAGCTATAATTGAACAAATATTGAACGTCTATATCTCAGTGGAAATATACTGTAATGAATATCCCTGGGAGTCTGCTTATTTCTGACCAAGATCTGAGACCACTGGGGTGCCAGAGACTCTGAGAAGCCAGCGTCTCCCAGGGCCAAAGATGGGGTTTGGATTCTCTTCAAGGCTGGTGCGGAGTAGGGGATCTAGGAACCTTTCTCTCTCTCTCAGAAATGAGCCTGTGACCTGGAATAGCATCCAAAGTATCCTTCACTCCCCCCTGACTCTGGCTGCCTTCAGATTACTACTTTTTCGTTAGTTATGAATCTGGCTACCTCCCAAGGGACTGTTGCACCATTTTCCCATCTTGTAGGTTCAAAATCACAGCACTTGCCCTAGAATTACTGAGTAGAGCAAGACACTATCCCTTGAGCGATTTGGAGGCAAGAACTAAGGAAACATGAGGATCTTTGTAATTTAACTGCATTCTTCGGTTTCTCCTTTAGACTCTGAGAATCCTCATCCTCTAGGTCAGTGGTTTCCAAACCTCACTGATCATCATCATCATCATCCAGGGACTCTTTTAAAAATACAATTCTTGGTCCCCACTTGGCCGATATTCTAATTCAGAAGGTTAGAGGGAGGAGGGGAATGAGGACAAAGAAAGGGAAAATAACTGACAATTTGCTTACCCTAGCGTCTTGCTCCACAGCCCTCCACAGATGTGATTTATTTTTTATTATTCATTACAAAGACTTAATGATATAATTATCCAAAAGCAATTAGATGCAGAGTGGAAACAAAGTGCTTAAGGAGCTGGGAGGTAGACTTACTAACAAAGAGGATGGAAGAGTAAAGTGTCACCGTGGTGCGATCTGTCAGGATCTGGGCTTCTGGCTTCATACCTGAGCATGTGGAGAGGACCTCTGTTGGGGTCATCAGGGACAGCAACTGATCACACAGTTTCCATCTCAACTTCCCAAAGAAGCAAGTGCATATAGATTACTCCTGATCCTTCAGATCTGCAGTGGACCATGGACCACCATGGCAGCCTCTCTGCCTCTACTCAGCTGTTGCATCCTCATACCTTAAGAATCTGAATCTTCTTGGCCGGACGCGGTGGCTCACGCCTGTAAACCCAGCACTTTGGGAGGCCGAGGAGGGCGGATCACAAGGTCAGGAGATCGAGACCATCCTGGCTAACACGGCAAAACCCTGTCTCTACTAAAAATACAAAAAATTAGCCGGGCGTGCTGGCAGGCGCCTGTAGTCCCAGCTACTCGGGAGGCTGAGGCAGGAGAATGGCGTGAACCTGGGAGGCGGAGCTTGCAGTGAGCTGAGATCGTGTCACTGCACTCCAGCCTGGGTAACAGAGTGAGACTCCGTCTCAAAAAAAAAAAAAAAAATCTGAATCTTCTCGCAAATATATATTTGTCAGACTACTATTGTAGGCATTAGGGACTTAATGGTGAGCAAATTTAGGGCCTATGCCCTCTCATTGAACTTGCATTCTGTTAGGAGGAGAGCTACAATTAATATTTAAATAAATAAAATTATTACAAATCATGATAAGTGATTTGAAAGAAACGAGGCACTGTGATAGAAAAGAGGGTGTGTGGGGAAGGAATAGTTAATTAAAGGAAATACAGTAGCTCTAAGAGAGAGAGCCAAGTGGTAAATAGAGCCAGGCTTACAGGAGTTCTAGACCCAGCTCTGATAACTGGGTTATGTGAGAATTTCAGCAAGTCGTTAAACTGTGACTGTATTAGTTTCCTATTGTTGCCATAACAAATTACCACAAATTGAGTCGCTTAAAATAACTTAAATACATCACATTACACTTCAAGGGGTCAGAAATTGAAATGAACCTCACTGGGCTAAAATCAGTGTCGGCCGGGCTGCCTTCCTTCTGGAGGCTCTAGGGGACAACCTGTTTCCAGGTCTGTTCCAGCTTTGAAAGGCTGCCTGTGTGCCTTGGTTCATGGCTCCCTTCCATCTTCAAAGCTAATGTAGCATCTTCAAATCTCATTGGCTCTCCTGCCTCCTTCCTTGTAAGGACCCTTGTGATTACATGACATTCACCTGGATAATCCAGGCTAAACACCTCATGTTAAGATCCTTAACTAAATTTTAGAACACAGTCTCTTTTGCCATGTAAGTTCACATATTCACAGGTCCCAGGGATTAAGGCATGAATGTCTTTGGAGGGGATATTATCCTGCCTACCATAATACTGCTTTTCTTTCTCCTTATAATAGGGATACTGTGATTTTCCTGACCCACCTCACAGGGCTATTATGAGAATCAAATGCAGTAATGGACATAAAAATGTTTTTACAAATGGTAAGAGTCAATAGATGTAGAAGGAGTTTTATCCTTCTTTTACTATGGAGAGACAGAGGGTTCAGAGTAAAAGAAGCATCATGGAATGAAACAATAGGAAAAAGGTACTAAGAGTAAAGGTTAAAGGGGGAGGTTGTGTTTAACCTAAAGGAAAAAAAAAGAATTTTTTTTTGTCTTTGATTATGTAGAAATACTATGACAAGGCTGTTCATCGGACATACTCATGTCTACTACAGACCAAGCAAGAGGCAGGAGATTTTTTTGCATCACTTCTTGACTTATTCTGTTCCTTTCCTCCCTTCAAGACCTAAATCAGAGCCAGAAGATTGTTCCTACCTTCATTATTGTGGATCCATCTCTCCATATTGTTTTCTGTTAGCCCTTTTCATGTCTTTCTTAGTTCAACAAACATTTATTGAGAAATTACTATATGATGAGTGTGTTAGTCCATTTTCACACTGCTATAAACACATACCTGAGACTGGGTAATTTATAAAGGAAAGAGGTTTAATTGACTGAGAGTTCCACATGGCTTAGGAGGCCCCAGGAAACTTACAATCATGGCAGAAGGCATGAATGGAAGCAAGGCACGTCTTTCATGGCAGTAGAAGAAAGACCGCAAAGGGAGGAGTTTCACTTTTAAACCTGAGAACTCACTCACTATCAAGAAAAACCATGGGGAAAATGCCCCCATGATCCAATCACCATGGGGATTACAATGATTACAATTTGAGATGAGATTTGGTTGGGGACACAGAGCCAAACCGTATAGCTGGACATTGCAGTTGGGAATTTGCAGATGAAAAAGACAGTCTTTTCGTGCAAGTAGCTTGTAGTTTAGCATGCTCTCCTAGAGCCCCTATCACTCACTGCCTTGATTTATAGTTATTGGTGTATATGTTTGCTTCCTCTACCAGATGATGTGCTTCCTGAACACTGAAATCAAATATAAGTCAACTTTGCATCTGCCATGACCCAAGCCCAGTGTCTTACAATTACAGGTTTCACAGATGTTGGGTGAATTCAACAGAATGATGAATTCTTATTCATCACAATTATTTCTTACAAAATGAGGGTGCTTTTGGAAGTCTTTGATCTGTATATATATAAAGAAGAGAACAGAAGTCTTTCTGGGATAGTTTGGAGTCACCTGGTAAAAGGCAGAGCCCTAGACCAAATTATTTTTTAGTTCTTTTCCAGGCTTCTTCTTATAACTCTGATTGTCTTGATTAAGTACAATTTTTAAGTCCTGGGGTGTGGTGAGCTTTCAGCAGATTGTAGACCATTTTTGTTCTAAGAATCTTCTGGTCTAATCTAAGTGGAAGATTGTATATTGTCAAGGTAGTGAAGGGTTAGTTGTTAATGATGCTTATTTGCATATTTCATTCTTGCTGCAATACTTTTCTCAGCACAAGAGCTTTGTGCTGGGCATGGTGGCTCATGTCTGTAATCCCAGCACTTTGGGAGGCCAAGGCAGGTAGATTGCTTGAGCTCAGGAGTTTGAGATCAGCTTGGGCAATGTGGCAAAACCTTGTCTCAACAAAAAATACAAAAAAAAATCAGCTGGGTGTGGTGACATGTGCCTGTAATCTCAGCTCTTCAAGAGGCTGAGGTGGAAGGATCTTTCGAACCCAGGAGGTTGAGGCTGTAGTGAGCTGAGATCACGCCACTGTACTCCAGCCTAGGCAACAGAGCGAGACCCTGTCTCAAAAAATTTAAAAAAAAAAAAAAAGAGCTTTGCAGCATGACAGATACTGGGTATGTCAAGGAGTCCAGTTGCTTTGTGAAGGTAATCCAGTTATGGAAATTTGCAAGGCTAGTGGTGTGCCCGTACCTTATTGACTTCCATATTTTTTTTATTTCCTTTCTGCCCACATTTGCTGTAGATTCACTTCCCTTGGGATGCCCTCCCCTCACATCTCTGCTTATCTAAATTTTATCTATCTTAAATTGTCCCTGTTTAATCTCACAAAGAAAAATACTGGGATTTACCTTCTGGAGATAGTTCATTCAGATACCTGAATTAATGGCTGTCAATTCAATTCATCATTTGTTATTAGTAATCATTAACTTCTTGCTGATGTCTTTGCCTTTGTTCTTTATAAAACGCTACTTAGCTTTTGTTGTCCTCCTCATGTGCTACGTATTTTATTTCTGTGTGTTTCTCTTACAGGCTACTATAGTACTTTGCACTTAGTAGATACTCAATATATCCATTATTGAGTGATTCTCTTGATAAACTAAAAGTTGAAATCCTCACTCTCTTCGCCATACATATGAATCATCACCATATTCCACTGAGGGGAACACATTCAAGCTAAAGGAATCCACTTGTTTAGTAGAAGCACTTTGGAAACCTGATTTGTTTTCCCACCTTCTTCCTCCCAATCCTGCAGAGATTCTGAGAGTTCAGCTCCATATGTCCCAGTGGCTGAACACCAGAAAGCTTAGCAGTTGAGTACAAAACCTGTCTCTAAATTACACACACAAGCCAGGACCTCCTACTTGCCATGTTGTCAGACCAGAGTAGAACACAGAAAAGGTACATCGTGCTACAGGCTGACTCTGTTTGCGTCCCACTGCAATACAGGGAGCCAAGAGAATCCAAATCTTCAGTGTTATAATATGGCCCTTCTGCAGGTTGGGTTGGAATATCTGAGTGTTGTCTTTGTCGTCTCTTGTCAGTCATCCCCAGAGAGAGAAGCATAGAGTACATTGAGTCCATTTAAGAACCCACCCAGTGAGAAGGGACATATGCAAATGTTAGTGTACAGTTAGAGTCTGATGAGGAATAAAAAGCATGTAGAATTTCAAGCAGAATTGCATTATTCACACTTATAGCGGTATAAAGAGAAACCAAAAAGCACTGCCCTGCCTCCAACTAAGAAAACATATGTTATTTACAGGAGCTTAATGCCCCTCTGCTGTCTGTGTTGCTACATTAGAATCCCAGTAGATACCTAGCTTCCTGGCCTCAGACTTGTCAGGGTGGGGAAAAAAAAGTTTACCAGCTTTGGAGAGACCCTCTCAGCCCCAGAGTCTGATTTTCATAGATATGCTGAGATAGCTCTTCAGGTTCATCAAAGCCAGTTTCTTTGGGGACCTATGAAAACATTGCCTGAATAGACACTAAGATGGGATCCGAACACTTGGTCCATTCCACCTCTCAGTGCTTCAAGTTGAGATCCTGGGACCTGGAATGCTTGTAGCTACCTTCTTCTGATTCAGGTATCTACTCCACTATCACCGACCATCCTATAAAACAGAACTCTCCCTTCCCTTACTGTGCTTTATGTTTCTCCAGAGCATTCATCACTTCCTGACATTTTATGTATTCATTGATTGTCAGTCTTCCCCACTGGACTCCAGTGACTCCTTGAACACGTGTATGACAGAGCCCAGCACAGAGGTATTCAATATTTGTCGAATGCTTATACTGATCAGACCCTGCAGGAGGTAACAGATGAGACACATATTGGTCAGTTGAATTAATTTAATTTCTGAGCCAGGATTACTTGGAGTATGAATGGGGTTTAAAAAAAAAAAAATCCGCCAGGTGTGGTGGTGGATTACATGTCTGTAATCGCAGTGCTTCAGCTGAGGCAAGAGATTTGCTTGAGACCAAGAGTTCACGACCAGCCTGGGCAACCTACAAAGACGCCCCCATCTCTACCAAAAAATAAATAAATACATAGCCAAGCATGATGGTACACACCTGTAGTCCCAGCTACTTGGTAGGCTAAAACAGGAGGATCTCTTGAGCACAGGAGTTTGATGTTACAGTGAGCTATGATCAAGCTACTGTACTCCAGCCCGGGCACAGAGCAAGACCCCATCTCTTACAGAAAAAAAAAAAAGCAAAAAAAGACCAATAATCTACCTCACAGCACCAAACATTTAATATGTACCCCTTAAACCTCACTACCTTGTATCTTTGGATCTTTGTATGCAATTCCCATCTGTGACCTATGCCAGCCCATGAACTTCCGTGTCCTCTCCTGAAGAACCTCAGCAGAAACGTACTTCTGACAGCTCAGTTTCTAACCAACCTCCATACCGGCTGCCTCTGCCTCACTAGAGATCTTGACAACAGTCTTTTTGATCCCAGCCAGCTCACCTCTTCCCTCTCCACCCTCCCTACTCCTGTTTATTTCTTTGCCTATTGGGATCAGAGTTCTTGGCTCTGTTCCACATTCCAGGTATACTTAATCCTTGCCATGGTAGCTCAGCAGATGGGGCCTGAGCCTTTTCTACTGACAAAGACACCTATGTGGGGCCCTCAAGTCTGCCATTTAACCAGTTCTCAAGGAGTTCAGAAAGGAGGGAGGCCGGCAACACTTTTCAGTATTCACAATTCCCTTTCATGGTGAGAGCCTCTCTGGTGAAACTTTAGATGCTACTTCTTTATTTCCAAAAATATTTTGGGCTTTCCCATCAGCACAGCCAACAATATAAATCACTAAGAGTCTAGGGAGGGTGTGAGTATGTGAGATCACAAGCTACAGAAGCCAGAGGCTGTAAAGTGGGACTTGCAAAAGCAGAGATAGGTGGGGTGGATTTGCATGAATTCATTTCAAACTGAGGTTCTGAGTGGGGAGGGAAGAGGGAGTGAGAAGGAACAAGAGCTAAGGAGATTAGGATCAAACGATGAAATTAGGTGACAGAAACTGAAATCTGGTACCTCTAGACTGATTTCTCACCAAGACTCTTGGTACCTTTCTCAGTCTGGAATATTTTTGCCCATAGCAAAGTCTGAACCATCAAGGAATGGTCAGGATTTCCCTCAGAAGACATGATTCCTGGGGCCAGGCATGATGGCTCATGCCTGTAATCCCAGCACTTTGGGAGGCCAAGGTAGGAGGATCACTTGAGGTCAGGAGTTCAAGACCAGCCTAGGCAATGTAGCAAGACTCTGTCTTTGAAAAAAATTTAACAAATTAAAGATAATTAAATTAGATGTTTAAAAAACCAAGGCCTGTTTCCCTGATTTTTTTTTTCTTCAAATTCTCCAACTCTGGAGATGGTATGTCAGTTTCCTAGAGCGGGGCTTCATCAAATGTTTTATTTTTATTTTTATTTTTAATTTTTCCAGTAGGTGTTTTCAACCACACTCTCTATGAATGACTTCAAATTCTCTCCATGAATAAATGAAGCATTGTGTACTTAAACTTATACAACCGCCTTCATATGCTTTCAGTGGTTTCAAGGCCTCAGTAGAGCTTAAAAATGTATAGCACTACATGCCCCCTTTAGGGAGTTAAGAGATGGGGGAGAGAGTAGTCTATGTTCCCTAGGGGCCAAACACCCTGGATTAAAGCCTCCTATTTTTCTTTTTCATCATTCGTAACCATTTCAAATGCAAACCCATAGAAAAACACGTTCCTTTCTCTTTTTTTTCTTTTCTTTTTTTTTTTTTTCAAACAACGGGGATGGAGAAACATTAGGAGCAGAGTAAAAGCTGTTCAGTGTGCTTGGATGACTCAGTCTAAAATAGTATTATAGCTTGGCAGCAAATCTACTTCAGGGAAGCTGGTGGGAGACTAAAATAAAAGTTAAATTGAGGGGGTAAATCATTTTATCAGGCTTAGGATTTTTACTTGATGTAATGAGATTCTCAATGTAAAATGAGTTAATATGTCTGCCTAAGGGCATAAATATTCAAAGAAAGAATTTGAAAATACAGACTCAAAGTAAAGAGCAGTCTGAAATAAAACAATGCAAGGCAGTGAAATTTTCCTCATGGAAATTTTGGCACAATATGCTTCCTTTTGAACAGCATGATTAAATGTGAGTAGCCCTAGCTTGTCGCTAAGAAAAAGAAAGCCTCAAAGTTTTTTTTTTTTTTTTTTGTCTTTTAAAGACTTTTCTATTGGGTTCTATTTTCCTCCTCCTCTTCCTCCTTCCCATCTATTTTCTAGAAAAACTATCCTTTTTTTTTGCCCTGCAAAATGCAAACTGAATTCAGATTGTTCATAAAAGATGAAGCCAAACATATTTCTGTATTGTTGCCTTTTTGCTCACTGATTTTCTGTGACTCAAATGCAGAGAGAGCCCATAGTGCAGAGGGCGAACTTTTGCTTAGCCCACAACCAGAAAGGGAAACCCCAGTGTTTCTTCTCAGCAGTTGACCAAGTGGCCCTCACACTTTCTTTCTTGCCTTTCTTTTTCTGTTTCTTTCTGAAAACACTTTCAATTAAGCCACCTATGTTCCTTATATCACAAAAAGTAATGAGTCAATCAAGCCTGTATTATCAGTTATTCTTTCAAATTAATAGGCTTATGGAAGAAAGGGATGGCTAATGCATAGATATCAGACACATAATCACAGAAGGTGAAGTTGGGGCAAGAGTGGGAGGTCAGAGGCCTATCCTCCTCTTACCTAGAAAGTAGAATCAGAGGGGAGGGAAGAATGGTCTCCTTCTGGTTCTGTGATGGCTTTTTATATCCTGTTAGTACTTCGTAGACTGAAATGATCTTCACACAAATACTCCTGGTGACATTTGTGTAAGTCAAGAAGCATACCCAGCGGCTCAGGCATTTTAGTCCAGCTACTCCCAGGAAAAGGAAATGGATGTACACAGGTTCTTGGGCGGAGCCCTGCTTTCACTCCAGGGCCTCTGAGAGGCAGGCCCGAGGCCATGCTCCTGAGATGGACACTGCCCCAGGTCATGCTTCATGCCACACAACATGGCTGCTGAGTTTTGAGCAAAAACCAGACATCAGACTGTCTTTGGGAATGGCCTAAGCCCATTTCCTCTTAATTGCTTTCTTCAAGGCCCTGTCAAGTCTGATCACTATGAAATTGTTTGGTTGGCCTTGTGGTAGAGAAATAGCTGTGTTATGTATAGAGTGCCCTATCCGATGGAAGCATCCACTGATGCTTCTGTTTCCATTTTTAAAAATCTTTTATTTTCACCATTTAATCTTTGACAATCTTGATATACTGATGTTTCTCTCTGGCCTTCCACGTGGCACAAGGATCTGCTTGTTTAACGAGCAGCATTTGTAAGTACTCAAGTAGGGGCCCTGTGATAGATGATTGTTACTATAGCAACTTTCTTTTTTTTTTAGAAAAAAAGAAAACTAACCTTGTGAATGGACACATAAGAAATCAAAAGAAATTAAAATGTTTCCCTCAGAGCAGAATATAGCTGGAATGCTGAAGTCTCCCTCAACCTCATGAAAAGATTTGTGTGAACAATTTCCATGCTTTGGATTGGGCATAGCCAGCTGTGGGCTCTGAATTCCCAGAATAATGTTTTAGTGTGAAAATCAAACACTTGTATTCTTTTTTCAAAGCTTTTCTTTAATTATGGAGGAGATGGCCAACATGTGGGACAATGTCACTGTCAAGCACCTAGAGGTTATGCGTATGCAGCATCTTACTTAAAAACCTCACATTCACATCTTTTAATGTGTTCCACCAATAAAGATGTGCCATTTCCTTTTCAGAGCTGTGGTCTTAGCAACTTGATGTCAGCTTTTTCAGCTCTCCCAGCAGGGAAATTCAGGTGAATTCCAAACTGTGATTAGAGAGATCTGAGTGGAGTTAAAAGGAGTCAAACAATGGGAAAGAAGAACACTCACACAGACACACATGCACACAGACCAGCTGCGCGCAAAGATAAATTGCATCTGCGTATGACTGTTGGCGCTTGTCATGAAGCAGTGAATTTGCTAGGAATAGGTACAGGTCAATGGGAGAGAAAAAAAATCTCTCTGCTGCCAAAAATAATAAAAAGGAGGAAAAAAGCACCTGTGACACTAGCTATCATGGAGGAAAAAAGGGTGTTACTTAATGATATTGAAAGTTTAAAAATATGATGGGAAGCAAAAGCAAGAAATAAAATGATGTGTGCTTACTATGTGAGCACAGATAGTGGAGAATGGTCTCAATTGATGCAGAGATGGATCAAGGGTTGTTGGATTGCTCTGTCCTTCCCACTACCCCTCCCCACTCCCTTATTTTCTGACCTCTGACTATATTTTCTTTGATGGAGAAAATGATAGGCTTGATAATACATGATAGGCATCCAAAGATCAAACTTTATTAGAGCCTTCTTATTCAGGAGCATGAAACTGTCTGGTCAAAAGCAAGTCCCATATGTGACCTTAATTTAACAAGCGATTAGACCCAATCCTGATGCTTTGAAATATCTTTGGTTATCAAGATCAAATAGGATACTATTTTAAATAGGCTTTTAGTATCCTCAGATTTCCTGAAAATATATGCTGCCAAAATTTTCATTCAACCCACTCAATGCCGTCCATCTCTTTTGTAAGTCTCCCATGGAGTATTTTTTTTTGTTGTTCCTTAAATAAGATTTTGCCATATACGTATATTTATTTGGAAATAAAACCCAACCAAAAGAATACCTGAATGCAACACCGATGCTTTCTCTGTAATATCTGTGTTTATTGTGGCCTGGCTTCTTTCTTATCTTTTCTGCTTCAGATGCATACGGAAGTTCCTATTACATACAACCTGTTTAGCTACTGCAGAAGAAACAAACTGTATGCCTTCCACCTAGTATTTGAACAAGGAATTGCAGCCTCTCTGCATTTCCTGTTGGGATAGAGAAAAGGAGGAAAATTTGGAAGACTAGGAACAACATAAAGTGAAAGAATTAGGCAAGATGGCGGAATCCTCCATTCTAGAATGTTTAACTTTGTACCTACAAAATACCAAGTATTGTACCAACTGCTGTGAAGTATTTAAAAATGATGAGGAAGTCTTCTACCCTGTAACTCTCTCTAGCCACTGTCCTCTCTCTCCTTCCTCCAGTAGAGCTTTTAAGAAGAAGAATCTACCTACTTTGTTTCCCTTTTTTTACCTTCCATCCACTCCTCAAAACATTGCAACTTGGCACCTGCCCCCAATCACAATCAAATGCCAGATGCCACCGATATGGCTCTGCCCTATCGCAGGTGACCTCTGTAGCATTTGACGAGGTTGCTCACTCCCTCCTTGAAACACTCTCTTCTTTTTTTCATAATCGTTCAGCTCTTCATCTCCTCCACTTTATTCCTTTCCTCCTAGCTCCTTAAATCTTGATGTTCCCCAGAGTTTCATTCCCACCCTTTTCTCTTCTTGTTCCTTGCAATCCATTTAGACACTCACAGCCACATTCATTCCTTCAACCAATGCTTATGTGCATTTCAACCCAATCTGCACAGACAGACCAAAGTTCGCTCCTGATCTGTAAACCTGAATATCTCACTAGCAGGGGATGTCTCCACTTACATGCCCCACAGACATCTCACATTCAACATGCCCAAACTTGAACCCATCGTTTGCTTGCCTGCCATCCCCATCATGAAACACACTCCTCTCCCTACATTCCTTTACTCAGCAGCAAATAACTCCATCATCTACCCAGTCACTAATCCGGAAATTTGTATTTAGTCCTAATTCCTCTCTCTCTGTTACACTTCCCACATGGAATTAATCATAAACTTTGTTTGGTTTCTGGTTCCTAAGTTCTTTCTCATTCTCTCCATGTCTGCTGCTACCACCTTAGCCCAGGTCCAGCTTTCACTCTCTCTTACTGAGTGCTGACACCTCATCCATCTTCAGGCTTAAGCTATCCTATCTCCCACCCACACGCAAATATTTGGTAGTTAGAGTTATTTTTCCAAAATACATTACTGACATGTCACTCCCCTGCTTGAAGTCCACTAATGCCTACCCACGATCTTCATAATGAAGCCCACGTTCCTCTGCATGGCGTCAAAGCCAGACCAGACTTCTGCATCTCACTGAGCTCACTTGTACCCATTCTTCCCAGGCCTGCTTGACTCTCATCCCTGCCCATGATGTCTAGTTCTCTGAGGGCCTACTTATCACTATAGTGGTTCCCTGGAATAACCCTCCAGAATGAAATGGATGTTTCCTCTACTGAATACATTTTGTAGAGAGCATGGATTTTCAGTCAGGAAAATCTGGTTCAATTACTGACTGGATGAACTTAGTCAAGTTGCTTATACATTTTTTTTTTTTTGAAACACTCAAACTGTTGCCCAGGCTGTTGTGCAGTGGCATGATCACTGCAGCCTTGTTCTCTTGGGCTCAAGCGATCCTCCCACCACAGTCCCCCAAGTAGCTGGGACTAAGATGCCACCACCATGCATAGCTAATTTTTTGTATTTTTTGTAGAATCTGGGTTTTGCCGTCTTGCCCAGGCTGGTCTCGAACTCCTGGACTCAAGCGATCTGCCTGTCTTGGCCTTCCAAAGTGCTGAGATTGTAGGTACGAGCCATTGTGTCCAGCCTGCTTACACTTTTATAGTCTTATTTTTCTCATCTATAAAATGAAGTTTCTTTTATCCATCTCTCAACGTTGTTGTAAGGATTTAATAGCAATAATAGCTGGTATTATTGGTCAGTTTCTATGTGTCAGAAACTGCTTTAAGCAGTCTACGTGTATTTATTTAATCTTTATATTACCGCAGCCCTATAAGGATAATGATTATGTGTATTTTACAGATGAGATAACTGAGGTACATTAGTTAGGTGACTTGCCCAAGGTCACACTACTAGTAAGTAGGGGAGCTGGGATTCATGAGATGATATTTAGAAAGTGTCTTCTATTAAGTAGTCACCCAATAAATGCCGTTCACTCCTTCTCTTTCTTGCTGCATGCTGTGTTCTATGGGAGACCCCGAAGACTACATAAAAATAATAGCTGACTATTAAAGATGGAGACAGCCAAAGTGTGTTTTCTACTCTCGCTCACCACAGAATACTTCTGATACCAGGAGTTTGGTGGTGATAGTGGAGAGGTCCCCACACACCAACCAAGCAATTTTCCAGCTGACACGAACTGGGTGTTTCATAAATTAACTCAATTATTACACTGTCTACCTGAGATAGCACCAGATTTCACAGATTAAGGGCTCAGTCCCATAAGACTCCCTCTCACTTCAGATGCCAGTCACAAGCCTTAGGTTGTGACCTGTGCTTCTGACCGACAAGCTATAAATTGGGGTTCCTATCACCTCTTCTTCGGGTTTGATTCATTTGCTAGAGTAGCTCGTAGAACTCAGGGAAACACTTAACATTTACCAGTTTATTATAAAGGATATTATAAGAGCTACACAGAACAGCCAGATGGAAGAGATGCATATGGCAAGGTTGGTGGAAAGAGGCTCAAAGCTTCCATGCCCTCCCTGGGTGCCCTACCTCTAGGCACCCTCAGGTGTTCAGCAACCTGGAAGCTCCTGAACCCTGTCCTTTTGGATTTTTATGGAAGCCTCATTACATAGACGTGGTTGATTAAATCATTGGCCACCGGTGATCAACGCAACCTTTAGCCCCTCTCTCCTCCCTGGAGGTTGGGTGGTGAAGCCAAAAGTCCCAAACCTCTCATCAGAAGGCTGGTTTCCCTGGCAACCAGTCCCGCCTCCTGAGGCTATCCAGGAGCCCCCAGCCATCAGTCATCTCATTAGCTTACAAAGAAACACTTATCATGTTAGAGAGTCCAAGGGTTTTAGTAACTGTATGCCAGGACCCAGGGGCAGAGAGCAAATATGTTTCTTATTATATCACAGTGTCACACTAGCATTTATTAAACATTTATTATTGGTCACATTTTGAGTTACAGACTTTATAGACATTATCTTATTTGAGACTCACTACAACCACTGAATTGGAACTATTAACCCCATTATTCAGAGGAGGAGACTGAGGCCCAGAGAGATTACATAAACTACCCCCAAAGCTCCTATCTCATAGAAGACAGAACAAGGACTTAAATTCAGATCTCTGATGCCAAAGCTTGGGCTCTTAACCACTACAATATATTGCCTCAAAAGATAATAGGAGACACAAAATGGTGTTTATAATCTTGCCGGGGGACTGCAAAAGACATAATAACAGTTACAAGCCAAAAACATGAAATACACAAAGAAATCAAACCATGAACAGAATGGCTTTCAGGGGCACAAATAATAGAGCAGTGATCAGAATTAGGCTCTGAGGAGTGAGTTTTGAGCTGAGATTTGAGGCCAGTGAAGAAAATACACTGGTCAAAAAAAAAAAAAGGACTCTTTTCATAGTTACAATGGCATGTTTAGAGTCTTGACAAATGCAGCGAAGTGGTCATGTGTAAGGAAGCACTTTATCCTCTAGCTAGCAATCTAACGAGTGGATACAAGATATTAATCATGAGGCAGGTACAGCGAAGAAATGTATGTTTTGGGTAGGGGGGAGTTAAGTCCCAGTGGCATCAATCCTGCTGACATCTTGGATTAAAAGCAATTTACAAGGCTGTAGCTGGTGAGCTTTCTCTGTTTAAATCTGTCCTGCATTGTGTCTGAAAGGCAAATGAAATAAACAGCAGTAATATTTTCAAGGATTAGGGACTCACTGAGTTAAGGCTGTGCTTTTGAAATTTTAAGCAGACTCAAGCAACACTGTAAAGTGTTCTTTAAGGAATGATACAGAATGAGGTCCTTGAAGTGTCTGATTATCTCATGCCCATTCAGAATGGGTGGATATTTCCTTCTAATCAGGGGCAGTCAGTTAGCAGATACCCAAGGCCCAGGTTAGTGTACTCTGCTGTCTCTCCTTTAAGATGATGAATTCATAGAAAGGAACTGTAACATATTCTTGTTTAAAGATAAGCTTCAAGAAATTCATAAGCGTGTTCTGAGAAACAGTGATTCTCATCAAATGAAGAGGGCTTACTGCTTTGACAAAGAGAATTACCATTGATTCACAATTTTGACCTGCCAAAAGTTTTATTTTTCAATATAGGTGAGGTGGTATTTTTTTCTCTTCAAAGAATATGGCCACACATGAAGAATTAGAATCTGTCAGGTGGAGAATTCATCTCAGTCATATAATTACTGAGCTGAGCAAGTCAGATCAAAGTGAGGGCATTGTATTGCTATAGGACATTGCTTCAAAGAAGAGTTGAACTGCAAACAATATAAAGGCTTTATTGTCCTCCATCCTAACGTCATTTAAATAATCAAGAAACATTTTCCATAAGTGGCAAGTAGTGGGATTTTAATGCCTGGTTAAAAAAGTCTGCATTCAGGCCTTATAGAAAGCAAAGGACCTTTTCTATCAGCCATTACAAATTCTCATTTCCAGGCATGAAAGGCTTAAATTGCCTGGAGTGTAGGTTTTGGTTTTTTTTTTTCCATTATAACCAAATATCTTAGTAAACTTCTTCATATTTCATAGAGCTAGTTAGGCAATTTCCCCTTAGATGTATCTTTGATGTGAAAATAAACATAGACTGGAGTGAAAGTTGAGGTACCTTCTAAGAGAGTATCTGTCTAAATGGTTCATAGTTACTCAGGCTAACATTAGCCCAGAGAAAACACATATCAACACTTTATATTGAGCCTAGATACAGTTGCTATAAGAAAAATATTTCTTCAAAACTTTCAAAAGAATGATGACATCAATGCCAAGAACATCAAAGAAGCTGTTTGTTGCTTTCAGGTACTTTGCCAAACTACCTTCTAAATGCTGCTTAACATTCCTTTGTAATGGAGTTAAAGATGAGCCTGAAATTGCAGGGACCTCTTAAAATGTCTGATCACCCTACCTGTGTCTCCAGGTGATTGTATCCAAACCAGTTAACACATTGCAGTCCTGGGTTGTCCAAACATGATTCAGATTGAAGTTTTACTTTCAGAATGCTTTTGTGCATTGAGGGGAGAATTGGTGGAGATGTAATCTCCAGACCTCCCCTGGGAATGCCATGGAGAGAGATGTGGAAACAATAGACATGCTGTTGGAATTCTGCTGTCATGGAACGGCACCTCTCAGTCTTCATTCATAATGCTCTTCTTTCATAAAAGATGTGGAAGAGTGGGATTAATGACCACACGTGGAAAGTTGAAAGAGAAACCAAAATAAATGTGTCCATTTGGCCTCTTTCCAGCATTTCAACTTTAATTAATCAAGAAAAATATGAATTTATCTTATGAAAACTTTATTGAGTGTGATTATTGGTTTTATTCTTTGTTTTAGTTGGGAATTATTTGCTGCAGCTAATAAAAGCCCTCTTGAAGTATCTCAAGCAAAAAAGAAAATTGGGAGAGGGGGAGATTTATTGGAAGGTTATGGGTTGTTTCTACTGTAGCAGATATAATTGAGTCTCCCAAAGTTCTGGAATTAGGAATTGGAAAGTTTTCAGGATATTTTTCTCCCTCCCCCTTTCATTGCCCCTCTCCCTCTTCACTTCTTCCTCTCCCCTTCTCCTTCTTTCAATCTAGTTTCTCATTCTAGCTTCTCCTTGTGCAGGAGTTTTATTCTCTTATCTCTTTAGACTTGCTTTCCCTGTCTGTTGCTGTGCACGGCTGAGAATGACTACAATATAGGCAGCCTTCCATATCTCTTAATTCAAATGCCTACAGATACTGTTAAAAAGACCTTGTTTCAGTTCTGGATTACTAGAAGAGCATTTAAAAGGGTCAGCTTGAGTCAACTGTCTACTTTGATCCAGTCTGCTGGGACAAATGAAATGTTCCACTTCAGGCTCCCTCTACTAGGAAATGTGGGGTCAGATTATCAGAGAAGGGGAGTTAGCAAGGGCAGATGTATTCAATAAATGTTCATTTCAGTCTTAATTATTTAATTAATATATGTTCAATGTAGAAAAATTGGCACAGACATATGAGCAAAGTAGAAGAGAAAAATTTATCATCATGCCACCATCGGAAAGTACTTCGGCATCTCGACGTGTTTTCTTCTACACATTTTTATTTGCTTTAAATAATCTTTTTTATTTTATATTTATTTGGATTATATTAAGAATGAGATACAGTGGTCAACAAGACAAATGTGACTCAGGCTTCCCTTTCTAGGGTTTATTTTATAACATGTGGAGACAGACTTAAAAATTGGAAGCTAATTAATAAAAATATTTGGAAATTATAGTAGGTACTGTAAAGGAAACAAGAGATGGAAAACAAACATGAACATGTACTTTAGATGGAATGGCCATGGAATATCTCTGTGAGGGTCACATTAAGTCGAGACTTAAGGAAAAGAAGGAGCTAACTATGATAGGAGAAGGAAGAGTTACATGAAGGCAGAGCATATCCGGTGAGAGGAAACAGTATATGCAAAAGGCCTGCATCTGAAACGGAAATGATCTTTTGTGTTCTTAGAATGAAAAACAAACAAACAAAAAAGTAGTGTAGCTGGAGTTTGGGTTGAGAAGGAGATCCCTTTTGTTGCTATCCAGAGAACACAGTGGGGCAGAGAGAGGCGAGATGTGGGGTCAGAGTCACTGAATGTAGATGGAGAATACTTGATTGCTTACCGCGCTTAAAGCAGAAGGAGCCTGAAGAAGAATGAAGAATGTGACCTGAGAGAAACAGACAGGGAAGGACAGGATAGGGGCCTTTCATACCCATTGATGTTGGGTAAACCACTGAAGATGAAGGGAGAAATGCTGCCATGAGGTTAGGGATGGCTGTGTTTCATATTATTTCCCAAAAAGAAGGGACCTTTTTGGTAGCCAAGTACAAACCCGAAAATAATGAATAAACAACCCTCGAACACTGTTAGGGCACTCTCCCTGCCATATGGGATTTGCTGATATTTAAAGTGGTCCCTCTACAGTTGGACAAAGAGTTGCTAAGAATCAGCTATATGGCTTATAAAGGGGGCATGGTTCATGGCCAATGGCAGAGAAACATAGATGCTCCATAAACTGACTCATCTGATGTTCCCAGGCCACTAGGTGCCTGATAAGTCACATTGTCAGGCAGTCATTGAGCACTTTCCTGGAATAGAGTTTGGAGGGGCATGTGGGAGTGGATGAGAAGTACAAGATACTGTCTCTTCTGTTGGCTTCTATAATCATACTGAAGTCAAAAACTTACAGACCTGAATCAATTACCAAGAACAATATAAGACAGAAAGTGCTAAAATCATTAAAGCAGGGAGAAAAAATATGAGGGAAAGTAGGATGGACCTTGAGGTATGCCCTTTAGAGAAAGCTTTCCAGACTGGGCCCTCCAAGCAAAAGGAGAGAGAGAAGCCACTTGATTAATGATACTTAATGCATCGTAAATTCTGCTGAGGAGGGCATTTAGAGATTTCATGAGAATTGCAAACATTTTAGACATAGCATTTACTTTGGATTTGCTTCGATATATTTTGGGCAAAAAGTGAGTCATGGTTAAAGTATTTCATGCACAAAGCAGCTGGATTTTTCAGGCTTTTACAGAATATTATGTGCATTTCTCTGTTAAACACAAAGGGTCCATCTCTGAATGTCCCCTCAGATCCTTGCTTTATAACAATTGCAGTAACTAGTCAGGATGACTAAGGATATAGTCAGTAGGGTCATCCTATTGGTTATCACTGAATGGATCTAGAATGATATTGTTTAATGTAGTAGACTACATGGGAAAATAACTCTACTTTGAACTTTTTAATTTAATATAAACATCCCCTTGTTGCTGGACAACAAGTTTTGTTTACACTGCCACTAACAGAATATCATAATATGAAACATGATATTCATTTGAATATTTGAGGGGTACTTCATTATAAGGGAGTGGGATTCCTTTTCTAGCTTTCTTAGGCAGAGTCTCTCCCATCTACAACAATAAGGCCATGCTCAAGTCTCCAGAACAATGATCATACTGTATTACTATTTTTCACTATGTTTCCAGACAGACTGGTAAATTCCTTTTTGTTTGTTTCTTTTTGTTAATTCTAACGTTAATTGAAAACAGTGGTTTTTGTTGTTGTTGTTTTTGTTTTTGTTTTGAGACAGAGTCTCTCTCTGTCACCCAGGCTGGAGTGCAGTGACGCGATCTCGGCTCACTGCAAGCTCCGCCTCCCAGGTTCACGCCGTTTTCCTGCCTCAGCCTCCCAAGTAGCTGGGACTACAGGCACCCGCCACCACGCCCGGCTAATTTTTTGTGTCTTTAGTAGAGATGGTGTTTCACCGTGTTAGCTAGGATGGTCTCGATCTCCTGACCTGGTGATCCGTCTGCCTCAGCCTCCCAAAGTGCTGGGATTACAGGCATGAGCCACCATGCCTGGCTGAAAACAGTATTTTAAGAGCAATGTTCTGAGCTCTTTTTGAGCTTTAGCTACATGGTTCTTGCATTAACCTATGATGTAGGCACCCTTATAGAATATACAGCTGGTGCTAAATAAGTATCTGTTGAATGAATGGGTAAACAAATTCAGTGTTACAGATGAGGAGAAAAAAATCTGGTTTTGTTACCTTCATTTTCTCTTTTTCTAGCACATGCCTTGTCCATAGGATAGTCAGGATGACAGTGGGAAGTGTCAGACCAGCCTAAGGTTCAAGTTCATCTCTCTGACTGAAAAAGAGCTGCCGGTGATGGAGCTCTGCTTTGAGCTTGGAATAATGCTGGTGCTTTACATGTGTGTTGCTAAGCCCCACTAAAACCCTGAGACATGGGGTATTATTGTCCATATCATACAGGTAAGGTAAGTGACTAGTTTAGACTTGTACAGTAAGTAGGAACAGAGAAGCATTTGGAACCCAGGTTTATTGGCAGTTGAGTCTTGTGCTCTTTCTAGATCCCACAGCTTCCCATTTGTCTTGATAAGAGAAGATGTCTGCCTCTCCGAGGTAGTGTTGTACTGGTTCCCTTCCCTTTCTCCTCAATGACTATTTTGTTGGTTAAAGATAAACTTGGAACATTCTCCACAGGGAAGTGATGGAAGTGTCCACGCTGACAAAATGCTATCATGAAATGCCTTTTTTCTGCCCTGTAATGAAGAGTGTTTCCGAGGCAAATTCCAAGTCGTTGAGTTACTCTTCCACAAGCCAACCATTAAATCTAAGAAAGGGGAGGTGGGGAAGGCATCAAATAAATTTTGAATACAGGAGAGCTTGGTATTGAGTACCTTCAGAAGGGCAGTATGTTGACTTCTTTTCTCTATATAGAACCTGAATTTGCATTGCTCCTGCTTCTATATAAAGCTTTATCTTGGGCTTCATAAAGAGTAGCTATTTTGGGCTAGACACAATGGCTCACAGCTGTAATCCCAGCACTTTGGGAGATCAAGGCAGGAGGACACCTTGAGTCCAGGAGTTCCAGACTACCCTGGGCAACATAGTGAGACTCCATCTCTACAAAAAAATTTAAAATCAGCCAAGTGTGTTGTCACTTTCCTGTAGTCCCAGCTACTCCAGTGGCTGAGGGGAAAGGATCACTTAAGCCTGGGAGGTTGAGGCTGCAGTGAGCCAAGATTGTGCCACTACACTCCAGCCTGGATGACAGAACCAGATCCTGTTTCAGAAAAAAAAAAAAAGAAAAAAAAAAAAGCTATTTTGACTAAACTAGTAACATTTCTCAGGGTCCAAACCTTATGGAACAAAGTTATGGAACAAATTTTCTAGAAAGATCTAATATGCCTCCTCTGACCCTTACACTAAAGACAACAACAAAAAGGCCAGGTGTGGTGGCTCACGCCTGTAATCCCAGCACTTTGGGAGGCCGATGCAGGCAGATCACTTGAGGTCGGGAGTTCAAGACCAGCCTGACCAACATGGTGAAACCCTGTCTCTACTAAAAATACAAAAATTAGCCAGATGTGGTGGTGCACACCTTTAATCCCAGCTACTCGGGAGGCTGAGGCAGGAGAATCACATGAACCTGGGAGGCGGAGGTTGCAGTGAGCCAAGATCGTGCCACTGCACTCCAGCCTGGGCGAGAGAGTGAGACTCCATCTCAAGAAAAAAAAAAAGAAAGAAAAACAACAACAACAATAACAACAAAAAACCCTAAAACATAAAACAACAAACAAACAAAAACACCTCACATGTTTTCTTGAAGGAGTGAAAGTACGAGTTACTGAAATTCATAAGGAAGCATGCCCTGGCTCCATGTCTGCTCCAGTGCTTTCACCCAGGAAGGGCATGGAGTCCAGATGGGGCTTCAACTTGCATCCCAGCTTTGCAGTCCCATCAGGAGGGGCAACAACACTTTGTGTCCATCACAAAGCTTCATACACCCCTTCACTTCTGGTTCACATGAGTGACAATACATTTTCTTCACAGTTCCGGTTCTCAGGGCTTCACATTCTCGTGACTTCAGAGTTTAAAGGAAAATAATCAATGGGCAAGTATGGTGGCTCATGCTTGTAATCTCTATAACCTTTGGGAGGCTGAAGCAGGAGGATTGCTAGAGCCCAGGAGTTCAAGACCAGCCTGGGCAACATGGCAGTACTGCATCTCTACTAAAAAATGTATAAAAATGTCTTTAAAAAAGTAAAAACAAAAGGTAAATAATCACTGAAGCAAAATTCTGGTGGAACCATTAATTTGCTTGTGAATTTGGTATGAAAATATTCCCCACAACCCACAACCTCCTTTTTAGCATTGTTTTACTGCTCCCACTCAATAGTTAGAAGGATCCCGTTTCCCAGGCACTGAGGTCAACGAATAATTATTAAAACACCTAGAATATGCCCAGCATTGTGGTAGGTACTGAAAGAAACTTGGAGAAGTATAAGGCAATGAATGCCCACCCTCAAAGAGCTTAAAATCTGGTTGGGCAAACCTAATTACTGTGTGGCCATAAAATAATATCTAGTAATACAAGGAAGCTCAGATCTTGGTAGGGCCAAATAAGAAGTGAAGATTCTTTCTGTGTTTAGTAAAAAGCCTGACAAACCTATTTTGTGCTAGGACTGGAAAGGCAGAAAGGAATTACTCTCACCTCCAAGTACTTGAGGAGCTAGAATTTACTATTCCTGGATCCTAAACATTTTTACTTCAAGAATCAAATCAAGAGTCATATATTAGCTTTCGGATTGGTCTCTTTCTAATGTTATCTATCCCCAGTCCTATCTCTAATCAGCCATGAGTAAAATAGCCCGAGGAAAGTTTGCAGATGATGGAACCAAGATATTCCCTTGAGTATGTAGGCAGTGGCAGATTTGGTTCTTGTGTTTATGCCTGGTTGAGAAAGACAGAAGTCTACCTGGGGTGAAAAAAAGTGACCTATGGACTGAATTGTTACCTTTGTGTGGCACATTCCCTGTTTCTAGGGCAGCACCGGAGACAAAGAATGCATTTATTTTGTGGAAAGGGATGGGGGCAGGGGAAGAAACAGAAACCAGAGGATTGTGCAATAATGGCATTTTCAAATCCCTCCAGAAAGTTTATGTTTCAAGTCTTTTGGAAAAGTGAAGCATAGCTACTTAAAAAGAAGCAGTTTACTGAGGACCCCAGCCCCAGTTCTGCTGTGCAGGATTTTCCTTGTTCCTAGGCGTTCTCATACCTTCAACCCCAGCTGTTGGGGCAGGCAGGCTACTGTGTCTGGAACCCTGCCCCGGACAGGCCTATGCCTTTCCCCAGCAGAGACCGCAGGCCTCAAATAGCATCTAGGTGTCCAAATGGAAGAATGAGAACAAGGACGGGAGTGAAAAGAAACAGTTTGCTGGATCTCAGCAAAAGAAAGTACAGTGATTTCTGTGTCATCTGCAAACCAGACTGGACTTCCCTTGTTGAAAATCATTCCCAAAACAAGCCCCTTCCTCGGATGGCCAGTGAAAGGGTGATATTAAATGCACAGTCTCATGAATTAAACGTAATTGTGGGGCACAGATTTATCATGCAAAATAAAAAATGCTTCTCACCCACCTAGGTAGTGGGAAAAGTGCAAAGATTGAGTGTAGTGCTGATTGGAAGCCTTTACATCCTGCTGCTGGCTTAATCATCTGCATATTTTCCCTCATGCCAGGGATGATTTGATAGGATATGGTTCAGAACTCTCTCTGGTGCTTAGTAAATCTTTTTGACTGACCGAATGACCTTTGTCTCTTTCCTCTCCTATATTGGAGCCTCAGGAGTGATGGCCTGAACTTTCACCATCAACCTCCCACCAGTGATGTCATCATTCTCTCCTTGCCATCCAACCCCCTGTGTCCCGAATGCCTTTACCTCTGCCCTGTGCTCACAAGGCATCTTCATTCTATTGGACTTTTGTCTTGGCTGTCTGGGCTATCTGTGTCCAGCACACTGTCAGCATTTGGCAAGGTAGAGGCCGAAAGGGAAGACAGCAGTATGGCTAGTGGTTCAGAATTAGGACTTTGGAACGAGACATGTCTGGGCTGGCATCCTGCCTCCATATCTTTACTGTGTAATCTTAATGTCAGGAACCTCAATTTTTTCACTTATGAAATGGGTATATAAGAGCACAAGCCTCAGAGAGCCATGAGATTAAACAAGGACTTACACCACAGAGTGCCTGCCTAGAATAAGCCTTCAGTATACAATAGTTAAGAGGTGAGAGGCTTTCATAGAACATAGGTACCCTTGCCTTTGAAGCCCCTTATTCCTTAAAAAATATTAAAAATTATATTTTATGACCGTGTTGGCAAAAAGATAAATTAATATATTTTGAAACAGTTCTTTAACCTAAAATCTTATTTTTTTCCTTCTGTTCTATAACTGTTGTGAGCCCTGGGCACTGTGTGTCCCATGCCTAATTGGTAGGTCAGCCCTTGGGTGAAAGATTTGTTTTGGAGATCCTTCCCTTTACCTTTCCAGTATCATTAACTGTTTTCTGGAAGATTCAGGCCCTGCAGCCCCTCAGGATATTACTACCCTAATACTTCTCCTTTCTCCCTTCTCTTTTCTTCCAGCCACCCAAAAGGTCCACAGTGTGGAGCTCCCAACTCCCATAGTCCTGCCCCCATCCTTCTCTATTTAAACCCTTGCCTTTATTCTCTACCATTCCCCTGGTTAGGTCTTGTTCCCTTAGAGCTTTATTCTTGTTCTGGTAAGTTGGCTTTGAATTTTCTCATAAGCTATTTGTCCTTGAGGTATTATTGACTGTTTTCCTCCTCTGTTGCTTCTGGAGTATTTGCATCTTGAGAGACTCTATACCATAATTCAAACCATGTATCTAATGAAAGAATTTTAGTCCAGCAAAGGAGATATTTCAAAGCAAAAAGTGATCCTTGAGAATCATTTAGATTGTATGGTGCTGGTGCCAGTAGCTTGGTGCCTACTGCATGTAGGCATTCACAGTGGGCCTCGGTGATATAACTAGATTAAAAACTTCTAGAAGGCAGGGCACAGCCTATCCCCAAAATTCTCTTGGTAAAGTATCATGCCCAGTGAAGTTTTGATGGGTGTCTTTTATCCTAATGGAATCACACATGACTTCTTCTGTCCCCCATCTTAAGGAATCCCTCCAGCTGTGCTTGGTGGTGACCTTACACCACCACACATAGTGCCTGGAACACAAACTTCCCTCCTTTAGTGCTTGTTATTTTCTGGCTTTGGGCAGGATAATGATCTCAGAGATAATCCCATTTATAAAGGAGAAGAAAACTGTGGCCCAGAAAAGTTGAGTATTTTCCCTAAAGTAACAAAACAAATTAATGGAAGAATCGGGACGAGATCCCTGGCTTCCTGAAGACACAGGTGTAGGTACCATTTACCTCTGTCAGGGCCTAGGGTGTCACTTACTACAGAGCACAGGCTGTGCAGTGGGAATGTGTGGTTTGATTCCTGACTTCATTGCTTACTCTGTCTGTCCTTTGAAAAGATACTCAACCTCTAAACCTGTTTTCTCATCTGCAAAAGCGGGGAGGGGAAGAAATAATATCAACTTTATATAGAGTTGTGAAGATTCTGAGAGTTGTGAGAGTTAAATAAGATTATCCACATAAAGTGCTTAGTACGATGTCTCACATGCAGACCTTCAATAAATGACTCATTATTATACAATTATCACTAATTCTATTACTGTCTCTACACTCCTCATAGCCTAAAGAAAGTGTGAGTGCTGTTTCCCAGAGCGCATACTGCACTGCCCAGGGAGTGGCCAGAGCAGTGAGAGAATCTGGCTGAACAGGTTTTTTCAAAGCAGTGGAAAATAAATCAAAGGTGATAACCCAAATTCGGAAAAAGAATGTACTCCTTTGTTTGTTCTTTCCTAGTTGTGAAAGAACCTTCAAAATGCAATTTATGCTGAAATAAATCAGAAGCAACATGGCTGACTCTCTCTGGTCTGTGTTCTTCCTGACCCCATGAGGATAGACAGTGGTAACTCTGAGTTTCTGCTGGATGTGGTGATAGCTGACCATGTTCTGTGATGATGTCTACACCAGTGAGTGGACAAGATTAGGAGTCAGCAAATCATGCAGAGACAGCAGAGATGTGGGGAGAGGGGAAGCTTCACACCCAGGTACAAAGCATGCCTAGCCCCTTGCTGCAAATTGTTCATCACTAAATGTGAAGTCTCAGGCAACTTGGTTAGAACTCTTTGTTGAAAGTAACAGATGCCCAATTTGTATTAGCTTAAGCAATAGGGAAATTCATTATAAAGATTCCATAATGTATCAAAGAAAACAAGCAGAGCTGACCTGGGATTGGAAACAAGCCCCCGAATGGTATTAAAACGTGTCTCTCCTCTGCTTCATTTTTCTCTCTTTCTACAGATTTGCTTCCTCTATGGCTCTAGTTAACACAATGGAACAACAGCTCACAAGTTCTGTAGATACAGCCACCTAAAGAGAGCCTGGTCTCACTTTCTCCAAATCCAAAATTCCCATGGAAGGGAGTAATTGCCCTGTCTTGGGTCAGGTTCCTTTCTCTGATTACCAATCAGCAATGATATAAGGTTATAATCTGTTGTACCAACATGACACATTCACCATAACTATTTACCACCTGTGAGTGAGAAAAACTACAAATAAGGGATGATTGAAACAAATATTGATGAGCCAGATGACAAAAAGCAGATTTTTCCCACTCAGCTCTATACTGCATCCTGGCCATTCCCATATTCCTCATCATTTTACCTGAAATCTAGGATGTCTCTGTAGTTACTGCCCCTGGCCCCTTTATACTAGGTTGATCCTAGCCCTGAACAAACTAATTAGAGCATGTTAGAGTGTAAATGACATATGCTTTAGAACCACACAAACTTTGAGTTAAAGCCCACTTGCTAGCTGTGTGACCCTGGGCAAGTTACTTAGTCTCTCTGAGTATTGCTTTCCTTATTTATAAATTAAGGGTAATAATACCTTTCTAATGGGATTGTTGTGCAGATTAAGGGAAATAAAGTAACCATATTCAAGTGTTTGATATGTAATATATACTCAGTTATGTTAATTTCCTTTTCTTGATTAGTCTACCTAGAAATCTTCAGGCAGGTGAGAGAGCAGCCATAAGTGAGAAGAGAAGATAGGAGAAGTGATAGAATTTTCTATCTAGGAAATGTTTTCTTGCCTCGTGTATTTTACAGTTATGCTGAGAAAACATTGAATAATTTCAGTGGGTCTGCAGCACTGGGAAAGCCACACTTTGGTAGATATGGTCTCTCACTTCAGAGACAAATCAACAAGGATATGAGGACGAATGATGAATGCTTTATGTTTCTTTTTTAATGTATTAGTGTGCTTATATGGCCCTTAAGACTTTCTCTGTAAATTTTAAGGCTCATAAAGTATAATCTGATTGCTAGTTTGTGAATGAAGTACTTTAACAGTCACAAAAAAACTTAAACATGTTGCTGTTTAGACAAGCTCCCCTTTCAGCATGTAGTAAGCCATACTTTTTCTACAAATTGTTGTTTATTGAGTTGTTACTGTAACAGGCACTTTCTAAACTTTTATATGCATTATCTCATCCCTTCCTGTGAGTTAAGTGCTATTGTCCCCATTTTCTAGATGAGAAAATTGAGGCTCAGGTAAGTTGCTGAGGTCACATAGCACCCAGTGACAGAATTGGCACTTGAGCTCAGTTTTGTCTGCTTCCAGAGCCTAAGCAATTAACACTTTCGTTTTGGTAACGAGATTTAGTTACAGGAAACAGAAGAAATGAATTCCCAGGAAAATCAGTGCTTAAAGTATCTCATATGAGGAATGATCATCTCATGACTTTTGTGTGTCCACATAAGGTTGCTACATAGGCTTGGATGCAAAGCAGTGGAATTATAGGAAGAAAAGTAGATGAACAATAATAGCATATCTCCTTAGGCCTGAGAACTATTCTAATTACTTACTTAGAGGATAATAGTGATGAAGGGGTTGGGTCTGTGAAAAAAAAAAGAAACTAGAGATTTGTTCCCAGCTTTAGACTTGTGAGTGTTTTCTATCTTGCTTAAAATTGTGCACACTCTGATCATCTGTAGCTGCGAGGAGTTGTGTGTGCATGCATGTGGAATATTTTGGCTTGCTCCAGAAAATAACAATGCTTTAATCTTAGGTACTGTGAATAACTTCTTATGATATTTGAAGGAATCTGTATCCATTGACCTATGAACCACTCATGGGAACCACTGATCTCTAACCTAATTGATCTGCTCCTCCAGAAATATTTTATTTTGTTGTGTTTGTGCTACTGAGAGTTTTATTATAATCCAGATTGTGCTTCATTTGTGCTCTCTCTGTGCCATTTTTTTAAAAAACTGAATCTTGTGTGTAAATAGAAGAAACATTTAAATATCACATCACTTTTTATGAGAAGCATCATTGGATTCATATTTCTTATTTTTCCTTTTTATTCCCTTCTGTCTTTCAGCTCCAGGGTTCCTTGAAAAGAAAACAGGTAGTTAACCTATCTCCTGCCAACAGCAAGCGACCCAATGGCTTTGTGGACAACTCATTTCTTGATATCAAAAGAATTCGTGTTGGGGAGAATCTCTCTGCAGGACAAGGTGGCCTCCAAATAAACAATGGACAAAGTCAGATTATGTCAGGGACCTTGCCTATGAGCCAAGCACCCCTGCGAAAGACTAACACTCTGCCATCCCATACACATTCTCCTGGCAATGGCCTGTTTAACATGGGCTTAAAGGAGGTAAAGAAGGAGCCAGGAGAGACTCTGTCTTGCAGTAAGCACATGGATGGCCAAATGACCCAAGAGAATATTTTTCCTAATAGGTACGGAGACGACCCTGGAGAACAACTGATGGATCCTGAGCTGCAGGAACTGTTCAATGAACTGACCAACATATCTGTGCCTCCCATGAGTGACCTTGAACTGGAGAACATGATCAATGCCACCATAAAGCAGGATGACCCATTTAACATTGACTTGGGTCAGCAAAGCCAGAGGAGCACACCTAGGCCCTCCTTACCCATGGAGAAAATAGTGATCAAAAGTGAATACTCACCGGGCTTGACTCAGGGCCCCTCAGGCTCTCCTCAGCTGAGGCCCCCATCAGCTGGCCCCGCATTCTCCATGGCCAACTCTGCCCTCTCCACTTCGTCTCCAATCCCTTCAGTCCCTCAGAGCCAGGCTCAGCCTCAGACAGGCTCCGGAGCAAGCCGGGCCTTGCCAAGCTGGCAGGAAGTATCCCATGCCCAGCAGCTCAAACAGATAGCTGCTAATCGTCAGCAGCATGCCCGGATGCAGCAGCACCAGCAGCAGCACCAGCCTACCAACTGGTCAGCCTTGCCCTCTTCTGCTGGACCATCACCAGGTCCATTTGGGCAGGAGAAAATCCCCAGCCCTTCTTTTGGTCAGCAGACATTCAGCCCACAGAGCTCCCCCATGCCTGGGGTAGCTGGCGGCAGCGGCCAGTCGAAAGTAATGGCTAACTACATGTACAAGGCCGGCCCCTCAGCCCAGGGTGGGCACCTAGATGTCCTCATGCAGCAAAAGCCTCAGGATCTCAGTCGAAGTTTTATTAACAACCCGCACCCAGCCATGGAGCCCCGTCAGGGCAACACCAAGCCTTTGTTTCATTTTAACTCAGATCAAGCGAACCAGCAGATGCCTTCTGTTTTGCCTTCCCAGAACAAGCCTTCTCTCCTACACTACACCCAACAGCAACAGCAGCAACAGCAGCAGCAGCAGCAGCAGCAGCAGCAGCAGCAGCAGCAACAGCAGCAGCAGCAGCAACAGCAACAGCAACAGCAACAGCAGAGTTCAATTTCAGCTCAACAACAGCAACAGCAGCAGAGCTCAATTTCAGCCCAACAGCAGCAGCAGCAGCAACAACAGCAGCAGCAGCAGCAACAACAACAGCAACAACAGCAGCAGCAGCAGCAGCAACAACCATCTTCTCAGCCTGCCCAATCTCTACCAAGCCAGCCTTTGCTAAGGTCACCTTTGCCACTTCAGCAAAAGCTCCTACTTCAGCAAATGCAGAATCAGCCCATTGCAGGAATGGGATACCAAGTCTCCCAACAACAGAGACAGGTAAGGGCTCTACTACTCCAAATACAGAGTTCCCAGAGACCATTTAGCTTGATCTTTATGCTGTGGTTACCATTATGTTTGTATTGGGACAAGATCAAGACCAAAGACAGTAGTGGTCTTGATGGAGTCATATGAAGACCTCATAAAGCCTGGTTCGTTGAGGGCATCTAGAGGCAAGGACTAGTACTTCCCTGTAGAGCATTAGTATCATTGTGATCTGTAATGATCAAAGGTTCTTGCTTACTCAGAATAGAGCATTATAATGTATGCTGTTAGTGACATATCCAGTTGTCAATCAGATGGTCACTTATCCAAGCAGTAAATTAGTCATTAAGTCAATGTGCACTTGCTGAGTACCTACCATGTGCAAGATGTTGTTATTATGCTGAGTATTGAATAAAGCTGGAGGTGGGATTGAGTATTAAATGACTGATCTACACCTGCACCAACCAACTGGAATATTTAAATGCCCAATGATCATAATGATCCTGCGATGACTCCCTGTGATGCATGTGGACCGAATATCAGCCTGAAATAAAACATGATCCCTGTCTGCAAGCACAGTAAGGAAAGGGAGACGGGATTTTTAAACTACCATTTCAATGCTAGGTATGAGAGCACAGAGTTTGGGTATCTTACCCGGCAAAGGGAAATCAGGGAAGGCTTCTGGAAAACCAAAGTCTGAGTTAAATGTTAAAAGATGAAATTATCACGACTACAGATAAAAAAAATCTCTGGTAACCTTACATCGTTTGGTTAACATAAAACAGAGGTTTATTCCGCCCCAAACGTGAACAATATGAAGGCATAGCTCTGTGCCTCCAGAGCACATATTGATGAGTAAGTCCTGATCCCCAGGGAACCTAAAAGAAAAAACTCTTTCTGGAAGGAAGGAAGGAACTTTGAATATAGCTTTGTGCGTGTAATTTGACAGGTCTGCGTTATCTATCTAAGCACAAAGATAGCACATTATATGTCAAAAAATTATCTCAGGACAGTGCGATGGTGCAGATCCTAATTCCAATAACATTCCTAGAGTAGTTTTCGTGGCTATTGCCCAGAAAAGAATGCCACAAACACCACAAACTCTGTCCAAGCTAACCTTTGCCCTAGTTGTTGGCCAAGAGAACACCAGACTCAAAGAGGATTCAAAAGTTATGCACTAAGCACAGCTTTCAGCCCTTTTCTACTTAAGAAGTGTGTTTTTAAAAAATTATAGATTTTGGAGAATGGACTTGGAGTACAGACATATATATACACACATATGTTTTTTTACAAAATTCCTTTTTTAACCCAGGGAATTTTGGGAGCATTTAAAAACAAGTCGTAGAACTATTTTCTAATGCTATATGCAGGCACTTTGATTTGGATGAATGTAGGTTCAAATTCTTACTCTGACAGTCTTAGCTGTGTCACCTCAAGGGACTCACTGAACTTCTCTAAGCCTATTTCCTCACCTATCAATAGGAGTGAAAAGAAAATCTCCTAGGAGTGTATTGAAAATAAAATGAGGTAATTCTCAGTCCAGAGTCTAGAATAAGTTGATTACTATAATGATTATGGAAAGAGCCATAAATCACCAAAATGTTATTTTTAAAAAAGCACTGCTATTTTATAGGAGAGGCATTGGAGTAAATCCCAAGTTCTAACATAACCAGTATCGGGGAAATAAATAAAAGAGAATTATCTCTAATTTTTCACTATCCAGCAGCTTGAGTGTATTGCAGTTTACCCTTTCTAGGCCCAGACTTCTGACCATAAAAATGGAAATTATAAATAATGAGATAGCAATGAGTTAGCATTTATAACCGGCATGACTTCTGCCTCCCTTACTTGTGGCATCTCATTTCATCCGTATGAGGGAAATGCCATTATTTCCATGTTACGAGTAAGAGAATTGAGGCACAGAGAGGTTCAATAGCTCTGGTGCTGACGGCCAAATCAACAAACATGTTCCAATGCCTTAGATAATTTTTTACATTCTCCTAGGGCATATGACATATATGATACAGAGGTAATTTTCATCTCTTCCAAAAGGCCCTTAAAAAGTGGTGGAAATGTGGCAGTATTTCAAGTTAAGGGCCTCTCTTCGATACAGGGAGTAGCCACCCATTTAAAGCTTTATCCCAGCTTTATAGACTGAACCACATTGTCCCTTCCAGATCAATAATTCTATAACATATGATCCCAAAATCATGTGGCTGAGTTTTAAGCAAGTATACTTCAGCTGTGTAGTCAAGTAAGTATTGCCCTTTGGAAAGCATTCACATTTAGGAGGGAAGTATACACATTCTGATAATGATGCTATTGTTCAATACAGCTATAGAATTTTCTCTGGGGATTGTCTCTAGGGCTTATAGCACATTTGGTAGATTATTACCAACACAGTAACATTCATCCTATCAGGGCAATTTTTGCAAACAGTCAAGTCAGGTAATGCTGCTTTGGGTCAAAACCAAGGGGTAACTATGATGTGACAAGGCTGCATTGCAAGTGTGGTGTGTGAGCTTTCTCTGAAGGCAGTTAAAGAAAGTGAGCTCCTTCTCAAGATGTTAATTTTGGGAAGCAACTTGTATTTGATATACATACTTCTAAGGTTCTTCTGATTCTCGTTGTCTCATCCAGTGTGTTGGCATGTATTCTCAACTCAGAGTAGTTTTAACTCTTCCATCTATAATAGACAGTACAAATGTCTGTTCTCATTCCAGAACAGCTAAATCTCTGTTACCGATGACCAAAGTCATGGGTAGGGTGGGGGATTTGGAGTTAAGCAACTCTTAAATTTATCAACTGAAACATCTTAAAGGAAAACACTAGTCATGTATTTTTTTTTTCTGCTTGTCATACTCACTTTGTGTCAAACAGGACGATTTACTGTGGGATTTGTTACTTGAAGCTCTTTAGCCTGATGAAAATCTTGGTTCTCTGCTACAAATTGGTAGACTAAATTTGTTGATCAGTTGCTTGCAGTTCACCTCATAGATATGCAAGGTGACCTTCCCTTTACCTGTCGGAACTCTGAACCCAGACAGATCCATATTTGCAGCTAGAGACTGAATGTGGGCAATTCCTGTGCCCCTTCTCTTTTACTGTGTACCTACCTCTATTTTCCTACAGGTAAATGATGCCTGAGAGATGGATGCAGCATAATAAAATTGTTTAATAAATCCTTATTGCTCCATGTTTGGGGTGGTTTTAAGTAACCTCTTCTCCAGAGATGGGGAAAACAAATGCTATTTGGTGTTTTACAAAATGTCTATAGCAGACTCTTGTCTTGCTAATATTTGTAGCTTGGCACATGGAGATACCTCTTGGCTATAATTTTCTTCCCTTCCTGATTTGAGGATTATGGGATAGGGCAAGACGGGGATGCAATGAATGCATTTCTGATTTATCTTCAAGTCAGTGAGCACTTACTTAAGTTGTGAAAGAGTTATTGGCTGATCAGGGCTCATGAGGGTTTAAGCCAAAAGTGCTTACCTCTTGAACCAAAAAGTGATCTTTTTCAGAGCTATATAATCAGTCACTTAAAAGTGTGAATTTTTTTCTAACATTGGATCCATGCAACTCAAGTGGATTCTATATTTGGCTTAGAATTCTCCCATATCTAAAACTTCTTGGAGGGAAGGCAGCCAGTGAATGGATGGTTTGTTATGACTGAAACATAAATTTGTACATTGCCTCCTTAGTTTAAAGCCAAGTTCCTCAATCATATATTAATAACCTCACCCTACTCTCTCTTCCTAGCCAAGTTTATCCTTCTCTACACCATATCAACCCTTGGTGTAAATCAGGCACATCTCCTAATGTTCTCTGCCCCACTTCTTTAAGGTAGTATTGTATATATCTAATCTTAAGGATGAACACACAGAAAATTGTTTCCAAATTGGCCTGGGTGGCAGTGGGGAAATCAATGTAACTTTCATATGCTGACAATACCTCTAAATCCTTATAATTGTCCAATGAAAGGGCCAGAGAAGAAATAGAAATCTTGTATCAGCTGGAAACGCCTTTTCCAATGGGAAAATAATCATGAATTTGGTGTTTTGCAATAGTATGATATCCAAGCCACTCCTTTGCTGGATCCTAGAGGTTGCCTGAAGGGTAACCCAATTAGGCTGGTGCCAGAGTTTGGGTTCATAGGCTAGAATAGGTTAGAGGAAGTCAGGAGCCTGGAGGGCCAAAGTAAAACCAAGCCAAAGTCCTAAAAAAGCTGAGAAACAAAATTTGTCAGTATATTCAGAACAAAGAAGGAGGCTAAAAAAATGGTGACATACCTGCGGTCAAGGGTAAATATAATGACATGAAATCTATAGTGAAGATGGGATAGAGACTCGAGAGATGGTAGGTGATCACTGCAAGTGACTCTTCACCATTTGATGATTTCTTTATAACTCACCTTGGCTGACTCTTGGCAAAAGGGAACAAGGTTGATACAGACATACTGTGGGTTGTCTGTGGGAGGCCAGGAGCATTATGTTTACATTTTCATTTTATTTTTGATATTTCACCATTTATCTTTTAAGTTACAAAGGAAAGAAAAATTTGTCTTTAATACTCCGTGAAACTAGTGCTTGACTAGAATGTAGAGTGAATTTCCAGATACATATGTTGATATAATTAGTATTGAAGAATCATAATTGGAAAATTAGCAGGAGGAACTTGGTGTCTTTTTTGTTCTTCTGTCGTTATTCTGTTGGTTGGTTGGTTTTAACATTAGCACTAACTTTGTGCCATATACGAATAACTCAAATGGTAGCTATAATCAACCGTTTTTCACAGGTGAGGACACTGATGCTCAGAAAGATCAAATCACTTGCTCAGGGTTATGGTTAGTAATTGGCCTGATTTTACAGTCAGGGCTCATAATTACTATGCTGCCTAAATTAAGGAAATAGGTAGAGGTGGTTTGGGTTGTGCTGTCAGGGCCTTCTTTATGATATATGTTTGAAATTTCACTGTTTTCTACAGTCCCAGGCAAAATCACCACCTCGGGAAAAATTTAGGTCAATTCGAATGTAGGGAGGGATCTTTAGTCAAATTCACACTGACCTTGCCTTATCTGAATCCACAGATCTCTCAGTTTCCTGATATGCCTACCAGGAGCCATGAGCTTACTGAATATTGCTCCATTCTTAGCTCTAGCTAAGCTTCTATTCACTTGTTTAAAAACATATTTATTGTGTGCCTGCTATTTGCCAAGCACAGTTCTGGATTACTGATGCTACACCTGAGATCAAATAAGAAATTGTGGTGCAGTAATGGAAGTGTAAAATTTTCAGAGTTTTTAAAAAATTAAACAATCAGATTGTTTTCAAATTGAGCTATTTTCATCATATTGCAGGCATATTCTTGTTTCTATTGCTAGGCTGATTTGCTGCTGGGCTTCTTGGTACCTCTGTTCCCAGATTAAAATGGGAAAAAAAAAACACAAGGAAGTGAGAATGCAGTTTAATTTTTAAAGCAAACATTTCTGGAGTTTTGTTAGGTATTTTACATAATAAAGAAAATTCATTCATTCTCTTTCTCTTTAACATCATCCATTCAAATTTAAGAATCTTTTCAGGATTACTGTTAGAGTTTCACAATGGGATGAAACCATAATTCTTGCCTTCATTCGTTCATATGATGAAAATGTATTGAGCACCTACAATGTGCCAGGAACTGGGGATTAAAAGATTAAATGACCCCCTTCATACTCATATAATCTCAAAGATCAGGAAAACATGGTTCCTTCCCTGGCTGAGCTTTTGATCTGAAGGAGGTATCTGTCCTTATTACTTTGTGAATTCCCATTGAGTAATTACATTACGTTTTCTCAATCCTTAACAATCCATTCTATATAAGAAGTGAGCAAAAATCATGTGGGCATTTCCCCTAAGTCAACAAATTTCATTTTAAACATGTTTTTTAACCTTTCACAGAATAGAACTCTCTTTGCTGGATATTCTACTTTATTTTCTATTTTATTTTGTTATCCTAGTATGTAATAGCTCAGAGCACAATGGAGTGAATTTGTGTAAGGCAACAATTAACTCCTCTTTCCCTCCATAAAGAAATGAACACAATAACAAGAAGAACATGTTAGCCTTGGGATCATAATACATACGGTTCAACTCCACAGTTAGGGGAATGGCTTCTATTATTCTCATTCCAAGGTCTTTGTCTGTGTGTCACATCCATCAATAAGAGCTGTGCATTTAAAGCATTAGTGGGTAAGTTAGCCTGTTGAATACCAAGTTTCCAACTAGGGAAAGAAGGGGTGTAGGGTTAAGAAATAGATTTGAACCTGGAGATGGAAATGCAAGAGGGTTAATGGAAAATCTGACAGATATTTAACTGTAATGTGCATTAATGTAGGTGACTCAAACAATCCCCTTTGCACTCATTCTAATTAGTTTTGCCTTTTCTAATCAGATGTCAGTTGTTATCAGTTTGGTAGAAGGGGGTGGTGGTTCTTTTTGTGAAATCCAAAGGAGGCAAAAACCCATTTAGCCAGTTCACTAATCAGTAAATTTGCACATTAATGGTTAATTAAAGTTAGGCACAAAGACTTGAGATTCAGAAGGTGTTTACTATAAGGAGTTCTGGGTTTCAAACAGAAGACCGTACAAATGTTTAGACTAGTAGGATCAGAGAAGTGTAATGTCAGTGAATCATCTTAACCCTTTTACATTGTGTCTCAAGCAGGAGAAACCAAACTTAAACACACACACACACACATACGCATAGCCTAGGCAGCTCTCTGGATACTAATTAGAGAACTCTGGCTGAATGTTTGCATTTGATGCAATGAATCTGAACAATAAAGTGGTGCCTAATTCTCCAAGCAATAAATTAAGTTGAACATAATAGAGGGAAGCCAATGACTGCTTCCCTGTGCATCCTGCTAAATCAAGTTTTCAAGATCCTCGATGATGAAAGAACAGGGGTGGTTGACCTGTTTCCCCTTCATTCTACTGTGAGTTCTCTCCACCCTTAACCACTAGCATTTTCCACAGTTTGCTTTTCACGGGCTCTTAAGTTCAGCTCCACCTTTATGAAACATGAATTTCATAAACAGGGAGCTTACTGGGTCCTGCTTGGTAGTCCACAGGTCTGTGTGGGTGAGCACAGGAGTGTGTGTATCGCACTTTCTGGTCTTTGGCTCACGTCTCTACTGTGTGACTCTGAGTCTTTGTCCAGTTCTTTCTCCCCTTGGCTGTACTCTCTCTTCTTTGACCCTTTCCCTGCAGACCAATTTTGAACCAGCCTCTTTGCCCTGACTGACTTAAGACTGTTTCATCGCAGGCCTTGAAAGGTGGAAGGGTGGGGACATGTAGCCGCTGGAGTTATTATTGGCAACAGTGGTGAAGGGATGTTCCCATGCTGGGAAGAGGCATGAGGCTAATAAGCTGGCCAGCCCATCTCCACATCCCCCAGTCTCTGGATGGACATGCCCTTGGATAAAACATATCCAGAACAGCTTCTGACCATTGTTCCTGCTTGCCTCTCATGCTTGCTAACTGGCCTGCCTCCTTCCAGTCTTGCCAACATGAAACCAGAGTGAGCATTCTAAAATAGGAATTTGATCATGTCATCACCTGCATAAAACCTTTAAATGGCCTTCATTTTCTCAGGAGAAAGTCCAACTCCATAGGCAGCTTATAAAGCCCTGTATGATCTGAATCCTGCCGAAGTCTCCAAAGTCATTGGTTTTCATTCCCAGCCTTTCTCTTCCCTTGACTCCTACCCATTCACCCATCCTCTCCCCAAACTCATATACACTCTACACTTAGCAACCTTCATAATAAATGTCCTCCAGTTCCTGAGAAGTGTCATGCTTTCTCTCACCCCCAGGTCTTCAAATACGCTGTTCCTTCTGCCTGGAACACTTCTGATCTACTCAGCTTGGCTAACCTAATCCTAAATTTTCTTCAGTCTCAGCTAAGACTTCATTTCCCCCAGAAGGTTTCCCTGGTCTCCTAATATGGATTAGCTCCCATCCTATATGGTCTGGTAGCTCCCTCTGCTTCTTCTCTTTGAGCATGGATTACCTCTCATATATCTTTGTTCTTGTGAATCTCCCCCAACTACACTGCAAGCTAGTTGAATACAGGGGTGGCATCTGTCTTATTCACCACTGTATTCCAACCCCTAACACATCTACTATGTTGCAGGGACCCAAAACTTAGTTGTTGAACATGTGGACAAATAAATTATACCATTGACTTATCGTCCTTTCTTCTGTTCTGGGGCTTTAAGAGCCCATCCCCTCCCCCAACAGAAGTTAGGAACAGGAGCTAGCACTTCCACCTTCCTCCATACCAAGTCTGCTCTCTAAACAACATTTGCCCATGGACCTAGTCTTAGTTTGAGTCCTAGTCCTTCCAGTTCTAGTCAGAGCTGGAAAGCAGAGAATTCCCTCTCAGCTGCCCCATGGATCAAATCTATGAGATGTGATTCTGAAGAGGCCCTATTGATGGGGGCTGGACTGGCCTATATGCTGGGGAAATCATACGGATAAAAGTAAAGTAAGAGAGTTTCACTGAGGATACTCCAAGTGACTTTTTTTCTCTCATCCTGAAGGCAATGGAAAGTCATGAAAAAAACTGCACAGGTAGTTTATAAGCAGAAATATAACTTGTACCTGGCAAAAGGTAATCACTTAATTCAAATGCATTGAATGTCAGTGAATCAAAATTGCTTTGTAGAAAAGTCACTCTAGTAGCAGGATAAAGAACACACTGGAGGGGGGCAGCTCCTACCGACATCAGAATGTCAAGAATTCACCCATCCTCTGTCTCATTTTCTCCCTTGCACCCCACGTGCCACTTCTCAGAGGCCAACATTGAACTTCAGCTCTTGCTCCAGGAGATGTATTCCATCAATCATTGTATCTTACATCTTTACTCTCTCCTTTCTATCTTCAATCATGTTCAAACCCCAGCATTCTTCAAAAATGACTTTCATTAACTCTTGTACCCCTTTGAGCCCCGTTTTGAACCAGGCTTAGAACCGTTGCAGTCAGCATACTTCCTCTCTCCCTTCCCAGGTGCTACTGCCGACACCACTGCATGACCATCCACGTCTCTGCCTCCACTGCTGCTGCCTTCGTGCTTTGATACTGTAATTCTCCTTTTTACCTCCTTCTTTCCAGCTACCTTGTCCCTCCAGATGGTAGTTGGACAGCGTGTCTAAGCAATTCTGCCTTGCTCCATACTCCTTAGGGATGAGGCCAGTAACTGGCGTTCTAGTTATCTCTATTGCTTTTGCCAGACCTCCTTCCTGGAATTGCAGCTTTACCCCAGATACAATCATTTCCTGGGGCTCGACCTCACAGCGTCAGCTCTCCTCCCTATGAATGCCTTTTGCCCTACCACTGTCTGATCCCTACTGGCTGTAACATCCTGTCCACTTTGTTAGGCAGTTCTGCTGGTATCTTGGAACCCCAGCCCTTCACTCTCTCCATCCCCTTCCCTGAGTGTCCATGTTGCTATAATCACTCCTTTTCATGAAACAAAGTTAGTTTCTTCTCCCTCTAGTACCCACAGCACAGTGCAAACCTTTCAGTATAGTTCTTACCATACTGTATTATAATTTCGTTTAGGTCTCTGGTCCACCGAACTGTGAACTCCTGGAGGGCTGGGACCATGACATTGCTTTTTCCCCTCTCTGAACTCACAAAGCATTTTGCATCTCTCATTACATTCATTGCTTTCTACCTTGAATTGTAGTTAAGTCCATACCTTAACCCATCTACTAGACTTCAAGCTCCTGGAAACCATGTCTGTATGTAATTGATCTTTGTACCACCAAGGGCAAACACAGTGCCTGAGAGAAAGTGTCAATATACAGGCAAAGAAAAAAAGGCAGGACAAAGGAAAGAAAGAAAAGAAGTTATGCGATGGGGGTGTGTGTATATGTAGGCTGTATAATCTTGAAATCAACGAAAATGAAATGGGTTTGAATAATTTTATATGAATTTTAATATAAAATATACATTATTGAGAATTTATATATTACTTCAAAACTGTTGCAAATATCTTCATGTCCATGTGACTCTGGCCAACTTACTTAAATTCCCTGAAACTAAGCTGTGTCATCTGTAAAATGACAATGACAATACCTGTTTTTCAGGATTGTTGAAAATTTTCCATGGTGCATGAAATAACCCATGAGATATACAACGAACACAGGGCCTGCGCCTTGAAGGCAATTGACAAACGTTAGTTTGCTTCTCATTGCAAATAAGCACCCTCCGATAAAATAATACAAATTAAATATTAGTAGAAACTTGCAATGGGTGATTTTCAAAACTGAGCCCTCATTTAACTCTGAGTTTCCAAGCAACTAAGGTCAAAAGGAAGAATGTGGGAATACAGAAGTTTTTTTTTTAAATATATGAAAACCATACACATTCATTAAATGGAGGCAAATTTTTCCTGGAAATAAATTCAAAGGTACATTTATCATCAGGGGAATTAGGTAACTTGATGGACATCTTCCACTGGGAATTTTGGAAAGACACCATGACACTGTTGACTTTGATGTTTCTGTTTTTAAGCTGCATTATAAAATCTTATATGAATATTATAAATATTCATATTCATAATGAATATTATGCTTTAATTCAGTATTATACTTTAATTCAGTAAAGGCTTTCCTCCAGGAAGCTGAGATAATGTGGTTATAGGTATAATGTTTTCGGAAGATGTATTTCAATAGTTTTCACACTTTCTTTTAGCAAGAACACGTCTTTCATCCCTTATCCTCCTCCCCACTCCCTCACCCCCTGCCTTTTCAGGATTTTCCTAAGGCACCTCCCAGAACTTTAAGTTCCTTCAGGACTTAGTTTGCAAACCAGTGTTGTAGCTTAACCCATGAAGAGGGCATACAGACCTTATAGGAATGCATAATTAAAATGCCCATTATATTGCCTCACTCAAATAACAGTTTTCTCAAACGAGTCTCTGGCAAACCCATGCATTATGTAAAATGGATTAGACCTGAGGAGTGTCTACCTCAGAATCAGGTTCAGGTTTCAGGGCCAGCTTTCTGAAACCTTTCAATATGTGATAATCTTACTCCTTCAGATAGAACAAAACTATGAACTCCAGGTATGACGCCTGCACTTCCCAGACGAAACTCATTCAAAATCACCATGAAGAAAAAACAATTCAGCAATTGGTGTAGTTATTTATCATTCGGCAAATACTTAATCATTGCCTATATGTGGCAAACCATGCCAACTGCATGAGAAATGTAATAACTGGGGTATGCTGTGTGGTAGGAAGAGCATGGGAATGAGAGACGTAACACAAGAAGTCTGGACCCAAACTTGCTGCTAAGGATTTTACCTTGACTCATCAGGCCTTGCTCACTGCCTTTGTTACAATTTTATTCTATTATTTTGAATTTTATGATTCCAAAATGCAATTACTGTCTTCATGTTTAAATTTGAGTCTTACCTTTATCAAAGTAACACGTAAATATAGTTTGAAAAGACAAATCATATTAAAATGCAAAAGCTATTCCCTGGCCCCTTTTCCCTCACTCTTTTCAGTCTCAGGAGGAAACCACTTTCATCATTTTTAGTTGCTTCTCCTGGTATTTACCATTATGTGCCTAAATGCATCCATACCTGATACCTCTTGATTTATTAACTTTAGGCCGTATCCATTACATCTTATTATAGTAGATGAAGATTTTAGTTCTATTTTCAACCCTTTCTTCCTCTTCCCTTTAGCCACAATATAGTCAGATAAAAAATTTAGATAAGTGTTTTCAGAATTTATGAAGGGATAAATAGTATTTACTGCTGAGATAAGCAGTACACTGTAATTATAATTCTTATCCAGGGGTCATATACCTAACTTTTCTTTCATTTGTGAAGTTTCCTTACATCTCTGGCTGTCATCTCATACCATCTAACAGCTCTGTGAAACATTTCTCAATATGTTTTCCACACTGATACATCTCATCTCCACAGCAGCCCTCTGTGCCCAGCCACAGCCTTAATGGGTGTTCCCTAGGCCTGCTGATACAGCTGTCGTCCTACGACTTCCTGCCACCATATTTAGAGTCTCTTCACTCCTTTCCTTGATCAGGTTCCCTGTTTCTGGATCCCTTTTGTCTCTCTATTTGTTTGTTTACTCTCTCATTTTGTTGCATTTCATCTGATGGTCGCTTCCTGACCAAGGGCGTGTGAAGGGGAAAGTGTTAGAAGCTTCCTAGGTGTCTTTGGTGCCACAGAGTATGCAAAGAAGGGATAAGGAGGTAAGCCTCATTTGTTGAGCACCTACTATATGCCAAGTGCTTTCTCCATGACATTTCTAGGAAATAGAAATAATTTTCTCCTCTTTGCAGATGAAGAGGTTGAGAGTGGAGTGGCTTAGTAATTTGCTTAAGGTTAAGCAGGTGGCAGAACTGGAATCCAGATCCATGTTTATCTGATTCTTGCCATTCTCCACACACCGCATCTCTCAGCCAAAAAGCTTAAATACACAATCCTTGCCCTCAAGGAATTTGCTCAATCATGTGTTTAATCCAATGTCAGATAATTGTTATTTTTCTGGGCCTATTTTCTCCCTTTTCACATGTGTGTGTAATATACATGTGTATGTATATAATTTAAGTCTGGTTAAAGACTTAAATTATTTTCATAGTCCCAAGTACATCAAGTTTTATTATTAGATTTTCCATGAAATTCTAAAATAGTTATTTCTAAAGGAGATTTCAGATTTTTATTCCCCTATTTATTAGGTATTAGGCAATTAGAGTCTGATCTGGTTACAACTGAAAATATGTTGGTGGTTTTGCCCTTCTCTCTGGTGAATTTTGGTTTTTATGCCAATCAGTTCATTTGCTGACATTTATCACATTTAGCTCCTGCCTAAAGGACTTTCAGAATTACAGGTGGAAAATTCACTACGTAGAAGGAATGAAGCACACTTCTTACTGCTTGCTGTACCAGCAGACTACTCCAAGCTCCACACCTTAAAATTTGAATTGATATCCTTGTTGGAAACAAAGCAGAATAGTAAGCACAAAGAGTAGAGACATAGGATAGGATTTAAAATGAATGAAAGAAGGTAGAATCATTACTTTTTAGTGGATAATTTACTGACAGGTCTCATGTGCAAGCACCAACAGTACCATTGATGTATTCCATTTATGCTGGCACAGCTGAAGCCCTCTGATTGCTTTTCTCACCTAGACATGGCTCTCATTAATCAAGGGAAGTTGCATAGACTAGAACAAGAAGACAGTTTTGTCGACACACTTCCAGCACTGTTCTCTAGCAGCATTTCGTTCCTGTTCCGGTATCATTGCTCTCAGAAGCAGAAGCCCTTTCATTTAGTTAGAAATTAGCAGTAGATACCTGCTCTCTGAACCGTCTCTGATTTTGAGTGTTGAGTTCCAGAAATTCATTTTGAATTCAGTTGTTTGGCATTTCTGGTACAGATTTTCCTGTAGGAACAATTTAAAGAAAGTGCATTAAGTCCTCCTGCTAGCCTATCCAAAGTCTGTTTGACTTATATGACATTGAACTATCTATGATTGAACTATCCATGATAACACAGTGTACTATCCATGATAACACAGTGTACTATCCATGATTTCTAGAATATTACATTCTTTTAAAAAGAAGAGATGTGTTCAGTGTACACTGATTGAGCCAGGCATGGTGGTGGAATGAGAAATACAATCTATTTAGTGAAATGGAAAATTGCAGGACAAGAGAGAAATGTAAGTCCCAGATGTGCACAGAGCACTTTGCTATGGAAACCACAGAGAAGGGGCATCCACCTCAGCCTGGCTCCAGGTTCGAAATGGAGAGACTATGAGCATTTTCAGCTGCACTCTCATAGAAGAGAGGAACAATCCTTCAGACCAGGGGAAGACAGAAAAGGAGACTGGCCAGAAGAACACCTGGGAGGGAGCACAGAGCTCTTCATTCCCAGGGGTTCTTTATAGCATGGACATTTACAGTGTAGGTACTGCCCAAATGCCCATCCACACCAGTGTTAGGGACTGAATTTTGTTTATTTCATTTATCAAGATATAATAGTTTTGAGTCATCAGTTGTATTTCTATAGCCTATAAAAAGAGCACCAGGCAAGGCAGGGCCCACCACCGCTGCAGCCACACCCAGAGTCTTCCCCATCCTGTACTGTGGACTCCACATCAGACCTGGGAGGCAGGACTCAGTGGATGAGGCTGTGTTTTGCATTTCTGAGTACAGTCCACAAAATGGTTTGCTTCTGAAAAAGCAGTAGTAGTCTTACATCCAAGATTATTCCTAAAATAAAGTTTCGACCCACATATATAATGAAATTGAAACTGCCTACATTGGCAAAGCCAGAAAGAGAGTAAAAAAGATGGGGTAGGCCAGTTGCGGTGGCTCATGCCTGTAATCCCAGTACTTTGGGAGGCTGAGGCGGGTGGATGACTTGAGGTCAGGAGTTCAAGACCAGCCTGGCCAACATAGTGAAACCCTGTCTCTACCAAAAATACAAAAATTAGCTGGGCATGGTGGCGTATGCCTGTAGTCCCAACTGCTTGGGAGGCTGGGGCAGGAAAATCACTTGAACCCAGAAGGCAGAGGTTGCAGTGAGCCTAGATCGCACCACTGCACTCCAGCCTGGGTGACAGAGCGAGACTGTCTTTAAAAAAAAAAAAAAAAAAAAGAGAGAGAGAGTTGGGGTAAAAAGTCAGAAAGAGAGATCCCAAGGGAGAAATAAAAGGAAATTTGAGCCAAAAAATGCATTTCTGATGATCTCTTCTGCTGTATAAAGATACTTTATAAGGCAATTTTAACTCTGATAACTTGCCCATTTCTGTTTGCAGAAGGAAGTCAGTCATTCTCACAAATATCTCCATTTGTTTTTCCTCCTTGTATTTCATTCAATTTTGTGGGGAAGGGTTGGAGGGCCCAATTTTGCTATTGTAAAATTGTTTCTCATTTTTCTGAACACTTGAAATGGGGTCAGATCTAAATGGCTATGAATGCAACATGGATCCAAAGGCCCAAAGGTCAGGTCCCACTTGGACAATTTTGATATGTAAAGTGCTGCTAACATTCATTTATAGACAGCAGCAAGAAGTATGAGCTGTGGCCTGGTGAAGATTCACATAGATCTCATTTTCCTCATATTCAGAGCAAGACGTTCCCAACTGTCTGTGGGTCTGCATGAGTTGTGGGGTGTGGGAGACCCCTCTATTGTCCCCTTTGAGTGTACATATTCTGTAGTGAAGCCAGAGGCAAATGTGTGAGAACCTCCCCAGGCTGTTCCTTGGGAGTGAGGGCAGCCCTGACTTCCATGGGAATGGGATTCCCTGCCAAATTCAGATGCCGAGGCTTCCCTCAGGGACCACAGCCCATCCGAGTGGAGGAAGTTGCTGTGAGAAGTTAAGCAGGCAGCTCTGAAGGGCTGTGTGTGTGTGTGTGTGTGTGTGTGTGTGTGTGTGTGTGTGAGAGAGAGAGAGAGACAAAAGAGAGCAGCCTTGCCCCATTGCTTGCATTATAGTACACATGGAATCAATTTTAAATTTCACAGAAAGAAAACAGTAAACAGAGTAAGAGGGGAGCTGGTGTGTCTCTCCAAGGTTGGTGTGTCTCTCCAAAGCTGGTGTTTCTCTCCAAGGCTGGTGTTTCTGCTCATGCATACAATACATGATGCACACCATTCATACCTCCAGGTTTTACACATATTTCTTTCACCCCTGAGCATCTGTGAGACTCAGCTTGATGATATTTCAAACGACTATGAGGATCACACCTCTTGGCAAAAGGCAGAATAACTTTCTGTTGTAATATTTTAAATTAAGAGTTTCTTCTATCTAGGCCTTGCAGGAGAGAGGAGAATGTATTAACAAATTTATTCTGAAAGTAGAGATGTGGGAGATATGTGATCCACAAAGCAGGGCCACCCAAGGTTCACTTCAGTGTTCACGTTTGGGGAAGCATGAGAATGTCACATAGCAAGGCCAACTGGCTCAAATGTATTAGCATACAATCAATATGCAAGGCGCTATCTGAATGCCGATTAGTAAGAGTCACATTGACCATGGTAGCAGATGACACATTAAACAGTATGATACCAGCCACAAACCTCACTAGCTTTTCCAGTAACCTGAAAAGACAAAGAAAAAGAGAACTTGGGGAAACTCCTATTCATCAGTCAGGTTTCCCCTTAAACATCACTTCCTTTGGGAAGCCACTCAGACAAATCCACCCCCACCCGACTTCCCCTAGCTCAGCTCTTCTCTTCTTTTACATTATACCTTCCAGAATTATCTGTCTTCCCTCTTTCAGTCCCCAGCACCCAGCACACTCCCTAGCACTCTGTAGGCACTTAAATATGTGTTCGATGGTTGATGGAATATTATTGGCTTGTGTTAGGTCTTGGAGGGTATGAAAATAGAGAAGATAGAATCCCTGCCCTGTCTGGGAAGGAGACAGACAGATAATAATAGACACCATACAATTTGTCAGACTTTGCAATGCTTGTAAGTACAGCTTCTCTAAAGGAGAACAAAAGGAAGGTTGAACTTCTGAGCACCTTAGTGATAAAACAGACCTACATTAGCTTCTTCTCTGATTCATTAATTTTACTGGTAAGAAATAATGAACAGAATCCTATTTCCTTACATTTCAAGTTTGCTACCAGGATAGCACAGTATCAATAATAATAGGCAATGGATTTCACTTGGGGGAATATTATGTCAGGAGGAAAACATGAAATATTATCAATATCCTCTCTAGGGAATCTATGTATTAGCTTTGTGATGTCTAACCTCGAATTTCTCACCTTCAGAACTGAAAGCAAATACATAATTGGATTTGCATTAAAGCTCTAAAAAGAGTGAAATTAAGAGTCACGCTCAAGTTTCCGGCTATGTTTCTTTGTTGCCTACTCCTTTTGCCACTCTGTCACTTAATTCATCTTTTTTTCCAGAGGAAAAATCAAAAGCAAAATATGCAACACCACTCCCTGCCCTCCAGTACTCCCACAGTATTATTTATTGACCACTCTGGGTGTGCTTGGCTTAACAGACAACAGAAAGGAAGTGAAGGCTCTTCCCTGAGGGTTTGCTGATGCGATTAGAGAGCCATTTAGAAAGATAACTCGAAATCTCAGACAGACACAGGAATCTAACTTTTATTCTGGTGTCAAAAATGATTTGAAACCTTTTTTGTATGATGACGTTTGTCAGTACTCCTTTTATTCCTCTCACAGCAGCCGGTGGGCGTCTCCATGCCTGATGCAGACAATATAGAATCCAAATGCAGTTGCAAAGGTGAATGACTTCAGGTGGCTTTGCGCCGCCATCGTCATCTGCACAAAATGTGGACTGACCATGGATCTTTCCTCCATATTAACCTCTCCAAGAATAGAATCTATTGAAGACATGAATCTTTTGATAGCATTTCCTTGGGGTTTTGGGAGAGAAATTACATCTTGCAGATATCTGATGAAACTCTCATGTGACCAAAAAGACTGCAAATAAGAGTTTGATAAACAGAAAACAACATGACAATAGTTTCTGGGTAACTCTTTGAACTTGTTAGGTACAGCATATACTGTCCTTCACACACCTGCTGTATTTTGAGAATCTGAGCTTATCGAAAGCCACACGGCATCAGTGGAACTGACTAGCTGGGTGACTGCATGCAAGCAGTTAGCCACTCTGCCTCAGTTTCCCTAAAAATACAATGAAATGGATAGTCAGTTGAGTGGTCCTCAGACTTTTACATCTTATAGTATGGAAGCGGACATGGATTTGCTATATTTCATTTTTCTGTGTAAGTACATTAAAAATCAAAACTACTGCCTACTATTACCATCTTTCATGAAAAAAAATATTTTTTAGCCTGAAAGCATTGAGACGAACATAACCTCAGAGTAAGCGATGGTCCTTGAAAAGTGAATAAATTTAACGGTTTGGTAAATCCCTTGCATGAATCTTATTTTTTTCAGTTCCTTTAGCAAACAAAAACTTATTCAGAAATGAACACACGTCCACAGAACACCATTAGCCTGCACAATCTACACAGATCCTTTTACCTGTACATTCTAAGCACAATACTGGAACTTACCAAATAAGTAAATAAATAGCCAACCAGAGCCGTATCACCTTCTACTTTATTACAGTGTTGGTGTTAATATTTTACAGCACTCGGCTAACTGGAATGTGGAAGGCACTGCCAACCACATCATACTCTTTCCACCCAAGATAGTAGATCGGCTTCACTCCATTAAATCGTCATTGTCTTCAGCTGCCATGACTCCTTTAATTGGCTCACACCTGTAATCCCAGCACTTTGGGAGGCAGAGGCAGGTGGATCATGAGGTCAAGAGATCGAGACCATCCTGGCTAACACAGTGAAACCCCGTCTCTACTAAATATACAAAAAATTAGCCAGGCATGGTGGCGGGCGCCTGTAGTCCCAGCTACTTGGGAGGCTGAGGCAGGAGAATGGTGTGAATCCGAGAGGTGGAGCTTGCAGTGAGCTGAGATAGCACCACTGCACTCCAGCCTGGGCAACACAGCGAGACTGTCTCAAAAAAAAAAAAAAAAAAAGAAAAGAAAAGAAATGAATCTGCAACAAGGAATTCTAATTTTTTTAAATGGAGGAGGTGTCCAAGGGACAGGAGACTGTAAATGCCAAACAAAAGCTTTTATGCAAGGCTAAATTGGTGATTTTGCACAAAACTCACAAGTAAAAGATTTACAGCACAAAGAATGTAATACACTTCAGTTAAATTATTCAGTATTGTTACAGTATTAATGCTACAGCCCAAGTTTCATTGTGTAAATTAAATACACAGTCTGTTCCCTAAGATTGTACTTGGTTTCCATAATAGTTTTTTTAAGTCCTCACAGATTGGAAATATAAATATGGAAATTTATGATTATCAATAGTTTGAGCCAAATCCTAAGAGAAGGGGTTTGGACTGAGGTCTAAAAGTACTTAACTGAAATGGAGCCACCATGAGACAAGTTTAGTCTTGGAGGCACATGTAAGCGGGTGACAAATGGAGTTTATCATGTTGGGAGACTTGCGGATTTGCCTTCTTGTTTCCTTTGGCAGAGCAGGGTAAGAGGCCGGCTTTGGCGTCATTGCTTTAGACACACAGTCCTTTTGGCATGAGGTTGGATCTCTGGTCCCATCCAGGGTTCACTTTGTAATCAATCCGTCCTTAAAATGAGGTAGGTCTTTCAGTAAGTGGCCTTCTCCTTGACAGCGAGCTCTTTCAAGTTGAGGGGACTCCGTCTTCTTCCTTTTCTTCCTTACCTGCATGCCACCCTGTCCGTTGATGCAAAAGAGCTTACTTTATGTAAACTATGTAAATACTCAAATTTAGGTTCAGAATATCAGAGGTGGTGTGAATCTTAGAGACGTTTCTAGTAAAATCATTATTCCCTTTTTATATATGTAAGAGAAATTTAATAGCTTCTCTCTAAGTTCATTCACTACTCAGAAACCTGATTAGAACTGTGAACTTCTGATTTCAAGATCAATGCTGGATCCATTTGTATCCCCCAGTGAATCTCTAGAATTCGAGTATTAGCAAGTATGCAGGTAATATTGTATAAGAAACATGCAGTGCTCCATTAACCTATATGCAGTCAGGACATACCCTGAAGCAAAGTTTTAACTACACAGAAATGTGGCCTTAACCTTATAACAAGAGCTTTTTTTTTGGCAAGTGGGCTATGTAAGAACACTGCATGTTGGAAATAATGGTAGCCAGAGAGGAATTAGAGATATTCTATAGCTACTTGAAATTTTCAGTTTTTTAAAGAATAATTATTTCAAGGCTGAACTAATTAAGTACATTTCTACATCCTGTAAAATCTTACGCCCCACCTAACTTTAAAAAAAATACAATATACATTTTGAGGATTTATGGTATATTTGGCTCAACAATCAAGATAACTGAAGACGGACTCATCTCTAACAATCCAGCAGTGCAATTAGAGAAGTCTGCCTTAAGGGGTGATTTTTCTACAAAGACAGCCAATCTTCAAAATGGCCAGTGGCAATATGTTGTGTTGACCTGTTTTAATGTATCCCTCTATGTTAGGTATATGCAGGATGGACTGGGGAGGAAAAAGAAAAGAAGGCCTTTGGAGTAATAAAGATGGAGATGAGATTTGGTGACTGGAGAATTTAAAAATAAATTCCAGTGCACCTAAATATCCATGAGTCTTTTCAGTCTACCAGTCCATGAGGTTACAGAACATCAAGACCAGATTCTCACAGGTTACAACCTTTCTACTGCACCTTCTCATTTGAGAATTCCAATCCTGTTCAAAGTTACTCCTAACCCTCAACTATACCCCAGGTATTTGGGAGTCCAAAACAAGAGTTTGACAAGCTCTCCTAAATAGGAGCAACTGCTGAATACTAGCAGCTGCCACTCCAGGCTACACTGTGGGCCGACTGGCCAATACTGCCTGGAGCTACACGTCTCCATGGGCTGTGGATTTCAAAATAATTCCAAGTTTAGTGTGACATCTCTTTCATTTTCCACACAGCTCTTTCCTTTGCTAGGTCACATACAGCCAGGATGGCTGGTTCAGGACGGTTCCAGGTGCCAGTGCCATGCTGGCAAAATCACTGCCCTTTGACTCTGTGGTCTTATAGCTGAAGCACCCTGTTTATACCAGACTCTACAGTTCTTCATAGTTTTATTTCCTCGGGAAGCTCCAGTCCCTCCTGAAAACTTGGTTTCCTTTTGACTCTTGTCCCATTCTGCATATATGCCTAAATAACTGAAAATAAATTAGGAATACAGCTTAAGCCTCTACCCACCTTCTCCACTCAGAAGGCCCCTTAGCTTTCATGTAAATATCTAGAGGGAAGGCTCATCTATTTCCACCTGGCAGGTGTATTCAAATCTCAGCTACACAAGAGATGCTGAAGTAACAACAAATTAACCAGTGAAGACAGAGATACACAATAGGAAAAAGTCAAAGACCTTTTGTAGTTAGTACCCATGAGATTAAAATGAGATTTATTTGCTGCCTGCACTGAACACATAGCTGTGTGCATCCCATAGTTGTGTTACAGGATCCTTGAGGTGTGGCCTTTCAGGCCTGAAACCTCTGGCCAGTGGCACTTTTGCCTGAGTTTTGTTCGGCCCACTGGGCTTGTTCCGCCCACTCAGCAGGCTGTGCTCAGCTCACACTACCGACCTGGATCCCACACTTGCCAAGGGCAAGTCGCATGGAGCAGAAAAGGGTGTGTGAACGAGCACGGGGTCTGGCAACTGTGCAGGCAGACACGCCAGTGGGGTGGGCAGCTCCAGGTGCCTACACAGGTACCAGCTCTCTGCAAGGCTGCAGCTGGACCAGAGGCACTGCAAGCAGCTTCCCTGGCTAGCACCAGGGAACACAGTGGTGCCCAGAAGCTTGGAGATGACAGGCACCGCAGGACCCCAAAGAGGGAGTCCCAGCCCTGGCTTGGGAAGCTCCCAGGTCTGGGCTCCCTAAGGGGCTGCAGCTCTTCTCTCCTTCTCTTCACCTGCAATGTGGTGAACAAGGGGCATGTTTCAGCCCTGTTTTTGTTATGCCTTATTTATTTATTTATTATTTTTATTTTTATTGAAACGGAGTCTCGCTGTGTCGCCCAGGCTGGAGTGCAGTGGCGCCATCTCAGCTCACTGCAAGCTCTGCCTTCCGGGTTCACGCCATTCTCCTGCCTCAGCCTCCCGAGTAGCTGGGACTACAGGCGCCCGCCACCACGCCGGCTAATTTTTTGTATTTTTAGTAGAGACGGGGTTTCACTGTGTTAGCCAGGATGGTCTCGATCTCCTGACCTCGTGATCCACCTGCCTTGGCCTCCTTATTTATTTATTTATTTATTTATTTTTGAGACAGAGTCTCACTCTGTCACCAGGCTGGAGTACAGTGGCGTGATCTTGGCTCACTGCAACCTCCGCCTCTCAGGTTCAAGTGATTCCTCCTGCCTCAGCCTCCTAAGTAGCTGGGATTACAGGCACGCACCACCACACCCAGCTAATTTTTGTATTTTTAGTAGAGACGGGGTTTCACCATCTTGGCCAGGATGGTCTCCATCTCTTGACCTTGTGATCCGCCCGCCTCGGCCTCCCAAAGTGCTGGGATTACAGGTGTGAGCCACTGCGCCCTGCCTGTAATTAGATCTTCTAAAGTTACATTATTATTTATATGAATTTTATTATTTATTCATTTATTTTTGAGATAGGGACTCATTCTCTCACCCAAGCTGGAGTGCACTGGCATTATGGCGACTCACTGCCGTCTCAACCTCCTGGGCTCTAGTGATCCTCCCACCTCAGCCTCTCCAGTGGCTGAGAGACTACAGGCATGTGCCACGCCCGGCTAATTTTTGTGTACTTTTTTTGTAGAGATGGGGTTTTACCATGTTGCCCAGGCTGGTCTCAAACTTCTGGGCCGAAATGATCTGCCCACCTCGGCTTCCCAAAGTTTTGGGATTACAGGCGTGAGCCACCTCGCCCAGCCAATTTTGTTTATCTTAATTAAAAAATAGAAATGCTTCAAATAGTCACTATAGGTGAAAACAAAGGAAGAAAAAGGAGAAGAAAAGAAAGAAGGATAAAGACAAAGAAAGAGAAAAGAAAGAGAGGAAGGGAGGAAGGGAGGGAGGGAGGGAAAGGAAGAAAATAGGCCAGACTCAGTGGCTCACCCTTGTAATGCCAACACTTTGGGAGACCATGGTGGGAAAATTGCCTGAGGCCAGAAGTTACAGACCAGCCTGCACAGCATAGTGAGACCCCATCTCTACAAAAAAATTAAAAACTAGCTGGGCTGGTGGCACATGCCTGTAGCCTGTAGTCCTAGCTACTCATGAAGCTGAGACAGGAGGATCACATAAACCCAGGAGTTTGAGACCGCAGTGAGCTATGATCACACCACCACACTCCAGCCTAGATGGAAGAGGAAGACTGTCTCTTTAAAAAAAAAAAAAAAAAAAAAAAGGAGGGAAGAAGGAAGGAAAAATTATCGCTTCTTTTTTATCTATAGTTCTCAAGCTAAAATACATACCTTCTTTTTTTTTTTTTTTGAGAAGGAGTCTTGCTCTGTCGCCCAGGCTGGAGTGCAATGGCGCCATCTCAGCTCACTGCAAGCTCTGCCTCCTGAGTTCACGCCATTCTCCTGCCTCAGCCTCCTGAGTAGCTGGGACTACAGGTGCCTGCCACCATGCCCAGCTAATTTTTTTTGTATTTTTAGTTGACACGGGGTTTCACCGTGTTAGCCAGGATGGTCTCGATCTCCTGACCTCATGATCCGCTCACCTTGGCCTCCCAAAGTGCTAAAATACGTACTTTTAAAAAATGCCCAGGCTTACCCAAGACCAATTAAGTCAGAGTCTCTTCAGGTTGGGCCTCTCTCTCTCTCTCTCCCTCCCTCCCTCTGTGTGTGTGTGTGTGTGTGTGTGTGTGTGTGTGTGTGTGAAGTAAGCTCCCCCAGGAAATTCTACTGTGCATCAGAGCTGAGAACTGCTGTTCTAGGGGAAGTACCAAAAGTGAAGTTCATAGGTTCATAGACTTACTTTACCTCTGTATTTGAAAAGTCAGACTTTCTTCTGTAATATCAAAGACAACGAACCCAGGTCAATTATTGTAGTAGAGAAAGTCATAAGGGGGAAAATTATTTTTTCCATTGGCTGACTAAGGATTCTAGTGAAAACAGCTAATTTAATTGAGAAAAGACATTTCCTAAGTGAAGTGATATATGCATTATTATGACTCAGGATACTCAGATAATTAAGCAGTAACACTTTTGTTGACATTTAACTACATTAAGAAGAAAACTTGTTGAACCAGAAATGTCAGTGGGTGAGGGATTTTTAAAAAACGAACTTGGGCAGGTATTTTCTTCATAAAACTCTCTCTCTCAGGAAAAAATTTTCAATTTATTTGGCCCTATTTATAAACATGTTTGATTCTATCACCACCCTCAGGCCAACAAAGCAGGAAAAAAATGTTAGAATTCTGTACAAAGGTCAAGAAGACCTTTAAATCAGCAATTTGAAAACACAAGCTTGCAAAATATAATATTTGAAGTTGTTCTTTGGGAATGTATAAGTAATATGGGTTTGAAATGAAAATTAGAGCAAGAGAGGCAGTCACGGATATGCGTTGTCATGTCTCTGTTTTAATGTCCATATTAATGTGAAATATCATATTCAAATAACTCAATAGACCCTCAGTAGATTTCTCATAACAAATCTTTGCAGCAGTTCTAATGTTCTAAATCTGGTTTACCAATGACAGGTTTAAAAGATGATTTAAAAAAAAAACCAAATGGGATATAATTTCCAGGAGAAGTGTTTCATTTGTTGGGTCTTGACTTATCCTGCATAGAGTAAGAAGATCATGTGATAACTTTGTGTTTTAAAGGGTTGTTACTGAGATGATAGATTTACTCTCTGAAATAGAAACATTACTGTTATAAGGCTATGCTGTTGGCTGCAAGAAACACGTTTGCTTGGATAGAAATGGCCTTTGTTACTTCTCTAAATGTGTGCTCTGTTGGCGGAAGAAGGCATTTTGAAAGGCAGTCCGTGTCTTGAAGAGTTGTTTTTAAAAGAGTGTCAGGCTACACTGGACAGATGAACATTGATTCTGGAGATGCTATGGCTTGAGAAAAATGCATGCAAATGGTAGCTACCAGCAGAAGAAACAGTTCTGAAGGGCAAGGCTAGTGTTTTGGTTTGGGAAGGCATGTTAGGTGTTGTTTGTGATATGTCACAAGGGACTCTGGCTATGTGTTCTGTGATGTCTCCTCCCCACTCAGAACCCTCCACTGGTTTCCCATCTCACTAGGTGTGAAAGGCAAAGTCCTCACAGGCCCTACAAGATCTGCCTACCACATCATGCATGCGTGTGCACACACACTGCCCACTGCTCCTACCACAGCTCCCTCCGCTCTCTCTATTTCTCTATCCTCCAGCCGCTCCTGCCTTCCCAGAATGCACCAAGTACAAGCCCATCTCAGAGTCTTTGCTCTTTCCTTTCCCCCTGCACCTCTCTTCTTTTTACCTGGGTTTATTTGTCTCCATAGCCTTTATCACCTTTGGACATTCTGTTCTATTTACTTGTGTTTTTGTTAGTATCTGTCTGTCTTCACTAGAAGTTAAGCACCATGAAAGCTGCAGCCTTCCTAGTTTTGTTCACTGTCATATTCCTAGCACCTCAAAGGGTTTCTGGCACATAATAAATGTTTAATTAATATTTGCTGAAAAATAAAAGACTTTTCATCCTACTCTTTATTATAATTCATTCCTATGGGATTCAATGGACTCTGGTCTCACTTTAGGTCTAAACTCTTATCCAAGGAAACATCATTAGATTCAACATCAATATAGAGTAAGTGTCTAAATATAGGTAGCTCAAGGCCAAGTGTGTGTTGTCCAGTCCACCTATATAATTTTATTCATCCTCTGTGTCCCTTCTCCCACACACATTGAGCCACAGTGGGCAGAGGGTCCTTTGAGGATGGAGACCTTGATCTTCTCCCGCTTCAGGAGCTTCTGTCCTCCCCTGGACAAAGATGGGGCTCTGCCTTGTGCCCTCAGAATGTCAGTGTGTGCCAGCCCCAGTGAGTCATTTAACACGATGACACTATTTACAGACTCATTGGCACTATTGGTGACAGGACCCTTCAGCACTGATGCTTAGATCAGCAAGGACTAGGCAGTGATAGGAAGGGCCAGCCTTGGGCTTAAGGAAAACAAGATACCTCTTCCTACACCCTGTGGAAAAGATTCCTGAAGGACCACTGGTGTGGCTGCTTGTTGAGCTCCAGAGCCATAAGAGGGGTAATTAGGTGATTAGCAGTCATTGACACTTTTCTTGGAGCGAGTTTTCAGTCTTTCTTTAGAAGAGATTGGGGAGAAAAGGGGGATTCGATGCAGGAGAATGTGTGGATCAAAGCCCAACCTAACCAGTTTCCTATTGCGCCTGGGCCCAGCACAAGAGCAGGTGGAATGCTGGGAGCCTGCCCTATCCCAGCAGCACCAGCTCTGCCATGTTCTCCCAGTGCAAGGCAGCACAGAGCAGCAACTGACAGCCTCAGCTTTGTAGTCAGATGGGCTCTGGTTCAAATCCTGGCTTTGTCAATTCCTAGCTGTGTGACCGTCATCAAGGTACCTAAATTCTCTGTGTTCCATCACTGTAAAATGAGAATAATACCCACCACACATGATTGTTATAAGGATTAAGTAATACCACTTATGACAAGCAGTTACTGTAGTTCCTGGCATATAAAAAGGTCACAATAAATGGCAACTCCCAGAATCAGACAAGACCTGGATCATCCTTTATGAATACTAGAGAGATTTATGGAATGAATCATGATTCTTCTTGCTAGATTCTCTAAGTTGTTATCCAAATAACTTTGGGAAGCTAACAGCTAAACCAGGGTTCTTTGCTCTATTTTCTTTCCTGTGTGTGTGTGTGTGTGTGTGTGTGTGCATGCACGCACGCATGTGCACTAGAGAGAGAAAGGGAGAGAGTGCTGTATACCAGGACTGACACAGGAGATATTTTTTTAAAATCACATACTTTGCCCTGATATGCCATGGAAACTAACAATTGCTATCCTGGGTATATTACAAGAACTTCTCTCTATTTTTTTATATTTGCTTTGGAATAAATATTTGATAAAACGAGGGCAATTTTCATAGCAACTTTTCTTGAAGCTTTTTAAAATGTAATTAAGCATTTTAAAATCTATCAGATATATTCAGAACATTTCCCAAATTGTTTTCTTAAAGATCAATTTTGTTCAGATACTTTAGGTTCTGGGGAAAAGCTATTTTCTGTCCACTTTGACACAAAAACATTCCTTCTAGTTTTTTAAGAACACAGTACTTTGTTGAGATGTTGGCTTCTTGGTTTATGGCATGAATTCTAATCACTTTTAAACTTCTAACTTTTATTCTACACTTAGAGTTCAAGCAAAATGACAATGATCAAGTTTATAAAATATAAAACTTCTATATGAAAAGCGAGAAAAAATCAGTTGTTTCCAAGATTATGTTAACATTAATAATTAAAACCAATTGAAGATTTATTTTGTGCTAGGCACTGTTCTAAGCACTTTACATTGTTAGTTCCTTTCACCCTCACACGCTATTTTGAAGAAGATACTGTTACCCTCCACATTTTATGACACACTGAAGTGCATGTGGGTTAATTAACTTACACAAAATCATGCACTTGGTATAGTCCACAGTCTGAATATATTGCCCTCTACAAATATAATAGTGAACTTTATTATTCGTAGAAAAGAATACTGAGGTGGAAAGATCCCCAAAGATTTGCCAAAGATGCATAGCTATAAGGTCAGAGTAAGGACTTGAACTTAGTAACATCTGAATCCAAAGTTTGGGCTCTTCATATATACATATACAACTATTTTTCCACATTCGGACAAACTATCAGAATAACTTACATAAATGTTTTATCAAATGTTCCTTCTTAGAGAATCTGAGGGAACATTAGAAGTCCTCTTGTCTAATGAATATTTTCTAGAGGAGACATGACCAGTGAACTTATTATTTTCTAGAGCGGACTTGACCAATGGCCACCTAGCTTTTGCTTCCATCCATCTGCCCAGGAACACAGATGATCCATCCAGGAACACAGATGGTTCATTACTGAATCACCCTGCTGGTTGGGAATTTTCTTATATTGAGGTGCTGTGCTGTGACCTAATTTTATATTTTTCGTAATTTGTAGGGTAAATATTGCCGTGCTTAGGAGCCTTGGTACTAACCTGGCATTACACTGAATCATGTATCTTCAGGAAAATAGAGTTAGAAGGCACTGTACAACAACATCCTACAGCCAGCCAATCAGGAGGCTTGGAAATCTTAGGTAAAAGATGTCCTGGCCATTCTTGGCTTATTTTACAGACATGAACTCATCTCACTTCTAATCACACAGGGAGCATCTGAACAGAACTGAGGCCCTTGGTTGAACTCTAGTCCTGCAGACATCGTATCAACAGGCAAAAAAGAATATTTAGACTAAATTTGCAAATCAAATGCAATAACAGAGAGATTCTCAAACTGGAAGAAGCTGATATAGTCACAAGTTTTTACACTTTTTTGTTTTGTTTTGTTTTTAATGAGCATTTATTGGGTAGTTATTTGAGAAACAATATAGCTCCATAAAAAGCCATAGGCTTTGGAGTAAGCATCCCTCAGCTCATTTGGAGCTAGGTATCCTGGGCAATTAGCAACCTCTCTAAGATTTGATTGCCTCTTTTCTATAAATAGGAGTAATATTACATATTATGGGTAATAATGGGACTACTGTGATGATTTTGTAACATAATGTGTATAAAGTATTTAACATGCTCATCGATACATAGTTACTACTCAGTCCATGGTGGTTATTAATCATTCACTTAATCAAAAAATAAAATTTATTGAGTTCTTATATAGTAGAACCATGCATTCAAGCTACATGCCCCAGGCACTGTGGGTACAGTGCTAAAAAGGCAGAGACAGCCCCTAACTTCTCAGAACCTGCAGTCTAGCTGGGAAAACCAATACTGAGTGAGTAATAAAACAAAGAACAAGTTATGAGAGGGAGAAGCATAAAAGAGTGTGCAGATGCATAACTCTGAGGTTAAGGAAGGGGCCCCTACAGAAGATTGTGAACCCTGAGGACAGAGTCAGCAACAGAGGTGGAGATAGGTGTACAGCATGTCCCAGGCCAAGGAGCAATGCGTGCAAGGCCAAGAAGTGAGACAGCAGGAATGTACTGGGAAAGAAAAATCACCAAAGTGCCAGAGAGGTGGACAGAGGGGTGGACTGAGACGGGCACCAAATCATAAAAGACTTTGTATGAGTATAAGCCATACTAAAGAGTTTGTTTTGGGTTTTATCCTAAAATCAATGGGAAGCCATTGAAAAAGCTGTTATTAGGTTGGGGGGTTGGCAACATAATCATATTTGGCTTCAGTATAATAGAGATGAGTAAGACACAGTCCCTTGTCATCGAAACAATATAATCTCATGGCGGCAGAAGTTGAAGGGGTCACAGTTAAAGAAGGCTCAGGAACAAAAAATGTTCTTAGGTACAAAATTCTAGGTGAAATTTTTAAAAAGGGAGTGACCACATCTCTGTGATGTGACATTTGAAACAGATGTTAAAAATGGACTGGGCACCCTTTGGATAAGGAGAGCTGCTGGTGGGAAGGGGCGCTGCCTCCTGGATATCCTGTCTAAGAGGTAAAATTAGCAGGCATACTCTTAAAGTGCTCCCAGCTTTGTTAACTGGATTCTACATTTCCCTTCCTTCCACCACTCCATATTTCAGAATCCCTTTGAGAGAAAACTCTGCCACCCTTATTGTAGCCCCTAAAATCCACATTCTGTAAATTGTAAATCATTACCATGTGTATTTCCCTCCTCCACTGTTACAAGGTTATTTCCAGCTGGATGCCTATGTAAGCTTATAGCTTTGCAGAGCACTTCCTATACACCCCCTCCAGCTGTGAACTTTTTACCTGCACTTCACTGCAGTGTCTACATGCTTATTGAGAAGTTAAAACAGTACAGGAAATACTACATCATCTCACTGGCATTACCAGTTAAATCTCCTAATGTCTGGGCAATATGAGGTTGAGGCACTTATTATAAATGCCACATCACAGTTGTAGTAATTTTCTGTTTCCTTTGAGTCACTCCATGTAACACAAACCAAGGCAAAAAAAAAGTACCATACTCCAACCTTCCCTTTCAACTTATTTTATCTTAATTGATTAAATTTATCAGAAAAGACTACTAAAGTGGTAGAATGTTTTAAGATGATTAAAATCATCATTTTTTCTTTAAAATATGCACTTTTTTCTATAAATAATGCTTAAAGTGGAACTCGTCTCTCATAGTATGATAGTTTCGCATTTTGCTATGTGGTTTATATTCAGTGAAATGTCTATGCTGAACAAAGCTTTCACGTTAAACATCTGATTCACCTTACTTGGAATGTATATCTATGAGGTGTATTAAGAGTAAGCAGGATAAATTTAAGATACTTTCCCCTAACAGAAAGAAAAATTAAGATATTAAAAAAAAAGGAAAAGAAGAAGGGAAGAAGAAAAAGGAGGAAAGAAAAGGAAAAAGGAAAGTTTTGTTTGAAATGGAAATTTCTTATCTGAAAAAATTACTTTTGAAATTCTGAATTACGGGTTGTTATGCCTTTTATCTAGGAGGAAAGTGGCCTGTCTTGTAGGATTTGTGGATCTTCTGCTCTTTATTCATGTCATGACATTCTGATGTCAAAAATGGGCTGGTAGTAGGCACCTATATTCCAAGGAAGCAATTCTGATTTCTGGTTTCTCTCTATTTTAACAATTGATGCACTTAACAGGGAACCGTATTTATCTTCTCAAATTTATTTTCACCTTTATATTTTCCTCTCCTGAGACATTGTTCAGAAAAAGGAACCTGCATTGCATGGCTTTCCTGCCTCCAGCTCATTTCAAACAGCATTCAGTCACCTTCAGATGCACACACTGTCATGTGAACTTCTGTCCTTCACCCAACTGTTGAAATTGCACCATCTCTGCATCCAGAAAAGCCAGAGGGGAAGAATAATCCAAGCAGACTACTTCTGGTAATCAAAAGAATAACTGTCATTTTGCTTAAGACAAATTCACAGGATTTCTAAATGAATCCCTTATGTGAATATTTTCTTGGGAATTCGACAACCTGCAGAGAAGTTCCTTAAGGAGAAATCATAGAACAAACAATTATTGTTCCCGATCATCAGATACACAGGAGCACAGCTGCCCTTCATTTTGCTTTCTTTCATGTATGTGTCTGTTTATATTTCAGAGCCAGAATAACTTGGGGATTAAGAAAGCTCGTTCTAGGTCCACTTTCTCATCAGACCCAGAGATCACTAAACCTCTTGAGTTCTCAGTCTCTCTTTCTATGACATGGAAGAATGCTTCTTTAGACTGGCCTCATGAAAAACAAGTTATGTTTTTAAAAAAACAGAATTATATTATCCATTGAGCTACTGCTTTGTTACAGTATTAAAAGGAAGAACTCTTAGATCTCAGCCACAAGACTACCATCTAATAAACTAAAACTTGGCAGTGATTTTAAAGAGGTGATTTTATTGCCAAAGAACCCTAATTTTCTCCCAGGGAGTAGTAGCATTGAAATGGCACTTTGGTCTCCAAAAAGAAGGCCTCAGCTTTAACGAATTGCAGCACATTTGTACTCACAGAAGTGTGCTACCGTGCAATTTTCACTTAAATTCCCACTTTCTTCTCATTAGGTCTTTTCATTTAGATCTGGGGCCTCTGTGCATGCTTCAGTGTTTCTGTTATATTTGAAATGTCATAAAATAGATATGTGGGTGATTTTGTACTGGGCGATAACATAAATAGTGATCTTTTCTGGAAAAAAAAAAATAGAACAAATGGTCTAACAAGTCCGGATCCACGTATAGAGACATAGGGACAAAAAATTGTAAATTGAGGAAGTCATTTTAAATAACACAAGAATAGGTTCCAAATCAATTGAATCCTGTTTGGTATATTAGAAACATCACTGGTTTACTGTACTGTAAAATTTACTAGTTTTTCTGAAAAGCTTAACTGCATGTTTTGTCTACTTAAAATGGTGCCAGAAAATTTAATCATACATTTCTTTAGTTATTGCATTTATAACCTTACAAAACGATTTTCAACTTGAACACATAAAGTTCTTGCCTCACTTTACCATAACAGCTTCTACCACATGAAGCTCTTATTCCTTCATGCCTTTGTGCTGTTCCCTGGACCTGAAGTACTCTTCCTCTTCCCTCTTGGCTTTATTCAACCAACTAGACCCACTAGCTTATTGAACATCTTCGCCTTCAGCAGAGATAAATGTTAGGATCCCCCAGCACCTTTTAGCATATTTCTCTTTTAGCACTTAACACATTGATCTAGTGGTTTACTTACAATCCTACATCTCCCTTGGGGCTGTCAGATGCTCAAGGGCAAGGACCACTTTTCTTCCATCCTTAAGTACTTCGTGACTAGGAAAATGTCTATCCCATGACCAGTTCCCAATAAACATTTTTGAAATGCAGGTTGAGTATCCCTAATCCAAAAATCCAAAATTCAAAATGCTTCAAGATCTCAAACTTTTTGAGTGCCGACATGATGTTCAAAGGAAATGCTCATTGGAGCATTTTGGTTTTCAGATTTTTGGATTAGGATGCTGAACTGGTAAGAATAATGCAAATATTCCAAAATCCTCCCCACCCCCAAAAAAGAGAAATTTGAATCACCTCTGGTCCCTAGTATTTCAGATAAGGGATACTCAACTTGTACACGAAATAGGATAGTTTTATTCACTTCTATGTTTATTACATAACATTGACTTCTTTCTGTTTTCCTCAACCTTACAATTTATCATAAACCATGCACAGAGAACAAGAAAGTAGGGGTTTTAAAAATCTGACTCAAAGTCTGCAAATGGACAAGGAATGAGCTACAATCCAGATTGATTTTTTAAACTATTGCTTTTTATCTACTCACCTATGGCCATGCAGCTCTTATTTTATAACCTAGTGCTATTATGAAGTATAAATTTAAAGTGATCATGAAATTCTATCATCCATTTAAGTCATAGTTTTGCAGAATTACCATCTTATGCATGTAAATATTTGTGACAAAGAGAACCAAGCTAAGAGTCCAAGGTACCTTCTTACTAACTTACCCTAGGTAAATTGCCTAAACTCTCTGTGCCTCAGGTTCCTCTTTTATTTTTTATTGCTATTATCATTTTTGATATAGAGTCTCACTCTCTTACCTAGGCTGGAGTGCAGTGGCACGATCTCTGCCCACTGCAACCTCCACCTCCCGGGTTCAAGCAATTCTCGTGCCTCAGCCTCCCAAGTAGCTGGGATTATAGGTGTGCACCACCATGCCTAGCTAATTTTTGTATTTTTAGTAGAGACAGGGTTTTACCATGTTGGCCAGGCTGGAAGTTCCTCCTTTAAAATAAGATAGTAGCACTCTCAGAGATGTAGGAAATCCTATTATAGAGAAGGGCTTGGCATAGGACTTGGCAGTAGGTTGCACTGTAAGTAGAAGCTGGGATTGTTGGACTATAACTCATGGAACAGGAAATATTCTGGCAGGCAGATGGGCAGAATTCTGATGGCTCCTACAACAGGAATAGAAAGAACTGGGTTCCATTTAAACAAGGTACCTCAAAGAGGCAATCTCGCTCTTGTTTAAAACTGCCTGGGCCGGACGTGATGGCTCATGCCTGTAATCCCAGCACTTTGGGAGGCTGAGGTGGGTGGATCATGAGGTCAGGAGTTCGAGACCAGCCTGGCCAATATGGTGAAACCTCCATCTCTACTAAAAATACAAAAATTAGCCAGGCATGGTGGCGCATGCCCGTAGTCCCAGTTACTCAGGAGACTGAGGCAGGAGAATCACTTGAACTCGAGAGGCAGATGTTGCAGTGAGCCAAGATCGGGCCACTGCACTCCAGCCTGGGCAACGGGGTGCGACTCCATCTCAAAAGAAACAAAACAAGCAAAACAAAACAAACAAACAAACAAAAACTGCTTGGACTTGGATGGCCTCATCATTGCCTCCTTTTCTGGGGATAAGATGAAAGGCTCCAATCAGGCTGACTGGCACTGGCCAGCTTGCCAGAAGGCATGGTATCCCCAGCCCTCTCTACATTATTCTAAGTTTGGAAGTAGTCAGAAGAAAATAGTATGGAATTTTGGTCCCCAAATCTACTCATTAAAACCATGTGGATACTCTACTTCACACCCTTACTTGAGGCCTTCCTGGCTCTGACACAGATTTAAGACCTAACTTTTAGTGAATTTTCTGATTCCTGGTCCTGCAAATTAGAAGAGTTCATGAAAGGACTGCTGGAAGGAAGCACAACTTGCAGTGAAAAGTGATAACTGCTCGATATTAAAAGAGAAACCCGGAAAGTTCTATACAAAACAATATCCCTGTCCACTATGATAGTGGATTTTCCTTAAAGATCACTCTCAGTTGTGTAAAATGAAAAAGATTAAATTGTGTTTGGTATATTTTGTTTCCAAAGGCAGAGAAGTATGAAATGCACTTTAAGGAAGATTTCTGTTCAGAAGTTTTGGTTTCAGTGGTCTACAGAGTTTACTTTTGTGGAACACCTCGTTCTCTGCCAAAGCCAAATAGATGAAGTGTTGCTGTATTTAGAAAATAAGGAAAGTGAAACATTTGTCGTAATAATGTGAATCTTTTTAAAATAATTGTTAAGAAAAACTATAAAACTGGCATACTTTTTAAAAAGATTATTCAGGAGCAAACTCAGCTCTATTAGGAGCTTTTTGAGGAACAATACTATTTTATTTTGGTTACCAGGTCTAGATTAGGACTCGACACTCTGAGGTTGTTTGTTTTTGGATGGAGAAATGGATAGATGCCTGGATGTATGAATGAATAGATGGATAGATAAATGGACAGACATTGAAGAGATGGAGGGATGGATAAATGACGTTATTTTGGCTTAAGTTGCATTTAGGAGAAGTTAAAAGGATGTGAGAGAGGCATGCAGGGGATATCAACTCCAAATCAGGAACGAAATGGCTTCTAGAGAGCTCACTTCAAAGAGAATAAATTTGAGAGTCAGAGAAACAGAAAGGATGCACAGCAGTAGTGAGATCCTGGCATCCATGGCACTCATGGATGTATAACTGATTCTAGTGTGTAAGTCATAAACAAAAAAGAAAACCCCAAGTTCTTGTCCTACTTCTGCTACTGTAGATCTGGGTGATTTGGGGGCAAACCTTTTATACTTCTCGGGCTGCATTTCTTTAATCAGCAAACTCAGAAGGTGAAACTAGATCATTGAAAGTCTACACTACTGATGTAGATCAATACACCAAACAACAAATTTCATTTCAAGGACATTGGTATTCTTAGAATACAATTAACATCCTCTTGCCTTTGTCTAAAGCACTTACTTTGCAGTCAAAATGGCTTGTCCACATTATTATTTTTTGAATGAAAAGATTTGTGCCTCCCACACGTAGGGCTTGGTGTATTGTGAATGGTAGCCTACACATACGCAAATGAGAACTGGGAAGATAATTAAATCTGAGGTGGAAATAGAGTAGACTTGTGAATGAACAAAGAAAGTGTATTTCTCTGGAAGCCAAGATGTCAAAGGTACATTTTATTGATACTGTATACTCTCAGCTTCCATGTAAATCAGTATTCTCATGCTTCAAATGTTCTAACCTTGCATTTCTGAAGAATCTATTGTGTATATTAACAGCGGCTGTGGCAGGAGATGTCAGGCATTTTTAAATTCCAGATTTAAAGAGATTCATGAATGTGCATGATGCTACACATAAAGAATTGAATGGTCAAATGCACTTTATTTTGAGCTAAAAGTTAGAACAAAAGAGATTCATGTCAAAGACTTTGGATTCCCAACCTGGGCTTTTTTTTTTTTTTTTTTCCTCAGAAAATAGCCATAAAACTAAAAGAGAGAACATGTGACCCAAAGGATTCTAAAATGCTTCAGAATTTTAGAATCCTTTCCAATGGCTCAGTTTGGGCAAACTAGCTCCAGACCCCACCACTATCCAAGCTCCACCATCCTTTCTTATGACTCACACTCACAAATGAGTGCTAAGAGCCTGCCCTGTGGGGGCAGGGATGCCCTGTTAGAACAAACATGAGCTGAAGGTGAACCCAAAAGTAATTTGGTTCCATCCTTTATATTACATAGATGAAAACCGCCTTCCAGGGAGGTGAAGTGATTCACAAAGTAACACAGCAAGTCACACAAGTCTTTTGATTTCTAACCCATTGCTTTTGTCATGGCCACATTGATCCCTGACAAATAATATAAAACAAGGAAACCAGACCCTTTTAAAAAAAAGGTTATAATGCTATTACTTTTTTTCAAATGAGCCATTTTTTACCTTTTCACTTTGTTGCTTTTGTCTTGTCAGCTTCTTGTAGAAAGATGACTTAGTACATGAAAATTCAACTTGGCATTTTCTTTAGACAAAGTGATCTTTTAAATGTAGCCAACATTTCTTTTGGAGTATGACTCCATTTCACATAACACAGCCTAAGATTGATGTTTACTAAGTTGGTTGTTCAAATCATGTTCGGCGCTTGGTTACATGGGCTGTTTCTTTGTCTCTGTCTCTCCCTCTCTCTCCTTTTTCTTTGTGCTTGACACAAAAGGATGGGGGCCCCAGGATCATCTGGAAATGGATCAGTGTATTCATGTGTGAGCTTTACAAAGCACTGGAGCAAAGGTGTCATTAAACGTTAGAAGTCATTCAATCACACCCATCTTTTCATACAAAGTATAGAGAGAAAAGGCTCTGTATGGTAACTATGCATAAAGCTTTGTGTATTCATTTACCCTCACTTCTTGGAGTAGCTGGCTCTTTTTTTTCCCCCCTGCCTCTTTCCTCTCTTAGAGGAGGTTTGAGATTAGCTTTGCTTGTCTAAATCTGCCATTAATACTAAGCTCTTGTGTAGTGCTGAAAGCAATTAAAGTAATAGATTTTTAAAGAGAGCTTGTGGGTTTAATTCTGATTATGTTTCCTTTCAAATTATTGAGGTTTTCTTAGGCGTCCATGGTAGTGCCATGGGCATGGCAAGAGAGAAGTATGACTCTTACCAAGAAAAAGGGAATGAATGGTCTACCCTTAATTATATTTCCAGCAACCTTTTCTAGGTACTAAATGTAGAAGTCAATTAAGGGAGGTTTCAATGTATCAGTATCCTGTTTGTCCTGAAATGTAAATGGAAGTTAGGAGAGTTTTGAAGCAGATGCCATCTGCTGGATAGCTAAGATACTGTAACCAAAATAATGTGAACAGAAAACATATGGAACAGTAGATCTAAATGAATGGACTGATTGCTAATTTAAGTAAATACTACTTCCCAGGCCCCAGGTAGAGTGAAATCTCCCTACTATACTGTCTACAATAGAAATATTTAAAATTTATTTTTTTCTAATCTGAATAAAGAAATCCCTTCCTGTTCATGTGTAATGCAGATCCTCAAACTCTTTATTTAGTTTGCCATCATAAGAACAAACAGAATCAGTGCACATCTTCTGAGAAATGATAACTGCAAAAATGCCTTTGGAAGCCCCCAAAATTAAAACCAGAAGTAATATAACAAAATGGGGAAGGGTTAATATGGTTATATGGGAACAAAGGGTAAGTATATCAAATTAAAACCATATGTAAGACAAATACAGGCTAAATAGTTAATTCTTTTTTTCTCTCTCTCTGAGGGACCCTTTTAAATAGAATTGGTCCTACTTAACACCGTCACACTCCCACACTGCTCCCTCATTGGAAGAACCCATGGATAAAGGAACCCCTCCTTAAACTGTCCAACCTCCCTTAGAAATTGTTTATTACAGTCATGTTCTGTATAACTGCTGTTGTTACAGGATCGCAGTCTGGCCTCCTTCTCTAACTATCAGAACAGGTTGTTTCACATTTTTGAAACCCATTTTCCTCATTTGTTAAATATCACTCAGTGAATTTTACTGTCCTAGTGAGCTATTTAAAAAGTTAAGGCACAAATTAATAGTATATCCATAAACAGCATTCCCCTAAAATATCCCCGTCTAGAGTTACTACTTAGAATCAGGACACTGACAAGTTAGTCTGTGAAAAGAATGGCATTTCTCCACATGTAGAAAAATGTCCTAAGAAATAAGAACCTTTAAAATTCCAATCTGCACCTGGCTAAGAACTCCTCTGGGGATTTTGCAGAGAGGAATGGGCAAGGGACCCATGCATAGTAATACATGTAAGTAAGATTGTTCATTTTTTTTTCTCCCAATGGAATATAAAACAGTAAAACAAACTCCATATATTTCTTACATGAAGAGCTCTCAAAATGGCGGCACCCAAGTTGTCAGCTCCATTTCCATTTCTGAGTCACAGATACACATATATGGCTGAAAGGAGGGAAGGAGCAGACAAAATACCAAACAGATGAAGAGAGAAAGGAAAGATGTTCCCAAACATGTTAACTGTTTGCCCACATGACTTATTGGTATGTTAATGTCTCACATCAGCCACCGCTAAGGAGAATGTCGCCCCTTCCTTCCCTCTTAGTTTATAAATGGAGTCACATTATGTAATCACCCTAATGAGGTAATAGAAACATAAGTACACAGGAAAATTTGATAGTGTTTTCTCCTAATTCATCCTCTGTTATGTTGGTCACCCCCCCATCCCATTAACCCTCCTTCTCTCTTCCAGACTGGCCCCCTCCAAATTGGCTGAGTTTCCCGTCCCAAAGGACATATTGTTGGCTATTGTTTATAATAAGTCTCTCCCCTCTTGGCAGGATAGAGAACAGCTGCTGGTCTATTCTCTGCCACAAAGACCAACTTCCTTCTTTTGCCCTGGATGATTGGAAGAAAGTCGGGGAGAAGAGCAATTTATAGTTGTGTTACAGTACCTCTATTTTCTTTTGTGTTTATTTATATTGCTTCCATTTCTGTCAGGGATTTCTGAGATAATCAAGATCATTCTGCTACAGAGTTTTCATTTGAGTAGGCTCTAGTGGCAGTTGGCATTTTTCTTCATTGAGTCAGACATTTTAGGACTCCAGGCTAGAGGAAGTAGTGAACATTTCTCTATGAGAGTTTGAGAATCAATATTCCTTTTTCTAAAAAAATGAACTCATGAATGTATTCTGTGTTACATGAACAATTAATGACTTTGAATTTCTCAAGGGAAGACACCTTGTCTTTGCCAACTTTCTGTTCCCCAAACTTAGTACAGTACCTGCTTCATAATGTTTGCCAGATGAAGTAAGTGGAGTGCTGAATGGAGTTCTGGTTTGTTCTGTGAAATGTAAGCTATGCTGACAGTCCAGCACTTAAGTCTCACCCTAGACTTCAGGCCAGGCAAGGCTCATCACCTGAGGTGGGACCTTCTTCTGAGATCTTTGCCTTAGATCGTTTCTGGCTCTAGGCTTCATTCTAGGCAAAGAAGCCAGGGAACTCAATGTTTCAGAATCTAACCCCCAGCAAAAGAAACCTAGACTAGGTACTGAATCTTCAGAGAGACTTGAGCAGCTCTGGAAGCAGAATGTGGAGAGCATTTCTCTGTTCTTTGTTAGGAGCAGAAGGAAACTCACAAAATGGAAAATTGGTCTAAGACTCTATACACAGGAAAGATCCAAATGGCATTGACACAGGGCATCAATGTGATATCAGACAAGACAGCTCTGGTGGATAAAAAGGAACCACAGCCTATCATTAAGGTTTCTCCTGAGAAGTGTTTGGAACTAAGGTTGGCTGATGGTGAAGGCCATGTTTACTAAAAACTGGGCAGAAGCAGAGTGGTGTCGTTAAGTCCAAGGAGTGTGACAAAGAGGAGAGTGGCTCCTGACTCTCTTACTTATTTCTGTATGAACTTAGCTTGATAAGCATTAATAATAGCAAATTTTCTCTGTAGTCAAAACAGTCCCCTTTCTGGGGAGTAAGAACTGGAGACCTGACAATTTCCATGTGGTAGATGCCTCATGGTAAGGGTTCTTAATGCATTTTCAAATTTCCTAGTATGTGTTCCTAAATGTATCATATGGATATTGATTAATATGGCTCCCTGTACTTTCTGTAGTCACTACCTTGGTTCACCCAACAAGCACTTAACAAATATGTTCCTGACAGACATGCAAAGAATGTATATGACTGAAAATAATACTAGGTGCTAAAGCCACTGAGAGGTCTGACTTTCTGATAGTTTGTAGCATTTTGCAAGCAATACAGGAAGAAAGAATAATAATAGCTATGACTTATAGAGTGTTTAAGACATGACAGGTACAGTTGTGGTCACTTTACATGCATTGTTTCATTTCATCTCATAGTCTAGTTTCTAAACGGAATCCTTGAAGACATACAATGCCACAATGCTCACTTCTGCCTAATTGTGAGCCAGGCCCTTCAGAACTGGACAAGGAAGCTGGTCAAGTTGGGTCAGAGAGTAGTTTAAGCCATCTCTGGAGACAGGGAGGCATAAAACTGATAGACAATTAAATCCAGGTAAAGTTTGCCCTTTTTCTGCTCTTTGCCTATCTCCCTGGTTCTCCTGATGCCTCCTGAATGGTTGCTTGTTAACGCAAATTAATTTTAACTGGTGGGCTTTCAGGCATTTGAGGAGATGGGAAAGTGGAGGCAGAAGACCCTGCATAGAAAACTGTTGAATGAAGTCCTTGATGTGAACCTCTATTTAGTTGCACATCACACTAAATAACACACTAGTTGAGGGCATGAGATCTAGAATCAGACTGCCTGAGCTCAGATGCCATGCTAGGGGTGTGACCTTGAGGCAGCTTCTGCATGCCTCAAATTTATTGTCTATAAAATGTGTAGAATAATACACATTAGTATTATTAGTAGGTAGAATAATACATACTTCACAGAATTCTTATTAAGGATTAAATGAAAGGGTCAAACTAAAGATTAAATGTAAAGGGTTTAACAAAGTATCTGGTATTTAATAAATATTGGATATTAGTATTACTGGTATTACTAATGATCAATATATACCTCTTTTCCTTCCATAGAATGTGAGGACTAATTGAGAGAAAGGACCTTGAATATATGTTTTATCTGCCACAATTCTTACCACATTGTAGATTCTAAATAAATATTGGACGGATGGATGGTTGGATAGATGGATGGATGAATTAATTTTAAGTTTCTATAGATAAAGGCACTACAGAAGACCTCCTTGTTTTCAGATCTCTTCCAGAAAGTCATGCCTCACAGATTATCCAAAGGAAATGACACTAAACCAACATGCAACAGCCAGCAGGGGGATTTCTTAGGCTCAGCTAGACATTTAGACTCCTAAGACTATCACACATCACATTTGACATCAGTCTGCCCAGAAGAATATAGGATCAGAACTATAGCTTGCCAGTAGGCCAGCATCAGGTATTCTTCTGCAATTAGAGCCATGGAAGCTCGGGTGCCAAATGATGAGATCCACACTGGGCAGGTGAAGGAATTGCCTTTACTTAAGAGCCTTATTTCCCATAGGAGTCAGTAACTCTTGTAACAACTCCATAGACATAGTTTGCAAGGTCCTCTCCAGAGACATGCTAGTTACAAGAACTGCTGCATTCAGGGAAGTCCAAAGCATAGCCAGCAGGTATTTGCAGTTCATTTATAGTTCCTCCCAGTCCAGATGCACTCTACCAATGAGGGGTCATTTTTACCATATGCAATGTTGCCTAGTAACATAGTTGACACATACCATCTTTATCTGTTTCCAGGGAAACCAAGTTAAGAAGTTAACCAAAGGTCAGATTCTCATGCAAAAAGGAAAAGAGTTTTTGTTAACTCTTTGCCTGCACCATCCAAATAGTTATTTACTACATAGCCTGAAAAACCCATCCAATGTCCCTGTGAAGGATTCATTCTTACATCTCATATATGCCACAAATATGTCCCAGAGTGGAATAATACAGGCATGGCCATATTTGCCAGTCGGTGTCCTCCCTTCAACAACCAAGAGTCAAGCCCAGTGATCTTTCACCCTATGCCTGCCCTTCACATCAGCCCCTACCGACAGTCCCATTCTTCAGAACTCAAGTGTAGTTGACTCTCTCACACATACACTCACTTGTATAAATACCCAGGGATGTCAGTTTCCTTAGATCTGTATGATCTTAATAGATTATTAAATAGGTCCAGGAGCCACACCGGTAAGGATCTTTTGAGTTTTACCCTTCCTTACTGGGTTGTTTTGAGGGTAAAATGGAATAAAATGAGATCAGAGAGGTAAAAAGTTGAAAGGACCATGGTAAAAATCTATGGTAGCTTTACTGTTCGGAAAGAACGTGAGTGAATTCCAACACGGTTGGATGGGGTTTGATCTACTTAAGTGAGTAGCTCAGAGAAGTCGTGACTTCCCTGATTTAAATTATTAATGATAATAAACATCTTTAAGTAATTAGGGAAATTTTTGACCAGTGAGAACCACTAAACTCCCAAGTCATTCCACATTAATGAGGTGTTAGAGATTTCAATTAGCACACACTTGAATTAGTAAAAGGATTAAGTACTCCATTTATTCTTCTGCCTGGATGATAATAGTAGTTTCTGTTTATTAAATTCTTACTGTATACCAGGGACTGTGCAAAATGCTTTACTTACAGCCTCTTGATTAGTCACCAAGTATTATTGGCCTTACTTCTTAGCAAAAACCAAAGCTCAGAGAGATTACAACACTTGCCCACGGTCGCTCAGCTATACATAGTGGAGCCAAGAGTTTAGTCAGGTTTAGTGTTAGTCCAAATCCTATGTCCTGTGTTCAGTGATATCTTCATGGAGATGCTTTATAAACTATGCATTATTTCTATTAAGCCAATCTATAAACACACTGGGAACAGATTCCATGTTTCCTTTAAAAATTACTTTTACCTTCTTTGTCAAAAAAAGAAAAGGGACTTTATTGAAATGGAAAGAAAGTTAAATTTGGATGAAAATATATGTGAGACAAAGGGAAATCTTCATTTTATGTAAATTTCTCTACTTTATATTATTACCTATTCTAAAATGGAGTTGATAATACAAATGATTTTAAAAGGACACAAAGTACAAAGAGGAGTAAAGAAAAATAGAGCATAGTATGCCAGTTCTGAAGTCACCACCCTGCAGCTCATCTTGTCCAAGTCCTTTTAAAGGAAATAGTAATTACAACTCATTATCTACCTTGAAGACCTGCTAAGTAACATGAGAACAGGTTCCAAATCAATAGAATTCTATTTGAGATATTAGAAGCATCACTGGTTCATTATAGTGGAAAGTTTAATAGCTCTTCCAAAAAATTTTCAGCTACATGTTTTGTCTGCTTATAATGTACTTGAACACATATTCCTGCCAAGAAGAAAAATTAAACTAAATTCTTCCACTATGGCTAGCACTTTTCTACTTTGTTCTGATTAATTCATAGATCTGTGCAACGAAAGAATTTGCAATTGGCAAGCAAAATTCTAAATTAGGCAGTTTAATTGTCAAGTAAATTTTAAAACTTGCATGAAGGATGGAAAAAATATAGAAATGTCGACATGTTGGCATTTGGAAACCATAAATGGGTATTTTCTTGTAGGTCATGCCAATCTAAGAGAAGGAAAAAAAAAGAAAGACTTTGGTTCTGTCAGATAGAATAACAGTTTCTTTAGGAAACTTTAAAAATCTATTTCATCATATATTCTTCCAATGAAGGTAAATTTAATGAAATTTTATACTTTATTTCCTTGAACTCCTCTTAAGACATTTTCTTAGAAAATAGCCACATAAATTTAATTACCTATATGTGTTAAAAATTTTAATTTAAAATCATTTTCTTTCTGCCTAAATTACAGTGCAAAAAATTAGTTGTATAAAAAAATTCAGAGTGGATTTTATTGGCATGATTTCATCCTCCTAAACTTTATTTATTTGGGACATCAAATAAACATTGGGAATGAACATTTATGGATTTACTTTGTTTTCTTTGATCATGTAATTTTATACTACATTTTGATTCTTATAAATTCTTATTTCTTGATCCAGATTTCATTGTTTTCCATTAACTTGCTCACCTATTAAATTAAGTTAGAATAATGTTAACTGCAGTGTATGGGGGTGTCAGCAACCTTTTAAAAGTGGTGCACCTTTTTATGACACCTGATCTGAAGTGCTGAGGTAACTAGAGTGGGTACTGGCTGTCCAAACAGAGCATGGAGGATGGAGATAGCACAGAGTGGGTATGAACCCTAAAACGTCTTGGCTTCTCAAACTACCCCACCTACCACCTCCATATTTTCTACTGTAGTCTAGAAGGATTAGACTCATTCCTCATTCATAACTTAACAAGACTTGTTTTTTGTTGTTTTTTCTTTCTCTCTCTCTTTTTTCTTTTTTTTTTTTTTTTTTTTTTTTGAGGCAGAGTCTTGCCTGTCGCCCAGGCTGGAGTGCAGTGGCATGATCTTGGCTCACTGCAACCTCCGCCTCCTGGGTTCAAACGATTCTCCTGCCTCAGACTCCCGAGTAGCTGGGATTACAGGTGCCCACCACCACCATGCCCAGCTAATTTTTGTATTTTTAGTAGAGACAGGGTTTCACCATCTTGGCCAGGCTGGTCTCGAGCTCGTGACTTCGTGATCTACCTGCCTCGGCCTTTCAACGTGCTGGGATTACAGGCATGAGCCACCGCGCCCGGCCAACAAGCCTAGTTTTAACTACATTTTTTTTCTAATACTTGATGGAGATTATCAGAAGGGGTGAAAAGAAGAAAGAGGTAATCAGTCTCTTTTGGATGCTTACTACATGCCAAGAGATGGACAAGGCATTTTATTTAAGTTTTCTGTATATAAATTTCCAATGAATCCTCAAAGCATACCTGTAAAGTAAATTTTATTAACCCCACTTAAAGAAGAGGATACTGAAGCTTAGAGAATTCAGTAATTTGCCCAAGGTTTTTTATTATAAAATGACAGAACAAGGATTTGAGATAAAACTGCTTGGAGTTTGGGTTGGGAGGTGAGTTAGTTGAGCAACAAGAAAGTGAAAGGAAATTTAGAATAGGGGCATTTGAAGGGAAAGCACTCATTTATTCATTGAACAACTATTTAATTAGCTATTAAGTGCCAGCCCTATGCCAGGCACTAGGGGAAGCAGGAGTAAACAACATCTATGTGGACACTATACTCCTGTCAGTTGGAAACTGAGTGGCCAGGAACAACACAAGCAAACTTAGACATGTAAAAAGAAGATAGAAGGTACCAAAGGCAAAATTTTGTTTCTGTCTATTTATTGATAGCCTCAACTTAAAAATACAGTCTTCTCATTGTAAGGTCCTGATCTAGTCTTGGGCTAAGCTCTTACTCAAGAGTCAATTCTAACAAACTTATTGTTGGAAAGTAGGGACTATGATTCTGCCAACTAAACATTTTGAGAGAGCTTTAGTGTAGGCCTCTGAAGGAAAGCCTCTGTCAACTTCCTGGGTGATCTGGAGGGCACAGGTTTTGGAGGTGATACCTAGATTCCATTTCTCCACCATATCTTTTCCTAAACAGACTCTGACACTTAGAAGATACTTTACAAATAATTTGGGGAGGAAGGAAGGGAGAGAGAGAAGGAGAGAGGGTGGAAAGAGAAGGAAAGGAAGGAAAAAATCTTCCTGGGCCTTTGCTCTGTTTCTACCTGTCCTCCTCAGGGCCTTCTGATGTAAGCAGAGTTCACCTGTTCAAATCCAGGGGCTAGAATTGTCCTGTGTATTCAGAATGTCCCAAGTTGCTCAGAGCTGCTATCATCTAAGTCTATTTGGTATAGGTATTACCTTTAATTTGAAGGTAACTCGTATCTTACAGTATCTGAGGTAAAAAGAAAAGCATTAGTCTGACAGAGGTAGTCTACCATTCATAGTTTTGAAACTAGAACATTTTGCTGACAAAGAGAAATGTATTTTTAAGCCTGAGTTCTTAAAAGAAAAAAAAAACCAACAACAAAAAAAACCCTTCCATCCTAGTCCTTTAGCTGGGCTATTTCTGCCAGCTCCCCGGCTATGAACACAACACATTCTTGCAATTCATCACGTCTCTTGGCTCGAGCCTGCCTTTAAAATGGTTGGCGGCATATGCTTCTCATTAGCTCTGCTTCTACCTCACCTGCGCTGGTCAGAATCCTCCCTCCTGCCCCCTGCCTGCTCCCCTCTCTCCTCCTCCCCCAACTCAGACGCATACTCCTGCCAGTTTCTCTTACCAAGCAGCGCTGCCTGCTGGCATGGCAGGAGGCAAGTGAAGGAGAAGGAGAAAGAAATCGTTCACTTCTTTCAAAAGTAAATTCTGTGGGTTAGCAGCCTTTCGTTCAGAAATAAGACCTAACAAAACAGAAGGCCAAGGGCAAAACCAAAAACAATAACAGGAATGGGGGAAAAAAAAAAAAAAAACAGAAGTGTGCTGACTGGGAGAAAAATAAAGAGGGGCAGCAAAAGGTTACGAGGGAAAAAAAATCCCATTATTACATCACTTTGGCAATCAAATGTTTCCTGAGGTCACCAGTTTGTCTCGATTTATCTTCTAGGCTCTACAAGGAAGTTTCATCCACTTGGAGGGTATTCTCTGTTTAACTCAGTTATCTGAGTGACAAAATATTCCTTTTATTTGGTGAATTGTTTTCTCTGTGACCTGTTCTTAAATTAAGAATTAAATTGAACCAAAGAATTTTGGTTCAGCCCAAACGTTACTTTCTATACACACCAATTTTTCTTTCTGATTGTTGTTTTGTTTTGTTGAAACTGGTTTTGAATGGCAAGAAAGGACTATTGAAGGGGTAAAGGACTTAATCTTTGATGGCATTAGGAGAGAATCATAGACATCTGAGGTTTGGGGAGATCTCAGACATTCCCAAATCTGTAACATTAATCTCACAGATGAGGAAACTGAGGCTGAGAGGTGAACTCCCCTCTGCCACACAAAAAGGAAGTGGCAGGACTAGGGTTCACCCAGGTCTTCTTAGCCTCAGTTCTTTTCTGATTCCGTAATATGCAGGCACCATACTCTCTCACAGCAGATAAAGAATGGCTTTTTGTTCTAGCTCCAACAGTTAATATAGAACTTGATGAACAAAAATGACTTTGCTCAGTACGGGTGACCAGGGACATCCATATGACCTAAATCACCAGATACAGGAAAACCTTTGAGCAAATTAGAAAAAGGCTGCTCTTCCTTAGGGCCTATCCACCACCACCACCCCCATCTCCACCCACCCACCCTGGGTGCAAGGCTTGGTGAAGTGCAGGATGGATATATTTCAGTCTTAACTTGCTTTTTCAACCAAGTGCTCTTGTGTAGGCAAAACCTCCATGAGTGTATCTGCAGTGGTCCTGTCCTAAGAGTGTGCATGATCAAGAGACTCACACTAAGTGCAGGCATATCCTGATTCACGAAAGTCATCCTGATACTTTTATCTGGAACAAGAGCCCTTTCATTACAATGGATGAAGACAAAAATACCTCATCTTCAAGGAGTTGAATGACTTAGTTTTTCGTCAACAACTTTCATTTCCAAATAGGTGAGACAGATTCATCTCTGAACAAAATTGTACAGTCAGAAAAACTTGCCAATGGACCTCTTTTTCTCTTGATTCACTTCAGCAGCTAATGCTTGTATATCATCCCAGCTACCTGCATGGTTGCTCTTTCCTGGCTTGCAGTCACAATCCTTTCTAAGATGTTAGCTGATCATGGCCTCATGCATTCATTCCAAATATAATTATTGAGCACTCCCTCTATGCCAAGATTAAGGTTTCTCCTAGGGTATTTGTGTTTTAATAGGAATTCTTAAGCCTAGCACAATGCCTGGGACATAATATATACTCAATAACCATATGAAAGGAGAGGAAGGGAGAGAATGGGGGGAATTTTATACCCAAAGAATGGTTGAATTTGTGCAGTAGGCAGGGAAGGGAAAAACTGGGAGCAGAGAACCTTTACCACCACCCTACATGTCATGACAAATAGGTTGTGTGTGTTCTGTCCTATATTCTACAAAATACTTAAGGCATCCATGCAACCATGTGAAAAACTGCTGCTGGCACCTAGAGTCCACCACCAAAACCCTTCCAGGCACGCCTCCCTCTTGCCCAGCCAGATACCCCAGCACTTCTGAGACCCAAGAATTTTCGGGCCCTGTTCTTGTTCCACAGCTTGGTTCCCATTGTTTATCCAGTCCCTTGGTTAGCAACACAGTCTTGGATTCCTACCTTAGCTTGTAACCTTCATACAAGGTGTGATTTCCAGGATTTCCCTCTGGCTTTGTGTACTCCACACCTGCCTTTGTCTCCATGGGCCATAGGCCCTGGGCCATTACTCACCTGATTGACATAGATGATTACCTTCATCTACTTATTTTAAGTCCATTATGGAAGTTACTACCAGAGTTACCACCAGCACTTAGGGAACCCTTTCTTTGAATGCCTCTGTTGGAAGGCATTCTTATTTTCTTCTTAGTAGGATAGTTACTGTGTGTTTTTCTAATCCTTTCAACTGAAAGTTCCTAGAAAGAAAACACTGCCCCATAGTCACCTCTGTGGCACCATTATTGCTTAGTGCAGTGCTTCATGCAGAATAATTGCCTGCCCAAAAAATATTTTGTTATAGTTGAATTATTCAACCAGACATTCTATCATCCATTTAGTTTTTGTTGTTGTTTTAACCAGAGGAAATGAACAGGGATTTCTCATCGATTCTGGTCTTCCTCTGATGGGAAAATTTTTATATTAAATGCAAATTACTTTACCATCTGTGTGCAGCATAAGTTCCAGAATCCTTTCCCTTTATATGGGGAGACCAGGTTTCCACCAGTGACCATTAAAGTATATTTGGCAGCCCTTGTAGCTCTTTCTCTGTAGCCCAGATGGCAGAGTTTTTTTCTCATTTCCATTTGAGAACTTTTATAAGGCTTCTTTATGTTGTTCCTTCTTTTGAAGTACTTTTCTGTTCCTGGACAGGGGGATTGGACCTTCTGCCTGGACCTCCCTGTCTGTACTCTCTAGTCATAGTGCTGATTCTGGGACAGGAAGCAAATTTTGCTAGTTAGAACCCAAATCCATTAGCTAATGTGTCTGATCTTTTGTGTTCCTGTTTGTAAAATGATATCAGTATTAGCTGTTGGTCCTTCCTTCCGTTGATATAAAAGTAAAGTAATAATTTAGCTGATCTAAGATAAAGATGGTGTTCTTTGTGTGTTCCCTGGAGAACCCAGTACTAAATTAAAGGTGGTACCCAGACAAGAGAATGTTAAGGATTCGCCGGGTGGTGGCTCATGCCTGTAATCCCAGCACTTTGGGAGGCTAAGGCGGGAAGATCACTTGAGGCCAGGAGTTTGAGATCAGCCTGGCCAACATGGTGAAACCCCATCTCTACTAAAAATACAAAAAATTAGCCGGGTGTGGTGGTACATGCCTGTAGTCCTAGCTACTCAGGAGGCTGAAGCAGGAGAATTGCTTGAACCCAGAAGTTGGAGGACGCAGTGAGCAGAGGTGGCACCACTGCACTCCAGCCTGGGTGACAGAGCTAGACTCCGTCGCAAAAAAAAAAAAAAAAAAGAACGTTAACGATTGGTTGGTAACAAGCATCATCTTAACAAGGACTTCATTGAGCTTTGTGACATTAGGTAAATAAGGAAGATGGAGAAAAGGCTTCATGGGGAACAGGCCTGGCTTAAAGACGAAAAGGTAGGATGGGAGCCAATGGTGAAGGACTTTGGTTTTCAGGCTAAAGGCTTTAGACTTTATACGGTAGGGAGCTAAATTGGGATTTTAAATAAAAGTGTGACATGGTTACGTATGGGTTTGAGAAGGGTGGCTCTGACCTCAGTGGGGAAGACCACGGGAGGTTACTGCAGTAGTCCCTGAGAAAAAAGAGAAGGCAGCTGGGCACACTGGCTCACGCCTGTAATCCAGCACTTTGGGAGGCCGAGGCAGGTGGATCATCTGAGGTCGGGAGCTCGAGACCAGCCTCACCAACATGGAGAAACCTGGTCTCTACTAAAAATACAAAAATAGCCTGGTATGGATGGGCATGGTGGCTCACGCCTGTAATCCCAGCACTTTCGGAGAGGCCAAGGCAGGTGGATCACGAGGTCAGGAGATCGAGACCATCCTGGCTAACACGGTAAAACCTCGTCTCTACTAAAAATACAAAAAATTAGCCAGGCATGGTGGCGGGCGCCTGTAGTCCCAGCCACTCGGGAGGCTGAGGCAGGAGAATGGCCTGAACCCGGGAGGTGGAGCTTGCAGTGAGCCAAGATCGTGCCACTGCACTCCAGCCTGGGCAACAGAGCAAGACTCTGTCTCAAAAAAAAAAAAAAAAAAATTAGCCGGGCGTGGTGGCATATGCCTGTAATCCCAGCTACTCAAGAGGCTGAGGCAGGAGAATCGCTTGAACCTGGGAGGCGGAGGTTGCTATGAGCCGAGATGCGCCATTGCACTCCAGCCTGGGCAACAAAGTGAAACTCTGTCCCCCAAAAAAAAGAAAGAAAAAAGAGAAGGGCTAGATCCAGGCAGACAATGGAAACTGGGAGAAAGGACAGATTTAATAGGCATTTCAGAAAAAAAAAAAATCACTCACTCCAGCTAGTTTGGCTTCCTTACAATTTCTCATACATCAGGCACACTCTTGCCTGATGGAGGTTCCTACTGACTGAAACGCAATGGAACACACTTCCTCCAGATGACCATGGATCACCTCCATAGACTCTTCAAGTTTTGCTTGAATACCACCTTCTTTTTTCTTTCTTTCTTTCTTTCCCTTCCTCCTTCCTTCCCTTCCTTCCCTTCCTTCCTTTCCTTCCTTTCCTTCTTTCTTTCTTTTTATGGAGTCTCACTCTGTTGCCCAGGCTGGCTCACTGTAACCTCCACCTCCTGGGCTCAAGCAATTCTCCTGCCTCAGCCTCCTGAGTAGCTGGGACCACAGGCACCCACCACTATGCCCGGCTAAATTTTTTTTTTTTTTGTATTTTTAGTAGAGAGGGGGTTTCACTATGTTGGCCAGGCTGGTCTTGAACTCCTGACCTCAAGTGATCCACTTGCCTCAGCCTCCCAAAGTGCTGGGATTACTGGTGTGAGCCACCACACCTGGCCTTGAATATCACCTGTTTAATGAGCCCTGCTGTAACCAACCTACTTGAAAATCCATACCCTTACCAAAATCCATGTGTTCAGAATGTTCATAGCAGCAATATTTAGGATAGCCAGCAACTAGAAAATACCCAAGTGCCCATCAGCAACTGGAAGGGTAAATAAATTGTGGTATAATCACATACTGGAACATACTCTACAGCAATCACAATGAATGACTGATCTACAACTACATGCAACAACGTGGATGAATCTCAGAAGCATAATGTTGAAGAGAAAGAAGCCTGATTAAAAATACATAATATACAATTCCATTTATATAAATAAAAGTACAAAAACAGTCAGCACTGAGCTTTGCTATTTGAAAACAGAATAATAGTTATCTTAGGCAGGGTGGTTAGTTATGAGAAGTACACAGGAGGTTTCTTTTGTTTTGTTTTTCTTTGAGACAAAGTCTCACTCTGTCGCCCAGAAGGGAGTGCAGTGGCACGATCTCGGCTCACTGCAACCCCCGCCTCCTGGGTTCAAGCAATTCTCGTACCTCAGCCTCCTGGGTAGCTAGGATTACAGGCGCCCACCACCATGCCCAGCTAATTTTTGTATTTTTAGTAGAGACGAGGTTTCACCATGTTGGTCAGGCTGTTCTCAAACTCCTGACCTCAGGTGATCCACCCGCCTCGGCCTCCCAAAGTGCTGGGATTACAGGTGTGAGCCACCGTGCCCAGCCAAGGAGGTTTTTTAGACTGTTGGTAATGTTTTGTTTTTTGTTCTCCAAGCTAGTTACATAAAGGTCATATATTGTGTGCAAACTCAGAGTTGTACATTAATGATATGATACTTTTCTGTGTGTGTATTATACTGCAATAGAAAGTTTAGAAAATGCAATTTTTACCCCAACACTTTTCATCTCTGTTACTCTATTTTTCTGTAATGCTTGCCATCTTCTAATATGTACTATAATTATGACATTTATTATATTATTTCCTCATTAGATGTAAGTTCTATGAATGCCAGGATTTTTATGTCTGCTTTATCTGTCACCTTGAAGTGTACCTGGCACATAATAAATAATATAATGAATGAACAAACTATTGAACCAGGAAAACATGAATAGAATAGGCCAGGCTCAGACATCTAAAGGGAACCCCGGTTTGAGGACTTGTGTTGCTTTGGAAGTGTCTCATTCCTGAGTGCAGCGAATAGGCTGCTAGCCCCAGGTTGTGATGATCTTTTTTTTTTTTTTTTTTTGAGACAGAGTCCTGCTCTGTCACTGTCGCTCAGGCTGGAGTGCAGTGGCACGATCTCTGCTCACTGCAAGCTTCGCCTCCCGGGTTCACGCCATTCTCCTGCCTCAGCCTCCTGAGTAGCTGGGACTACAGGCACCCGCCACTACGCCCGGCTAATTTTTGTATTTTGAGAGACAGGGTTTCACCGTGTTAGGGTTTCACCATGTTAGCCAGGATGGTCTCGATCTCCTGACCTCGTGATCCGCCTGCCTTGGCCTCCCAAAGTGCTGGGATTACAGGCGTGAGCCACCGCGCCCGGCCGATGATCTCTTTTCCTGCCTGTCTAAAGGTTACTTTTTCAAGGCTACTTCTGGGCCTTTAAGCTTTCTTTCTTATCCTAAACTATTTATTCTATTTGCGCCATGTCAGAAACCTTCCCATATTCAATGCAAAGCTCAAATGTCATCTTCTCCATAAAGCCTTTCTTAGCAGCCTCAACCCAAATTCCTCTAGCTCCTCCTATGTTACTTTTATGGAATTCTTTTCTGTTCCCTCCTCTCCTCTTCCCTCCTCCCCTCTCCCCTCTCCTGTCTCCTCTCCTCCCCTCTCCCTTATCCCCCTCCCCTCTCCTGTCTCCTCTCTCCTCTCCCCTCCCCTCCTCTCCTCCTCTCTCCCCTCTCTTCTCTCTTCTCTCACCTCTGTCTCCTCCTCTCCCCTCCTCTCCTCTTTTTCTGAGTTGGTCTTGCTCTGTCACTGAGGCTGGAGTTCAGTGGTGCAATCATGGCTCCCTGAAACCTCAACCTCCTAGGCTCAAGTGATCCTTCTGCTTCAGCCTCCCAAGTAGCTGGGACTACAGGCATACATCATCATGCCTGACTAATTCTTTAAAAACATTTTTGTGTAGACAGGGTCTCACTATGTTGCCTAAGCTGGTCTCAAACTCCTGGGCTCAAGTGAACTTGGCCTGCCAAAGTGCTGGGATTACAGATGTGTGCCACCAGTAATTCCGCCTGGCCTAGAATTATTTTCATTCATTTATTTATTCATTCATTCATTTGACAAGTATTATTAAGCACCTACTAAATGCCACATACTATACTAAGTGCTGAAGATACAAGGTTGAATAAAACAGTTATGTCTTTGATAGGGCTAGGTTTCAATAGAGTAGATGAACAATAAGTATATAAGGAAATACATAAAATCATTTTGGGTACTTTGAAAAAAATTAAGCAAGGTAGAGAGTTAGAGAGTGATGGAAGTGCTATTTTAGATAAGTTATGAGGGAAGACTTCTCTATAGGCAACACTGGAGAAGTGACCCAGATAAAGTAAGGACCATGAGGAGGAGCATTCCAGTTAGAGGAAACAGCAAATACAAATACCATGCAGTAAGAGCAAGCTTGGTATATGGGTCTCTTGCTGTGAATTCCTCCAGATAGGGCTTAAGTGCCTAGCACATTGCTTTGGATGAGAAAGTTCTAAGCGATTGAATAGTTGAACCAGTTTAAAACATTGAATTTATTCAAGATCTAGTCATAATTTTTATCTATTTTGCGTTTTTCCTTAGATCAACATTTCCTAAGATGTGTTCAGTAGAAGACATTCCAAATTGATTTACGCAAAATCTAGTTTCACCACATACACCAAAATGGTTCTGTGGTTAAATGAGTATAAGGAACGATGAAGATGTGTATGTCGATATAATACAGGTGTTGCTAAGACCCACAGTAAAACAAACAAGCAAACAAAAAAATGTCTAGTACATTATTTTCTAACCACAACCTTCCTTTCCCATAGAACACACATTACTAATGCACAAGACAGTAAAATTCCATAGAATTCAATTTGGTGGAGCATGTTCCTCAGATTCCTTCATTTTATATTAAGTATATATTTATTAAATTCTTAATATTTACCTGCTTTCATATTTTACGAGTAAAATATAGATGCCAGAATATTACAATGTTATTCTAATTATGGCACAAGAATGTGGATTTTCAACATTCTCTTTAGTACGTTAATGTAATACCTATTTTCACAGCCCCACCCTGCCTAATTTTAGCCTATATCTAGTGATCTTTATTAGCCAAGCCATCTCTTGGGGTATTTTGTCACTGTCAGGATTGGGAGTTAAAATATCAAGAGGCAAGTTTATGAGCCTTGAAGTAAACAAATAGCAGTCAAGGAAACAGAAACAAAGCTTAGAATGCCCAGCGAGAGCTCCTGGCTGGTGACACATCCAGGCTCTGTGGGTGAATTGCCTTTGAACACAGCTCCCTCTGGGAGAAAAGATCCAGCCAATTGCTGGTTCTAACCTGTGTGTTTTTGGTTTCTTCCCCTTTGCACGTCCTCTCTGAATTGGCCTGTTCTATGTTACTGGTGATTGCCTCAAAACTCAGAAGTCATAGTATCAATCTAAGCTTCTTTGCTCACTGATTGGAGACCTCTTTAAGTATTTATTAGTTTTCCATGGTCACCAGCCAGCTGGTGAATGCATGCTTCAGTAACAGGGCTAAATTTGCAAACAGCTGTCAAATAAAGTTGAAACTGTCTTACAACCGTGTATAAGGGTGTTTGTCTCGAAATGCATGTGTATATATCAGAGAAAGAGCAAGAGAGAGAACACCTGGACTTTTGGACAATTTAGCCAAAGATCTTGTAGCCACTGGTGATTTTTAAAAGGAGAAAAGAGCACTTATTCTTATTTTATTGTGGGCACGTCATTTAGCATTACAGGTTTAAAGGCAGCAGGGAAACTGCAAAGCCAGAGTTATTTTTTTTGTTGTTGTTGTTTTTTTATTTTTTATTTTCTGAGGCATTAGTTGCTGTGAAGAAAAACAAGCCAAAGTTTTGCTTGTGGGCAGAAACATCCCAGAATGCATCTGGTGACTGGGCAGAAAGCAAGTACTGGCAAGAGCCCAGGTGCGTTGGCTCCCGACGGCAGTGCAGGAACAACCTAGGCGGTATTCTCAGACTCCGATCAAATTTCCAAGATGGATCCAGTTCAAAATTATCTACTCCGCTTTCACTTATCTAAGATGGTGCTCCAAGTTTAGGATTACAGTCCTCTGAGCTGGGAGTGGAGACTATAGGGAGAAAACCCACTGGTGTTTTTAAATACCATGAAAGGTGTTTTATCTTGTTTAAGTTAGCCGCAGCACACCTGGAAATTAGAAATATACTGTCATTCCTGGGGAATTCAAGGCAGTAAGAATTATTGGGGGTTAACAATTTTCAGGAATTTGGATCGCCACATCTCAGCCCCGGAGTTATTTTTACAATGGGACTTCTTGGTTAAATCTCTAAATTTAAATAGATAAGGATTCAACATATTCTTGAATCTTGAGATCTAGTTTCCCTCATCATGGGCCAAGTAGGAAAGAAAGAAGTGAAACCCTCAAATCACAATGTATCCCTATTTGCCATCCTATCGTGAGCTCCTAAAATCTTATTTTCACACCAAGTGCTTTTTCACCGTCCACTGCAACTGTGATTGTGGTGGTGACCAGACCTGTTCCAGGGGCTCTGAGTCAGGAATGGTGATCATGTGTTCTTTCCCATCATATTCCTGCAGAGAGTAGTGCTAAAAGAGTTTAAAATGAATGAAAGATCCACCTCTCCTAGTTGTTAGAGGAAATAAAACTCTCTAGAGTGAACTTAAAGTGCCCTTCTACCCCTACTTAAAACCTGAGACATACCATCTTTTTTCTTGGGCCCTATACCTATATCTTACCCCCGGCTTTTTGATTATGTCCGTTTGTATGTGTCATTCCGGTGGGGTTAAGCCACTCATTAGATGAGAGATTTTCTGTGTGTCATGTGCCTACTTTATTATAGAATTACATGTGTAGCATCTCAAAGAATAGCTATGTTTTCCACAAAAATCTGTTTTAATTGAACATAATACTGTGGTAAAGTTTTTTAAAATTGCTATACTTGTGCATTATTTTATTCAGTTATATTCTGTTTTTTGAGGGTTTCACTGTATGACAGGCACAGTTTCAGACCATTTTCACATTTAATCCCTGTAGCCTCACTGAGGAGTCTATATCCTAACCCTTAGTTCACAGATGCCCAGCACGTGTATCAGAGAGGTTATGTAACTTGCCCACGGTCACATGGAGCTAGGACTCGAATGGAGGCCTTTTGATTTTGAATTTGTTTGTCTTCCTTTCATCTCTCTGTGTGTGAGGCACTGTTGCATTTCATGGAACAGAAATCTCCTCAGTCTCTTTTGAATATATGAAGATTTCCTGGAAGAATACAGTGGAGTCTTAGAGAACCCAATGTTGGGAGAATACCAAAAAATGGGAAAGCACAGCAGTAATCTTCCCTGTCTCTGTGCTTCCTTCCTTCTGAGATCTCATGATCTCTTGCTTCATTCCTCTCTGAAGTTTCCTCTACAAAGATCTTAGTTACTGTTGCCCAGTGATTTCAGCCTGCACAGGACTTTGGGTTACCACGATACTATTTCTTGCTCTACATGACTTTCCAGTGCCAGGAGCTAACACCTGACAGACCCAGTCTCCTATCTTCCGTAGAATCCACATCCTCAGAAAACAAGAATTTGATTGATCTAGGCAGAGCAGATTGTTCCAAAAGAAGGTGCTGTGAGAAAATAATGGGCATACCTAAAACACGCACTACTTTTTTAAAAGACACTCTATTTGAAATTTTAAAATCAGAATTACTTATGGTTGGCTTCGCATAGCTTTCTTCCAGTCTAGCGTGGTTTCTTTTCCACATTCCTGCCACTGATATGTCTACCCTCTCTTGACCTATCTCACACTTGCCCTGATTGCCTTTCTAAAGGGTACCACACAATTCCAGAATTCTAATCTTTTATCTTTGTGGTAGTTATGCAAATTCTTTTCCTTCTTTGGGAGTTAAATTCCACCTCCACTTCCTCAAGGTAGCTTTCCCATATTACCCAGTAATTATATTAGTCTGTCCTTAATTCCAGGACCTTTGCCTATGAGGACGGGTTCAAATAATTCAGAAAGCAGACAAGCCTTTTAATCTTTTAAACTAAACCTCTTGGACACTCCCATATGCTTCCCCATGTGACTAAGGGCATATATTGAAAACCATATGGTTACAATGATTAGAGTCCAAGAAAAAGCTAACTGGCCCTATATGATCAAACCAATAACTCTGACCCCCAAAAATGCCATCTAGACAAAATATGACCTCAAATTTATAGTGGATAGTCTGAGTCCAGTGCTCAGAGATGCCATGTATTTTCCCTTTAGAATATGCTTTTAAGATTTCTCGTGATGCTAAATGATTTTGAATGCTCAATAAAGTATCAAAAAAGATTAAAGTATCAAAAATAATTTTGGTATTCTGGGCAGAATTTGAAAAGCTTCAAGTCTTTTCTTATTACTTTGCTACTTCCACAAAATTTTTTTGCATTAGAAATGGAGCTTTATAGTAAGTTGATGGAATTATTTTTAATTATGTGGTTTCATAAATAACAAATGTTTTTAAACAGAAGAAATCTCTCTCTGACACACACACACACACACACTCTCTCTCTCTCTCTCTCTCTCTCACACACACACACACACACACACACTTCAAAGTATTTGACCAACTGCCCTAGCTGGCTGACTGTGCTGTTTTAGAAGCAATGAAAGGACAGGGAGATGGGGGTCATATTCTGTGCTTCCTGGATTGGTTGTTAGTCATTAGATACAAACAGTATAAAACCCAGACTTTATGAGTGATCATTATGTTATTATATATCTTTATGAGACGCATTCCCCTCAGGCCACCTAAAGTACTACAATGTTTTAGATGTTGAACTATTTAACCATAATTATTACAACTAAAACCTCATTAAATGTATCCAATAAAGTAGATTCAATGCTTCCACTTAGTTTAGTTTAGTAACAAGAGCTATAAGGAACGTTGTTCTTTCCCCAAAGAGTTTAAAATTTGAGGATTGGCCAACAATAGGGAGTGGGGGATAAAAATAATAGGAAAGAAAAGATTTTCCTTAAAACCCTTTGTAAAGTGTTTTCTATTTTCATGCCTAACAAATGAAGCCTTCATCATCTTTGCTTCTGGGAAGAGTTTCAAGCCTAAGAAACACAATTGGAAACCTGCCGTGTTGCAGCCCATCCTCTGTTAGTAATTCCAACTGGATCCAAATGGAATATCTCCCTTCCAAGAGCTCTCTGAAAAAAATCTCGTGATGAGAGATGAAACCCAGCCAATGCAACCTGGAAGGTTTCACATTTACCCTCTGTCACTAGGTTTTCCCAGACGCGACCCAGGGTACACTCTCCTCTTCCATGTGCTCTCTCACCAGACCACAACTTTCACCCCAAGAGTCAATTCCTCTGCCATGCACCATCCAAAACAAAATTAATCAGAATCTGCTGGAATCCATTTATTCAAAAATTTTTGAGCATTTACAGTGCGTCAAGTCTAGTACAAGATTAGGTATGCACAATCCCTGTCTTCAAGGAGCTCACAGTCTCTGAAGGACTTACAGACTTGAAACTATTACCTAAGCATAGATTCATTTATGTGTTAAACATTCTTTATGGCATTCCTGCCAGGCATTTTAACAGGCACTGTGGTAGATACAAGTAAAGCATGGATTTTTATTGTATGGAACTTACAATCCTAAGAAGATAAGACAGAGAAGGAACTCTGATATAAGGTACTACATGATAAATGTTGCAAAAGTGGAAGTAGAAATAATTGTCCCCAGGGCAGGTAAGGGTTTGGAAACCACTTGGATACAAGATAAGGTTGAGCAATGCCAGGAAAAGGAATTTGAGGGAACTGTGAACAGCAGTCATCTTAGGAGGTTACACTAGCACATTCCATGCCATTTTGTAAAAAGTGCTTAAATAGCATGTATTAGTTTTGTTGTCTTAAGAAGTAAAATAAGCTGTAGACCATTTCAAGGGAGAGTCTCCCTGTTTTAAAAATTAAGCTATAATTTACATGCTACAAATTTCACTTTTTGGGTATGTAAGTGCCCCAAGTTTTGACAAACGCATAGGTATGTAACCATAACCACAATCTATTAATAGAATTTTCATCACCTTTATAAATTTCTGTGTCTCTTTGTATTCAACCTCTTCCCCCACCTTCAGTCCTGGCAACTGCTGGTGTATCCCTGTAGTGTTGTACAGAATTTTGTTTAAATGGGATCAGACAGTATATACCCTTTTGCCACTGGCTTCTTTCACTTAGCATAGCGCACTTGAGAGTCAACCTTGTGATTTAAATATATCAGTAATTCAATTCTTTTTAGTGCGAAGTAGCATCACATTGTATGAATCTATGATAGTTTGTTTATCTATTCACCAAATAAGAGACATTTGATTGTTTCCAATTTGATTTTTGTGGAAACATAACTTTTTTTTTTTTTTTTTTTTGAGACAGACTCTTGCTCTGTCACCCAGGCTAGAGTGCAGTGGCATAGTCTTGGCTCACTGCAACCTCTGCCTCCAGGGTTCAAGCAATCCTCCTGTCTCAGCCTCCCAAGTAGCTGGGATTGCCGGCACCTGCCATCACGCCCGGCTAATTTTTGTATTTTTGTAGAGATGGGTTTCACCATGTTGGTCAGGCTGGTCTTTTACTTCTGACCTCAAGTGATCCACCTGCCTCGGCCTCCCAAAGTGCTGAGATTACAAGTATGAGCCACCGCACCCAGTGGAAACATAACTTTTTATTTATCTTAAATAAATACCTAGGAGTGGGATTCTTCGGTCATATGGTAAGTGTATATTTAACTTTATAAGAATCTGCCAACCTGTTCTCCAAAGTGGCTGCACCACTTTGCTATCCTGTCTGGAGTGTTCGAGTATTCCAGTTGATCCATATTCTTGCCAGGATTTGATCCCAAACATTCTTAATTTGTGGACATTTAAAACTGTGGGCTCACTTTCAGGTAAAGAGATAGCATCTCCCCATCTTGGCCCACTGATGTACAAAGATACGGGTAATTTTTTATTTATTTTTATTTTTTTTAATTTTTAGACAGAGTCTCGCTCTGTCACCCAGGCTGGAGTGCAGTGGCGCAATCTCAGCTCACTGCAAGCTCTGCCTCCCGGGTTCACGCCATTCTCCTGCCTCAGCCTCCCAAGAGGCTGGGACTACAGGTGTCCACCACCATGCCCAGCTAATTTTTTTGTATTTTTAGTAGAGACGGGGTTTCACCATGTTAGCCAGGGTGGTCTCGATCTCCTGACTTCGTGATCCACCCATCTCAGCCTCCCAAAGTGCTGGGATTACAGGCATGAGCCACTGTGCCCGGCCAGATATAGGTAATTTAACGTATAAATCAAGCAACTGGAATTTATGAAACATTTTGTCTGTACCCCAAGCATGCTACGCACTGGGGGCATGCAAAAAAAAGCATGAAACTGGATCCATTCATTCAGTGAATCTTTATTGCACATTTTCCCATGCTGTATTCTGAGAATAACAACTGTTTGGGTCATGAACTATGTTAAGGAATACTCTTTTCTGGAAATTAGCAATACTCCTTAGCATACCAATGACTCTGAGAGGTACTGCAGTAAATAAACTAATTTGTTTTTCTCTTTAGCATAGTTTGGAAAACACTAATTTACAGTTTTGTCAAAGAGAGAAAACACACAAACACACACACACACACACACACAAACTGTTAAATGGAAATAATAACACTTAGCTCATAGGATTCAATGAAATAAATGTGTAAAAGTACCTTTTACAAAACCTGGTATCCAGTGAGAAAAGAAACATTAAAACGTGTAATGCAGGAGAAAAGGCCAATAATAATTGCACAAATTTGTTGAGCACTTATTCATGCCAGGTACTTTACTGTGCTTTTGAGATATATTACCTTAGTTAATTCTTACAGTAACCCTAGGAAACGTACGTGCTACTATTGTTCCCAAGTCATTTACAGTCAGATCTAGAATTCAAGCCCAGGTTTGGGTGACTCCTAACCAAACTCTTAATCTCTGTGTACTTAAATCTCCCAAGACTAGGAATGCTCTAGGTGTTCAGAGGAAGGAAAGAGAGAATGCATGAATCCTTATTTGTCCACCCTTAATAAGAACAAGGATTGGTAGTGAGTGTCACTCAAACTGAGATCTATAGCATATTTAGCACCATTTTCCCTTGGGATCTTGATGTAGCCTTGGGTTCCCAGTTTTGTATTAGTACTCCAGGAGTAGTGAAATTACCACTGGAAGTATTTCTGCCTGCTTGGCTGCCTTTAAGTAGAGTTCTGGCAGTTCTCTGTCAGGTCAATGGTCACTGCCTTCCTCTGGAACTGGGTCACTATAGAACACTCAGTAAAACCTGAATGATCTCTACCATGTATACAGCTTGAGTTTTGAGCTGTTTTCCTAGGGATGTTGATGGAAATTCAACTGTAATTCTATATTTGGGGATGCCATGGTGTAAAGATGTAATTGTTTTTTCCATTTGGATGAACAGTTGTCACAGAAGCATATGTTAAATATTCCATTCTTTCCTCATGGATTTGTAATGTTATTATTCTTATATAACAATTTTCCTTATATTTGTGAGTCTGTTTCTGGACTCCCTAGTCCATTCTATTCTGTTTATCTATTCATTTCTTCCAAAGCCAATTCACATTGTTTCAATCACAATGGCTGTTATAGGTCATCACATACCTGGTAGAGTAATTCCCCCATCTTCTCTTCCTTTTTTAAAAAAACAATGATATTAGCTATTTCTGAACTTTATCTTTCCATATGATTTTTTTTTTTTTATGGAGTCTCACTCTGTTGCCCAGGCTGGAGTGCAGTGGCGCAATCTCGGCTCACTGCAAGCTCCGCCTCCCAGGTTCAAGTTATTCTCCTGCCTCAGCCTCCCGAGTAGGCTGAGGGATTACAGGTGTCCGCTACCACGCCCGGCTAATTTTTTGTATTTTTAGCAGAGACGGGGTTTCACTGTGTTGGCCAGGTTGGTCTCGAACGTCTGACCTCGTGATCCACCCACCTTGGCCTCCCAAAGTGCTGGGATTATAGGCGTGAGCCACCGCGCCTGGCTCCATATGAATTTTAAAGTGAGTCTTTTAAAAAAATTAGCTGAACACTTTTTCCAGAAATATTTTGTGGTCTGGTAACATACAAAAACAAAAACAAAAAACTCTGTTTGACATGAGATGGGGTTTCTGAATGTGACCTTTAGGCCTATCTTTGAGCACCTGAAATCTTTCATTTCCTGAAACCTCACCACTAAATTTTTAAAGCGCCACTGAACATAGAAAGTCAGAGCTTTAAGCCAGTGAATGACAAATGGTGGGAGTTTCCAGTCCATGGAGAGAATAGGAGCAGAGAAGAAGATGGGAGGACAGATACAGGTGAGAGATGTTAACACAGCCTATTTTTGAGAATTTCCTCCTAGTACCATCCGTTACCCTGTTCCAACAATGAAAAACTACATTATCTAGATTATCCTCTAAAAATTTTGTTCACAGGAAGGCATAATTTTTGCCTTAATTATGACTCCAGCTTTAGAAACTGGAGAAATTTTGGTCTCCCACATTGGTAAAGAATCTCTTTGAGACGGCAAACAACTAGAAACCTGGATATTGTCCTTGGAAGACAAACTAGTCTCCCAATGTAAAAATCGAAGAGATTTTACATTTTTACGATGTAAAAATCTCTTAGATCACAGTCCATCCCTATCAGGGGAACATTATTGCACAAACAAGATGAGCACCAGTTAAAAGGTAATTTCCTGAAATAGTCTCATGTGGAACAAATTGAAAATCCACAGTCCTTCAACAAAGTTTTTTTTTTATTATTATTTGATGTTAAAAAAAAAAAAAAAACCGTTTCACTCTTCACTTCCCTAGCAGATGTTGCAAATTTCAGAAACAGACAGGCACCTTTGGGTTGAAATGAGGAATTGATCCACTTAAAAATGTAAAATTCAGTTCAAAATGTTTAGAAGATAGTGAGTGGGGCCTGGAGAGTACACCTCTGACTTTCAGGATTTCCTCTCTGTGTTATTCAGTTGCCATAAATCTGGCAAAAGCAACACTGTCCTGAATGTGGTGAATGACATTTTTATAGCCTTATTTTAAAAAAAATGGTCTGTGTGTTGGGGATGTAAGAATATAGGATGTTACTATTGATAAGACCTGGAAAATTATTATGTGTTTCAGGAAGTAAATACAATAATACAGTAAAGGGATACAATAAAGGACAGCAATGTTATACTGTGTCACATTTCCCTCTGCCCTTTTTCAGAACACATAATTTTCTTTTTTTCTCCTTTCTCCAGTCTGACTCTACTGCCTAGATGTTAGACTTTGCTGAGTATTGAATTTTTATTTTCTAGAAGAAAAAAAGTTATCAAATACTTATTCTTTCTACAGATATTTATTAATCAGTGCCTATTATGTGCCAGGCACTTTGCTGATCACTAAGGATATAGGAGTGAAAAGACAGTCATAGGCTTTCATGGAGTGTAATGTTTAAAGGGAGTGACAGATAATTAAGTAAATGGGGAAAAAAGCCTGATGAGTGTCATGACAGAGGGATTTAGAGGACAATATTAGGGGACACTTAAATTAATCTTGGGGTCGAGGAGGCCTCCCAGGGGAAGTGGAGTTTAAACCTTGAAGAATGAATGGGAATTAGCCAGGTGCAGAAATGAGGAAAACGTGGTAAAATGCTTATAAGAGAGAAAGAAGAGTCTTTGGGGCAGAGAGAACAGCACATGCAATGGTGCTGTGGCACATGGCAGCATATGTGTTTTGAGGGAGCAAATATATGAGGAAAAATCTTATTTTTAAAACTTTCAAGGTCCAGACTGAAGTACCTAATACTTACCATTTATACTCAATCTGTGGGATAGCATCCCTTAAATTTAGTCAAATAATAAATAGAAAAAGATGCAGACAACTAGACATTATTGGGACCTTGTTTACTTATGAGTCCCTTCACACAAAGAAAAATGGGCCAGGTGCTGTGGTTCATGCCCATGGTTCCAGCACTTTGGGAGGCCAAGGCAGGCAGATCACTTGAGCTCAGGAGTTTGAGACCAGCCTGGGCAACATGGCAAAACCCCATCTCTACAAAAAATACGAAAATGAGCCGGGCACAGTAACACATACCTGTAGTCCCAGCTACTTGGGAGGCTGAGGCAGGAGGATCACCTGAGCCCAGGAGGTTGAGGCTACAGTAAGCCATGATCATGCCACTGCACTCCAGCCTGAGTGGCAGAATGAGACACTGTCTCAAAAAGTAAAATAAAACAATAAAATAAAATAACCTGAAAAAGAATGTACTACGCTCCCCTCAGCTTTGTGTCTCTGCCTCTCGCTCCCAGCCCTCCTCCGTGACTGAGGATAGCATCTCCTCTAATGTTCCTTCCTGGCTCCATTCTCCCCAGATCTGAGTTAGATGTCTTTCCTCTGTGGTCCCACTGCACCTAGTCCTTACCTCTGTCAGAGCACTTTTCACATTGTGTTTATTTTCCAGATCATTCCCATGCTCAACTCTGAGTTCCTTAAGGTCAGAAACAGTATAAAGGAGAGAATACGAGGGAGGTTTGGAGTCAAAGAGTCCTAAGTTGAAATCACAGCCTGGCCACATACTGTGTGGTCTTGAGAACTTACTTAACTACTCTGAGTCTTGGCTTCCTCATCTGTAAAACTGGGATTATAATAGCATATACTTCTCAGCATTGTATGTGAAGTACTTGTCATAGTGCCTAGCTTTAATAGCACTCTATAAAAATTTGCTGAATGGGTGAATGAATGAATGAATGAATGAATAAATGAATGCATGAGTGACAAAATGTAAGGTTTGTTCAAAGGATTGCTTGTTGAGAGCTATCTTGAGACTGTAGCCAATTCAGTAATCAAAGTCCCATCAGCTCAATCCTGGGCATTGTCACCTTAGCTAGAAACTCCAGAGGCACCAGTATCCTGTACTTCCTGTAGGTAGGAAAACAAGCTTCCTACAATGTTGTCCATTCATTGGTTTATTTATTCATCGATTCATGAAGCACTTATTAAGTACTTACTATGTGCCAGGGACTGTTATAGGTGTTAGCAATATAGTGAAGATTTGATTAGAGTATTTATTTATTTATTTATTTATTTATTTATTTGCCAGGATGCTAAACAAATGCATTGTATAAGATACCTTTTTTTTTTTTTTTTAACCCCATAGCAATGCTGGGACCATCTTAGTCCTTCTCATGTTGTATCTACTGTGCCGTATCTACTCGTGTTGCATCTACATCATCCCTCCTTTCCATCTACTACATATAAATATAAATGGATTCTTTTATATCCTGTTGAATTTTAGTCATATGTGCTGAGCAAACAGATGCCAAAAGGAATACTTTTGATCACCTTGAAAAGGAAACCCTGTAGAGAGGGTTACATAAAGAATAGGGGGAGATTTACAGCCCTCTCCCTTGCTTGTATGCTACTGACAATGTGAATCACCTCTGAAGGAAGGGAGGGTTGGGTTTATCTATCACATATGCATCATCTCACCACGGTAGAAGCCGATGCTCTTACCAGTGTTGCTAAGAGGATGAGAGACTTAAAATGATGGCCAAAGATCCAATTCAAACCCAACTATTATCTCTCTTGGGTGGTCCCTATGATCTCAATGTACAGAGGATATTGATATTTTAGGGTTGTTTCATGAACTCACCTTATATTCAAAATGAGAGCCCACTTATATTTTCATTCAGCAAACTTTAGCCGCAGGGCTGCAGGTATACTGCTGGCCAAAGTGTGATTCCTCTTCTTTGAACACTCTTAGTCTAATGGGAGAGGAGGAGACTGATAAATGAACAGTTTGTAACAGTGCAGTCCAGATGGTGGTTAAAAACAGTTAATTACTTGTTTGCAGTCTAACTGGGGCTAGTTACTCAACCTCTTAGAGGCTCAGTTTCCTCATCTATAAAATAGGCATAAGAACAGCATTACCTTAGAAAAACTCTTGTTGAAGAATCAGTGAGATCGTCTATGTACAATGCTTCTTAAGGTGTCTGGAACATTATAAGCCCTCAATAAATGTTAGCTGGGGTTTATTTGTTGTTTGCTTCTATAATGGTTATAATCAGAGGCTATAACAGAATCTTTTTAAAAAATAATTTATACTTTTGGCTGGGCGCGGTGGCTTATACCTGTAATCCCAGCACTTTGGGAGGCTGAGGTGGGCGGATCATGAGGTCAAAAGATTGAGACGATCCTGGCCAACATGGTGAAACCTCAACTCTACTAAAAATACAAAGAAAAAAAAAATTAGTTGGGTATGGTGGCAAATGCCTATAATCCCAGCTACGTGGGAAGCTGAGGCAGGAGAATCGCTTGAACCCGGGAGGTGGAGGTTGCAGTGAGCCGAGATTGTGCCATTGCACTCCAGCCTGGGCGACAGAGCGAGACTCCATCTCAAATAATAATAACAATAATTTACACTTTTATTTTAGATTCAGTGGGTACACATTCAGGTTTGTTACCAGAGTATATGATGCTGAGGTTTGGGGTATGAATTATCTCGTCACTCGAGTAGTGAGCATGGTATCCAATAGGTAGTGTTTCAGTGCTTGTCCACCTCCCCCCTCCCCCAGTAGTCCCCAGTACCTGTCGTTCCCATCTTTATGTCCATGTGTACCCAATGCTTAGCTCCTACTCATAAGTGAGAACATACACTACTTGGTTTTCTGTTCCTGCATTAATTCACTTAGGATGATGACCTCCAGCTGCATACATGTTGCTGCAATGGATATGATTTTTTTCTTTTTTATGGCTGTGGGGTATTCCATGGTGTGTATGTGCCACATTTTCTTTATCCAATCCACAGTTGACAGACACCTAGGTTGATTTCATGTCTTTACTATTGTGAATAGTGCTGTGATAAACATGCGAGTGCACGTGTCTTTTTGGTGGAACGGTTGCTTTTCTTTTGGGTATATACACAGTAATGGGATTTCTGGGTTGAACGGTAGTTTGTTTTAAGTTCTTTGAGAAATCTCCAAACTGCTTTCCGTAGTGGCTGAACTTATTTACATTCCCACCAGCAGTCCATAAGCATATAACAGAGTTTTGAACAGAGCACTGTGGAAACACTGAGAGGATGTGGCCAGTTTGACACAGGCAAGGTGGCATCAGAGCTGCATGTGGAGGGCTGAGTAAGAGGTGAGCAGAAGGAGAAGGAGTGGCAGGGCAGTCTAGGCCTCCTGCACAAAATATCCACAGTTGCCAGGGCGTGAAAGTACCAGAACCGTTCCGAGAAGTTCTGTAAGGTGAATGGGTGACAGCCAAAAATGATCCTTAGGCACAGGGCTGGGGAGACATAACTGCCACAGATAATGGTTTGAAATTTACTCTACTCAGTAGGAAACCAGAAGAGATAGCCAGAGGAAGTCTTCCAATTATTCCTTTTAGTTCTACCTATGACCAGCCTACTCAAAAAACAGATGTGGCTTTTAGCAACATGAGTGCATGTCTGCACGCTTAGAAAGTGTGAAATATAGTGGAGGAAAACAAAGAAATTCTGTGATAATAAAAGCTAACATTTGTTTAGAACTTTACAGATTTCCAACAGTCTTCATATGCAAGATCTGTTTTAAGCCTTATTGTATCCCCGTGATTTGACATTACTAAGTTCTCTAGTTTGTATAGAGGGAAATTGAGGCATAGAGAGGTCAAACTACTTTTACAAGATTGCACAATTAGGAAGTTATGAAGTTGGGGCTGTAAGCCCATGTTCTTTCTCCAAACTCAGGCATTTTGCAAAAATAATCTTTTCTACTATCGCAACTCTTTCATTTCAACCTACAGTATCTTTCCCTGAGAGAAAATTTTTAATCATCTATTAAAAAATAGATCTTCCCCTCACTGGTTTGCTTCTCTACTGCTGAAATCTCCTTTACCAGCATTTCCCTAGTCTTTGCCTCAGCTATTTTGTGTCTTTGATATCTGGACTTTCCATTTTTATGATCATCTTATATCTTAACTTTCTCCAGACCTAGACAACTGAGAAGGTTTGCAGTTTAATTAATCTGTCACTTTACTGCAGGAGACTTATCCATTTTTAAGATGATTCTGTCCTTATTCAGCAAAACTGCCCTCTTGTTCACTACCTCTTGATAGAAGCAGCTCATCCTAATAACCTCACATTTCTCCAGCTTCCCTAACTTTCTCCTTGCATTTTCTTACCTTCTGCCTTGCTCAGAATTTCTCAGCCATATTCTGTTTGCTCTAAGCCTGGAAATGTTCGAGATGTGAACTACTTGTATAGGAAAAGCCATTAGGTGGAAAGGCCTTGTGATCAATGGCCACCCTCATGTTTCCAGGGCCTCTTAGGAGAACTCATGGAGTCTGCCTGCATTTCCCCCATAGCCTCCTAGATCCCACGCCCACAGATGGGACATCCCATGTAGCACTGTGGGCCTGCTGCACTCCACAACATGAACCCACATTCCACATCAGTCGTCTCACTAGCTGGGTGGTCCAGGCTCCATTCTGGGGAGCCTTGCCAGCTGCTCCTGCCTGGCTACCGGGCAGTCTGTAAAGCTTTGACATGTGTGGGAACTGTGCTGAAAAGCGAGGCGGTAAGGCTGGGCTCGGCAAGTGGGTGCATTGGGAATTAATATAAGAAAAAGGAGGTCCTCCAGAGGCCTCAAGACTACCCAGCAACAAAATATGCAAACAGTGACTCCATCATATGGCAACAATGCCGTCTGCAGCTTCTCCCCTTGTACCTCTGCCCATCGCGACTGCAAATCAGGAAGGGACGCAGTGTGGTTGAACCTCCCTGATTGATGAGGGTCCAAGTTTTCTGTCAGTAGCATAGTGGGCTGAGTGGCCTGCCAGGGATCGTCCATTCCAGCCTGCCCACTGCAGAGGGGCTTCATCCTCTTCTAACTTCTCATTCCTGAACTCTTTTCCTCACTGAATCTTGCTCAGCTCTACCCAGCCCCAGTCTTGGGGATCCCCTGCATGCCTTACCTTCTTCAGATACAGTATCTTTAGCAGTCATTTTTTTATAATGTGACAATTGCCTGGTTCTATTTAAACACAAAGATACCATCATCACTGGTTTTGAGGTTAAGCGTCATGTCTACTGGCCTAGTCCATCTGCCCATCTGTTCCAAACATCCTCATTGTCATAATACTGCCTTACCTGTAAAAAACACTTTATAATGGGCCAAGTGCTTCCTCAAACATCCTTTCATCTGATCCTTGTGAGTGAGATCCCAGTCAGCCTCATTATGGGCCACATTAGACACATATAATTAGCTTCATTTTCCATAGGCTCAGAGAGGTTAACTGATCTGTCAAGGTCACACAGAAAGTAAGTGGCAGAGCCAGCACTCAAACCCATGTTTTTTGCCTCTTAGCCTAGTGCTATTTCCTCTACAGATATTCGGGGGACAGATAGACAGGGACAGTGAGGGCTAACTAAATCCAACCACTGTCACATATGCTTATGGGCCCCAGTGACCCTTTTCAAATCAGCTCCCCAGTGTCCTTCTCTACCCTTCCCACCAAGCGAAAGACTAATCCTTCTAAAAGCCCTCTGCTCTCTGTTTGCTACCTTAATCCCCAAGATCCCATCTGTTATGTCTCTGGATGCAGATACACATGGCCCATTTAACTGCATGATTCAGGGCATAATGAGAAAGGCAGGAAACTGGGACAAAATTTCCTGATTATAGGACAGGCACTGGGGTCTCAGGAAAGATTCAGGACGGGAGCTAGCGATGGAGATCATTGTGGCAGACAGAATACAGCACCAGATAACCCTTGGGAATACTGTTATGAGCAAAATGAAATTCAACGTAGTTTCTTCAGGGTGCCCTGACCTGTGAATGGATCACATGGTTGGAGGAGCAGGAGCAGTGATAGAGATCCAGCCAGCCCTAGGGTGCCAGCCCTAGGCAAGGCAGCTCCTCCCATCCTAGATGGCCTGGCCTACAGAGACCCCAGCTTAGTCATGGACACATGGCAGGAATCCTTCAACCTGAACCAGGTTCAAGGTAGGAACTCTGTTTCAAGAACAGAGGCAAAGCCTTACTTTCAGAACCACAGTCTTGGATCTGGGTTGCACCTGGAGCCCAGCTTCAAGGCAAAGAGGAATGCTGGGACTGGGAAGAGGCAGGACATGGCATCCCTCAGTTCTTGGCATTACCCTCACAACCTCTGTTAATCAGGATGGGTGAAGTTATGTAGCAGTAACAAATAATGTCAAAATCTCAATGGCTAAAACACAGAATTTTCTTTCTTACACTGTACGTGCACGATGGGGGAAAGGGGTTCTGCCCATCATAGTCACTCTTGGACTATAGGTGTTGGAGCAGCCACCAACCAGGACATTGCCAGCCGCTGTACCAGAGAGAAAAGCGAGTCCTCAAGTGGCTAGCATTAACAAATAAATTCTTAGCCAGAGAGAGACACACATTACTTCAGCTCACAACTCACTGGCTTGAGCTAACCAGAAGTCCCAGCCACCTACAAGGAGGCCAGGATGTGCAGTCCTACCTTAGGCCCAGTAGACAGAGAGCCGCAGGCATTCAGTGAGTAGCCCACAAGGAGGCTTTCATCTGCTGGGGTCATGATGGATTCGTATCCTCCCCCTCTAGTTGGGAAACTAAAGCACCAGTTACAGAAACCTGAAATATATCGATTTTCCATTCATTTAACAAATATTTATTAAGCACTGCTGTGAGTAAGGCCATGCTGGTGGTTGTAGATACAATGGTGACCAGATACAGTCCTTCCTTCAAAGAGCTCCCAGTCTAATGGAGAAGAGAACAAACCTATACAGTGTGACAAGAGCTTCAACAGGGAGAAACCCAGGAATCTATGGAAGCACATAGGAGAGGTGACTGATTTAGGCTCAAGGGTGAAAAGATCAACTTGAGGAAGGCTTCCACATTTACATATAACTCTACTCATAAATATAGATATACATAAACACACCACAAAAGAAAAAAGAAAAAAAGGGAAGAAATCCATAATTCCTAGCACTATTTATCCCCTATTTCCTTCTATCCATATAGCATAGTTGTCCCTACTCTTTTGAGACTAAACTTCAAAGAGGAGAGTTTCTGGTTTTATCCACCAAAGGCTAGGTCTGGAGTTCTCGTGACTTAAAGGTAATTCAGTTTGAAAGGGAGTAATGGCCATTCTGTCTCTCTCATTCTGACCAAAATTTTCTTCCTTACACTCTGCCACTAAGACTTAAAATTCCTGTTTTATTCATTTATATGATTAATGTGTAAAATATACTGTAAAACTGTAAACATTGTCTGAAAGCAGACATACAATAACTCCCTACCACCTTAGCTCACAGTAGTGTATCCATGAAGCTTCAGTCACCTAGCTCTCATCAGTTCACACGTGGCCTGCGGATCCACTGCATCAGAATCACATGGAGCTCGTTAGAGATTCAGAAACTCAGTGCCCCAGTCACCCCCTCCCTTAACACCTACCGAATAAGGCTTTGCCTTTTAACAAGATCCCAAAGTGATTCATATGCACATTAAAGTTTGCAAAGTCCTGACCTAGCTGAGAACAAGAGAAATTGGCCATAAGTTAGATACATTTTGATACCAAAAAGGAGACCTTTATAAATCTGAGTCATGTGGTGCTAATAGGAAGGCAAGTGTGGGTTAGACTTCAGAAGCTGGCAGAAGAAGCAGACTATAGAGTCCTGGGCAGAAGAGAGTTGCTTTTCAAAAATGAGAATCTGATGGAGAGGGGAAAAAGCAGCAAAAGGGAGTTTTGAAGGCACTTTTGCCTGGGGATACTCTTGGCAATATTTGATGGTCTTTATTGGAGTTTAGAAGTGAAGTAAGGGTCCAGAAAAACCCTCCCAATTACTCTTCCTTTTCCCCCTACTAAATCTGTGTGTGCAAGGTTGTTCCCTCTGCATGCACTCCCCTTCACTGACTGGCACCTCCAACATTGACCATGTAGAGAATGTGAATCTATTAACTAGAAAGTGCTTCGCAGCCTCTTTAAACAGCACTTAACGACTGAATAGCGTAAACTCCAGAGCTAGGAGACTCAGAGGGACAACCAAAGTTTGAACTTTGAGTCATAAGTATGGAGAAAAACGTATAAACTAGCAACTGGATTTTTGAACAAAAGTTTTACTTAAAATGGACTTTGATGTATAATCATATTCTTCCAATATTAAGGTCTTCTAAGTTTTACCATTTCCCCAGCTAGACTGTTTCCAGTAGCTTTTCAATCCACTATTCACTGCCAGGTGTCTGGTTCTACATGTGTATTATTATTATTATTATTATTATTATTATTATTATTATAATTATTATTATCAGCCCTTGGCTGCTGAAATGGCTAAAATGGGGAATTTAAATTATTTTTACAGGACTCAGAAAGTTAGGTTACCTTAGCTAAAATAAAATCTGATATGCCAGGAGTTATATCTCAAGTGAGTGAGTGACTAATTTTTTCCATAACAATTTTCCATATTATGGCTCTAACTGTATTTTATTCAAAAACTTGTCTGTGATTTTTGGAGCACATTCAGCATGCATTCCTACCCAGAGGACCCCATGTTGAAGCTAATAGCTTCCTGTTGCAAGGTATTAAAGACCAAACCCTACAGAGATTATATTCAAAATGATTGTTATGATCAGGATGATAGCCAAAGACTATCACTGGCACTATTATAACTTCACTAGCCACACTTATTAGCAATATTACTTGCTATATAACTAACTATATATAATCAGAACTTATATACTAAATTGTATATATTATAAAGCAGAAAAAATAAGGGGAAGAATTTACATTAAGGCATTTGCCATTTTTTATTTAAACTATTCTCATAGGCATAAAACCTAAAACTCACCTTAAGAAACAAACAAAATAAACAAAAAACCTCCACATTTTCTTCTGCTACCTCTCTATTTTTCTGCTTTACAGCCATACTCCTTGAAAAAAATTATCCCCAATCCTAACTCCCTACTTCTCTTCTCATTTTGTCTCAAACTCATTTCAATCACGTTTTTGTCTCTAGATTTCCAGTGAAACTGCTCTTGTCAAAACTATTAGTGATATCTACATTGCCAATTCCAGTGGTCAATTCTTAACTCTCAGCCAGGCGCCGTGGCTCACACCAGTAATCCCAGCACTTTGGGAGGTGGAGGCAGGCATATCACTTGAGGTCAGGAGTTCAAGACCAGGCTGGCCAACATGGTGAAACCCCATCTCTACTAAAAATTAGCCAGTCATGGTGGCAGGTCCCTGTAGTCTCAGCCACTTGGGAGGCTGAGGCAAGAGAGTTGCTTGAACCTGGGAGGCAGAGGTTGCAGTGAGCCAAGATGGTGCCACTGCACTCCAGCCTGGGCGACGGAGCTTGACTTATCAGGAACATCGAATCCATTAATCACTTCCTTTCCTTGACATACTTTCTTCTCTTAGCTTTCAGGACACAACTCATTCATGGTTTGCACTCTCCTTTGCTAGTTTCTTCTTCATATACCAGACTTCCAAACGATGGGGTGTCCAGAGGACAGTTACTGTACTCCTTTTCATCATCTATACTCACTCCCTAGGTGATAGCATCCAAATTCATGACTTTCAGTATCTTTTCTATGCTGACAACTCCTAAATTTCTATTTCTAGTCTATATTTCTCTCCTGAACTCCAGACTCATATATCAAGTTGCCTTCCTGACATCTCCACTTGGATGTGTAATAAGCATCTCAAACTTGACATATCCCAGGTTAAATTCCCTATTTCCAACTCCTCCAACTCCCTCCCCACAGAAAGCAAAACTGTTTCACAGTCTTTCCCATCTCAGAAAATGATAACTCTATACTTCCCTATACTCAGGCCAAAATCTCATAGTTGCTTATTAGTGGCTCTACCGTCAGAGACTATGTGGAATCCAGCCACTTCCCACTGCTACCACTCTGGCCCAAGCCCCTGCCATCTCACCTCTGAATTATTCCTGTAGCCTTCCTTACTCATCTTCTTTCTCCGTACAAACTATTCACCACATAGCTGACAGAGTGATCTTTAAAACATATATCATGTCATTCCTCTGCTCAGTATCCTCTAATGGCTTTCCTTATTATTCAAGTAAAAGCTAAAGTTCTGACAGTTGCCTACGAAGCCCCACAGGACCATGTCTCCCCTGCTTCTCCACCCCTGCACCCCACCGCCAATCTTGCCTCTTGCACAGCAGCACAGTGGCCTGCTTGCTAGGCTTCAGGCGGATGAAACATGCTCCCACCTCAAGAACTCAGGACTTGAAATCCCTCCACTGTGCACAAGGCTCTCCCCTCACTTCTTCCAGGTCCAATGTCATCTTATCCTAGAAGTCTTCTCTGCTCACCCTACCCACTCCTACCTGTACCAGCAACACACCCCGCCTCCAGCCCTGTTTTCTTTTTCTTTATAGTATTTATCATCATATATTATTTGTTAAAATGTCTATTATCTGTCTTCCTACACTAAAATGTTGGTTTCATGAGGGCCAGAGCTCTGATTTATTTACCACTATAACCCCAGTTATTATTGTAGGCACAGTAGGAATGCAAATGTATTTGTTTTATGGAAGGAAGGAAGGGAGGGAGGGAGGGAGGGAAGGGAGAAAAGAGGTGGGGAGGGAGGGAGAGAGGGAGGGAGGGGTAATCTCTCAGTGTGCTTTGGTTTTTAAGACTTCAGTTACCTGCACTTTTTCAGAAATCAAGGTATGCATAACCAAAGCACATCTGCTTTTCCAAACTGGATTTAGATTCGCCATTTACTAACTAACAAATGTTGTGCAATTTAGCTAACTTGTCTAAGCCTCATTTTCCTCATCTATGAAATGGGAGGAATAGTAAGATCTACCTACCTCAAAAGAATGTTGTAAAGATTAAACAAGGTAATCAAATTGTTTAGTAATATGCCTTCCACATATCAAGCCCTCAATACATGTTGAGTATTATTATTATTACTGATTATTCCTCACATAGTTAATTGCCTTTAAAATTACTACACTTCAGTATTATTCTCAGAAATTTTACATTTTATATAGTTTCCATATATCAAAAGAAAGGGTTACTAGCAACATTTGGCTGATTCTTTATCTCCCTTTTTTGAGCCATTTAAACAAATCTTTTCTATAGAGTTTCTGGATCTGTTCCTCCTAAATTCAAAAAAGTCTCAGATTAGAACACAATCCGAAAGCACTCTAAATTGAAAGTTTAGTCTTTAGGATACTAACAATAGTTATTATATGGACCCTTTTTTAATGTCCCTAAAGTCCATAATTCCACACAAACTACGATGAGAAGGGCAATCTGCATATTTGTGTTTATATGAACATAGGAGCCCTTCTTCTTCTTCCCAAAAGCTTTTGTAAAATGTCATCATAGTTAGCTTTTATCCCCACAAAAAGTGTTCCTCCTAGAATCTGAATATCTCTGCTAGACAGTATGGTATGTGCTCCCTTCAAACTTAGGAGAGGTGGGGACTCTAAAACATCAACAGAAGTAAGGTGTGAGAGGCATGGTGGAGGGACAGGGGTCTGGCAAGGGTGTTGAATCTGATGCAAGTGGTAATCTGGTAATCTGATCACCACCAGAGAGCTTCCTGTGGCTGCTAGGAGCAGGATGGGCAGAATGACTCTTTGATCTCCAGCTTTCATCTTCTAGTCTTTCTCTCCCCTCCCCTTCACTTTTTTGCTCTCTGCTCCCTCCTAATGTGCACTGCCCACCCACCCTCCCCCCATGTACACGTAGGCAGTGTCTGTTCTCATGATCAGTCAGAAAGCAGTTCCAGATTCATGGTGTAAATTGGAGGACAGTTCACTGAACCAAACAGTCTATCTACATGAGATACAGAGACCCAATCGGATTTCTTGATATAAGTGGATCATTTATTTAAATAAATAAGTTTAAATAAAGTTTAAATAAAGATTAAGTTTTGAACAAAAGGACTTTAGAAGCGACCTGATGATGCCCCAAATACGTCTTTTATGTACATTCCCTAGGGCCAGCCATGCATGTATTATCTCTAATACATACCTCTCCTGAAATTTCATTCTTTCCTTTATACTGTACTGACCTGAGAAGTTAAATAATAATAATAATAGTCACCACATTAACTGAGCCTTGTCAGTATGAAGCACCTCATATGCATTCTCTCCTTTAATCCCTACATTCATGATTCAATATCATTAATGAGAACATTAGATACCTTAAGACTGGACTAACTTGTTCAGAATTTAAACCCAGGTCTGTCTAAGTACAAAGTTCATATTCTTAGTATCTAATGCCATAAAGCCTGCAGACAATTCACTTATTTTTCAGGTCACTTTGGTCTTCCCCATGGCATAAAGGATCTTCTACACATTTTGGTACACATGGGTCATCACTAATATGTCTTCATGAATTGCCCCCCCCCCCTTTTTTTTTTTTTTTGCCTTCTTAGCACTTTCATTTTATGGTTAGCTCTTCCACATCTATTGAATTGGCCCAATAGAAAACATGTCAGAAGCTTCATTCTTTTATATTTCACAGTAAACCATAATGGTCAACCAGCTGGAGTACAGTGTTTACAAAATACTTTTTACACATATTATCTCAATTAAAACTCACTGCTACCCTGGGAATTGGGCACCTTACTACTTTTATAGATGAGGAAACTGGGGTTTGGAAAAATGAAGCTACTTATTCAACGTCATATTACTCCTATATCAAATGCAGATCCTATATAACTGAACTGTACTGTTATGTAGTAGCTTAAATTGCTTCATGTTTCCATATGAAGTGCCAATAGTATAGATTTACCACCACTTTAGATCAAGGGCTCTGGCTGCCTTAGTTTTGTATTATTTCTTTTCGGATATTATGGCAGGGCTCTGGAGTCAGGCTGCCTGAGATAGACTTTTGGCTCAATCACTGACTAACTAGATGAAGTATTTAGCTTCTCCAAATGTCAGTTCTCTCATCTATAAAATGGAGATACTAATAGGGTGGCTAGTACATAGATGGTTATTATAGTTATGAAATGTGATCGTGTATAAAGTGCCCAGTGTAGTGACTGATATGGAGAAAGTGTCCAACACATGATAGCTATTATAGTTATTGATGAATTAATGACTCAAACATGCATTGGAATTTCTTTGAGATTTGCATACCCCATGATTTGGAAATTGCTTCAATGTTCCATGCCATCTACACATAGTTTTAAGTCCTTTAACTTGTAATTGATTTAAGTCTTTGTTCTAAGACTTTGACATAAGCCCCCAAATGTTACAAGTGGAGCTTCAAATTAGAGAAAGAGGATAAGCAGACCAGTTCAAGTCAAATATTGTTTTAAAAGTATGTTTGTGTGAGGTGAAGTTGACGTACCCTAACTGCAGAGATAACACAGAACCAGTTAGAGTTTTTTACTACAAGTTGAATTGAGTCAAAATAATCAATTGGTTGGTTTGTAAGAATGTAGTTTGAGACCACCTGAAAACCTGAAAGCTTTCTCTCTACAATTCATCACTGTTTTCCTTCTCAGTTCAGAGTTCACCGATGTTAGTTTTAAATGTTGATTCCAGGAGGCTGTGGTTAAGTTCATTTTCTGAATGTGGTTTCCTCTCAGGCTGCTTTGATATTAATGTGAGTCAACAACCACTGTGTCATCCCTGTCGCAAGGATCCCTGTGGAGAGCCTAGTTACCAATAATAAGGTAGTCTTTTTGTTCGTAGAGTGGCATTGTCATTTCCCATTCCTCAGTGAATATACTCAGTTTAAAGAAACTGCAGCTGTATACTAAAATGCTGAGTATACTGGGAGAATTGCATATTTTATACTTTTGAGACAAGAAAGATTCCCTTGTCCCCCTCGCAGGGTGTGAGATGGGGAAGTGGCTCGCTTCATCAGTGCCCCGCTGATCAAACCTCTAAGGGAGCATACATACAGGCAGGCTGTGGGGCTGCGACCCCACGGCCATGTCTAGGGGTGAATGTTTACGGCTCCTGAAGCCCCAGTGGGCATGTGTTACAGCGTGCTCTCTTAGTTTGCTGTCTATAGGTGGCTTGTGTTAACCAGCTCAATTAGATCCCCTTCCTTATCACAAGGACAGAGGGCTTTCTGTATCCTGGGTTCCTGCCTTGGTGTACAGGAAGAATCAGATCACACGTGGGCTTGAAGAAAGAATGCAAAGTTTTATTTAGTGGAAGTAGCTCTCAGCAGATGGAGGAACCAGAAGGAAGATGCTCTTTCCCTGGAGGTGGGCTGCTCGGTGGCCCTGGCTCTCCTCCAACAGCCCCACCTCGTCCCGCCAGTGTCCTGCTGACGGCCTGCAGGCGCCAGTGCTTGTGCGTGTGCTCCTCTGCCAGTGTGCTCCTCTCGACGTCTGGCTGCCTTTGTGTCTACTGCTAGGGTCTGGGGTTTTTATAGGCCCAGGATGGGGTTGTGGCAGGCCCAGGTGGTCTTGGGAAATGCAACATTTGGGCAGGAAGTGCCTGTCCTCACCTAGGTCGTTGGAGTGGAGCCCTTGCCAGGGACCTGCCTTTCTCTACCCAGTACTTTGCTTCCCCCATTCCATGTCATTTAAAGGGACCACACTCTTCCCTTCCTAGCAGTCCTGTATCACTTTGTGGTTGGATTTTATACTTTAGCTTTTATATTGTAGATGGACTAGTTATAATCTACTACATGAGCTACTGGAGACCTCACATTACTTAATTCTGATTACTTTGAAGAGAGAAGTGAATAGATACAAAGAATGCTTAGGGTTATCTCATTTTGTTGTTCTTAAATGTGACATTTGTTATTGGAAAAACAATATGTTTGTTGATACATAACCTACTTCCCTTGATCATTTTAAAAATTTCAATTAACCCTTGCCCCTCACCTCTCAGAAATCTGTATCTCATAACTCTCTCTTTTCACCTGAGCTCCTAGCAGTTTACAGGCAACATGGTCATCAGTGAAATGTACATGTTGAAAGAGAGAAAATAAAAACCCTCCAAGTTAGTCTGTTAAGGTGAATACATATGCTATTGCATGACCAACTAAGATAGATAATGCCCAGACAGGTCATAAAAAAGACACAGGAAAAGGGAACATTGAATAAAATGGTGGCAGCATTAGTTGACTTTATAATTCTGTTGCCTTGTGAAACAGAATTATTTGAAAGAGGTTTCTGAAAATGTTTTTGTTGCTTGTCAAAGCATGGTGCTTTGACAACACAGAAGCTATTTTTATGTAGAAACAGTAGTGAAGGTATCTTCTGTTCACTGCACAACTAAATTATAGCAACTTATCATTGTGTTGCTTAAGGAAACAAACAGATTTCAAAGGTTTATTCTAGAAAACAGTGTTTAATCAATTTCTTATACTGTCTTTGAACATAATCTAGTAAGCAGATGTGGAGTTAACGGCTTATTATGTTCATACTCCCTATATCCATTCAGAGTCTGCCAGGCTCAGAATAAAAGTCAAGACATGTGCACATAGAGACTCTGTAGATGTTTGTAGCATTTGAAATTAAAATAGTGAGAAGGCTGCCTGGGCGTCCCTTCAGACATGGCACAGTGGAGCACAGAGACAGGAAATATGCCAGACTGCCTCTGTAGGAGGCTGCTGTGAACACGTGCAGCAAGGAACAGGGAACCGCTTAATGATTAATCACTGTCAACCTTTGTTCTCGTTAAAGACTTGATTGTTGGACAAGGCTTGTAATGAGGGACTGTTTTGGTGTCTGTTGCTATGAGATTGTGTTCACTGATCCTCAGTTGATGTAAGCCGCTGTTCTCTTTTTGCCCAAGTCGAATGAACTTGAATGAAAATGCTCTCACAGTGCCTGCTAGTGGTGCTTTCAGAGGAGGTTCTGGGCATTCTGTTTACCAAATGCTACTGCAGCTCAAAAACGGAGAACAGGTAACTAAGAGTTTGGCTCAGCTGAATTTTGGCATATGAGATTTATGAAATTTTAGCAAATGTTTTAAAAGTTTGATTCTAAAAGACGTAAATAAAAGTAGATTTTATGGTAGTAATGGAATAAAAACCCTTCAACACACCCACACACCTTTTCTTTTTAACAAGCACAGATATTCAAGAATCAAAATTTTAAATTGTTACCATTTCTCTTGACTTCTATAAATAAAATATTAAATTGTGTTTTGCAAACCAAATTCTTAAACCACCAACTCATGTGAGAGGTGGGAATATGTCTTGGCATTTTCCTAAAGGCTAAGAAAAAAAATTCCATTTATTCTGTCATTGATTACAGCTTGCAGACTTTTATATAACCATTTTTTTGTTTGCTTGTTTTTAGATTCAAGGGGTACATGTGCAGATTTGCTCCATGGTTATATTGCATGATGATGAGGTTTGGGCTTCTATTGATCCCGTCACCCAAATAGTGAACATAGTACCCAATGGGTACTTTGTCTGCCCCAGCCTCTCTCCCACCCTCCCCCTTTTGGAGTCCCCAGTGTCTGTTGTTCCCAGCTTTATGTCCATGTGTACTCAATGTTTAGCTCTCACTTATAAGTGAGAACATATGGTATTTGGTTTTTCTTTCTGTGTTCATTCACTTACAAGAATGGCCTCCAGCTGCATCCATGTTGCTACAAAAGGACGTGATTTAATTCTTTTTTATGGCTATGTAGTATTTCATGGTGTATATGTACCATATTTTCTTACTAATTCAACATTGGTAGATACCTTGGTTGGTTCCATGTCTTTGCTTTTGTAAACAGTGTTGCAATGAACATATAAGTGCAGGTGGCTTTTTGGTAGAATGACTTATTTTCCTTTAAGGTAGATACTCAGTAATAGAATTGCTGGGTCAAATGGTAGTTCTATTTTTAGTTCCTTGAGAAATCTCCAAACTGCTTTCCACAGTGGCTGAACTACAATTCCCACCAGCAGTGCATAAGCATTCCCTTTTCTCTGCAACCTCATCAACATGTATTATATTTTGACTTTTTAATAAGAGCCATTCTGACTGATGAGAAATAGTAAGCATAACCATTTTTGAATATTTTACTGCAATAAAATATCAATGGAACATTTTAAAGGAGGAAAAAAACAGTATTTTTAAACTTTAAAGAATATTTTTCTGGATTAAAGTGACCTTATAAAACTCTGAATTTCTTCTAAACATAATTGCATCATCATGAAATTACTTTTAAAATATATACTTATATGAAAGTACTAATATAGAACAACTAAAACTGTTAGTGATATTCTCAGATTATGCTTACTATCCCCAGGCAAAAATATTTCTCTGTCTCTCTTTCTCTCTCTTTCTAACAAATGCAATCTGCTATAGTTTTTTGATGTGTCTGCATGAAGCAACTTTTCTTGTGTTTTACATCTGTATATAACTTTTTGGTTCAAAATACTATGTGTCTCTATTGTTCTCTCTTTTTTCATTCGCCACTATTCTTAACTCATCTACATTGTAATCAGGGAAGTTGAGTAGGGACTGTTTGTACCTCAAGAAATCTAAAATGTAGCCTCTGTCAGCATCCTATGCCCCTACCTGGTCTACAGGTAACTATGAATGTTCCACTTGATCCCAGAAGTGATTCTGTCTAACCCAAGGACCTGTCTCTTGTTAAGTGTCCCCTACATATAAAAGTAGGAAGGGACTGGGGAATGGCCAATCTGCCCCTGTATCTTCTAGTAGATTTGCTCTAAATCTTCCCACACAGGAAAATCAGTTTTTTATATAAATCTCTAAATAGTAATCCAGTTTTCTTAGAAATAGTCACAGTGTATAACTTGTAAACACTTTAATTTTCAAAGTCTTGCTTCTATGTTTAAATATGTATCCATATATAATTAGGATATAGAATGTAAATTTTCTCTGAACACAGTATCTATCTGTTGAAGTTATGATGGAGTAATATAATTAAGATAGAAAGCAGAAGGTTTATAATGATAATGATAACTATAATTGGTTTGGTCTTTTAAGACATATTACAGTTTGCAGTAAGTAGATCATTCCCGAAGCTCCAAATTGTTCCTGATTCAGTTCATAGAACTGCAACCCTCTAAGGAACATCTTTTCATAACCCACGCCTTATAAATCCTGTTAGGCCTGATTGGTTTTTTATCCTTGACCATAGATACTTATATTAAGGAATACATGACCTTTTTGTAAAATTGGTTCTTGAACAGATGTCCTTGGGCAATATTTCTAGTAGCTGACCTAAAATCCTAGGGCTAGGGGGAAAACGTATCAAAATAAATCACTCTCTACACAACATTGTGAATTATTATTTGCATTTAAATAGAAACAGTACAGCCCTCCTTCACTGTAACAAATGTTTACAGGTAAATAACTGTGCTTTTCCTGGCTTCCCTAAGAAGTGAAGATATATGTCAATGCTTACGTTGTTTTCTTCTACCTTCTGAAGAGCAGTGCAGTAGAGTAGTAAGTACACAGTTGGTTCTACTAATGTTAGATTTGACTGGAAGTTATTCACCACATACCAATAGTCTCTCCTTGATTTCTTTGTAAATAACAAATATAGTTAAATTACTGAAATAAACTAAATTATTCAGATCTTTAGTGCTTTCCCTATATATAAAAAAGAAACCATTCCACTTTATCTTATGACCAGGACCCAGTTAAATTCAAAGATTAGCACCTTCCTGGTATAGAAAGCAATAGTAGGGTGTTTGAATGAATGGCATATTATCTGGGGAAAAGCCATGAACCCAGCTGTCAGATCAAGGTAAAGAAAATACGTGAGAAAATATTTAGATTTAATGAAGATGTAAAGGAAAAGTTGCAGCGCTGAGGTGCAGAAGGACTGCTATACATGCGAATGGCCATCGTTAGCATTAAGTGATTAAAGGAACTGAATTGTTCTTCCTTCCATATGACCTATATGGCTAGTCAATTGCACATTAATATTACATCTAACAATATTATTTTGCCTCCAAAGAACTCAAAATACTTTCATTTAGTTAACTCTCAAAATATTTATTAACATAACACCTTCCCCAAATGAAGTACTATTGCTTACCCAATACCTTGAAAAAAGCAACTTTTAAAAATGATGCTAGAATTTCAGCGGTGTCAATACAGCTGTGTCTTCAGGAAGAAAACTGAAGTGAATACCTGGCAAGGGTTAGATAAATATGATGAACTTCAACCAAAAATCTATCAAGGAAATCATGTCCTGGGATGAGATAATCAAGCTGTTCATTTTATACCAAAACAGCTAGTTGACTCCGTTAGTTTAGTTAAATAATTTTTAGGCCAATTATTTGGCAACATGTACATGAAGCAAATAGTTGACTGATTTTAAATTTCCATGATACTCAGTGGTGTGGCATTTCTCATGCTTGGCCCAAGTTCTGTTAACTTTATGGAGAAGAGGGCTGTTTTTAAAACTTGTTTTTGTTTTTCTTCTGAGGATGGCTAGATAACAATATTTTCAAATTCTAAAGAGGATCTAATTGGCTCAAATTTAGTCACAGTTTTGATTTAAATATTTAGAAATGTTCAGATATGTACTCAGTGAACTGTTATTTGGATCCAGCCAGCAGCTGAAAAGTTGTTCCAGTCCCAAATGTATATCATTTTAAAAAAGCACCACATGAATCTGGAAAGTACAAAACAATGTAAACATTGGTAACTGCACGATATATCAGTCTCCCTTCCTGCATTCTCTCCTGATCAGCAGTGAGGAACATAAGCCACAAATGTTTACCAAATTGAAAAATCACTGGACAGTTATGTTCAAATCAAGGATCTGTTTTCAGTTACAAGTAACTAGAATCCGATACAACCAACCTACCCAAATTGCTGAGGAAAAAAAAGGTTAAAAGTTCACGTAAATCTGTGTGTGTTGAATTTACATTCAAGGTTTTAATCACAAATGAAAAGGTTTATATATTATATTGAACTGACATTAATAAGTACTCCCAGGTAAAACATGTTGTTATATGATATGTAATATTGATATTCGTCATTTCACTGAAAAATTTTTTTTTTTTTTTTATACTTTAAGTTTTAGGGTACATGTGCACATTGTGCAGGTTAGTTACATATGTATACATGTGCCATGCTGGTGCGCTGCACCCACTAACTCGTCATCTAGCATTAGGTATATCTCCCAGTGCTACCCCTCCCCCCTCCCCCCACCCCACCACAGTCCCCAGAGTGTGATATTCCCCTTCCTGTGACCATGTGATCTCATTGTTCAATTCCCACCTATGAGTGAGAATATGCGGTGTTTGGTTTTTTGTTCTTGCGATAGTTTACTGAGAATGTTACTTTCTTAATAATATCTAAGTAATTATAAATCATGTTATAAATGAAGTTTATCTGATTTTCAAGTAATTATTTAGTTGTTTACTTAACAACAAATATATACTTAATATCTACTTTCTATCAGGCTTATATATGCTAATAGGAGTGCATAATTGAATAAAACAGTTCATATTCTTAAAATAACCACTATGTAGTAAAAGAAAACATACATGTAAATAAACAATTGATATATTCGTTAGCAGATAATGCAAGATATAGTCATATTTTGTCTCGCAGGATCCAAGTGATACCAGTTACCTATGTTGGAAAGGTGCCAAGATAGACCTGCCTTATTCTGAATTTTCTATTTTGATGAATTAATGTAAAGAGTCATTCTGTGAACCCAAAGATATACTAGAAATCTTTATAGAAGAAAAACGCCTTTAAAAATGATTGATATCAGCTGGGCATGGTGGCTCACGCCTGTAATCCCAGCACTTTGGGAGACAGAGGTGGGTGGATCACGAGGTCGGGAGATCAAGACCATCCTGGCCAACATGGTGAAACCTCATCTCTACTAAAATACAAAAAAAAAAAAAAAATTAACTGGACATGGTGGTACGCTCCTGTATTCCCAGCTACTCTGGAGGCTGAGGCAGGGGAATCACTTGAACTCAAGAGGGGGAGGTTGCAGTGGGCCGAGATCATGCCACTGCACTCCAGCCTGGTGACAGAGTGAGACTCTGTCTAAAAAAATAATAAAAAAAAAGATTGATATCTAGAAATAATTTAGGCTTACTAGTCTACCTAGTCTTTGTAATTCCAAACAAAAAGAAACAAAACATTAAAATACTCGTGTGTGTGTGTGTGTGTGTGTGTGTGTGTGTGTGTGTGTGTGTATAAGATATTCCTGGCCAGGCGTGGTGGCTCACGCCTGTAATCTCAGCGCTTTGGGAGGCCGAGGCAGGCGGATCACCTGAGGTCAGGACTTTGAAACCAGCCTGCCCAACATGGTGAAACCCCATCTCTACTAAACATACAAAAAATTAGCCAGGTATGGTGGCACGTGCCTGTAATCCCAGCTACTCGGGAGGCTGAGGCAGGAGAATCACTTGAACCTGGGAGGCAGAGCTTGCAGTGGACCGAGATCATGCCACTGCACTCCAGCCTGGGCAACAAGAGCGAAACTCCATCTTAAAAAAAAAAAAGAAAAAAAAAAGATACTCCAATCTTATTTCCCAATAGAATTAATAAAAAATTTAGGTACTGTTTTCTATGTTCATAGTCACAGAGTAGCATCAGATCTGGCAGTAGTTGTACCGCTTATTTGATCAATGTAGACAGACAAAATAATCAGACCAAAAAAAAGTTGACTTTCCTCAGTCTTCTCCACAGTAGACTTTTCATTTAAGGTTATCATTTTTCTAAAACATCATTTTGGTACCCTGCAGATCAAAATGTGTTTATATAGTTTGCATAAATAAGATTTGGTAAATAACTTGATTTTCTGGGATTTGATCCAAGTGAAACCTCTAATCTTTTGAAGTTCATCCCTTAGTGATTCTTAGGGAGAACTCAGCTTTTTTGAAGTCTCACTGAAGTATTTAGTGGCTTGCTTTGCTAATCCAAGAGAGACTTCATAGCTACATTTAACAGAGAACAGATGGCTCCTTTTCTAATGTCCTTTCTGTCCATTATAATAGTACATTCAAAAAAGCAATCATGTCACATTAGACTACACAAACACATTGGAAGATATTGACCACAGTCACTATATTTGTGCACCTAGATTCCCATGTCTAATAGACAACCTGTAATAACCGAGACATTCTCTCATTTCTCATGAGAAAAAGTATGTCAAAATTTGTAGGTTACTTTACAGATTAATACATTTTGTATATTTTAGTACAGAATGGAGAGATTCAAAGCATAAAAATTATCTGTGGCAAAATATTTTGTATTCTTTTTATAGTATTAGGGAAAAATATGAATCTTTTGTTAGAATTAGTTGAGAAAAGTCAGAACTTATTACCAAAGCTGTATAGTTCTACCTTATGCCTTGAAAATCCAGTCCAGAATTCAGCCTAATACATTTATTCAACATTTCCATTCCCAAGCTTCAGTGTATTTACTTCAATGTCATCAGAAGACAACCACCTTGATCCCCTACTCTCCACCCTCAACTGGATCAATCTATTATTTGTTCATTATAGAGGCAAAATCTTTGCATCTCTTGTTGATAGTTTGTATTTTTGACTCAATGAGAAAAAAAATCAAATTATTTCATCACAGTGGTATTTATTGTTCCTTTGATTAAATAAAAATGGAATTTCAACTATTCTAGCACTAGAGTGGAATTGAGAAATTATAGTCTAATTTCCATATCTTAAAGTTGGAGAAAGTAAGGCCTAGAGAAGTCATAAGGGAAGACTGAAAATTTAAAAGATTTACAGTTCACATAAACAGATTTCTAGAAGAATCAATTAAATGTCAGTATACGTGATAAGAAGTAAAAATTGTCAGAGCAGATAATAGTTAAAATAAATGCTAATGTTTCTTGGAAACTGTCTTGTTCATTTGTGCTGTTATAACAAAATACCACAGAATGGGTAATTTATAAAGAACAGAAATGTATTTCTCACTGTTACGGAGGCTGTGAAGTCCAAGATCAATGCACTGGCATTTGTGTCTGGTGAGGGCCTGTTCCACTGATTAGGTGCCTTCTCATCATGGCATTCTTCCATGGTGGTAGGTAGAAGAGCAAAAAGGGACTGAACTCACTTTCTCAATCCCTTTTATAAGGGCACCTAATCCCTGTCAGGAGGCAGAGCCCTCATGACTTGATCACCTCCCATAAGGGCTCACCTCTTGTGCCACTACCCTGAGGATTAAGTTTCAACAGGAATTTTGGAGGAGACGCCATTATTAAAACCATAGCAAACACCTCATAGGGGCCAGAGACTGTGTCACATATTTTATTTACATGATCTTATTCAAGCCATACAGCAATTCCATGAGGAAGGCACTATTATTTTTTCCATAATAGACAAGAAGTCAAAATATACAAAATTGTATAATTTGCCCAAGAAAAACAACTAGTAAATTATGAAGCAAATATTTACACACAGACATTCTAACTACAAAAGCTCCATTTTTTTTCATCATTACAATATATTCTCATGGGATATCACATGAGACATGTGAGAATTTTCTTGGATTTCTCACTTTGCTATCTTGAAGAGTATAACAAGCAGCCAAAAGTAGTCTATACAATTGTCATTAAGGTGAAATTCCAGAGTCAAAATTACATACTGGGTTTTTTTTATTCCCAAAGGAGAGATCATATATGTTTTATAGAGTATAAGAAGCCATCTTTGGAAATCAATTTTTTTATTCCGGATTTGTTTCATGTATAATTTGGCCATCATTTTGATTTAAGAACTAACCCTTTAAAAGTGATTTTCTTTCTTTGGAACTGTGGTATCATTTACCCCTCTTTAGACTCCATCACTACTCATTTACTGAATTGCCTTCATTTTTAATGAGAATAGAAAATGTTGATAACTTGTCCTACCCAAAACCATAATACTTTCCAAATATTTCTAGAGGAATGGAAAATTCATGGTATAAAACTAGTTTCTAATGTATATCCTTTTGCTTTTGTGAAGAGAAAGTATAGGCTTGATATACAGCCTACCAAAGAGAAAAGAAAAGGGGATTGACAGTTTATTCAACTCATATAATAAACTCAACAAAAGATAAAATTACTCTTAAACACAATTTCCTAATCTTGTTTTAGTTGGTAGAGGCAGTGGTGGTAATGCTCAGCTATTACTAAGTTTAAGTGAGAACATTTCTGGATAATTATTGTTTGTTGATTTATTACTAGTATTACTATAAATACTATGCTACCATCACTATCTGATGATCAGAAATTGTATATTATTTAATCTAATGCCTTGTGTTATATGTATGATATTCAGAAAATTTATATGATATTCAATTAATATCAAATTGACTTAAGTATAGATATTAATATTTGTTTTGAATCTGTTGTATACCAGATACTTCACTTACTTTATGCTATTTGTTCTTAATCATCATTGGAGGTAAAATTTATTAAATATTACCCCTATACAACTTAGAAAAAACCAAAGTTGGAATTTGAACCCAGGTCTGCCTGATCCCAGAACCCACCTTTCACTAGTGCTGTCTACTCACTGAAATCCCTTTTTGAACAGAGGGATTTTAAAATGTATATATATTTGCTTATTATCTTGTTTACTAAGCTCAATCGCCTTTAAAGTACTTTTGATTTTAAAGGCATACATGTGGGGAAAAAAGACAAGTTCTGTAACTTGAATCTCCTTATCTTTAAAATGTGAATAATAATTAAAACAGAATTATTATGGGGACTCATTAAGATAAAAAATGCAGGCCCTCAACACATGGCTTGGCATTTATCTTTCAAAAAATGAGAAGTATTAATACTAGTAGAACTCTTATTCCATCAGTGTGCCTTCTCCCTGCCTTCCAACACATGCACATCATCTTCCTCATCATCCCCATCATCCTTATCATCATCCCCATCATCCTTATCATCATCCCCATCATCCTCCTCATCCCCATCATCCTCCTCATCCCCATAATCATCTTCATCATCCCCATCATCCTCATCATCCCCATCATCCTCCTCATCATCCCCATCATCATGTTCATCATCCCCATCATCCTCCTCATCCCCATCATCATCTTCATCATCCCCATCATCATCCTCATCATCACCATCATCATCCTCACCATCTTCATCATCGCCATCATCCTTCTTATCATCCCCATCATCTTCCTTATCCCCATCATCTTTCTCATCATCCCCATCATCCTCCTCATCATCCCCATCATCATTTCATCATCCCCATCATCCTCCTCATCATCCCCATCATCCTCCTCATCATCCCCATCATCATCTTCATCATCCCCATCATCCTCATCATCCTCATCATCCTCATCATCCTCCTCATCATCCCGATCATCTTTCTTATCATCCCCCATCGTCCTCCTTATCATCCCCATCATGCTCCCCACCATCCCCATCATTATTCTTCATCATCCCCATCATCATCCTCATCATCCCCATCATCATCATCATCTCCATCCTCCTCATCCCCATCATCCTCATCATCCCTGTCATCATCTTCATCATCCCCATCATCTTCATCATCCCCATCATCATCTTCATCAGCCCCATCATCATCGTCATTGTCATCATGATCTCCATCATCATTCACCACTAACTTTTCTTTCCTAAGACATTCTATTTGCCAAAGGTCCTTCTAAGGTGGCACACCCATAAAAACAACATTGGCTTCAAAAATGTTGCTCAACCTTTGCCTTTCTCCCCCACTTTGGTTTTCCAGTTGCCTTTGGAAAGAGCCAACATTTTCACACCATGTGCCTCACAGCAGGAAGTTCTGTCCTCATTTTTTCCTTCACATTGCTTCTTCAATCATTCATATATTTTTAATTCAGAAAACATCTATGGAGAGTCTGCTATACCCTGGGAATTTCACAATGAACATGTCCCAGCCTTCAAAGCACTTAAAATGGGAAAGAGGTATAAGCAAATGAGCAATTGTGATATAGAGTGACAAAGGCTGCCTAATGGGCCAGTACTGGGTCTCACAAAAGCACAGGAGAGGGCCACCTAACTCAGTTCTAAGTGGTCAGAGAAGGCTTCCTGAAAAAAAATTACATCTGAGTTGAGCCCAGAAAAAAAGGATGTTCACCTGGTAGGAAAAGGCAGAGAAAGAGTGTTCCAGGCAGAGAGGATATGACCATTTACAAAAATTTGGAGAAGAGAAAGAGCTCTGTGGGTTTGGAGAACTGCATGTAGTTTAGTATCACCATTGTATAGGGTGAGGAAAGGATGTGTTGAGAGATAATACTGGAGAAAGATGCAGAGCCCAGATCATGGAAGGCCTTTTATACCATTCTTGGGAGTTAGGACGTGATCCCAAAGTTAGTGAAGAGCTATGTATGATTTTAAGCTGGGAGTACAGTGTAGAGGCTGTATCCAAGGGAAAAATCATTTTATTACTTTCATAAATACCAACGTTTGCGGTGGGGAGTGAGGGGGGGTTGAGTTCTCAACCTGAGCTCTATGGATAATCTGTGGATGTTTAGAGAGTTTGTAAACTCCCTGAAATTGTAGACAAAATTATTAGTTGTATATGTGTTTGGGGGATGGGAGGAGATGCAGAATCCATAGCTATGTGAAATCCTCAAAAGGAACTATGATCCAAATCAATGTTTGAAACCACTGCTCTAGAGGCAGAAAGCTAAAAGCCAACTTATAGAGCAGAAATTTGAAATCTGCCACAAAGAATCCTTCTAAAGTTGCAGAATTTCTCTTTTAAGAAAAATTTCTCATTCCTTCCCCTGAGTTACCAAACTCTTCCCACTCCACCCTGACCCACTGACGTTTTGTTCCTGGCCACTCTCCCACTGAAGGCTGCTTTCTCACTCATGGAACTGGTCTCTGTGCCAACCCGTAATACGTGTCCACCCCAGAGGCTGAGAATAGACACAGCGTCCTGGTGACTTAAAAATTGGGTAACATCTGAAGGATAAACTCTGTAGTGACTATGAAATTCATTCTAATCATTTGAAATAAACATTATAAACATATGATTGGGGTTTCTCTGCACGGTGCAGGAGAAGGTACTGAGCAAGTAAAGAAAATTTCCTATTAAATAGAAGGGGAAAGCAGCTACTATTCACAATTGTGAAGGGGAAAGAAGAATACTAAACCAAATACTTTCTTCTGTTTTTTCAAGCTTGACCTTCATCTCCACCACCCAACCTCTCACCCCCAATAAGTTATATCAGATAAGCTACAATTCTTTCAAGCGAATAGACTTTGTTCTGTTTATTTCTTCTTAATATATTTTCCCAGATTTGGGATCTGTGTTCCTCATCTCTCAGTTAGGTGTGTGACCTTGTGCAAGTCAATTCCTTAAACTTTCTGGGCAGCGTCTTTATCTGTAAAATAGAGTTGGATGAAAGATCTGTAAGTTGTTTTTTAGTTCCTGCTGTGTGTAATTGTTACTGAAGTGGAAGGCTAATGTAAACAGATTTTATGATAAATATTTCTTATTTTCAACTTGCCAGTTATCTCAAAGGATTGCTGGGTACTTCATCTAAGGCATTTTTAAAATTTAATGTGAAAGACCAAAGTATCTCACATTATTTGTCCAATACAGCCAAGTACAGCAAGGGTCAAGAAACTTTTTCTGTAAAGGGCCAGGTAGTAAATATTATAGGCTTTGTGTGCCGTAGGTCTCTGGCACAACTATTCAACTCTGTTATTATAGTGGGAAAGCAGCCACAGGCATATGAATGAATGTGTATGGCTGTGTTCCAATAAAATTTTATTTACCAAAAACGGTGGCAGGCTGGATTAGGCCGTCATGCCATAGTTTGCTGACCCTTGAAATAGAAACTGAAAGATCTGGTAACCTGAAGATAGGAGAGTTTCATCCCTTCAGCCTTTTCTGTTTACAAGCTGTTTCCTGGCTGATTTCCTGACAATTGTTTTGTTGTCATTGTTGTTGTCGTTGCTGTGTTAAACAACAACTGCTCAATTATTTTGGCCACCCACAACCACCTCACTATTAATGCCCCAAATAAATAACTTTGAGCAAGTGGGCCTGCCAGCTTATTGGGAATCTGAAACAGTTCAGACAACTTGTTTTTCAGTCACAGAGATAAATAAATGGCTTCATCGGCAGACAGTTCCGAAGATGAATAGCCGAGAGGAACAGTTGAGCAGTTAGTTCATTGAGACAGGGAAAGAAAGACAAAAAGAGGGAAAGAGAGAAGTGGGTAGGGAGAAGAAAGATTGAATAGCAAACCAGTTTGTGAGATCTACTGTACAGACTTGCCCAGCTGGGTATTTTATCTTGAATTTGTTTTGCAAATTGCGGATGCCTAGCTCTAGAAGCCAAGAAAAAGAAAGGGCAGTCATCCCACGCCAAAATACTCTCATGGATCTCAAGTAATTTACATTACTTCATTTTTGTGGGGGGAAAATCATTATACAGTCCCCTTCCAAAATAAGTGAAGAGGAACAGAGAGCTATTTTACCCAAATGCCTAGAACAAGACAAATATTTTGTAGAGCTTTTTTTTTTTTTTTTAATTAAGAGAACAATACCTGCCTGGTAACTTTGCCTACTTTGTGAAAGTTACTGTGTCAGTGTTCAGCCCACAAAACTGCTTTAACTATAAAACTGACTGAATCCAACGAGTCTTACTATTTCTGTATATACTTCAGTGAAACAAGGGATATTTTGTACCCCATTCTACCTTTTGCTGAAATCAATCCTGCCTGACAGAGTCCTTACAATTCCATTGAAATGAAAGAAAGAGGTAGTCCCAGTGATTTTATTAGTTAACATCTTTTTTAAAGATCTCTCACATATTGACCATGATTTACAGAGACACTTTATCAAAGTAACACCTAGTAGCCAGGCCTATCCTCTGCTTTTGGATAGATTTTGGATAGATTTACAAGATTTTCTTCACACATACTATTTCTTTAAATATTTATCCCAGAAAATTTAAAGAAAAGGTTAGTGGTGAATACACTGGTAGAAGGCTGGGACAGTGAGGTTTGTTCTTAATTTTTTAATTTGGACTTTTTTACAAAAGGACTTCAAACTGCCTTTGAGAGAAACACAATTAACACAGAGGACAGGTAATTTGTCTTCTAAGGAAAAAGGGTACCCATTTAAAAGAGTTCATGTGTTCTCCTAATTGTCTCCCAGGTTTGTAGACATAGATTGCAACCTCAGTGAGCTAGTACTTCCCATGGTCATCCATAGGCAAGATATTAAACCAATGAAGTAAAAAATTGGGGAAAGCATTTTTAACCAGATTTTTTTCCATAAGTTAAAACATGCATCCAGCTTCCTTGTGAGCTTACTTAACTTGTGAGCATGTTTTATTTGCCTCAAGCTAAAAGATTCGGTCATCATATACCTGATTTACCAAATGGTCTCCTAACATCCTTGAGACCATTCTAGGAAATAAATGATCCATCAGTAGCACAGTTGGAAAACTTAAAAATATAGTCAAGTGGCAGGATTTTCCAGCAGGCTGCATGAACTTTGTTACCCTCCTAATAAGACTGCCCACAATCCAGGGTGTGACTATGACTATCTCCTCTCCTTGGAGGTAAAAGCGTTGCAAACAAGAACTGTGTCCAAATTATCTCCATTTCTCTAGCACCTGATGAAATGCCCAGGACATAGGTTATTCTTAGTCAGTACCTACTTTTTAGAAAATAAGTGAATGAATGAAACCCATCATGTCCAAAGCATTTTCTTTGCTCAGATGCTGTTAAGAATAGCAGCTTGGAGTTCTGAAGAGCATTCCAAATAATACATCAAGAATGTTTCTGTAATTTTAGCAGAGGTTGAATGATCATTTGCTAGGGATGTGGTAGAAGAAAGTGCACTTTGGAGATTTGGACTAGAATGGACAGGTAAGGAGGTTGGGTACGTAGATGGATGGATGGGGTGGATAGATAGATAGACAGACAGACAGACAGACAGACAGACAGACAGACTGACAGACAGACAGACAGATAGATAGAAAAGTGGATAAATGGGTAGATATAGGCTTTGCTATATAAGGAAGCTGTTGCTATATAAAGAGTCTAGTATCTGTATAGAGTTTGAGTCCAAAATTCTTGAGTATAGCAGTTTGATCAAGAATATCTAGCATCTTCTTAAATGACAGATGAGGATGGAAACATTTTAAAAATATATATATATATGACTGTATTATGAGATCTTCACTACTGATTTGAGATAATTTTAAAACATTCTCAGAGTAAAAGAGCAGAGATAGGATGACTAAATACTAGCAGTGGTTAGGGACAGAGCAGTGAATTTCTAATGACAAGGCCAAAGCCTTAGAAGAAGAGGATGCTCACCAGTGGGCCTTAGAGTGGGCTCGGGACCACTTGTGTACAGCTCAGAAATATTGAAATGAAGATCTCAAATGCTTTTTGATTGGGATGGCATTTTGAGAAAAAGATGTGTATCCCACTAAGCGATTATGATTCTAAAACTCATAAAAATGTTGTTTGTTTTAGGTTCATGAGAAGTCCCTTCAGTATCTTTTTACTGCTTTATCCCCAAGGCCCAGAAGAATGCAATGCTTAATAAATACTTGTTGAATTAATGAATAAGAATGCAGTGAACTTAATAATTCTAAAGACAGGTTGATTGATTGAACCTTATAAAAAGAATACAAACATGTTTTCATTGGTCTGGCAGTCCTGTGCTGGGTTAAAACAGGGACCAAGAAGTTTTATCCATACTTAAGCACTGGCATGCTACACTATCTCAGGGACTAATACTATAAAAAGACTTTTAAAAATCTCAAATGCGCATGCACACACACACTCACAAACGTGGAAAACTATCTAGGAGTACACAATAAATATACGTTATTGTGCACTCATAATTGATTTAAAACCCAGGAGGATTGGATGCGAAACCTATTTTGTAGGTTAGAACCAAACTCTGTAATTTTGTAGGTAAAAACAGAAAAAGAACATGTAAAATGAAAGATCATGCAAGTTCATGATTTGAACCAGTCATTGACTATTCCTTGCTGCCAAATCAATCTTTAACTACGGTTTGTCTAGAAAACTGGGTTTTCTATTATGTGAAAGACTACCTAGATGGAAATAGCCTAATTCTTTCACAATCACACACATGCATGCATGCACACATACACACATACTCTCATCTATCAGCTGAGAATGTGCGATTTTTACCACAGCCTTCATATGCCCTTCAGGAGAAAATGTGTGTTGGGGAAAAAACAGATGATTTCTATTAAGTTCTACATGGGTTGAATTTAAGGCAAAGAGTGAGGCTGAGTATGAAAATCGAAGCCAATGCATCAAAGCAGTTTTTTCTTTCAAACTATTTTATGTACTAAAGTTTGCACAACATGTTGGCAATGACAGCAAGCTTGTATAAGGAGGTGTTTTGTGTTTTACAGCAAACATAAGGGCAAAAAAATGCAAGAGCAGTGAAATATTACTTCAATCATGAATTCAAAGAATGTATATAGTAGGTACATGGTAAAACCCATGAGTTAGAAACTACAAGATTTAAAAATCTTTTACAAAATTACAAGAAAGGATTTATCTCATTCTTTCCTCCATACCAGGGCACCTCCCTTCACCCAAGCACCAGTTTCAAATTTGGAAAACCCTTCAGACCCTAGGGAAAAGGGTCCTAAAGTATCTTTTGGTACCGTGAAGGAAATAAACTACATTTAGCACAGTCTATCTGTTTGATTAGAGAGAGAAAGAGACATAGTTACATTTTCCTGGCATGCAGATCTTTTATAAATCTTAGAAAAGGTTGGTTTTCCAGAATTCTCTGGAAGTTATTTTGGAGCTCATCAATTCTGCCAACATTGAGCACTCTGTCTACCTCTTTTCTTTCTCTTCATTTTCCCCATTTCTAAGTACATTTTGGTCTCTAGAAAATAAAAAACTGCCTAGCACAGAGTAGACATTCAGTATACTTTGTCAAATGCATTAATGGATTGATGGATTCATGGGTGACTAGGCATTAGGTGATCTGAGATTGATTGATTGATTGATTGATTGATTTTTCCTTCAACTTTTAAGTTCCCGGGTACATGTGCAGGATGTGCAGGTTTGTTACATAGGTAAATGTATGCCATGATCTGGGTTTTAATCTTAAGACACTAGTAGGTATCATACCACCTAATGGAAATGATTATGCATTGCTTTTTGTTGTCATAACTTTGGGTGAGTGGATATGTGGAGTGTGTGGTATGTGTAGCTTATCTTCCCAGATAAACTGTATGCCAGAGATCTTAAACTCAGATGGCCTACATGGACCAGGCAAATGATAGAAGTGAGGAAAATGGGTGGGTATAATAAAGTAAGGAATAGTAGAGGCTGCTGTGGCCACCTGGAGAGCAAAAAGAGCAATTTGTGTTTCAAACATGATGGGGGCCAAACACACCACATCTGTAGTCCAGGTACACTTACAGTGTGAGCTCCTTCATAAGACTCATTGGATATAAAACATCTAATATTTAAAAATACAGAAATAACAAAATAATAATAGTTAAAGTGTATCAAACATCTCTACTAAGTCCCTGGCACTGTTCTAAAATTCATCTTGTTAAATTTTAGGTAATTAATGTATTACCTTTATGTTGCAAATGAGGAAACTAAGGCACGGTACTTAGTAAATGTACATGATTGCACTATGCATAAATAATTGGATGTTAAAAGAATAAAAACCAGAACAGCAAAGAGCAAAGCTAACAGAGACCTGAGCTAAGCCCCTAACTGAGAAGAAAGAAGCACACCCCAAAAGACAGCCCATCAGAGAATGATACCCCACCCATCTTCTGGCATCTTCAAGTAGGAGGATGAAGGTAATTTCCCAAATCCCTGGCAGCTCATAATCTGCAATATAACTGAGACCTCTACATTTCTCAGAGACCTGACACAGAACAGCTTTCTGTAGTCTGCGAGTTCTATCTCCTTTGTTTCACAATGAAAACAAACGTAAACAGACTATTGTTCCTATGTGTAGAAATAACTTTAATAATTATGAGCAGCTATTGTTTAGTAAGTGCTTACTACGTGGTAGGTATTGGATTATCTCCCCTAACTCTTGTAGGGAAACTGTGACATCCATACTGTTATTATTTCCCTTTTACAGATAAGAAAACTGAGGCTTAGAGAGGTGAATTAACTTCTGCCACATCACACAACTAAGTGTCAGAACTGGGGTATGAACCAAGGTGGACCTATCTCCGGAGCTTATGGTCTTGTCCATTGCATGGCAATGCAAAGAAGATGAAAAGAAAAGTGTTTTGAATTTTTCTACCTATGCTTGTCAGCTACTTAAAAAAATAAACCAAAACAAAAAAACACAAAATCTTCTTTTGAAAGTCTTACATAAAACTCCAAACTAACAAAGAAAAGAGCAGACTCTTTCTATTCTGGTTCAAGTGGAGAGTAGAAAGCAAACTACCATCTCCAATACATTCTCTCCCACCTTGATGTCTTCCCCCACCACTTCCAGCTGTCTTTACGCTTCCCTGATCCTGCCTCTTTCCCCCTGTCACAGGCTCTGCTTCCCTGTCCTTACTCAGGGTGCACCAAAAGGCCCAGCCCCCAATCCTCCATGTATTTCCTCCTCCTTTTGCCCTCCAAGACACTCAGCTCACCGATCCTCATTTGCCATTCTGTCAATGACCCTCAAGTACTTGTCTCCAAGTCCACATTCTTAGTGGCTTATAGAACACAGGCGGTGAAGTCTCCGAAATTCATGATGGATTTAAAGTTGAAAGAACTGACTGGTCATAGGGGTGTAAATATATTAGAGGATGGTTTCCTTAAGCTGCTCAAAGGATGTACCTCAGAGATGGCTGTAATTATTTTTTACTAACTAGTGAAGAGGATCTCCCCACCCTGTCCTCACTCCCCTGTCCTTCTCTCCAACACACTTCTTTCCACCTTCCTGACCTGAGGGTGCTCAACCCTGGGAAGAGTGCTGCATGAACTGATGGGTTGGCCCAGGTTTAAAGTACAAAAATCTTTCTTCTCAATGCTTCCTGTCTCACGTGACAGGCAGTAAAGTGTACTGATTGAGAACTAGAGTTGTGGGGTCAGACAGACCTGGCTTCAAATCCTCCTCGGCCACTTACAGCTATGTGATCTCTCTGAGCTCAGGTTTCTCATCTGCAAAGTTGGGTTAATAATACAAGTTCTTGCTCATTGTTTTGTTGGGAGGAGTGAATGAGATAAATCACGTAAAGCACGGACCACAGTGACTGGCTGATAATAAGCCTCAGTGGATGGTCGCCCTTAGAATTATTTTGTAACCCTTTGCTTTTGAGGCAGCTGGTGAGCTCTGTAGCCTCAGAGATTACTAAAGCAAGGCCAAGGCTTTCGGCTTGTGGCTTACTTACTTACTTGTTTATTTATTTCAGCTCGGCACATAGTTAAAGAAAGAGAAAGAAATAAAAAAGATAATTTCCACAAACAGTGTACCTACCACCTCTACTCATGTGGTATCATGGGAGTTGCTTTGTGGTTTTTTGTTTGTTTGTTTTTGTTTTGAGACAGAGTCTTGCTCTGTCACCCAGGCTGGAGTGCAGCGGCACAATCTCGGGTCGCTGCAACCTCTGCCTCCTAGGTTCAAGTGATTCTCATGCCTCAGCCTCCTGAGTAAGTAATTGGGATTACAGGCATGTGCCACCACACCCAACTAATTTTCATATTTTAGTAGAGATGGGGTTTAACCATGTTGGCCAGGCTGGTCTCAAACTCCTGACCTCAGGTGAACCACCTGCCTCGGCCTCCCAAAGTGCTAGGTTTACAGGCATGAGCCACCGCACCCAACTCCCTGCTTAATGTTTTTATGTCTTGTAACCTTACATAGTTTAGTTGGTGAATGACAGATGGATTTTTTTTTTTTTTTTCTGGGCACAGTGCTTCATGCCTGTAATACCAGCACTGTGGGAGGCCAAGGATCTAGGATCACTTGAGCCCTTGACTTTGAGACCAGCCTGGGCAACATAGTAAGACCCCGTCTCTAAAAAAAATTTAAAAATTAGCCACCCTGTCTCTAAAAAAAATTTAAAAATTAGCCAGGTGGCGCACGCCTGTGGTCCCAGGCACTTTAGGAGGCTGAAGTGGGAGGACTGCTTGAGCCTGGGAGGTTGAAGCTGCAGTGAGCCATGATTATGCCACTGCACTCCAGCCTGGGTAATAGAGTGAGACTCTGTCTCTTAAAAAAAAAAAAGAGAGAGTTGGATTTCTTTTGTTCCCATGTATTCAGTGTTTCCCAAAGCATATTCCCTGGACCAATGAGTATCAGAATAACCTAAGGAGGTACCCTGATCTATAGCCTCAGAATCCCTGGGACAAGGCCAGGGCATCTGCCTTATAAGCTGATTCCCAGATCATTCTGATCAAAGTATAACAATTTTTGACTTAGTGTTTATATCATGTAAACTAAAATTTGATTTTACATTTTCTTATATTTATACATGTAAGCATTTCTCCCTCACTTGGGTGATAAATTCTCTAAGGTGATAACCATATTTTCTAGTCTTCTTGTAACCCTACTAGTGTACTAGTGTAGAGCTCAATCCTAAATACATCATTGGGAATTAATGAGAATATTCAACTGGGTTTAGCTTACTGTCTTGCAGAGTCCTGATCTGTCAATGCCAAAAAATTGGTAGAGACCTCAAATTAGAAAGGCAGTTCACCAATACCCAATATTATTTGATATACAGTTGAGTTTTTAATCAATATTTTCTCATTGTCAGTGTGTCGGGTATTCTTTTACTGAGATTCTTGCGCCGAGATACCTGAATTGTTGACTGCGGAACAAAATTTACAAGGCCCTGAGAAGTGAAGTCCTTTCCAAGTTTGAGTTTATAAAACAGAAACTTAGAGGCCTTCCTGCCTTTCTGTCACAGAAAGCTGGGTAAGGCAAAATGCCTTCTGTCCAAAATAGTTTCAACTTTTAAACACGTGAATTAAAACATGACTTTCATTGCAGGATCAGCAATGATACATGCTAACTTTGGGAAAAGGAAGGATTTGTTAGGTTATGATGTTTATTCCTGAGAAATTGAGAGGTTTGCCATATGTTTTTATGGTAGTTTTCTTTGAGGTTCCATAAACACCTTCTGGAATGTGGAGGTTCCACAATCAGAGTCCTCATGGGAGCTTTTCCAGTGCCCTAATGTCATTAACCCAGCTGCTTTGGTTGCTGTGTTATGCAATTATTTCTTCTACATTTAAAAAGCGATTCTCTGATCTCCAACCCATTTAACCATGTTTGATCTTTAATAAGATGAAAAATGTTTGGAATCTGAGTGTATGATCTTTGTGCTACATTTTTCTTTTTTTAATTCACAGTAGCTTTTCCTTCCCCCTTTCTCTTCTTTAGGATCAACACTCTGTGGTAGGCCAGAACACAGGCCCCAGTCCAAGTCCTAACCCCTGCTCAAATCCAAACACTGGAAGTGGTTACATGAACTCCCAGCAATCACTGTTGAATCAGCAATTGATGGGAAAGAAGCAGACTCTACAGAGGCAGATCATGGAGCAGAAACAGCAACTTCTTCTCCAGCAGCAGATGCTGGCTGACGCGGTAAAACTTTCTCTTAATTTCTACTGAACAAACCTGTTGACCCAACAGAGGGAGTTTATTCTTTTCCATTTATATTTACTGTGCCTACTTACGTGACAGCAACAAAGGTGTGCTGACTGTAAGAGAGGATAATTCCATACATTTAGTGTACTGCAGGAAGAAAAAAAAACCCAAACTTGATTTAACAACTGCTGGACACTTGGAATGCATGGCACCTCTGCTAACCAGCCCTGCCCAGCCCAGGAATGTCTAGAACAACCAACATGGGCATTTGAATCAGGCAAAAGAAACCAGTGTTGTTCCCCAGGCTTAAGGGGCAGAAACAGTAAACTGAACTTGAATCAACTCAAATCCAAACTGATTTTAGAGATAAGAGTTTCAAAAGCAATTTTAAAAGCCAACATGGAGCCTCAAAACCAAGATTTGGCTTCCAAAATAAAGCAACTCACAATGGGGGATTTTTTAAAAGAAAATGTAAAATACATTTCCCATTTGCACTGTATATATTAGGTTGATGCAAAAGTGATTGCGATTTTTGCCACTACTTTTAATGGCAAAAACCGTAATCACTTTTGCACCAACCTAATATTTGACTGTTTAAGAAAGACAAGATTGTGTTTCCCACACACTCTTCATGCATTAACCCTCCTTCAGTATTTATCTGCTCAGCCCTGGTTTCATTGCCTCCCTTCAAACTATTTGGCCAAATGAAATAAAAAGTAAGCATCTCCAGGTGAATTAGAGCTAAAGTATACAGAAAAGATAACAACAAAATCAAATAATTTTATATTCAAGGAGCTTTGTAGTGAGAGTCAGAAATGCAGGGTATCACAAGTGCTATAATTATTCAGTAAATAATAATTTGCAATGAGGGGAGAGCCATAAACAAGGCAAATCCTCTCTTCACCCTAGAGAAGCCTTGAGCCCACTGAGGATATGTCAGATAAATTGGCCAATTGTAATGCATGTGATTAAATGCCATACTCTGGTAACTACTAGAAATGATTTCAGAAAGAACTTTCTATCTACCGAATATCTGAAAGTGGAGTAAGAGATGAGTAGGAGGGTTATTTCAGCCAGAACAACCAGCATATTCAAAGACCTAGGGACAATAAAGGATACTACATATTATGCCTGCCAAGGTATTGAGTGTGCACGAGAAGGGGGAATTGATGGGTAAAGATGGGATAAGAAGCAGGAGGATAGGGCTTGAGAGGCCAGAATTTACATTAAAAAGCAACAGAAGAGATTTTAAGGATTTAACACAAGGGGAAGTACTAGATTCAGATTTGCATTATAGTAAAAGTATAAAATATACTAAAAAGTATAAAAAGTAAGAGAAAAAAGTATACTTTTTACAGTAAAAAGTATAAAAAGTAAGAGAAAATGTAATGGAAAGAAAGATTAAATCCAGCCTGCAAAGATTGAGGATAGTCTCCCAAAGAAGTAAAATTTGACATTGATTTTGAAGGACTGTAGGATTCTGATAGAGTAGGTGGGGTCCACTATTGTAGGTGGAGGGTGGAGCACCAAAAGGTGCAGCCTGGGTGTGAATTTGTTGGTGAGTTTGAGATTGCATTATGAAATATTTAATGCCTGATAAAAAGTAAACATAGTATAACAACCACACTTTTAAAGGAATTACAAGTGGAATAAGTTTCGTATTCAGGGCATGTGAAAAGAAATAGTGAGAAGTAAATTTATTTGACCTGGAATAAGGAATATTGAGAAATAAGATTACAGATGACGTTGAATACTGCCATAAGGTTTAAGGGAGTCACAGACTGGATCACAAAGTGACACAACTGGTTTCTTCTAGAAATCATAGTTTTGAAAACTCCAGTCCTCCCCCCTGTTCCCTTCCCCTCCCATTTTTATCCTTATAAGCTAAAGAACTTAGAAACAAGGACAGCAGAGAGAAAAATGTGTAATCTAAGGTTGACTTACTGGGTACACTTTCATCACTACCATCAATACTACTAATTTCATGAATTATAACACACAGAGGTTGATTTTCAGCTCTTGTTAAAAGGCAAGGAAGTGGTAGCATATACATTCCATGAGGGTCCTGGCCTGGCACTGGGCTAACTCCCACTGGGCCCCAGTTGAGTCACCACTAGGACAGGTGCAAAGGGCAGTGGCATAAACTGTGAGATGAATGAGAATGAGGCTGCTGTTTTTGTGATTTTTAAAAACCATTCACATTTCTCTTTGTTTGGACACCATTGAGGGTGTCTGTGCTTTTTAGCATATCCAGGAAGAAGTGGTCTTTGATACCACTGTACATTAGCATATGCTTTGTGGTCATTTGCAGTCAGTTGGCAAGGCCACATAGGCACCTAAATTGAGACGTTGTCTCATGAAAGTTTGTTATCCTTATTCTCTATTATTCTCCTACCAATGAAGCACAAAGAAGAGACATGAATAGTACTTATTACAACGGACATCGTAATTACCAACACGCATTGTGTACCTACTGTATGCCAGGCACCAAGCTGGATTTTCACAGAATTAAATAGAAATATGAGGGAGGTCCTATAATTATCCACATCTCACATTTTTACAGATGGAGAAACTGAAGCAGAACAGATATGTACTATAACAGATGATTTCTATAATGGGTTTTCAAGTCCAACAGATTGGGTTATCATTAGATATTAGTTCATAAATTAAATTTCATATTGCATAAAAGTATTCTCAAGAATGGCCTATATGTTTACACTTGCACAGAATAGGAATGTCAGTCTTTTGCAAAATGTAGCCATCTCTATTCAGTATTGCAGGCTAGTCTTTGCTGCTCTTCAGCACAAAAGAACAACATGGCAGTTCTGTGTTATGTCCATATGCAAGGTTATTAATCTAAGTCATTTGTGAACGAGTAGTTTAAGAAACCTAAATTTCTGGATATATATATATAAATGATATATGTAATATAAATATTATATATAATAATGTAAATATATATAATATAAATATATATACTATAAATATTATATATATATAAATGAAAACCCTTTGAACAACAGTTTAGCCTCTGGTGGAGACAAGCCTGACAAACATGGTAAAACTCCGTCTCTACTAAAAAAATACAAAATTAGCTGGGCATGATGGCGGGCACCTGTAATCTCAGCTACTTGGGAGACTGAGGCAGAAGAATCGCTTGAACCTGGGAGGCAGAGGTTGCAGTGAGCTGAGATCGTGCCATTGCACTCCAGCCTGGATGACAAAGTGAGATTCCATCTCAAAAGAAAAAAAAAAGTCAATAATTAGATTGAAGATATATAAAAATAAATCCAGGTTTACAATATAGTCTATGATGGGAAGTCAAGCACCTTCTTCTCTTTATCTCTCTCTTTCTCTCTCACTCTCACACATACACACACACACACACACACACACACACACATCCTGTCTTCAGTATAAACGGTAGAAACACCTAATTACATAAGAAAGAATGACAGATGCTTTTGGAAAAGAGTGGATTTCAGAAAGTCCATGCTGGCATAAAATCAAAACTGTCATCTCACACAACAGTTTACAGCAGAGCTGGTTGAACATCACCACATTTGGGTTCATGGAACATCTCAAGCTGTTTCTTAAACATTTAGGGTTTGGGCAAAACCAAAGAGCATTTCACCAACCACTTTTTCCCTTAATTTGTAAACCCATGTTTAAAAGAAATGTAATCCATATGTTTCTGATTCATTTACACTTAGCTCATCAAAATTGTGTTTTATATGAATTACTTATGTGCAAAAAACTGTGTCTTTCAAGCCTTTTTCTTAGCAACAAGAATTTAAATTTGGTTTGTTGTTGTTTTAAGGCTTTTTCCTCTCCTTTATAGTAGACTTATTCTACTAAGAAGGTTTGGAATGTGATGGGAAACTGAGAAACACATGGTTTAAGTCAGTTCTAAGTTAGGCAGTGCACATTTGTTTTCCAGCTAATTTACCCATGTATCTATTACAAAGTTTTCTTTTCTATTTGTTGACTTTTCTATAATTATAGTGTTCTCCGTCTACCTATGCTGATTATTTTTATTTTGAAAATTGAGATTGCTTTGGGATGCATACAAAATTGCAGTGAAGTCATTCTAAAAACTCCCTGATCCATACCAAACAAGATAAAAAGCAGCCCTTAATTCCCAAAGCTGATATGATACTCACAGCCAAGCTGTTTTGTTCTCTGTTGGGTATAAACAATCCTACAGAATGTCAACCTCAGACAGGGTTACTCTGAGACCATGATAAAATGAGACAAAATAACACTTCATAATTTTGTCTAAAAACAGACACAAACAAGGTCACTGTGCAACCTCCAAAACACCAAACACCCCCCTCTGTTGTTAAATGAGTGATAGCTACTTCTTTATTCAGTTAGAATTGACTTTACTTTGTGACAGCTTCCAATCTAGAACAAAGCCCCATTTCCTTAGACTCTTCCGAAATCACTCAAAGTCCAAATCTCAGGACAGATTCTTTCTAACATTCTCCTACTGAGACACCCTGTGACCCCTCATGATGTGTGTTCTCCCTTGCTGCAACAAGTAATAAAGCCAACAGCTGTGTTCCTAGTGGTCTTTGACTGAGGATATTGACATATTAAAAGAATGTCTCTTTTTTTTTCTCTTAGCTTCCAAAGTCACCTATTCTAAAGATCAAAAGGCTGATTCCAAAAGGAAGAAATGAAGGGAGGACAGCAAACCTGTGCTTTTAGAATGGGGAGCTGAGAAACAGAGTAGCAAGGGGCCTCGTATTGTGTGTCAGGAAAGAGCCTGAGTTTTGGACTCAGGATTTGGTCTCAGTTCTACCACTGTGTGACCTTGAGCAAGTTACTTAGCCTAACAAGGCTTTAATTTCCTTATTTTTTAGGTGGAAATAATCATACCTACCTTTAAGAATTGTTTATGCGAAGGTAAAAAAGAGATAAAATTCATATAGTGCCTATATCGGTACCTGTTGGTTATCTCCTGACATCTCCTCCTACCTAGGGTCATCAGATTTAACAAATAAGAATACAGAGCTGGGCGCGGTTGTTCATGCCTGTAATCCCAGCACTCTGGGAGGCTGAGCTGGGTGGATCATGAGGTCAGGAGTTCGAGACCAGCCTGGCCAATATGGTAAAAGCCCATCTCTATTAAAAAAAAATACAAAAATTTGCTGGGCGTGATGGCGGGCACCTGTAATCCCAGGGGCTCAGGAGGAGGAGAATCACTTGAACCAGGGAGGCAGAGGTTGCAGTAAGCCGAGATCACACCACTGCACTCCACTCTGGGTGACAGAGCAAGACTCCATCTCAAACAAACAAACAAACAAACAAAAACAAATAAGAATACAGAATACCTACATGTTCTGTATTTTATCTGAAAACCCTACCTCCTATGCTTTCCCCACTGTGTGGGACCAGAATTCTACGTAGGTACCTGCCAAAGCATATCAGATGTGCTATTCTCATTGAATAAAGAAGTAGCTATCACTCATTTAACAAGAGAGGGGGGTGTTTGGTGTTTTGGAGGTTGCACAGTGACCTTGTTTGTGTCTGTTTTTAGACAAAATTAGAAATTAGCATCTTGAAAAATCACAGAAATTTAGTTCTCATTGAAATTGAATTGCAAAATAAAGAAAATAGGAGTAGTTACTAGAACCAAAACACATGTTGACTGTTATGGAAAAGTAGAAATTATACTTCCATACAGGAAGTTTATTGAAATTGAAAAGATTTGTCTCTGAATTAAGACTACAAAATAAGGTCATGATTTGTAACCCATGATTGCAAAATTGTTCTTATATTTTCTGAAATTTTACAAAATTTTACATGTATTTTCACAAGTGAAAAGGGAATGATGCAACATAATATGCTTTCATATCATTTCTCAAGGAGAAAATTGCTCCACAAGATCAGATAAACCGACATTTGTCAAGGCCACCTCCAGATTATAAAGACCAAAGAAGAAATGTGGGCAATATGCAACCAACTGCTCAGTATTCTGGTAAGTGTTCTTAAAAATTAATAAAAATTATAGCTGTGAAAGGAAAAAAAAACTTCAATTTTCAATAATCCCTGTAACTCACATATGATTATAATATCTTTCTTAGAATTTCTAACTCCCATTTGACTTTCATGCCAAGACTACAGTTAAATATTTTTTAGTCCTTTCATCAGTTTTTGCTTAGTCATGCCCTGTACTCACATATTTCACCACTCTCTGGACTACCTCTGAGAATTCAAAAGAGCTAAATATTTTTCTGTTAGGTTCAATCATTCTCCTTCCAAAGATATACCTTAACCCAGGTAGTAGAAGGTAAGCAGACATTTCTCCCTCTTAGACAGGCACATGTGTAACTTTCACAAATCCTAGTCTTTTTGTATCCACCATTGAGCCCATCTCCAAGGTTTCCCCTTCAAAGACAAATGGTCCTGCCACCAAGGAATACTTGAAAAGCAGATTTAGTTTTCACGAAGTCTCTCAAAAACACCAAAGGTGAACTCCATTTAAATCACAAAGCAAATCTTCTTAATAGCTCTCTCAGTATAAAATAAATGGTAAGTACAAAAGTCCCCCAAATTCTCTCTCCTCCCGCTCATGAAACTCCAAAAGAACCTTTCCCAAACCCAGCCTATATTGCTCTGCCTTCTCCTATTCAGCAACTATTCAATACGCTTCTGCCCAAAACTGTCTAAAATGCTCTGCACTTTTTGATGTAAGTTAAGTTTACGCTCTTGGGTTTCCTAAGTTCTCTCTGCCTTACCTGTTACCTTCATCTGTCCAGGAAGCCATAAAGAAGATTCTCTAAAGAAAGAAAGGCTGTGAACACCCCTATTTTATAAATACTTCCTGGTACTGTTAAGTGTACTTTTAAATATGTTGTCCTGACTTATTTAAACCCCCTCAAATACAACAGGTTGCCTCTTTCAACTAAAATTGAGAATGGAGCTGGGCTCAGTCGCACGTGCCTGTAGTCCCAGCTATTCTGGAGGCAGAGGTGGGAGGATTGCTTGAGCCCAAAAGTTCGAGGCCAGCCTGGGCAACATATTGAGACACTGTCTCTAAAGACAACAAGTAACATTAGGAATGGGATGTATGTTTTCCACTCTCTAAGATTACTTCGCCTCAGAGCAAAAACAGGATTCTCTAGTTGATTGTCTCAAGGAGGCTGAAAGATAAGATGCAGTTTCCAGCCATGTGTTGGTTAATGTTGGGGGTATGTTCTGAGAATTGCGTTGTTAGGTAATTTCATTGTGCAAACATCATAAAGTGTACTTATACAAACCTAGATGATCTAGCCCACTACACACCTAGGCTATATGATATAGCTGATTGCTTCTAGGCTACAAACCTATACAGCATGTTAGTGTGATGACTACTGTAGGCAGTTATAACACAATGGTAAGTTTGTGTGTATCTAAACATAGAAAAGGTACAGTAAAATATAATTAAAAAGATACAAAATGGTACATTTGTATAGGGCCCTTACCGTGAATGGAGCTTGCAGGACTGGAAGTTGCACTGGGTGTCAGTGAGTGAGTGGCGTGTGAATGCAAAGGCCTAGGACATCACTGTACACTACTGTGGACCTTATAAACACTGTACACTTAGGCTGCACTAAACTTATTTTTAAAAATTTCTTTCTTTAATAATAAATTAACTTTTACATTAATTTTTTTGCTTTGCTTTACAACTTTTAAATTGTTTAAACTTTTGACTTTTGTGATAACACAGCTTAAAATACAATCACATTGTACAGCTGTACAAAAATATTTCTTCTCTATATCCTTATTCTAGAAGCTTTTTTTCTATTTTCTTACAATTTTTAAATTATTTTTAATTGACATATAATTGTTCATATATATGGGGTACAGTAGGATATTTTGATGTATGTAAACAGTGTGTAATGACCAGATCAGTGTTGTTAGCATAACCATCACATCAAACATTTATCATTTCTTTGTGTTGGGAACGTTCAAAATCCTCTTCTTGGTATTTGAAAACATAGTATAAATTATCCTTAACTATAGTCATCCTAGAGTGCTACAAAACACCAGGACTTATTCCTCCTATCTAGCTGTAATTTTGTATCCATTAACCATCTTCTGTCTAGCTTTTTCTCCCCACATCCTCCCCACCTCTAGAAACCGCAATTCTATTCTCTACTTCTATGAGAGCAACTTAGCTTACACATATGGATGAGAACGTATGGTTCTGTGCCTGGCTTATTTCACTTAAAATTTTTTAAAAATTTTTTGTTTTTATTTTTTAAACTAAGACACAAACACACACAAACACACATTAGCCTAGGCCTGCACAGGGTCAGGATCATCAATATCACTGTCATCCACCACATCTTGACCCACTGGAAGGTGTTCAGGAACAATAACACACATGGAGCTGTCACCTCCTATGATAACAATGCCTTCTTCTGGAATATCTCCTGAAAGACCTGCCTGAGGCTGTTTTACAGTTAACTTTTTGTATAAGTAGAAGGAGTACACTCCAAAATAATTATTGAAAGCATAGTAAAAACATTTACTATGCTTTTTATATATGATAAAGGAAGATAAAAAATGTTACATATGTGTAGGGCACTCACCATGAATGGAGCTTACAGGACTGAAAGTCACACTGGGTGTCAGTGAGTGGTGAGCGAATGCATTTAATAATTATTTTAGAGTGTCCTCTAAAATACAGCCATAGGAATTTTTCAGCTCCACTATAATCTTATGGGACCACTGTCATACATGCAGTCCTTCATTGACCAAACATTGTTATGCAGTGCATACTGTACTTAAAACATGGTTTTTTAATACCATGGCCTATGAGCGAGCTTTGAAAAAGCTGGGCGCCCTTTGGAATACTATACACAATTCAAGGTGGATATTGAGGTTTTTCTTTTCCTACTCACATAAAAGGATCCCAGGCACAGTAGTCTAGGGCTGGCTTGCTGGATTTCAAGCATCTTTTATCTTTCCACTCCATCTCTTTCAGCATGTGGCTTCTATCCTAAGGGCTGCCTGGTAGCTACCACATCACTAGTCTCATACCTGTATTCCAGGTAGGAAGAGGAAAGAAAAGAAATCTGATTCCCTTAGCCAGAACATATTCACCTGGACCCTCCCGCCCACCCCATCGACAAGGAAGTTTGGGGAATGTGGTTTTTCAGCTGAGCACATTGCTCTGTTTCTAAAGAAGGCTCTGTTTCTAAAACCAAAGCTCTGTTTCGAAGGAATATAGAGAGGTTGGATATTGGGTAGGCACCTAGCAGTCTCTTCCACAGTGAATATTGGTGTTTTTCTAAGGGAGAAATCCTTAGCATCCAACTGCTGACACTCAAGTGGGTCAGAATCATTATTCTAGAGCATTGCGTTTCCCATGTCTTCTGATGATGAAATAAGCAACAAAACGCAATACAAACTCTTTTTAAAATCATTTTTTATTTTAATCTTGGTACAATAATGATTACCTTTCCCAGATTTTGATATTAAAAATGGAGTATGAAAAGCACCTGGAACAGTCTCTGTCACCTGTTAGGAGCTTTTAAACATTAACTGTTACTATTTTGTGATCTTTGTGGAAATTCTCTCTATTCTGGTTGTTTAAAAAGATTGTTTTCCTTATAAACCTTCTCAGGCCATATCATTAAAATACAGGGCGACTACAGGTGATAATTTTTAAAACCTCTACATTTTTTTCCACAGCATTTTCATAATATAAATTCCCTTGATATGAAACTTTCAGATACAAAGATGATATTGCTGAATCTTACTGGCATTGTATGTCATCTCAGTTATTGTTCAAGTGTCTCCTACCTGGCTGTTATGTCTCTTCATCAAACACTGCCCACTACACAATGCACTACACAGATACAAGGAGATACAAGAGACTGTTCTTGCCTTCAAGGGGTATGTAGTCTAGTTGGGGGCATATTTATAAATAAATAGCAAAGCTACTGTGTTCATTTGGCCCTCAGTTTTTCAGGATGTATACCACCTACGTATCCTTAAGCAGCAGGGGATAGCCCACGTTTACAATTGCAGACATGCTCTCCCCATCCACTGACATTGTGATATTCTTATGTGTATTTAGCTCTGTATTTCTCAGAATCTCTGACTCTCTGGGCCTCCCTGATCATCTTTGCCTCCAAAAATATTTCCTCGTGATGACTTTAACCTCCAGAAGTCAAGAAGATTTCAATATGTTGATTAGTCACTATCTGTTGTGTGGAGCCTCTTATTACACAGCCTGTGGCTTAGGCACTTGTTCCATATTGTTGCAGAACTTTCTCCTTAGTTCAGCTAAAACCAGGCTCTCGTCACATGGCAAGGAAAGATTAGGTTCGTGGACACATGGAAGGATGAGGAAAAATGGAATTTATTCGGCAAAAAGGAAAAATAACTCTCAGCAAAGTGAGAGAGAGTCCTGCTAGCAGGTTTCCCACCTCACAGATTGAATTCCAGGTCACCACACAGGAACAGGAGAGGCCAGGCTCCTCACTGCTGCAAATGGCACGAACTTCCCAAGGCTCCACCCTGTCTTCCCAGTGCACAGGTGGGCATTATTCAGAAAGAGTCAGTCGGAAGCGGTCTTCATCCAGGACCAGCAGTCCAGTTTTTCAGCCTTCAGGCTGTGTTAGGTTTGAAGGCGTGGGGGAGACCCTTGTCTGCCTCCTGGGTCTCTGTCAATATCCTATCAGTTATTGACAGGCATCAGTTTAACTGGCAGGCACTTTGAGACTCCACAGATTGCCCAATACTAAGTGTTAAATGAAAGATTCGAAGGGCAAATACTGCTGGAGAGAGGAGGCTGGAAGATAAAAGAAAGTTTAATGGAGGAGCTTCGGCCTTAGCCTGAACCTTGAGGAAAATATAGGGCTCAGTGAGGAAGGGAAATCCCATAAGCAAAGGTGGCTCACAGTGCATTGAGTAACAATTTGATAGTAACTACACCTCCTGGAACTGAAGAATTTCTTTATGAGATAATTTCTAGAGCACTGAATTCCAGATGTTTAAAGAGATGGAGATTTACCCTTTGAACACTGGGGAGTCACTGGGGTAGCTTCTTGAATGGGGATGATTCAAAGAATGGGACATGATTTTCAAGGCCATAGTTTGGGAATATTAATCTAGGAGCCGTGTGTAGCATTCATCCACACTTTCTCATTTGGACCTGGGGTAAACAGTAACATGGATTTCATGAGAGCTGACTAATCAAGACTGTAGTCTCTGGACTTGGAACATAGTAAAGCTAATTCAAAATGGAAGATTGACTATTACCTCCCTTCAATGACTTCAGAAGAGGAATAAAATAAAACCTACAAGATAGAACTATTCTATTTTAGTCTTCTTTTTGTAATATGTAAACTTCTGAACCAAAAAGTGACCTCAGGTGCTCCTTCCTCCTAAGAGCTGTCTTGTTCCTTTTATATAATTTATTTGATCATTATTTCGCCTAAATTGTCTTACACCTGAAAGCAGTTTCAGATTGATGAGTTATTGAAAAGTGCAGTTACAGAGGAGATAACATGCTGCTACGAACTAATAAAATTCTCTTCTTTTTCTCAGGTGGCTCATCCACAATAAGCTTAAACTCTAACCAGGCTTTGGCAAACCCAGTTTCAACACACACCATTTTAACTCCCAATTCCAGCCTCCTGTCTACTTCTCACGGGACAAGAATGCCATCATTATCTACAGCAGTTCAGAATATGGGGATGTATGGAAATCTGCCTTGTAATCAACCTAACACATACAGTGTCACTTCAGGAATGAATCAATTGACCCAACAGAGAAACCCAAAGCAATTGTTAGCAAATCAAAACAACCCTATGATGCCACGGCCACCTACCTTAGGGCCAAGTAATAATAACAATGTAGCCACTTTTGGAGCTGGATCTGTTGGTAATTCACAACAATTGAGACCAAATTTAACCCATAGTATGGCAAGCATGCCACCACAGAGAACATCAAACGTAATGATCACATCCAACACAACTGCACCAAACTGGGCCTCTCAAGAAGGAACAAGCAAACAGCAAGAAGCCCTGACGTCTGCAGGAGTCCGCTTCCCCACAGGTACACCTGCAGCCTATACCCCAAATCAGTCACTGCAACAGGCAGTAGGTAGCCAGCAATTTTCCCAGAGGGCAGTGGCTCCTCCTAACCAGTTAACACCAGCAGTGCAAATGAGACCCATGAACCAAATGAGCCAAACACTAAATGGGCAAACCATGGGTCCCCTCAGGGGTCTGAATCTCAGACCCAATCAGCTAAGCACACAGATTTTGCCTAATTTGAATCAGTCAGGAACAGGGTTGAATCAGTCGAGGACGGGCATCAACCAGCCACCATCCCTGACGCCCAGCAATTTTCCTTCACCCAACCAAAGTTCCAGGGCTTTTCAAGGAACTGACCACAGCAGTGACTTAGCTTTTGACTTCCTCAGCCAACAAAATGATAACATGGGCCCTGCCCTAAACAGTGATGCTGATTTCATTGATTCTTTATTGAAGACAGAGCCTGGTAATGATGACTGGATGAAAGACATCAATCTTGATGAAATCTTGGGGAACAATTCCTAAAGAAGAAAGGGAAGACAATTTACAAACTCCAAGCACTAAAAGGCAGTATATTACAGAAACTCTGTAGAGGCTGAACTGTTGATGTTCAGGTGGACTACATGAAGATAACATGCTTAAAAATGGAAAGCAGAAAGTAACTGCAGTGATGAACATTTTGGTCCAAATTCTTGTTTTAAATCTTACACCTGAAAGTAAAATATTGGGATCACTTTTCCCTGTCTAAACTCCAGGATACAGTATCCAATTTATCCAAACAGAACTGTGGTGTCAATGTGTAATTAATTGTGTAAAATAGCCTTCCCAAGTTTCTTTTTCCCTGGAAAATAAAAAAGGTAATAGAACTTGTAGTTTATTTAAACCCCATGTCATGAGGAGGTACTAGTTCCAAGCAACAAACTCCTTAATTTGCTCTAATAGATAGGTATGGTTTAATCTTTCCATTGTGTCTTTTCATTTAATTTTCCTGAAGCTTGCAGGATAGATTGAAATGTTATAGGTTTGTTTGGAGTAACCAAACAGTATGCAAATTAAGAAAAAGCCAGAGAACCTAGAAAACATCCAGTGGATTACAGAATTTCTTCCCCATATTCACTCCTCACTTTTACAATTTTCCCACAATCCTCTACTTCAGTGGGATGCTGTGTCTAGTGATTAAACAAAAATATAGAGCTGTGCAATTTGATTTTGGCTTCCACAACGAATATCTGAATCCATTCCAAATGAAATTTTAGATATAACAAAGACTTGTCCTAATCATACTGAAATATTGGTGCACACCTCTCTGCATTAGATTTCACTTTTTTAAAAAACCCAGTGGACATTGCTATAAATAAGATTTATTTGGCTACAAATAACCTGGGATGTTGCTTATTATGATTGATGCCTGCTGGTTTGTTCCCAAGCTGAGTGAAATTGAACCTCGTCCTCCCTACTCATTTTGATGACTGAGGCTGGTTTATAAGAAAAGGAAGTTTGGAGAAGAAAACCGAGATTAGAAAATATCATGTTTTGGTTGGAGATAAGAACCAGGGATGGCAAGTACCAGTGTGTACAAATGTATTTCACGGAGTTTGAAGGAACGCATAATCAAGAGGGAAAACAATTTGTCCTTCATTGGACGTATTATTTGGATTTGGGTGAGCAACAAAATGGAATGTGGTCTGTTAGGAGCATTCTGTTTGTTCTTTTGTCCCTGATGTGATGAATCATTGCCACATGCTAGATGGACTCTTCATATCCAGGTTTTGTCCCTCAGGGCTGAGCACTGTATTAAAGAGTTTTTGTTGAGTCATTTAACCTTAGTGTCCACATCCAGATCAGCTGTAAAATGGGGAAGACGTGTGCTGATTTGGAATGAATGCAAAATATCACTATCATTTTCCTAATTACAGAGGAGCAAAGGTTATCTTCAGCCCTTTCAGTTCTATGCTCACATATTCAAATATCAAATGTAATTTAGCTGAAGTTATTTAATAATCAAGTCTTTCAATATCTGTTCAAAGAAAAAGAACACACTTTGAAAATTCTGCAAAGCTGTCTCCCAGTCTTTAAAATGTCTGGAAGCACTCTCCTTCTTTACAATACCAACATCACTGGCCCAGAATCTTCCCTGTGCTAGTTTGTAAATATAAATAAATTACTTGTTTTGTAAACTTTTGTAAAGAATATTTTGGTAGAAATACTTCAAACATATTCTTTGGGTTATATTTATACATATGTGAAATAAATATACTATCAAAAGGTTATATTTTATACAAAAAGTAAATTGCTACCTTTTGTATGCTAATATGCAAAGTTTTGTATAATATGATGGTTTATTTTTAGCTCTACACTTAAACCATAGGTGGTTGAGTGGGAACTTTTGAAAACTATCAAGAGGCTTGTTAGACAAATTTATATTCTGAAACCTCAATAAGAAAGCATTCCAGGTTTCAATCCTTGTTTTTTGTCCTGCTCCCAAATTCTTTTTTAAACCCATAGTTCTTGTGTCTTATTTGATTCTTCTGCTGTGCACATTGTATTGGTCCTTGTTGCATGTAGTCTACTGTGTGTTTTCCGATTTTATAAGGCAGCATTTCTCCATACAAAAAGAAAAAAAATGATGTACATATAAACGCTTTTGTTGTATGGCTCCTCCATGTTACTGTATATATCTGCCAGCACTTCCCAGTTACACTCCTGTGAGTCAGCTTATTTTTACCCTAACATAAATAGTATGTTTTGTAGTAGTTATCAAATTTAAGAGATAAAGCAATCAGAATGTTTGGATTTTCTTCTATCTTAATGTGAATTTCATAATTAATGTCTATTTATTCAGCTATTCATTAAAATACAGGATTCTTTGGGAAAACATGATGTGTAGTCTGTAGTTTGTTTGTTAGCAGCCTATTACCAAAGGTGACATAATTTTCCTGAAAGCAGAGATAATGACAATTTGATAGACATATTTAGCTAAAACCTTAAGATTTACAACTTAAGAGCTATTGGAATACAATCTGCCATTTTTAGAAATACCAGACCACTTAATTGTTGGCATTGTTTATCATCCTGACATAGAGAGGAGGTAGAAGCAATTTTTCTTTTTTGTTTTAAGTCAAAGACTAGAAAGCAGTTTAAGCAAGTAATTCGGTCTTGGCTTTGTATTAAGCCCTATGAAGATAAATAACTCTGCTCTAAGTGAATGCGCTAATGTTACCTGCATTACTGTAAACGTACCATAACGGTAAAGATTTCAACTTGTAAAACAAGTATGTTGTATTGCGTATAATTTCATGTGTAAAAAACTGTTTAAAAAAATTCAGAAGTAGGCCAGGCGTGATGGCTCACGCCTGTAATCCCAGCATTTTGGGAGGCCAAGGCGGGTGGATAACGAGGTCAAGAGATCGAGACCATCCTGATCAACATGGTGAAACCTCATCTCTACTAAAAATACAAAGAATTAGCCAGGTGTGGTGGTGGGAGCCTGTAGTCCCAGCTCCTCGAGAGGCTGAGGCAGGAAAATCACTTGAACCCGGGAGGCGGAGGTTGCAGTGAGCCCAGATTGCGCCACTGCACTCCAGCCTGGCAACAGAGCGAGACTCCATCTCAAAAAAAAAAAAAAAAAAATTCAGAAATCGTTATCCTGTATGAAATCATACTTTCAGTTATCAACAATATTGTTGCTTCATTATACAAAGTTCTGAAAACTATTCATAATAATGGGTACTTAAAGGCAAGTTTAGTCTCTCGGAAGCTTCTGAACGAGTGAAATGTTGACTTGTCACAGTGTTCTTTAGTTGACTTAAAAAGTTTGTATTAACATTCTATATGCATGGCATCTACTAAATACTAGGGAAATACAACCTAATTCGCAGGCACTGTGGGCATTTGCCTGGCCTGCTGTGTGGCATTTGGTCAGACCGGCTAGTGAACACAGGCTAGGTAAACACAGCCCGACTGGACATATTTACACAGCCCTTCTTGAGAGTCAAGGAGGTTGAGAGTAAGATGGGTCTTTAGAGGAGGCAAGAAGAACCATTCCAAATTCTCCTGCACTGCTGTCTAAATATGTTGTTAAGCTCTCATTATCCCTTTCCCCTCTACTAAAAAAGTATGTGACATTGTCTTTGTTATTAGCATTATTAATAAACCAATAATGAAATTATAATGAAATTGAAAATTTTTTTTTTGAGATGGAGTCTAGCTCTGTCGCCCAGTCTGGAGTGCAGTGGCGTGATCTCTGCTCACTGCAAGCTCCATCTCCCAGTTTCATGCCATTCTCCTGCCTCAGCCTCCCAAGTAGCTGGGACCACAGGCACCCGCCACCACACCCGGCTAATTTTTTGTATTCTTAGTAGAGATGGGGTTTCACCGTGTTAGCCAGGATGGTCTCGATCTCCTGACCTCATGATCTACCCCCCTTGGCCTCCCAAAGTGTTGGGATTACAGGCATGAGCCATTGCACCCAGCCTGAAATTCACATTTTTATATAGTCCCTATTCTAATGAGCCTGGAAGGTCAGATAGGAAATAAAATCCACATTTTAAAAAAATAAATAATGTATATACAGATTAAGAGAAAAATGTGTAATTACAAAATTATCTATGAACCCCATTGTGTAGCCATGGAAGTAGAACTGAGAGTGGAAAAGTAAGTACGAAAGAGAGAAAAGCTCAGCTCCTTCCCAACCTTTAGTTGCCAAAGGCTGTTCAAATTGTTAACCATTTTATCCACAATTTCTCTTTTACATTTCTGTGACTGTTTTTGCACCCCAAAAAAAAGGGTTTGGGGCTGAAATAACACTATTCCCTTTCAACTCTAAAACCCTGTGTTAGATTTTCTTCCAAAACTAAGTAGAAAATTAGCCAAAAAAAGACTCATTAGCATCCTTTCTAAAATAAAGAAATTTTATTTTAGGAGAAAATCAGTACTTTGAGTAATATACTCCATTGGGTATATATTAATGAACTTCTGTGATTTGTAAATGGCAGTGTAACAGCTTCTAATATCCTTAAGTTCCTGTTCTCGTGCTGCTATAAAGATACTACCTGAGACTGGGTAATTTATAAAGAAAAGAGGCTTAATTGACTCACAGTGCTGTATGGCTGGGAGGCCTCAGGAAACTTACGATCATGGTGGAAGGCAAATGGGGAAGCAGATACGTCTTATGTGATGGCAGGAGAGAAAATGCACAGTGGAAATTGCCATTTTTAAACCATCAGATCTCATGTGAACTCCTGCACTATCACAAGAACAGCATGGCGGAACCACCCCATGATCCAATCACCTCCCACCAGGTCCCTCTCAACACATGGAGATTACTATTTGAGATGAGATTTGGGTAGGGACACAGAGCCAAATATCATAGATGAAGTACCAGGAGTGTCCTAGGATCAGCTTCATTGGCAGCAATAAAATAACTAAAACCTTGTACCATGAGAATTAAGAAAACATATTGACCTTAGATTTTTAAAATCAAAATGCTGTTGCTTAGGTTTTTAAAACCAAAATGCTGATCTGCATGCAATAATATAAATAGAGAGCTTCTGTTTGTTTACATAAATAGCATCTTAAATTCCCTTTTATCAAATGTAAGTCATCTTCAGCTCTAGGATGTGCAAGAATATACAAATGCTTTCTACAATACTTAGGATTCTTTCAGCAAAAGGGAAGGAGGAAGGGTAGGAAAGAGAAAATAATATATACAATACTGCATACATATATAGAAACTTCTTTTGGGGTTCTTTCAGCAAAAAGAGGATAGAAGGATGGGAGAAAGGATGGAAAGAAAACATGTCTCCAACAGGCTTAGAAAAAAGAATGTACTGCTTAACATAACTAAAACTTCTGGGAGATATTTAGTTTAGGTATGGCTGTATACAGCAGCTCAACAATGTCAAGAATTGGTTCCTTTATGTCTCTCGCCTTTGCTTCCCTGTGTCTTGTCTCCATCCTTGGGCATGCCCTTCTCTTATATTGGCAAAGTGGTTGACAACCTCCAGATTTAACATCCTCATAAGTCCATGTTCAGCATAAACAGAGTGAATGTTTTCCTTTCAAAAGACCTAACTGTGTGTCTCATAGACTTTAATTAGGGTGTGTGCCCATCCCTGAACAATCACTTTGGCCAAGGAGGTACAGTGTACTGATTGGCCAGGCCTGAATCAAATGTCTATCCCTGTAGGCAGAAGTAGTATTAATACCACCGAAACCAAATGGGCTGAGGGTGAGAAAGGGGTAATTTCTCAAAGGAAAATCAGGTTGTTATTGTCAGGGAAAAAAATAAATAAATACAAGAAACCGATGTAAAAAAAAAAAAACCTCACAAATATTTACTACCTTTTTCTGGCTGCCCTTTTTTTCATACACACTGTATTCCCCATATCTTAAATTACAAAATCTCACTAATAATCCAAACACACTCACCTTCTTCCTATAGAGAGACAATCTAAATCTCATCTGTTTGCTGCATTCACCTCTTAGACCAGCACAGCTAGGTGAGGTAAACTCTTTTGCCAAGTGAAGACAGACCAGCAACCTAAGCCCAAAAGATGTTTATTCACCTCCAGTGTATACAATAAACATTCAGTGTGGAAAGAGAAGAGGATAATGGTAAGGATGAGTTCTACTTGGAAGAGAAACTAAAATGTATAGATAACATCTTAAGAGTAAAAATTATTTTGCCCTTGAGCTTTTGAATCAACAGCTTGGGGGAGAAGAGACATAAAAACTTTCTTCTGTCCTCAGGATGCATGCCAGTTGCATTTTACATTGAGAATAATTGTCTCTTTCCTCAGAGAGTATATTATATAAGGTGCTTGGGAGGGGCCTAGAGAATCAGAATTCTCTCTGGTCCCAGTCATATCTCCTGCTAACATCCCTATCTCTCTGACTTAGTATACAATAACTTTAGCTTAGGATTGAGAATTCAACATTCTTTAAAAAGTCTCAACTGATTTCTAATTAGAGAAATGAAAACCAATTCAAATATTTCATGTGTCAGGGAGATTTTAATGCAAGGAATTGGTTGCACAGGTGATAGACAGCAGAGATGCCAAATAGAGAAAGGTGAGAACCATTTAGAGATGAACAAAAGCAAGAAGCCACTACAGCTTCTAGGATGCAAGGGCAAAAATACAAGGAGCCAGGATCACTAAGCAGATGCTGCAACATTGGCTGGCCTGTCTGGTAGGAGCCAGATCCAGGGAGAAGTTTCAGCTGTTAATGGAAACATCACTTACGACAGAGAGGGAGGAGAAGGAATACAATCCCCACCCTCACTCATCTTCTCTCACTCTCCAGGAAATGTATCTCATTTGCTGAACTCAGCTGGAACGTAGTCTGAAGGAGGGCATTATAGATCAGAACAGAAAAAGGGAAAGGAATACATCTGCCAATACATTGGCCCAGGTCTGATATAACAAGCCTGCAGCTTTCTCAGGAAAGCCTGATTTTCCTCATTCTCTGTTTTCAAATACATTAACTTAATCTAAATTTGTCCGTTTATTACAGAATGGTATCAATTAGGAAACTGTTCATCGCAGGTATTTGAAATCCCACCTGATGGTGGTTTAAACAGAGAAGGGTTTTTAAAATATTTCATGGGCTCTAAGAACACAAGTTTTTCATATTTTTTATTTGTAAAATTAGGTAATCATTTACAATTGATGTGAAGAGAAAATATTATATTATTGTATAATAGCATTTTCTTTTCTTAGTGGTATATGGAATAATGATGTGTCTTATAATCGATGGTATGAATGTGATGAAACATAGTATTTGTCTTGTGGAACAAGGGGTCTGGGTGGGCAATCCTGACCAGGAACAAGGGTCTAACAGTGCTATCAGGTACTCAGGCTATTTTCACCTTTCATCTCTGCCATGGGTATGCATAAAAGCCTTCTTCCTCATTCTTGTCACCAATGATGACAAGACTCATTACCTCAGCCTCCTGTCTATGTTCCAAGCTAAAAAAAAGTGGAAAGGAAAACAATATGAAGGGCAAAAATATTGCCTATAGCAAGTCTTTACGTTTTCATTTCGGAAAGATCACCCAAGCTAGAGACTTTTAACTATACCTCATTAGCTCTGACTGTGTTTTATGGCTTTTCAGATATTCAAGAGAGGCTGGGCATCAAGTATTTAAAGTATAGCCTCTATAGGAGAGGATATATAGTAGAGCAGGTGGTTGGAAATGACAGTAACGCTATAAAGATATGCATGGGAATGGTAAACATAAATTTAAGATGCTGATCATCTTTGAATAAATGGATTATAAGAAATGTGATTGGGAAATTGTACACAGAGATCTTTATTATAATTGTGTTATGTTATTTTCTTAGCTGGATGGGGACTACATGGTTGTTATATTGTTTATTTTAAATGTCTTTTTATACCGGACATAGATCGTTAGAAATGAAAAAAGCTCAGTTATTTGGAATGACCACTAATGGCATTCTACTGTAAATAAATGAATAAATAGTTTTTGATTTAGAGTTATTGCAGGATGCAGATGAAATACCCTGAAAGTCCCAATACTAGATTTAAAAATAAAATGGGAATTTCAAAAGTTACTAAAAAGCTACAGAAATAAAGATTTTATGGTACTGGCATAAGTATAGACATACAGATCCATGGAATAGACTCTCAATTCTATTCCATGGATCTGTATGTCTGTTCTTCACATTTATGGTCACTTGAGTTTTGACAAGGTACCAGGACAATTGGTGGGGATGGGGAGAGGACAGTATTTTCAAAAATAGTACTGAGACAGCTGGATATCCACATGCAGAAGAATGAAGTTGGACCCCTACCTTACACTGCATACAAAAGTTAACTCAAAATGGTTCATAGATCTAAATTAAGAACTAAAACTATAAAGCTCGTGGAAGAAAATAGGTGTAAATCTTCATGAGCTTGAATTAGGCAATGGTTTCTTAGATATGACACCAAAAACATAAGCAACAAAAGAAAAAATAGATAAATTGGGCTTCATCAAAATTAAAAATTTTTGTGCTTCGAAGCCACTATCAAGAAAATAGAAAAATGGCCACAGAATGGGAGAAACTATTTATAAACTATACATCTGATAAGAGGCATCTAAAAATAGTTTTAAAACTCTTACAATTTTACAAAAAGACAATCCAATTTAAAAACAGCCTAAGCATTTGCATGGGCTTTTTACCAAAGAAGATATACAAGTGGTCAATAGACACAAGAAAAGATGCTCAATATAATTATTCATCAGGGAAATGCAAATTAAAACCACAATGAGATAGCGATAATACTTCATACCTAACTAGGATGGCTATAATAAAAAAGACAGACAACAAATGTTTGCAAAAATGTGCAGAAATTGGAACTCTCATACACTGCTAGTGGGAATGTAAAATGGTCCAGCCACTTGGAAAAAGATCTAGAAGTTCTTCAAAAGGTTAAACAGGCTGAGGGCAATGGCTGATGCCTGTAATCCCAGCAATTTTGGAGGCCGAGGTAAGTAGATTGCTTCAGCTCACAAGTTCAAGACCAGCCGGGGCAAGATGGCAAAACCCCTTGTTTCTACAAAAAAAATACAAAAATTAGCCCTGCATGGTGGCACATGCCTGTAGTCCCAGCTACTTGGGAGGCTGAGGTGGGAGGATGGCTTGAGCCTGGGAGGCAGAGGTTGCAGTAAGCCAAGATCGTGCCACTGCACTCCAGCCTGGGTGATAGAGCCAGACCTTGTCTCAAAAAAAAGAAAAAAAAAGTTAAACAGCATTATCCTATAACCCAGCAATTCTGTTCTGAAGTATATGACCAAGAGAAATGAAAATATATGTTGTCCACTTGAAAACTTGTACATGAATATTCAAAGCAGCATTATTCATAATAGCCAAAAGTAGAGACAATCCAATGTCCATCAGCTGATGAATGGATAAATAAAAGCTGATTCATTCTTATTGTGGAGTATTATTTGGCAATAAAAAGAAATTAAGTACGGGATACATGCTATAACATAGAAGAATCCTGAGAACATTATACTCAGTGAAAGCTGACAATCACAAAACACTGCATGATATATGACTGAATTCTTAGAAAATATCCAAAATAGACAAATCCATAGAGACAGAAAGGAAATTAGTGATTGCCTAGGGCTAGGGGGTGAGGTGAAGAATGACTGCTAATGGGAATAGATTTCTTTTTGGGGTGAAGAAAATGCCCTAAAATTGGATAGTAGTAATGGTTGTCCAACTCTAAAAATACCAAAAACCACTAACCTGTACACTTTAAAGGGGAAAATTTTATGTGTGTGATTTATATCTCAATAAGGCCACTTGAAAACGAAAAAAGATAAAGTGGCATTTAAAAAATAGATCAGCAGGTTACCACCAAAGTAACAAATATGCCAATTCCAGACTTGAAGTAAAAATTATGAATCCCTGGACATAAGTGTCAATGACAGCTTTTGCCCTGATAGTTTTTGTTGAACTCTGGAGACCTTGAACCTACATTTTGGCAGCTGCATAGGTTATGGGGGGCAGGATACACAGGCTAGGGCATGCTTGAGATGAGGATTATAATAAAAATATCCTCTACAAAAAGCTGATACTCCATGAAATTACAACCACTGAGTAAGGGTAAAAATGAAATAAACTCTGCTGTGTCACAAAGGGGAAAAATTCTCCCCTGAAAACGCATAACCACCAGAGGGCATTCATATGCATTTGGGCTTGCATTGATAAAATTTGTGTGTCAAAAAATATTTGAGTAGAGAATTGTATTTGGGGTGTCCCCAGTTGGCTACAACAGCAGAAAATAGAATCAAATTCTCTTAGGAGGCTTCAGAAAGTTTCTACAAAGTGTCAAAGAAAACCAGCATCAGATCCATTATCAAAAATCACAAAACACATATATAAACAAAGCATCATGAGTGAGCACCAGCATAAACAACAGACAGCAGAACAAGACCCACAAAAGCTTCAGCTTTCAGAAATAGCAGGCACATATAAAAACCTGTTTAATGTATGTAAAGAAATAAAGTAGAAGCTTGGAAATATCAACATAAATTGTCCATAGTGAATGAAGAATAAACATTCTTTTTAAGCATGGAATATTCATAATAATTGATAACATTATAGGCCATAAAATAGCATCATTAAATTTCAAATAATCAGCATTAGTGTGATCACATTCTTCTCCCCCAATTCACCTGCTAGAAATAATTTTAAAAGATAACATGGAAACTTCATTCATTTGAAAATTAAAATTTAAAAAAAATCATCTAGGCTGGGCGCGGTGGCTCATGCCTGTAATCCCAGCACTTTGGGAGGCCAAGGCAGGTGGATGACCTGAGGTCAGGAGTTTGAGACCAGCCTGGCCAACATGGTGAAAACCCTGTCTCTACTAAAAATACAAAAATTAGCCAGGTGTGGTGGCACATGCCTGTAATCCTAGCTACTCGGGAGACTGAGGCAGGAGAATTGCTTGAACCCGGGAAGCGGAGGCTTCAGTGAGCCGAGATCATGCCACTGCACTCCAGCCTGGCCAACAGAGTGAGACTCTGCCTCAAATAAATAAATAAATAAAATAATAATAATAATCGAAACAACTCATGAGTGGATGGCAAAACTAAAAATATAGAAAATACTTGTAATTACGCCAGACGTGGTGGCTCACACCTGTAATCCCAGCACTTTGGGAGGCCAAGGTAGAAGGATCCATTAAGCTTAGGAGTTCAAGACCACCTGGGCAACATGGTGAAAACCTGTTTCTACAAAAAATAAATAAATAAATAAATATATATATATATATTTAGCTGGATGTGATGGTGTGCACCTGTAATCCAAGCTACTCAGGAGGCTGAGGTGGGAGGATCACTTGAGCCCAGGAAGCAGAGATTGCAGAGATCGCACCACTGCACTCCAGCCTGGGTGACAGAGCCAGACCCAAAACACACACACACACACACACACACACACACACACACACACACACACAAAAGAAGAAAGAAGGAAAGAAAGGAAGGAAGGAAGGAAGGCAAGCAAACCTGTACTTAAACAATAATAGAATATGTATGCTGCTTGAGGAATTGGAGCGAAATCTGTTCCCTTAATTGCTTTCATTAGAAAAAAAGTTTAAAGTGAATTTTTAAAAATTCAACTTGAGGAACAAGAACAAGAATGCAAGAAAAATCTGAAGAAAAGTAAGGGAAATAACAAAGAACATATTTTAATTAATAAAGTAAGGGCTAAACCAAGCATACAATAATAGGGAGGATTAACAATGCCAAAAGTTGATTCTTTAAGATATTTATAAAATTGACAAACCTCTGAAGAAATTGAGAAAATTGAAAAAAATTGAGAAGATGACAACATTATTAGGAATTTAAAAGGAGCATAACTATAGAAACTACAGAGATTAAACAGGTAATGATAAGATATTGTGCACAAGTTTATGGCAATAAAGTTGAAAATTTAGAGGTAATGAATGAATTACCACAAAATACAACTCACCAAAACTGATTTAGCAAAAGATAGAGAAGTTGGATAGCCTGATAGCTATTAAAGGAATTCAGACAGTCATTCAAATTATTGCCACAAAGAAAAAGGCAGGACAAAAAAGCCGGATTTTATGAAATAGTCAAGAAATAGTTCAGGCCAATTTTATATGAATTTTTTCAGAGAATGAAAAAGAAGAAACACTTTTCAATTTCCAACTCAATTTTTTTTTTTTTTTTGAGAAGGAGTCTCGCTCTGTGGCCCAGACTGGAGTGCAGTGGTGCAATCTTGGTTCACTGAAACCTCTGCTTCCTGGGTTCAAGTGGTTCTTCCCGTCTCAGCCTTCAGAGTAGCTGGGACTACAGGCGCATGCTACCATGCCTGGCTAAATTTTGTATTTTTAGTAGAGACAGGGTTTCACCATGTTGGCCAGGCTGGTCTTGAACTCCTGACCTCAGGTCATCCACCTGCCTTGGCCCCCCAAAGTGCTGGGGTTACAGGCTTAAGCCACTGCACCCGGTCTCCAACTCAATTTTTAAAGCTGGCATAATCATGACACAAACATAAGACATGGCTGGCACATGGTAGGAAAATTATAGACTAGTCACACTCATGAATGTAGTTTCAAAAATCTTAAACCCAATTTTAACCAACACAATCCAGTTGTATATAAAAGACATAATACATTATGGCTAAGTTGGGTTTCTCCCAGGAGTACAAAGTTGGTTTAAAAAGTTGGCAGGAACAAGAAGAGGATGCCCACTATCATCCATTCCTACCTGATCTTCTGGTGGAAGTCCTACTCAGTACAAGAAAACAAAAAAAGAAAAAAAATACATTAAAATTGTACAGAAACAAAACAATCATAATTGGATAATCATAAATATATGTGGTTATTCATTTAGAAAACCCCAGAGAATCTAGCCAATTTTCTGGAAACTAAATCAACACACAAAAGCAGTTTTTATATGCCACCAACTATTAAAAAGCATAACTTGAAAATCATATTCACAGTAACATCAAAATCTAGGATATGTGTGGATATACATGTATATGTGTGTGTATTGAGCCTTACATGCATAAAATTATCAAATTCTAATAAAGAACATTTTTAAAGACCAAATAGATAATTACCATGCTCTTTGACAGGAAGCATCTATAGTATAAAGTCAGCAACTTTTTCTAACTCAGAATTCCCCAGGGTACCTCTTGGTGATTCCATGCCCAGTGATAATAGCACATGGGCAATTGCAACTACCTAGTCTTGAAAAGGGCAAGGTAACCAGAAACTCAATTCCCTCAAAGATAAAGGACTGGGTCACCTACCAAGAGAAGCATCCAAGAGATATTCTGACCAAGGGAAGTCTACCATGGGTGGTAAAGGTGGGAGATGATGAATATCAACTGATGGCCTCAGGACCAACTACAGCAGTAGGGAGTGTACTTACTCCATCTACATTTAAGCCTTTTATTCTTCTCTTTTTCAGGTACCTGTACCTTAAAAATTTGAAGAATCAGTGACAACATAGAGTGAACATAGTGTGAGGGTTGAGTGGATCTGAAGGGTGCAACGGGTTGCAGTAGCAGATCTCAAAAGGGCTCCATCCATATCGCTTTAATCTATCCTAGACAGCTGCTGTCAAGATGATTGCCTCCTACATATTTCTTGACGATTGCCTGAGGGCATCGTCTTTAGCAGAATACTTGGGACAAGCCTTAAGTAGAAGAGAATTTCTGTCCCAAAGGGGGCTTTCAACCAATTTAGGATGGTGGATAAATAGCCCAGATCCCTTCTCCTTTAGTGGATAAGTCTCATGTGTGTTTCACACTATCTTTCAGAGTTCCCAGTGGGAATAAGCCTGGTTGCTCATTGTGGTAATCTGCTTATAAATAAATGCTTTATTGGTTCTTATTCTTTCCAGGTCTCACTTCCTTACGCCTTCACAGTGCTTCCAGGTATCACCTTCCAGATAAACTCCCTGCATGCAGATCTTTGTCTTAGTATCTACTGTGGGGGGAATTAAACTAAAACAAAATCTAAATGTCCATCAATGTTAGAAGAGGTAAATTGAGGTATTGTCATAAAATGGAATGTAATGCTACAAGAAAAGGGAATGAGCTAAATACATCAACATAATGTTGAATGAAAGAAGCAAGTCACACACAAAAAACCCTACACCTTGATTCTATTTTTAAAAAATATTTTAAAAGGCCAAACTAAACAAGATGTTATTTAAGAATACATACTGCAAACCAAAAATAAAATTCGAAGCTCCCCAATCGACTGAATGGACCCCTTTTTGGCCAACGGGATCCCAAAGAAACCTGACAAACAAGTTCAGGCCATAATGGGAAGGAGTCAGACATGTCTCACTGTATACTCCTCCCTTTGGAGTTTAGAAACATCTAACCAGCATTAACATTAAAACAGAGATCTTGAGACTGACGAAGCAGGCTCTTGATAGCAATAAGATACCAGATTCCAACCTGACTCTGGTATAGCATCACATGACAAATAGCAGGCCTTGAGGGAAGTCACTTTACTGCCAAATATACTTCTTTGACATATATTGAAATAGCCCTGCAAAGCTGTCTCTTGTGGGGGAAATGTGCATTCTATAGAGAATCTCCTTCCCTTACTATGTCTTTTATGCAGAGTCTGACACCATTTAAGGCCTGATAAGAGACATTTTCTCTGAAGCCTGCTACCTCAAGGCTCTATCTACATGATAAGAACCTTGGCTTCCACAACCTCTCCTTTTATCTTAACTCAATATTTCTTTATGCTGACTTCAACTCTTTAGGCAGAGCTAAACTCTTTCGACCAATTGCTAATTAGGAAATCTTTGAATGCACCAATGACTTGGAAATCCCCCCGCCACCCAACTCCCCCACTGCTTCAAGATATCCCACTTTTCCAGGCTGAGCCAAGTATACTTTCCATGCATTGATTTATGTCTTTGCCTGTAACTTCTGTATCCCTAAAATGTATAAAACCAAGCTGCAACCCAGCCACCTTTGGCACATATTGTCAGGAAGGACCTCTTGAGGTTGTGTCACAGGTCATAGTCCTTAACCTTGGCAAAATAAAACTCTAAATTGATTGAGACCTGTCTCAGATACTTCTTGGTTTATAATACAGATTGGCAAAACCGCAAAGAAAAGCAAGAGACTAATTCTCATAAAAGCCAGCCTAATGGTTGCGTCTAGGGAACAAAGAGAGCTTTTAAGGTACTGGTAGTGTTCTGTTTCTTAACCTGGTTGTTGTGTATGCCATTATTTGTTATCTTATTCCTTAATTTATTCATACCTTTCTTGGCAGTTTTTATGGTTTTCTTTAAACACAAGTAAAACGTGCACACAACCTGTCTATTCATTTTCTTTGCTGTGCAGCCTGGCATTAGGATTGGTGACTCTGATGATGAGCTAGGCTGCTCTTTCCATGATGGCTGTGTGGTTCTTCTTTGAGAAAACATTGTGAGCATTCTCAGCCCAGTAAGATTTGTTGCACATCAGCAGCACATCCAGCTCCTTGACACTGGATACTAGGAACTTCCAGAAGCCATGGGCAGCATGTGCTTTGTCTTCTTGTTGCTCCTATAACCAGTGTTGGACATCAAGTCTGGCCCTTGAATCCTCTGCATACCCTGTTGTTAATACCTCTGGGTTTCCACCAGTTACACTTAATTTTGACATATCGATCTGTCCCGATGATGAACTTCTTGATCCTCTTTATGACAATCTTGGGCTCCACAAGGGGTCTGAGTGTGGCTATGATGGTGAATAGGAGATGGCTGCCACCTTCATAGGCAGCATCACAGAAGAGACTTTATTTATATGTTGTGTATTTAATATCTTTTACAATAAAAAATTTTTAAATGCTGTCAAATTAAGAATGTGAAAAACGGAAGGAGCATTGCAGTTGATCAACTAATTGATCGTTAAGTATGAGGATTTTGCACTCAAATTGCCTTGTGTCTTTAAGTTTCCATTCCATTTTAATGAAACCAGAAATTGAAATCAGAAAATGCATTATGTATGTGATTCATGCAAGAAAGACTTCAGAGAATAAAACCATATCAAAAAGAAAGGCCTTGGCCCTAACATCAAAAAGATTTGTGAATGCTGGCACATTATAAACTTTACATTAAAAATAAATTTTAAAATTATGTTTTAAGTTTAAAAATATAATTTATATATGTATGTATATAATGTATACATAGATAATTCTGTTTAACATACATACATAATTCTGTTTAACCCAATTTTATTTTTCTTTTTTAAGTTAACTAACCAACTACCACTTCTATTCACATCACATAAGAGGACATCTACTCTACTAAACAGTAAGGAAATCAACTAAAGATTGTGTAGGGCTTTGTTTGGAAACTAATGGGAAGTGAAGACAGAATGGCACAGAGGTTATGTATGTTTAAAAATTAAAACTGATTTTTAACACTTATTCTTGAAAAACATGCAACAAATATTAAGGAAAATTATCTCCAATATGAATGAGTATAACATTAAGTAATCTTCAAAGTAGTTTTTACTCATTACTGATTCATATACTAACCTAAAAGCAACATGTCAGTTTTCAAAGCACTAAAGAAAAAGTATATATGAATAGTGAGAGAGATACAGAGAGAGAGCACCCCCATTTATATTTGTGTGTCTCCATTTGTATAATCCTGCCTTTCAATACTTGCTGGAAAAATAGAAGATTATTCTACATCTGGTCTTTTGGTTAAAGTTAGCAAGGCATTTTTGTTAATCTTTGGAGTGATCAGAAGGTTTGAAAGATGTCTTAATCCTGCTCTGAGTGTGTTAAAGTAGATGTCTTTTTTCACTTTACAAAATCAAAAGAGAGTGGTGTTATGAGGATTAGATTTTGACAATTCAACCCAAATGACTTTGTTATGGAAAAATATTCTGCGTCCTTTCTCTAATCCAGAAAGTATATTCATAGAGAGGGCACTATAACTACACTAAAGTATAGTTGCAAATATTAAAATTAAATGTGATAGAAAAAACACAGCTGTTAAAGGGCAGTGACTGTGTGAATTCATTTGAGTGTTACATGTCTATGATGATGTGGATTATTCAAGATTTTTTCCAAACTCATTTCAAAGATTCTCACTTTAGCATTTCAAAGGTAGTGGATAATATTTGTAAAAAAAAAAAGTTTCACTTCTTTTAAATCAATAATAATAGGGCTTGAAAGCAAAATATGCAAAGGCTTATGAAATAATGTATACCAGGGAGTTCTGAATGTCAATTGTGTGCACAGATGTCTCAGTTGGGGCATAAAATATTGGCATGTCTCATAGCAGTTTTTCTTTCCTCAAGAAGTTATTTGCACTTGTGCAATGACACGAGCACTTCATGTGACATAGAGAAAAACTGAAAATCTCAAAAAGAAATGGATAAAGATTTGGATCTCCAAATTTAACTGACCCTGGAAGTAAGTTATTCAATAAATAAGACATTGCATATGTATATTTATTTTCTTTTATTTTAGATTCAAAACATATTAAGGCATATTTCACCTCAAAGAAGCATGTTCAAACTACTTTAAGTTTTTGAAGTTAAAAACATGTAGTGCTCCATTCAGAGAGTCCAGATTTTAAAAAGAAAGTTCAGTTGGCTCTATCACTTTTCCAGATATGATGGTTCCCTTCCCATTTCAATATAATGTCAGGCTTTTTGAATTCTTCCTATTATTCCTTCAGTAACACAATTGGATTCAGACATTGTAGAGACTTGATTAGAGAGTTAGATTTTTCTACCTCTCTGTATAGTTCTTTCTCTAGAAACTGTTTCTCAAAGTATATTTCATGAAATATTAGTTCTGGGCTTTGCAACATACACTCAAAGGGATTCCATTTTCAAGTTAGTATAGAAGGTACTAGAGCCCATTCTTAGAGAAGTATAAAAGATATTGGTGTTTTGGAAGTTTTCTCTAGCAAACAAAACCGTTTAACTTATTTAGAAACTGGAATTTTCTAAGTTTATTTGGTGTTTTCCACATAACCCTAATTGATATCCTATGGTATAGTTAGCCAAATGCTGTTCTGTGTAATTTATCCTAAGAGTGTATTCTGGCGACCTTTAAAGAATATGAATTTCTATAAAATGCAAACACTGATATATTTGTATTTGCAATAAAAAAAATACTTTGTACATAATAATTAAAAAACCGACATTTTACTGATTTATCTTCAAGCTCAACACCACTCTTTCCAGAGATTACTTTTGTTTGCTTTGCCTGACTAAGGGGATACAGAGACTAAAGTTTGAGGAGCACTTCTTCACATGACATGGGATACTTTTCCAGTAATAATGATATCAAGAAACTAAAGTTTTAAAACAAGAGGCCAGAGTGGGGAAACACCTGACTTTTTGCTGTGTTCGAGGAAAGAATTTGGATCTGCATGAATTGATAGCTGTAGTTTAAAGACTGCATTCAAGGCTTAAGGCATAAAACAGGGTAAAGGAATACTGGTCTGTGTTCTAAGGGAATGTAGCTAAGGAGTCTTTGAGAGAACTTCAGAGGACAAAAGTAGGTGACATTTTCTGGACATTGTATTCTACTTTTATTTGAAACCTCTGATTACCCTTTTAAACTATTTCCCCCTTTTAACCTATATGGATTTTTACTTTTTAAATTTTTTTTTAGACAGAATCTTTCTATGTAGCTCAGGCTGGTCTCTAACCCCTGGGTTCAAGCGATACTCCCACCTCAACCTCCCGAGTAGCTGGGAATACAGGTTCGTCACCTCACCCAGCTGATTTTTTTCATTTCTTTACTAACTATTCCTAATATCATGCATTGGTTATACATTCATATCATTTTTATCTTATTTTATTATTTTCACTATTTCAACTTTTAGTTCTCTGGTTGTAATTATTTTTTTATAGAGTAGTCCCCCATTATCCACATGAGATACATTCCAAGACCCCCAGTGGTTGCCTGAAACTGTAGATAGAACCAAACTCTAGATATACTATGCACAGCTTCCTTTTTCTTTCTTGACAATTTCACAGAGAGAAGATTTATTCTTACCATAAATCTTAGCCACCTCTGCATACAACTTTTTTCTTTCCTTATTAAGTCAAAAACGTTCACCTTTTCATTTAAAGGAAGCACTTTATAGCTTCTCTTTGACATATCCAAATCACCAGCATCACTACTCTTGTACTGTGTAGCCACTATTAAGTAAAACAAGGATTACTGAACCCAAGCACTGAGATACTGTGACAGGTGATCTGATAAACCAAGACGGCTACTGAGTTACTAACAGGCAAGTAGCAGAGACAACATGGATACTCTGAACAAAGGGATTATTCGCATCCTGGGCACTACTCAGAAGAGCACACAATTTAGAAGTTATGAGTTGTTTATCCTTGGAATTTTCCATTTAATATTTTTGGACTGAGGTTGACCGCGGGTGACTGAAACTGGAAAGCAAAACCACAGATAAGGAGGATACTTCTGTATATCATTGATTTTTAATCTTTCTTTGTTAATTCCATTTTATTTCTATATCTCATTTTATCACCTAGTTTTATGTTCCTTAGCCTCTCACACTTTTCCTTTACATTGTTTGATAAATGCTTTTTAAAATTATTGTAGTTTGCATCATCTCTTTATTGATGAGTGCATCATATTTATTTCTTCTTTCTGCTCTAGAAATGTATTAAATGTCAAGCAACTAATAATAACAGAGGAAACTGTGAGGATACCTGTCCACATCCTAAGTAATGAAAGCTATTGGATGGATTTTGTCTCTAGCTGGCTCTGTGTGGCCCTTCCATCTTTCCTTAAAAGACTCCAGTTTCCACCCTATTCCTTTTAGTGTTAAATTCCTTGAATCTACAAACTGGATAATTATATTTACCTATAGAAAATCCATTTCAGCAGAGAAAAAAAGTGCTATTTTTTATGGTAAGGTGAAAATAAGTAAACATTCATTCATCCATTCAATAGATATTTATTCTTGTGAAGAAGTGAAGTGAGAAGGTCTATGTTCAGGGGTCTCTCTACATAATAACAACCACAACTTCAATAAGAATTAACACTTAAAGTTTTTTTCTGTATGATGAACACTATTAGAAGCATTTAGCATGTCCTAACTCATTTCATATTTTTTAAAAACTATGTGATAGATATTATTATCACTTGTGTACAGAAGTAAAAATTGAAGCAAAAAGAAATTAAATAAATTTCTCAGGATCATATAGCTAGTTAACACCTCAGGATTAATTTCAGCAAGTAAACTTGATGGTTTTAAGCCTTCTGTTTAAATTAAGAAGACATGATGTGTTCAAAACTAGACTTTTAAAATCCTCTTAACAATCTGTTTCCAAGTATCTATTTGATTCACCTTGGTTCAAACCAGTATTAAAAGAGGATCATCCACATATACAAATATTAGTCCTCATATGTTCATTACCCCCAATTTCTAAGTTTTGTCCTGCCTTCCACAGCAATTATACTAGTTTATCAAGGCATCCAGAGATGACAATTTAGGAAAATAGAATATCTTTATCTACAGCTGGAGCACCAGCTATATGAAATTCCCATATTATCATCTACTCTATTGAATCAGGCTTGAAAATATGTCAGCCTTATCTACATCTTTTGCTCTTCTTCACAGGCTCAAAATGGAGCCATTCTAAGCCATTCATGCATGCTTTATTTATTCTAGAAGTCATCTTGGTTATAGTTGGCTACCAAAGATAGGAATGAGTGACCTAGAAAATTTCCCTTACTGGTTATTCTTCTAGAGTTGTGGGATGGAAGATCAAAAGATTGTGACGGCTCCAATCTGGTCCCATTTATAATCCTCACATTCCTTGCACCTGAAGTTCTAACCCCTAATGAAGGACCTAATTTGTGTTCTTTTGATGAGGACTTCATGCCTTCCTAATCCCATCTTAGAGGCTTTTTATATGTTAGGAATGTTGCAACGGTGTGAGGGACAGCTGCGAGCACATTATATAGGTTAAACTATACGACCTACAAGTCGTTTTCACCAATTTCCATCTTTTCTCATGAGAACCAAGCCAAATTTAGGTTAAGAAGGAATTACTTAATTAAGGTTTTTAGAATGGTAGTGACTGCATCTTTTACTGAATTATTCATATAAACAAGAAACCAAATTCTAATTAAATATGTCATAACTATTTGAACATCAGAGTACTAGAAGAGCAAAGAATTGGTGTACTGTTTACTGTGCTTGCAATGCCCTTCCCTGCCATTCTTTTTTTTTTTTTTTTTTTTTTTTTTTTTTTTTTGAGACGGAGTCTCGCTCTGTCGCCCAGGCTGGAGTGCAGTGGCGGGATCTCGGCTCACTGCAAGCTCCGCCTCCCGGGTTCACGCCATTCTCCTGCCTCAGCCTCCCAAGTAGCTGGGACTACAGGCGCCCGCCACTACGCCCGGCTAATTTTTTGTATTTTTAGTAGAGACGGGGTTTCACCGTTTTAGCCGGGATGGTCTCGATCTCCTGACCTCGTGATCCGCCCGCCTCGGCCTCCCAAAGTGCTGGGATTACAGGCGTGAGCCACCGCGCCCGGCCTGCCATTCTTTCTTCACCTGGATAATTTATGCATTTTAAGTTCATGTATCAACTCCTCCAGGAAGCCTACCTTATACCCCTAAGTTGAGCTAATTATTCCTATCCAGCGCTCCCAAAGGATCATGTACTTATTTCTGATGGTGTCCTCTGTTTTTATTTTTTTAATTATCACAAGAAACAGTCATGTAAATTACGGAGGAATTTTACATATTACTCTGTATCTTTCATATAAAATTTCAGTGAGAAATTTTGTGTGTAATTCAATGCTATAAAGAGCTTTTGTTTCTTCTGAAAGACTCATGTGATTCTTCCTTCCTGATAATGAGAACGATATAACTGATGGTGTGTTTAATTTTATATATGGCTGCCAGAAAGCTCAGGGCCAAATCTTAAGATTCTGTTAACATTGGCATATTGGTCTAACCTTTTCTCTGGGTCTTTTATTCTTTTAATTTCATGTAGCTTTTGTTACGAGCCACCTTAAAACCTGTGTGGAAAAGAGAGTTTCAATAAATATTTGCCAAAATACAATGTAGATGAAGAAGGTAACTATCCAGTAAATTCTTTTATTCTAGAACAAACATGAGTTATTAAGTCAAAAATCTTTAATTAGGTTATCTTGTTTAGTTTGGGCTTTTTGTTTTCTAAGTGAATTGCATTAGTTTAGACTTGTTTGGCTATTCCTAATGAATCTGCATTCAGTAAAGAATTGACTGATTACATCTTAAGCTATGTTTCAAGGGTTTAATTAAAAAAATTGGGCCATGTACAACTCCGAAGAGCAACACTTCACAATCAACCCCTTCTCTCTTTTTTCCCCTCAATTTTCCTATTCAAGTTTACCTTATGTAAATGTTGCAGGCCTAGGAACATATGTGAAGTCTATATATTTTGAAACTGTAGCCCTAAAATGTGAGAGATAAAAAAGAAGGATTTTGTTGATGTTTCTTCTCTGCCATCAAATTACTGCTAAGCATGACACCGTTTTCTGAGATTTCCTCTAACTTCACTCTTATTTTAAAAAACCAGTATTTCATTTGCCTTAAGACCTTTGGAGTATAGGAATAGCATCTAAGAATATAGCACTGTGATTCTAGAGTTCAAGCTTTGAAATTTAAACACAGAGATCAAAGATCTCTATTTGGGTAATACAAAAAAAAAGTTTCTAGTTTTTCATCTTTGCATATAACCACACAGATGTTATATTTTGAACTAGTAGGGTATTCTAAATCACAAATAATATGAAAGCATTCCAAAGAGATGAATATACATTTTAGAACTAAACCTAGTCACATATTTTACGAAGAGAACATATTCTTCAGAAAGTCAATCACTCATCCAAAACAGTCTCCATGAATACCATTTTCCCTTGTGATTAAATGGTGTTCTTATGAGCATTGTCAAATCAGATCAAGAATTTTCTTGAGGCCAGTGTTTCTCATGTCTGTAATCCCAGCACTTTGGGAGGCTGAGGCAGGAGGCTTGCTTGAGCCCAGGAGTTCAAGACCAGTCTGGGTGAAGTACTGAGACCCCGTCTCTACAAAAAATAAAAAGAAATTAGCCAGGCATGGTGGTGCATGCCTGTGGTCCCAGCTACTCGAGAGGCTGAGATGTGAGGATTACTTGGGCTGGGAGGTTGAGGCTGCAGTGAGCCATGATCACACCATTGCACTCCAGCCTGGGTGACAGAGTGAGACCCTGTCTGAAAAAAAAAGTTTTTTTTTCCCTAAGGAGGCACCTATGAAACATATTCATTCATTCATTCAAATATATATTTATTAAATGTCTACTTTGTGCCAAGCCCTCTTATGGATGCTTGAGACATATCGGTGGGCAAAGTCAACCAAGATTCCTTTATGGAGTTTACATACTAGCTAAGAGCCACCGATAATAAACAACAGATATGTGCATTATATGACAAGAAACAGTTAATAAGTGATATAAGAAAGAAACAATTAGAGAAGGATAAAGGAAATGAGTTCAGGGATGTATATAAATTTTAAAATAGGATATTCAAGTTAGGCCTGAAAAAAAGACACATTTGAGCAAAGATTTAAAGGAGGTGTGAGAGCATTAATATTAGGATGGAAAAGTTGTTAGCAAAGATATGTCAAATTCATCTGGCTGTGGCAAGGGAGAAAGAAGCAAAAAAATTTTCAAGTCATTTTGAAGATGACTCGATTTTATCTTCAAGTCTGAATATTTCAAAGAGATTGTAACCCTAAGTGAAAATGTGGGTTTTAGATTAGTTTTCAACTCAAAACACAAATTCAATTAAGGTCAAGGAGAGGTGGTTATCTCTTATATACCCTTTTGTTGTTATAAGTTGCAGTAGAAATGCAGTAGATAACCTTGAAAGTATAAGCAACTTTATGTTTATATTTATGCATATATTTATCTTATATACAACATGTTTCTATATTATATATTATATTTATGTTTATATTTATGTATACCACATAAGTGTGATGTACATTAGATACCCAACATTAGACACTGAAAATAGGTACCAAAGCTCAACAGTTCATTCAGTACTTTCCAGGTGATTCAATAGCAATACATCAAGATGTAATATCTTGCAGGACAAATTCATCCTTCCCAAACCACCAGAAATCCTTTCTCTACTTACCAATGCTTGAAGCAATATATCAAGCAGTCATGAAAATACCAAGAATGTGAAAGTAATTTTAATGAATCAAAGAAGGAAGGCAACATGTCCACAGCTGTGTAGTTTAAGAGCCGTGATCAAACGGAGACAAATTAATTTACTCAATGCAAAAGTGACAGTTGCTAGATTAAATCACAATAATAGAGATCATTGTCTGAAATGATTAGATTAATATACTCAAACACAAAGACAGCTTTTCTCTAAAAATTACTTCAGATAGCTCAGTCTGTTGATATTTTTTAACATATCTCCAAGGTCACCAGAAAAAAACTAGAGGCACTGGGGTCTTCAATTACCACCAAAATTTTAGCTATGCTCAATCCTCCGCTTTGCTTTGGTCTGACCTATGCTATATGTCTCTTTTTTAAAAATGAATTTCATATAGAACTAGTATCCACAGAGCATGTATAACTTGCCAGGCACTATACTAGATGCCTTTATATGTATCATCTCACTTATTTCTCATATTCCTATATGTATGTATGTGTAGTTATATGCACATAATGTAGGAATATGGGATGGGAAGTAAAGAATATTAACTGCATTTTACAGAAACATGCTTGGGAAGTATTAGAGCCAGAATTCTACTCAGGGTTTCTAGTTCTGCTAAGCCATCTGCTGCTCAACAGAGACCACTGTAATAACTTCTATTTGCATAGCATTTTACTGTTTGTAAAGTACATTCATATTTTATTTGATTATATCATAACCTTAAAATGGTTCTAATTATCTTGATTTTCTTCATAATTCTCAGTCTGTAGATTGTTATAACTGCAAACTCTGCAAAAAAGGCTATAGCCACATGCCTATCTGTGTGTGTTTTTGAACTTTCATATACCACACTTATAAGACAAACTCATTACATCTGCCTCTCTCTCATGAGAAAGAAAGAGGCTGCATTTTCAGTAAATGCAATAATACAAAGTATGGCAAATTACTTAGCTTCTCTAAGAATGTATCTTCAAGTACAAAATAATAATAATAATATATACCTACTTCTGTACCTCATAGAATTGTTGTGAAGATAAAGTGTGATAATACAGTGTTTATAAAAGAGCTTGAAAATTGCTTATAATAATGCTTTTACCTAATGATTGCTATTAAAGATAATTTATAGGTACCTTTGTAATACATTTGCTTCTTTACTTTCATTTTTAGTTTCATTGCTTTTCAACATACATAAATATGTGCTTGATAGTAAAAGTTTATATGTACCAATATATATAAAGTAGAATGCTAAAATTCCATTTGATACTCACCTTTTTCAATTAAACTAATTTTCCTAAGAGGTAAACATGATTACTAGTTTGATACTTGTTCCTGAAGATCTTTTAATATGTATTTATATACATGGATTTAAGGCCTGCAATTTTTTCTAAATATATATTAATCAAATATTTTATTGGACAACTTTTTTGTTTTTGCGAACAACATGTCTTGGAGATCTTGAATAGCTGTGCAGTCGATTATTTTTAAATGGACAGTTAAGCTATTTCCTTTGTGTTTGTGTGTGTATGTCTATAATAAACACCCTTTTTTTTTTTTTTTGAGACAGGGTCTCGCTCTCCAGGCTGGAGTGCAGTGGCACAATCTCGGCTCACTGCAACCTCCACCCCCAGGGTTCAAGTGATTCCCCTGCCTCAGCCTCCCTAGTAGCTGGGATTACAGGTGTGTGCCACCACGCCCAGCTAATTTTTGTATTTTTAGTAGAGACGGGGTTTTGCCATGTTGGCCAAGCTGTTCTCGAACTCCTGACCTCAAGTGATCCACCCTCCTCGGCCTCCCAAAGTGCTGGGATTACAGGCCTGAGCCATCACACCCAGCCGAACACCCATCTTTATGCACAAGTTAGAATATTTTACCAAGGTAGAATCCTGTAAGTGCAATGTTGGGATCAAAAAGCATATTAGAAATTTGTATAGATACTGCCTGTGCCAAATTAGACATCCTCCAACAGTATATGAGTGTCTTTCTTGGAATGCTTGCAAACACTACTTACTGTCAGTAAGTCCTTTTTCTCTGTCCTATGAGTAAAAATGATGTCATTTCTATTTTAATTATCTTCGTTATTAGCAGCAAGGTGTACTATATTTTAATTTGCATACTATTAGATAATCACATTTTTTCCATGAATTATCTTCTTATGTCCTCTGCTGAGATGTTGCTTTTCCTATGATTTGTAGATACTCTTTGTATAGTATGGTCATTTTTCCCTTGTTATTTTATATGTAATAAATATTTTCTTCCTGTTTGTCACCTTTCTTTTATTTTTGTTTATGTTATCACTTACCAGAAACAAGTTTCACATATTAATATAGTCAAATCTGGTAGTCTTTTCCTTTTTGGTTTCTAGTTTTCTGATTTGCTTAAGGTATTTCTTATCCAAAAATTATAAAAATAGTCTTTTGCATTTTATACTTCTACTTCTACTTTTCTATTCATTGTAGTAAATACAGTTAGATTTGTATCTCAAACTATCTATAAAAAGATAGTTTTGATTGATTTAAAAAATATATATATCTATCTGGGCCGGGCATGTTGGCTTATGCCTGTAATCCCAGCACTTTGGGAGGCCGAGGCAGGCCAATTTCTTGAGCCCATGAGTTTTAGAGCAGCCTGGGGTGAAACCCCGTCTCTACTAAAAATACAAAAATTAGCCAGGCCTGGTGGCACATGCCTGTAGTCCCAGCTACTTGGGAGGCTGAAGTGTGAGGATTGCTTGAGCTTGGGAGGCGAAGGTTGCAATGAGCAGACTTCGTGCCACTGCACTCCAGCCACGATGACAGGGCAAGACTCTTGTCTCAAGAAAAAAAAAAATTAAAAATCTATCATCTGTCTTTTTAACATTGAGTGCAACAGGCAGCCAACATCATTTTTTGATAAGTTCATCCTTTCCCCACTGATTTGAAGTGACTTAAAGCATATAATTGATCCCCATATATACATAAAACTTTTCTTGGATGGCTCTCTATTCTGTTCATTTTGCCTTCTAATATTTCCTCATCTAGCTCTAATCAATGTGACTATATATATTCTGTAATTGTAATAATGGGGTAAGTGCTATTTATATTCTTTCACTTAAAACACTGTAAACATTCCTCCATGATTCTATACCGTTTTTCTGATTATTATTTGAATGGCTATAATTCATTATTTAAATGTACCTTATTTCTCTCCTATTATTGGGCATTTCTATTGTTTGTTTCTAATGATAATGCTGCAATTAACATCTCATTGCCTCTCTCTTTTCTCTCTCTCTCATTTTTTGGGGTAAATATTTAGTAAAATTCATGAATTTAGAAATTCATGAATTTCTTTATGAATTTTGCTATGTTTTGCCTTATTACTAAGAAGATTGCTATAGTTTACAGTGTTCTCAGTATTATATAAATGTACTTATTTCATTGTGATCTTGTGAGCATTGAGTGTTTTTTTATATTTAATAATTTAGTAGAATACTACTTCAAGACTCCCTCATAATTCTATATGGAGCTAGTCACCTGTCCCATTGTTCTGAATGCATTTTATTCATCTATATCACAGGCATATAATTATTGTTCATTAAATAATAAAAAAATCTTAATCTATGAGTTTGAAAAGTGTATGTAATCTTTGATAGCTTCATGCCTCTTTTTGTCAAATCATCATAATAGACAACACATTGTGAACTATGGGATAATTGTTCACAATAAAGTCCAGTTTTAGACATTTACTTTTCTGGTTATTTATGGCTATTTAACAAAATCACCCTAAAATTTAGTTGTGTAAAACAACTGTTTATTATGCTCACATATTCTTTTTTTTTCTTTTGAGACAGAGTCTTGCTCTGTCACCTAGGCTGGAGTGCAGTGCTGCAATTGTGGCTCACTGAGTCATCAATCTCTCAGGCTCAAACAGTCCTCCCAACTCAGCCTCCCGAGTAGCTGAGGACCATGTGTACACACCACCACACTTCGTTAATTTTTTTTATTTTTACTTTTGTAGAGACAAAGTCTCCCTATGTTGCCCAGGCTGGTCTTAAACTTCTGAGCTCCAGAGATCCTCCCATCTGAGACTTCCAAAGTGCTGGGATTACAGGCATGAGCTGCCATACCCACCCAGCCACTCACATATTCTGAACAAGACACAGTTGGCATAATTTTTTTCAGCTACATTTCAGTTGGATAATTTAAAGGTAAGGGTGACTTGATGACTGAGAACTGGAAACATGTGAGTGCTTGCTCACTCACATGTCTGGTAGTTGAAACTAGATATTGGCTGGGACTTTAGCTGGTTGATGTTGGCTGTTAGCTGGAACGTCTACATATGACTTCTCCAAGTGACCTGGTATTCTTCATGACATGGTGACTGTGTTCCAAGAGTGACTATTGCTCTGTCTAGATAGAGAGAGAGAGAGAGAGTGAGTGAGAGAGAGAGAGAGAGAGAGGGACTAATGAAAACCATATCTTTTATAACCTAGCCTCAGAAGACACAAAATGTCACTTCTTTGTAGTCATGGGCTAACCTAGACTCAAGGAGAGAGAACATCAATCCCATCTCTTGATGGAGATTTATCAACATCACATTGTAAGAAGAAGTGGAATGAATTATATTTCTGTGGTGACTTTTTGAAAATATAATCTGCCATATTTACCACTGTAATCCAAATTTTTGTGTTTCTTTTTTAAATTTTATTTTATTTATATAAATGTAGAGGGTACCAGTGTAATTTTGTTACATGAATGTGTTACTTAGTGGTGAAGTCAGGGCTTTTAGTGTATCCATCACTGGAATAATAATGTACATTGTACTTGATAGGGGTTCGCTGTGTCCCCACCCAAGTCTCATCATGTAACTCCCATAATTCCCATGTGTCATGAGAGGGACAGGTGGGCGATGATTGAATCATGAGGGTGGATCTTTCCCATGCTGTTCTTGTGATTGTGAATGGGTCTCACAAGATCTGATGGTTTTAAAAAATGGGAGCTTCTCTGCACAAGCTTTTTTTTTTTTTTTTTTGGCCTGCTGCCATCCACATAAGATGTGAGTTGCCCCTCCTTGCCTTCTGCCATTATTATGAGGCCTCCTCAGCCATGTGGAATTGTAAGTCCAATTAAACCTCTTTCTTTTGTAAATTGCCCAGCTTCAGGTATGTCTATATCAGCAGCATGAAAACGGACTAATACAGTAAATTGGTACCAGTAGAGTGGGACATTGCTGCAAAGATACCCAAAAATGTGGAAGCGCCTTTGGAATTGGGTAACAGGCAGAGATTGGAACAGTTAGGAGGGCTCAGAAGAAGATAGGAAAATGTGGGAAAGTTTGGAACTTCCTAGAGACTTGTTGAATGGCTTTGACAAAAATGCTGATAGTGATATGAAAAATAAGGTCTAGGGTGAGGTGGTCTGAGATGGAGATGAGGAAATTGTTGGGAACTGGAGCAAAAGTGACTCTTGTTATGTTTTAGCAAGGAGATTGGTGGCATTTTGCCTCTGCCCTAGAGATTTGTGAAACTTTGAACTTGAGAGAGATGACTTAAGGTATCTGGCGGAAGAAATTTCTAAGCAGCAAAGCATTCAAGAGGTGACTTGGGTGCTGTTAAAGGTATTGCGTTTTATTAGAAAAGTGGAGCATAAAAGCTTGGAAAATTTGCAGCCAGACAATGTGATAGAAAAGAAAATCCCATTTTCTGAGGAGAAATTCAAGCTGGCTGCAGAAATTTGCATAAGTAACAAAAGTAAAAAGGAGCCAAATATTAATCACCAAGACAACGGTGAATATATCTGCAGGGTATGTCAGAGGTCTTCACAGCAGCATCTTTCATCACAGGCCTGGAGACCTAGGAGAAAAAAGTGGTTGTGTGGCTGGGCCCATGGTCCCCATGCTGTGTGCAGCCTAGGAACTTGGTGACCTGCGTCCCAGCTGCTCTAGCTGTGGCTGAAAGGGGCCAACATAGAGCTTGGGCTGTGGTTTCTGAGGGTGCAAGCCTCAAGCCTTGGCAGCTTTCATGTGATATTGAGCCTGTGAGTGCACAGAAGTCAAGAAATGGGGTTTGGGAACCTCCACCTAGATTTCAGAAGATGTATGGAAATGCCTGGATGCCGAGGCATAAGTTTGCTGCAGAGGTGGAGCCCTCATGGAGAACCTCTGCTAGGGCAGTGTGGAAGGGAAATGTGGACTCAGAGCCCCCACACACAGTCCCTATGGGAGCACTGCCTAGGGGAGCTGTGAGAAGAGGGGCCACCTTTCTCCAGACCCAGAATGGTAGATCCACTGACAGCTTGCACCGTGCATCTGGAAAAGCCACAGACACTCCATGCCAGCCTGTGAAGGCAGCCAGGAGGGAGGCTGTACCCTGCAAAGCTACAGGGTTGGAGCTGCCCAAGACCTTGGGAACCCCTCTCTTGCATCAGCATGACCTGAGTGTGAGACATGAATCAAAGGAGATCATTTTGGAGCTTTAAAATTTGGCTGCCCCACTGGATTTTGGACTTGCATGGGGCCTGTAGCCCTTTTGTTTTGGGCAATTTCTCCCATTCGGAATGGCTGTATTTACCCAATTCCTGCACCCCCATTGTATCTAGGAAGTAAGTAACTTGCTTTTGATTTTACAGGCTCATAGGTAGAAGAGACTTGCCTTGTCTCAGATGAGACTTTGGACTGTGGACTTTTGAGTTATGCTGAAATGAGTTGAGATTTTGGGGGATTGTTGGGAAGGCGTGACTGGTTTTAAAATGTGATTATAGGACATTTGGGAGGGGCCAAGGGTGGAAAGATATGATTTGGCTCTGTGTCCCCACCCAAATCTCATCTTGTAGCTCCCATAATTCCCGCATGTTGTGGGAGGGACCTGGTGGGAGATGATTGAATCATGGGGTTGGGTCTTTCCCATGCTATTCTCATGATAGTGAATGGGTCTCATGAGATCTGATGGTTTTAAAATGGGAGTTTCTCTGCATAAGCTCTTTTTTTTTTGCCTGCAGCCATCCAAATAAGATGTGATTTACTTCTTCTTGCCTTCCACCATGATTGTGAGGCCTCCCTAGCCATGTGGAACTTCAGTCCAGTTAAATCTCTTTCTTTTGTAAATTGCCCAGTCTCAGGTATGTCTTTATCAGCAGTGTGAAAACGGACCAATACAGTACTCATTAAGTAATCTCTCATTTTCCACTCCCCTCCCACCCTGTCACCCTTCTGAGTTGCCATTGTCTGTCATTCTACACTGTATGTCCATGTGTACACATTATTCAACTCCCATTTAAAAGAGAGAACATGCAATTATTTTTTGGCTGATTTTGTAAAATATATTTACAGATTCTCTGGTCCTTGAAACATACAGATTCACATTCTACATTTTTACTGCAGTTCTGTTTAACCATTTATGGTGCTATTTGAGCTATTCTATCATCTTTTCCTTTGTACTCAAAATAATATTAAACAACATTCAGATGATATTCTACTTTCTGCTCTGTGCTAGTGAGATCTATTTTGTTTTTCACTTTGTTTGTAAGGAGACACGATCAGAATTTCAGTTCTATACCTATTTATGGTGAGTGTCAGGCTGTTTGGTCAAATGTTCAAGTGAATAGAAGAAATCATTTTGGAGGACTGGTGACAAGGAAATGTGAGGAAGAGGTTGTAGATGGACATCTTGGAATGGACCCAGAGTGTGAGAAATTTGTGTTATATGTGAATGCACACTTAGTTACCCATGAGAGAGGAGGCTCTCAATAATCTGGTGACAATATGTCCTATTTTGTGGATGTTAGTGGGTCTATTTTCTCAGCCACCCCAGTACTTGCTCAATGAGCCTATAAACAATGTGGCCAGATGGGCAAGAATTGAGCTACAGATAGACAGAAAAATATGTCCTTTCTTTCAGCAAAGCTGAATCTGACTGTCTCCATCACTAAATGCCTAAGTTGCCAGTGACAAAAGCTGATGCTGAGTTTTCAATACGGTGGCATACCTGGGAGGGAGCATCCAGTCATCTAGTAGTAGATTGATTATATTACTCTCTGCCATTATGAAGTGGGCAATGATTTGTCCTCAGAGGAACAGACACTTATACTGGATAGACACTTATCCAGACACTTATTCAACACTTACTCTTCTCTGCCTGTCATGCTTTGCCCAGCCCCAACTTCTTTAGAATTACTAAATGTATATTCACTGCCATGGCATTCCACCTAACACTGAATTTGAACAAGGAACCCATTTTACAGTTAAAGTGAGACAATGCAAAATGTTACAAGAATCATTAATTGTATAATCAAGGCTGAGTTATGACACTGGCCAGGGGATTATATCTTATAAAATTAATATTCTTCCCTATAGAATACAACACATCCCTTGAGACGGCTTCCAATATACGATACTCTTTCTCTCCCATAGACATACGTGGATCTATAACTCAAGGAAGGTGTGGAAGTGAGAGTGGGTTCACTCACTATTGTACCAAATGACCTATTTGCAAAATGTTTTTCCTTCTCTGCTGGATTACAGGCTTAATACCCAAGGAATGGAAAATTTCATTAAGGGAAATAACAATAATCTCACAAAAGCAGAAGTTAAGACTCACATCAGTTCATTTTGAGATCCCTGTATTGCTTAATTAATATGTAAAAAAGAAGTTACTGAATCAGTTAGTGATTGATCCTGATTATCAAAGGGATATGGGGTGCTGCTACACAATGAAGACAAGAAAAAACATATTTGAAATCTAGGGGACCTTCCAGAAGTGCTTCTTTGAACTGTGTATTAGTTCTTTCTCATTCTGCTATAAAGAAATATCTGAGAGTAGGCAATTTATAAAGAAAAAAAGTTTAATTGACTCACAGTTCCACCTGGATGAGTAGGCCTCAGAAAAATTACAATCATGTCAGAAGGCAAAGCAGAAGAAGACACCTTCTTCACAGGGTGGCAGGAAAGAGAAGTGGATGCAAGCAAGGGAAAAGCCAGACACTTATAAAACCATCAGATCTTGTGAGAACCTACTCACCAGCATGAGAACAGCATGGGGGAAACTGCCCCCATGATCCAGTGACTTACCACTGGGTCCCTTTCATGACATGTGGGGATTATTGGGATTACAATTCAAGATGAGACTTGTGTGGGGACAAAGGCAACCCATATCATTCCACCCCAACCCCTCCCAAATCTCATGTCTTCACATTTCAAAACACAATCATGCCTTCCCAACAGTCCTCCAAAGTCTTAACTCATTTCAGCATTAACCCAAAAGTCCAAGTCCAAAGTCTTATCTGAGACAATGCAAGTCTCTTTTGCCTAGGAGCCTGTAAAATCAAAAGCAAGTTGGTTACTTCCAAGATACAATGGGGATACAAGCATTGGGTAAATGCATCCATTCCAAAAGGGAGAAATTGGCCAAAACAGAATGGCTACAGGCCCCATGCAGGTCCAAAATCCAACATGGCAGTCATTAAATCTTAAAGCTCCTAAATAATTTCCTTTGAAACCACATGTCACATCCAGGTCATGCTGATGCAAGGAGTGGGCTCTCATGGTCTTGAGCAGCTCTGCCCCTGTGGCTTTGCAGGATGCAAGCCCCCTCCCAGCTGCTTTCATGGACTGGTGTTGAGTGTCTGTTGCTTTTCCAGGTTAATGGTGCAAGCTGTCAGTGGATCTACCATTCTGGGGTCTGGAGGACAGTGGCCCTCTTTTCATAGCTCCAGTAGGCAATACCCCAGTGGGGACTGTGTGTGGGGGCTGTGAGCCCACATTTCCCTTCCACACTACCCTAGCAGAGGTTCTCCATGAAGGCTCCATCTCTGCAGCAAACTTCTGCATGGACATCCAGACATTACCATACATCTGAAATCTAGGCAGAGGTTCCTAAACCTCGATTATTGACTTCTGTGCATCCACAGGCCCAACATCACATGGAAGCCACCAAGGCTTGGAGCTTGCACCCTCTGAAGCAATGGCCTGAGCTGTACATTGACCCCTTTTATTCACAGCTAGGACGCTGGGCACCAAGTCATGAGACTGCACAAAGAAGCAAGGCCCTGGGCCTAGCCTACGAAATCATTTTTTCCTCCTAGGCCTCTGGGCCTGTGATAAAAGGGGTCCCTTGAAGACATCTGACATGTCCTGGAGACATTTTCACTATTGTCTTGGCGATTAACATTTGGATCCTCATTACTTATGCAAATTTCTGTTGCCAGCTTGAACTTCTCCTCAGAAAATGGCTTTTTCTTTTCTATCACATCGTCAGGCTGCAAATATTTTAAACTTTTATGCTCTGCTTCCCTTTTAAACGTAAGTTCCAATTCCAAACAATCTCTTTGTGAATGCATAAAACTGAATGCTTTTAAGAGCACCGAAGTCACCTCTTGAATGCTTTCTTGCTTAGAAATTTCTTCTGTGAGATATCCTAAATCATCTCTCTGAAGTTAAAGTTTCCCAGACCTCTATGGCAGGGGCAAAATTCTGCCAGTCACTTTGCTAAAGCATAGCAAAAGCCACCTTTATTCCTGTTCCCAGCAAGTTCCTTATCTCCATCTGAGACCACCTCAGCCTGGACTTTATTGTCCATATCACTATCAGCATTCAAAAAGCCATTGATTTGTTGAACAATTTGTTGAACAAAGCCATTCAACAAGTCTCTAGGAAGTTTTGAGCTTTCCCACATCTTCCTGTCTTCTGAGCCCTCCAAATTGTTCCAACCTCTGCCTGTTACCCCATTCCAAAGTCACTTCCACATTTTTGGGTATCGTTATAGCAGCACACCACTTCCTGTGGTATCAGTTTACTGTATTAGTCCATTCACTCACTGCTATAAAGAAATACCTGAGACTGGGTAATTTATAAAGAAAAGAGGTTTAATTAACTCACAGTTCTGCATGGGTGGGGAGGCCTCAGAAAACTTACAACCATGGCAGAAAGTGAAGCAGAAGCAGGGACTTTCTTCACAGGGCAGCAGGAAGAAGTGAGTGCAAGCAGGGGTAATGTCAGACACTTATAAAACCATCAGATCTCATGAGGACACACTCACTATCATGAGAACATCATGGGGGAAACTGTCACCATGATGCAATCACTTCCCACTGGGTCCCTCCCCTGAAATGTGGGGATTATGGGGATTACAATTCAAGATGAGATTTCAGTGGGGCCACAGCCAGAACATATCAAACTGCTATCCAATGATAAAAGACAATGAAACGTTACAGACACACAATACAGGCAGGAATTCTGTATGTTCATATCTTTCAGCAACCAACATTTAGATTATCTAAAAAGGCAAAGAACAGCAACTAGCTGAGGTAATAAAGGAGGATAAAGAGGACAGGATAGGAGTTTGGGAAGAAAGAATTATAAGTAGTAATCAATGTCTTGGTGATAAACTGCAGAAATAAGGCCTATAAAAGCTGCCCATATTTTCTTCTTTGTACTATTATGTCTATGTTTTTCTCATTCATTCATCTCTCTTCTCTCTATTGTTTTATATAGTATGACTGATTGATTTTATTATTCAATCATATTAATATTATTTTTCAATGCCATAATATCCTTGGGTTGGTTACAGGATATTATGTCAGGGTTGTGATTTAACTAGAAAAGGAGTAAACATCATTCAGAGATAGTTACAGATACTGATGAGATTTTGGGTTTCTCCTTTTATAGAAGCATGTTTTTATCTCTATGATGAATAGTTTCATTGTGACTGGAAGCATATGTTGTGCAATTATTATTTAGAAGTTTAAGTAGTAGTAGAATGGTGTTTCTGAAAGTGAAATAGCCAGGCTGGGCGCAGTGGCTCATGCCTGTAATCCCAGCACTTTGGGAGGCTGAGGCGGGTGGTTCATGAGGTCAAGAAATCGAGACCATCCTGGCCAACATGGTGAAACCCTGTCTCTACTAAAAATACAAAAAATTAGCTGGGCGTGGTGGTGCACGCCTGGAGTCCCAGCTACTTGGGAGGCTGATGCAGGAGGATCGCTTGAACCTGGCAGGCGGAGGTTGCAGTGAGCAAAGATTGCACCACTGCACTCCAGCCTGGCAACAGAGCAAGGCTCCGTCTCAAAAAAAAAAAAAAAAAAAAAAAAAAAAAAAAAAAAGAAAAGAAAAGAAAAGAAAGAAAGAAAAGAAAAGAAAGTGCAATAGCCAAAGGGATGAATTGTAGTGAGTATAGTGGATGGCACTCAGCATTTTACACACTCTTTCTAGTGGGCTTCCTAAAACTGCAGAGGTGGGAAAGCTACAAAATACATTTTTCAGACTTTCTTAAATACTAAAGTCATGAATATAACATCAGTTCTGTTAATTAGATGCATTCACAAAATACTTGGAAAATGGTAGTGAGACAGAGACAATCTATTTACTGTTTTGGCTGATTGCCAGCCTTGAAGTTCTGTGTTTCTTGATCGTTGGATTATAGCTTGTTTATAGTAATTGCATCAGTTCTAATGGCAACATTCTCAAATCTCCACTTTCCTCATTTTAGCACAGGCTGCTAAAGCCTGTTCCTTTGCAAAGCCTGTTTAGCTATGTCATTCTGAGAATCATTTCTGAAGGTGCTACCTGGAATCCACTACTTCATCCCTTTCATGATTTTATAGGCATCTAATTCCATCTGAAATGCTTTTCTGTTTAAAATAGCTAGCAGAGTACAGAGGGCAGAAAGGAGAACACCAGACTTTTCATGCATTAAACTACTCTAATAGAAACCTTTGGCTGTTGTATATATATATACATATATATATACACACACACACACACACACACACACACACACACACACACACACACACATATACACATGCACACAACTGACAATAAATATAGACCAGATGCCTAAGTTTTGAGGAAATTATATTGGCAAAGAAGCACCAAGTCAGTTCTATTATACAAAAATCTATGATTATTTGAGTGCTAAAGCAACCTGAAGGCCTATAAACTTGCATCTAGAAGATAGCTGCAAAAGATGTGATGAACTCCCTGCCTCCACACAAAATAAATTCTCTCCAATGCCTATCTCAAATGTATCATGGAGCAAAATAGGCAAGGAAAAACGTACTCCAAACAGGCCAGGGAGAATAATGAACAAAGGTGTTCCTCCCAGAGAAAAGAAATATGGAATGCCAAATGAGCTAAACAAAACATTTATTGTTAAAACAGGGAGTTTTTATTATTCCTATCCAGCAGGAGCTTATAATTTCCAGAAATCACCAACTGTTTCCCAGTCTTTCCTTTTTTGAATATGATTTCTTATTGTACTAATCCTGTTCCTGATCCACCATCATATAATAAAGGTATGTGTGAGTGGGGAGGTGAATCTAATTTTTTTATAGTTGTATAGAATACCAGAGCACAAGAAGCCATATCTGGAAATGATGCCGAGAACTGCATTGCTCCCACAAATACTGGGCCTTGAGCTGTAAAGAATTACTAAGGAGATTTATAGTTTTGCCCTTGAGAAGGAAGAACCATGTTCTGTGTATTATTAAGAGGGGGCACACAGATTTTTTGTTACCAAAAGAAGGACAACTATTAGCCCTCTCCCAAAATCTATTTCCTGCTTCTTACACAGTAACAAAATTTTTAGTTAGGCAAATGGGCACTGAGATAGGTTGAATTCTAAGATTACCCACAAGACTCAACACTGCTGTATATATCCTGTATATTGTCTCCCCATGAGTGTGGCAGGACTTGCGAATGTGATGAGATTTTACTCCTGTGATTAGATTATGTTACATGGCAAAGGTGCAGAGATTTGGTGACAACCTGAATAAGTTTGGAAATAAATTCTTCCAATCACGCCTCCAGATGAGAACACAGCCTGTCCAACACCTTGATTTCAGCCTGGTGAGATCCTGAGCAGAGGATCCAGCAAAATCTTGCCGAGACTCCTGATCCACAGCAATTATGAGATAATAAATGTGTGTCATGTTAGGCTGCTAAGGTTGTGATAATTTGTTATACGACACTAGAAAACAAATACAGAAACTTACCTAAACATTGTATTTCCAAGCTTCTCTTGCAGTAGGTGTGGCCTATGACAAAGTTTTGGTCAATCAGAGAGGAAATGAATATAGGTGTGCAAAGTCTGGATCATTATTGTAAAGGCAAGTGGTGGCCTTGCTTTCCATTCTTTTTTTTTTTTTTTTTTTGAGACAGAGTCTTGCTCTGTCACCCAGGATGGAGTGCAGTGGTGAGATGTCAGCTCACTGCAAGCTTCCTCCTGGGTTCACGCCATTCTCCTGCCTCAGCCTCCTGAGTAGCTGGGACTACAGCACCCGCCACCACGCTTGGCTAATTTTTTGTATTTTTAATAAGGATGGGGTTTCACCATGTTAGCCAGGATGGTCTCAATCTCCTGACCTCGTGATCCACCCACCTTGGCCTCCCAAAGTGCTGGGATTGCAAGTATGAGCCACCACGCCCATCCTGGCCATGCTTTTAATTCTTTTGGATATATTCCTGGAAGTAAGATTGCTGGATCATATGGCAGGTTCTATTTTTTATTTTTGTATTAAAAAAAATAAAATAAAATAAGATTTTCCATAAGGAAAACATATGGATGGCTAGTGCAAATCAGGCACTGATTAAAGTGATTATGAAAAAAGGTCATAGTATAAAAAAATTGTAACTGGAATTATGATATGTCCCATGCCAGGTGTTAAGGGGGGGATGCTAAGATATCCCAGGTGCCATAAATTGTCTTGGGGTGGCATGGACTCTACTTGGGGTCTGGGACATTCCAACCCCCTATCGGCCCAAATTATAGGGGAACAGGATGTGGCTATGAAACTGTCATTGATGCCATAATAGACACAAAACATCAGTACGATTGCCCTGCAAATGGCTGTGGAGGCTCCAGTCTAAGATTCTATAACTGCCTAATTGGAGGCTATGGGCCTGTTCCCTGTGACAGACCTCCCAGCTAAAGTGGAATCCATTACTTTCCTGGCTTTGTTCTTTAGCCAGAAGAATGTTTGGGAAAGCGGCATTGGTTGCAGTGCCCAGTTTGAGGATACCTGCAACTAAGACTCTTAAGGCATTTCCTTTGCCATGATGTAGCCATAATTGTGTTTGGGCAGGTACACAGTAAGGGTTAGAACTTTTATAACTTGAACACAGTGGGAGGATAGTGGAGTGATATGTAGTGTTACCTGGCACCTTAGTCCAATGTGTGCCGTTAATGAGGGACCCCACTGGGGTCAAATCTATCCCTCCTAGCCAAGCAGTTATGTTATTAGAGGCTGGGAAGGGGGTGTCTGCCCAGGTGACAGGGTGAAAGAAAGGCGGATCTAATATATGAGCCCAATAGAGTGTAGCAGGTACAGGTTGAAGACAAAGCAAGAGCATAAAAAGGATCAATAGCCTACACGAGTTGCAACGTACAACAGAGAGCGTAGTAAGGAACAAATTGTCTGGAGTGAATAGTGTCTGTTTCTGGAGCAGGATTCACTCAGTCTTCTGAGTCATCTTCTTCAGCATCCCCCGGGTAATGTCTGGGGCTTGTGTTGTCCAAGGAAGCCGCATCATCTGGGGCTGCAGTTCCTGCAGGGTCATTTCCTTCATTTCTGGTACAGGGTTGGGTCCTAGCCTTGCCATGGTATGGTTTGATGGATCATTCTGGAATCCAAAGAGGACCTGAGGGGGTGTGAACACAAGCATATCCTCTCCTCTACGTTAACAATTCATTTGGACCACACCATACATTACTGTTTTCATCTTTCCATAAAACTGTGGGTTTTCTTGAGAGGTTTTAGCAAAGTGCTTTTCTACAGCTGATTGAAATTTATTATCTAAATTTTAAAAATTAAGGGTAAATAAGGC